>NC_000009.12:127595552-128220552 GCF_000001405.40 Homo sapiens
GTGGTGGTGCGCCTGTAATCCGAGCTACTCAGGAGGCTGAGGCAGGAGGATTGCTTGAACCCAGGAGGCAGAGGTTGCAGTGAGCAGAGATTGCAGCACTGCACTTCATTCTGGGTGACAGGGCAAGAGTCCATCTCAAGCAAAACAAAACAAAACAAAACAAAACTCCAAATACAGAATTAGGTACAGAGCCTTGGAAGGAGACATGCCCTTCGAAGGAGTACATCCGTCTCTGCTCAGAGCCAGCTCTGGTTTCTACTTCCTCATCCTCTGTAACCCAAGTCCCACCACTTCCTGATGGGAAGGTGGGAGCAGCAGTAGCAAGGGCATGGATGTAGGGTCAGACGAACCTCAGCTAGAAATCTGGCCAAGCCACCTCCTGCATGACCCAGACAAGTCTCTGACTTATTTAAAAATTATTATTATCAGCCGGGCGTGGTGGCTCATGCCAGTAATCCCAGCACTTTGGGAGGCCGAGGCAGGTGGATCACCTGAGGTTAGGAGTTCGAGACCAGCCCGGCCACCATGGTGTAACCCTCTCTCTACTAAAAATACAAAAATTAGCCAGGTGTGGTGTCACATGCCTGTAATCCTAGCTACTCGGGAGGCTGAGGCAGGAGAATCGCTTGAACTGGGAGGTGGAGGTTGCAGTGAGTCAAGATCATGCCACTGCACTCCAGCCTGGGTGACAGAGTGAGACTCCATCTCCAAAAAATAAATAAAATAAAATAATTATTATTTATTTATTTATTTATTTTTGAGATGGAGTCTCGCTGTCACCCAGGCTGGAATACAGTGGCGCAATCTTGGCTCACCGCAACCTCCACCTCCCAGGCTTATGCAATTCTCCTGCCTCAGCCTCCCAAGCAGCTAGGATTACAGGCATGCGCCACCACACCTTGCCAGTTTTTTTGTTTTTCGTAGAGATGGGGTTTCACCATATTGGCTGGGCTGGCCTCGAACTCCTGACCTGAAGTGATCCGCCTGCCTCGGCCTCCCAAAGTGCTGGGATTACAGGCGTGAGCCACCGCACATGGCCATTATTATTATTTTAAATTTTATTTTGTTTAATTTTTTTTTTGAGACAGGGTCTCGCTCTGCCACCCAGGCTGGAGTGCAGTGACATAATCACGATCATGGCTCATTGCAGCCTCAAACTCTTAGGCTCAAGCAATCCTCCCACCTCAGCTTCCTGAGTAGCTGGGATCACAGGCATGTGCCACCACACCCGGCTAATCTTTTTATTTTTTGTAGAGATGTTGGGGGGGTGTCTCATTATGTTGCCCAGGCTGGTCTCGAACACCTGGGCTCAAGTGATCTCAAATTGACCTCTCAAAGCTGTGGGATTACAGGTGTGAGCCAGCCACCACACACGGCAGCCTATATTTTTATTATTTATTTATTTATTTATTTTGAGACTGAGTCTTGCTCTATCACCCAGGCTGGAGTGCAGTGGCGCAATCTCCACTCATTGCAACTTCAGCCTCCCAGGTTCAAGTGATTCTCCTGCCTCAGCCTCCCAAGTAGCTGGGACTACGGGTGCACACCATCACGCTCAGCTAATTTTTGTATTTTTAGTAGAGAATTGGTTTCGCCATGTTGGCCAGACTGGCCTCGAACTCCTGATTTCAAGTGATCCTTTTGCTTCGGCCTCCCAAAGTGCTGGGATTACAGGTGTGAGTCACCACGCCCAGCCTGTCCCTGCTTTCTTGAAACCTCAGTTTTCTCCTCTGTAAAATGGGCATGCCTATATTTACCTCCCCAAGACTACCGTAAAAATTATATTATGCATAGCACTTAGGACAGTGCCTCACGTATCATAAGTGCCCAATAAATGGTATGTCTGATATATCATATACATTCCATATATGATTATAATAATTATCCAAAATGATTTCAAGTTTTGCCTTTAATGGCACTTCTTCCAGGAGGCTCTTTAAAAATAAAAATCAAAGTATAATATGCATGCAATAAAATACACACTTTTTTTTTTTTTGAGACGGCGTTTCACTCTTGTTGCCCAGGCTGGAGTGCAATGGCACAATCTCGGCTCACTGCAACCTCTGCCTCCTGGGGTTCAAGCGATTCTCCTGCCTCAGCCTCCTGAGTAGCTGGGATTACAGGCATGCGCCACGATGCCCGGCTAGTTTTGCATTTTTAGTAGAGACGGGGTTTCTCCATGTTGGTCAGGCCGGTCTCAAACTCCCGACCTCAGGTGATCTGCATGCTTCGGCCTCCCAAAGTGCTGGGATTACAGGCGTGAGCCACTGCGCCCAGCCAAAATATATAATTCTTAAGTGAGCAGCTCCATGAATTTTTACATAAATATGCACCATGTTACCACCACCCACATCAAGACACAGAGCGTTTCCAAAGTCCCTCTCATCTCTCTTCCCAGTCAATACTCTTCACCCTCCATCCCCATGAGACAATCATTATTCTAATTTCCTTTATCATAGACTGTTCTTAAAACTTTATATGCATGGAATCATAATGTATACTTTTGTGTCTGGCTCAAAATGGCTCTAAAATCTAGACAGGCAACAGAGCTGTGTGGGAAGGAGTCCAGGCTTTGGGCTCAGAAACGCCAGGCTCAAGTCCTGGTTTGGCTTGGAATTTGCTACATTCATGCCCCAGGATGTGTCGTGTCTGTTTCCTCACCTAGAAAATGCGTAGAAATCATCATGAGATCTTGTGCTGCTGGGTGCAGTGTCACCCACCTGTAGTCCCAGCTACTCTGGAGGCTGAGGTGGGACGATGCTTGAGGCCAGGAGTTCCAGGCTGCAGTGAGCTATGGTTATGCTTGTGAATAGCTACTGCACTTCAGCCTGGGCAACATAGTGAGACCCCGATCTCTAAAAATATATATATATATATATATATATATATATATATATATATATATATATATACACACACATACATATATATATATATATATTAGATATTGTGCATGAAGCACTCAGCACATAAGAGTTCTCAGGAAGTGGCAGGTGTTATTTTTTTGTTTTGTTTTGTTTTGTTTTGTTTTTGAGACGGAGTCTTGGTCTGTCACCAGGCTAGAGTACAGTGGCACAAACTCGGCTCACTTGGCTCACTGCAACCTCCGCCTCCCGGGTTCAAGTGATTCTCCTGCCTCAGCCTCCCAAGTACCTACAGGTGTGTGCCACCATGCCCAGCTAATTTTTGTATTTTTAGTAGAGATGGGGTTTCACCATATTGACCAGGATGGTCTCAATCTCCTGACTTCATGATCCGCCCACCTCGGCCTCCCAAAGTGCTGGGATTACAGGCGTGAGCTACCACACCACCCGGCCAAGAGGTATTATTCTTATTCGTCTCAGTTACGTTCAGCCCCTCCCATTCCAGCCCCCAGGGTAGGACTCCACAGTGTCCAGCCTGAACTCTTGCACCAGCCTCCCAGGGGCCTCCCACCCTGGTACCTTCACCTCTGTTGCAGCCTCCAGTCTGCCGCCAAGTAGGCTGTGCCAACGTGAACATGCCAGATCACAGGTCACTGGGCCTTCCTCACCCATGCTGTTGCCTCTGCTCAGAATATTCTCTGCTTCCCACGCCCCTCCTCAACCTGCAAATTCTAGCTCAGCTTTTAGGTTTCAACTTTGCCTTTCCCCAAGAGTCCTTTCGAGGTCCCAGGCTGGGCTGCATGTCCCCATCTGTCCTCCTAGATCCTCTGTTGCACCCCTGGCAGAGTGCTCAGCCCTGCCTTACTGGAAGTCCCCGAGGGCGTGATTATGTCTATAAGTTCAACCTGGAGTGCTCGGCACAGGCAGAGTGCTGGCACACAGCGGGTGTAAGCAGGCAGCAGGACCCCAGGGATTCTAGGAATTTAATCAACTTGAGCAATCAGCCTGCTTTACAGCCTTCCTCCCTGAGGCCTGTTCCTCCCCAAACCCCGTAGAATTTGGCCACCTTGTTGGTTTAAGCCAGCTCTTGACAGACCCTGGCAACTTATAGATGAACTCAAGTGAACTTTCCTCATTAGTACACTGAAGTCTCCACCCCGGAGGAGCTATAGCTTCTTACCCTAACACCACACTCATGTGCTGGCATGATGACACACTGACTCTGCGCAACTGGGACCCCTCCTCTACATGCCACAACGCACCCTCTCCTCTCTCTGTCGCCCCCTAAAACCCTCCTGTCACTTTTCTTCAGGGAGGCACTGCTTTGGAGAATACTCCCAGTGCCCTCCTTACTTGCACCAAGTAATAAAACTCCTACTAATCAAAACCCGAGTCTTGCGGTTACTTACCGGGTGAACAAACACTGGTGTTTTATTTTTGTTTGTTAACACAGGCACATGATAACTATTTATTGAATGTTAAACAGATGAATAAATAAATGCCACTTTTTTTTTTTTTTTTGAGACCGAGTCTCCCTTTGTCACCAGGCTGGAGTGTAGTGGCGCGATCTCGGCTCACTGCAACCTCCGCCGCCCAGGTTCAAGTGATTCTCTTGCCTCAGCCTCCCAAGTAGCTGGGACTACAGGCACGTGCCACCACGTCCAGCTAATTTTTGTATTTTTAGTTAGAGATGGGGTTTCGCCATGTTGGCCAGGATAGTCTCGATCTCTTGACCTCGTGATCTGCCTGCCTCGGCCTCCCAGTGTGCTGAGATTACAGGCGTGAGCCACCGCACCCGGCCTTTTTTTATTATTATTTAAATGGAGTCTCGCTCTGTCACCCAGGCTGGAGTGTAGCGGCACAATCTTGGCTCACTGCAACCTCTGCCCCCTGGGTTCACGCCATTCTCCTGCCTCATCCTCCCAAGTGGCTGGGATTACAGGCACTTGCCACCATGCCCGGCTAATTTTTGTATTTTTAGTACAGATGGGGTTTCACCATGTTGGCCAGGCTGCTCTTGAACTCCTGGCCTCAGGTGATCCGCCCGCCTCAGTGGGCAGAGTGAGCCGAGTGAGCTGAGTTTGTGCCACTGCACTCTAGCCTGGTGACAGAGTGAGACTCTGTCTCAAAAACAAACAAACAAAAAAACAAAAAAAGGAATAACACCTACCACTTCCTGAGTACTCTTATGTGCTGAGTGCTTCATGCACAATATCTTTTTTTTTTTTTTTAAGAGATCGGGGTCTCACTATGTTGCCCAGGCTGGAGTGCAGTAGCTATTCACAAACATCCCAAAGTGCTGGGATTGCAGGCATGAACCACCATGCCCGGCCTAAATGTCACTTCTATATTTGAAAACCTTCCATGGTTTCTCATGGAGAGAGAAATAAAGTCCAAACCACAGCGTACTGCATTCCACTTCCGTCCTCATCTGCCACACACCAGGGTCTAAATCCCTGCCCTATCATTTATTGGCTGTGTGACCCCGGACAAATGGCTGTTTCCTCATCTGTAAAATGGGGATAATAATAGTAACTACCTCATAGGATGATTGTGAGGTTGAAATGAGTACATACATGTATACTCATTTGAGTATATATATATTGAGAGAGAGAGGGAGAGACAGAGTCTTGTTCTGTCGCCCAGGCTGGAGTGCAGTGGTGCCATCATGGCTCACTGCAGCCTTGATCTCTTGGGTTCAAGTGATCCTCCCACCTCAGCCTCCCGAGTAGTTGGAACTACAGGCATGTGCCACCATGCCTGGCTAATTTTTACATTTTTTGTTGAGACAGGGTTTTGCCATGTTGCCCAGGCTGGTCTCTAACTCCTGGGCTCAAGCACTCTTCCCACCTCGATACCCTGAAGTGCTGGGATTATTGGCCTGAGCCACCACGCTCAGCCCACGCCCTGACTAATGAATAAGTTTATTATTGACTTATTATTGTTTTTATTTATATTTATTTTTTTACGTCCTAACATAAATTGCTGAGATATTTATTGTTTTTCCCTCTAGAATGTCAGCTTCTTGTCCACAGGGATTTTTCTCTTTTGTTCCTTGCTGTATCACCACTGCCTAGATTAATGACTGGCACACAGTAAGCGCTCAATAAATATTGCTAAATGCCACTACACCACACTTTCTTTGCCTATGCCAGAGGTGCCCAAACATAGCAGCTTTTATGTCTCAGTGATTTCTTTTCATAGCAGTCCTAGGTCAAAAGAAATAGCCAACCAGGGCTGGGTATGATGGCTCATGCCTGTAATTCCAGCACTTTGGGAGACTGAAGTGGGAGGATTGCTTGAGGCCAGGAGTTCGAGACCAGCCTGGGCTACATAGCAAGACCCTTTCTCTACAAAGAAAAAAAAAATACCTAACTTCTGTTTCCTCCCCCTCTCCTTCTCCCTTTCTCTCTTTCCCCTTTTCTTTGCCCTCTCTTTGCCCTTCTGCATGGGATGATGCAGCAAGAAGGCCCTCACCACATGCCAGTATCTTGATCTTGGACTTCCCAGCCTCCAGAACTATGAGAAATTTCTGTTATTTATAAATTACCCAGTCTATGGGATTCTGTTTTAGCAGCACAAAATGGAGTAAGACACCATGATTACTTAGTTAATGGGATATGTGTACTTTCTTGGAATCTTGGAATCACATTAGATACCAATTCTTTCTTTCTTTCCCTTCCTTCCTTCCTTCCTTTTCTTTCTCTCTCTCTCTTTCCCTCCCTCCCTCCCTCCCTCCCTCCCTCCCTCCCTCCCTTCCTTCCTTCCTTTTTGAGACAGGGTCTTGCTCTGTCACCCAGGCTGGAGTGCAGTGGCGAGATCATGGCTGATTGCAGCCTGAAACTCCCAGCTCAAGTGATTCTCCCACCTCAGCCTTACTAGTAGCTGGGACCGCAGACACACACCACCGTGCTCAGCTAGCTTTTATTATTATTGTTTTTTATTATTATTAGTTTTTCAAGATGGAGTCTTGCTCTGTAACCCAGGCTAGAGTGCAGTGGCACCATCTCGGCTCACTGCAACCTCTGCCTCCCGGGTTCAAGTGATTCTCCTGCCTCAGCCTCCTGAGTAGCTGGGATTACAGGCGCACATCACCACACCCGGCTAAATTTTGTATTTTTGGTAGAGATGGGGTTTCACCATGTTGGCCAGGCTGGTCTTGAACTCCTGACCTTGTGATCCGCCCACCTCGGCCTCTCAAAGTGCCGGGATTACAGGCGTAAGCCACTGAGCCTGGCCTTTTTTTTTTTTTTTTTTTTTTTTTTTTTTTTTTTTTTAACATCCAAATAGTCAGTGAATAGCTAGCTTTTGTATTTTTCCCAGAGACAGGATTTTGCCATGTTGCCCAGTCTGGTCTCAAACTCCTGGGCTCAAGCGATCCTCCTACCTCAGCCTCACAAAGTACTGGGATTACAAGTATAAGCCACCACACCTGGCCAACACTCTCATTTTGTGTTCCACATTGATTTTCATGAGTAATTTATTATTTTCTTCTTCTTTTTTTTTTGAGACAGAGTCTCACTCTGTTGCTTAGGCTGGAGTACAGTGATGCAGTCTCAGCTCACTGCAGCCTCAACCTCCCTGGCTCACACTATCCTCCCACCTTAGCAGACTCCCAAGTAGCTGGGACTACAGGCATGTGCCACCATGTCTGGCTAATTTTTGTATTTTTTGTAGACATGAGGTTTCGCCATTTTGCCCAGGCTAGTCTCAAACTCCTGAGCTCAAGTGATTCTCCCACCTCAGCCTCTCAAAGTGCTGCGATTACAGGTCTGAGCCACCTCGACCAGTTGAGTTATTTGCTTCTCTTTGTTAGGGAAGCAAGAGCCTAGGACAGCCAGAGTGACACCATTTTAAATTCAGCTCCATCCTGAAACTAACAAAGCACATTTCTTGCTGGTCATGACCCATAGTCATGGGATGTTTATAGTTTGGATGTACCAATACTCATAACAATATATGCTTTCAAGATAATTATAGTTATGCTTTGATGTACTCACACACTAAAATGTTAAGGATAGTTTAAATCAAGAGAGTAATAAATTTTGTCATGCTGTCTGCTCACCCGCACGTAGACACAGGCTTGGCTTAGCTTTTACGTAGACAAGACCCCTTATAAGAAATAACTTAAACAAAGACAGGGCATTCTTCCTCTTGCTTTCTGGGGACACCCTCCTGACTGTAACAGAGTAGCTTTCTTTTTTCTTTTCTTTTCTTTTATTCATTGACATGGAGTCTCGCTCTTGCTGCCCAGGCTGGAGTACGACGGTGCTATCTCGACTCACTGCAACCTCCACCTCCTGGGTTCAAGCGATTCTTCTGCCTCAGCCTCTTGCGTAGCTGGGATTACAGGCACATGCCACCATGCCCGGCTAACTTTTGTATTTTTATTAGAGACAGGGTTTCACCATGTTGGCCAGGCTGATCTCAAACTCCTGACTTTAAGTGATCCACCCACCTTGGCCTCCCTAAGTGCTGGGATTACAGGTGTGAGCCACCAAGCCCAGCCCAGAGTAGCTTTTAATAAACTACCTCTTCTCATTGCACTCTGCAACATGTCTTGAATTCCTTCCTGGGTGACATGCAAGAACCCTCTCTTAGGGTCCGGGTTGAGACTCTTTTCCAGTAACATTATCACATCGATTGCTGAAAACCCAGTATTACAAAGATATAATACCACAGAAAGCAAAGTTGTAGAGCTTAATGTTGAAATTGTGTACTGTTTCCAGCTAGCTGTTTTCACACTGTTCACCCAAAGGTGAATATAATTGTGTTTCCCTCCAAAGTTTGAAATATTCAGCTGGGCTGGGCATGGTGGCTCATACCTGTAATCCTAGCACTTTGGGAGGCCGAAGCAGGTGGATCACCCGAGGTCAAGAGTTCGAGACCAGCCTGGCCAACATGGTGAAACCCCGTCTCTAGTAAAAATACAAAAATTAGCCAGGCGTGGTGGCGGGCGCCTATAATCCCAGCTACGCAAAGAGGCTGAAGCAGGAGAATCGCTTGAACCTTGGGGGCAGAGGTTGCAGTGAGCTGAGATCATACCGCTTCTCTCCAGCCTGGGCAAAAGAGCAAAACTCTGTCTCAAAAAAAAAAAAAAAGAAAAAGAAAAAAAGAAAAAAAAATATATATATATATATTTGGCTGGGCACAGTGGCTCACACCCATAAGCTCAGCACTTTGGGAGGCTAAGGCAGGAGGATTGCTTAAGGCCAGGGGTCCAAGACCAGCCTGGGCAACATAGTGAGACCCTGTCTGTATAAAAAATACAAAAAAATGGCCGGGCATGGTGGCTCACGCCTGTAATCTCAGCACTTTGGGAGGCCGAGGTGGGCGGATCACAAGGTCAGGAGTTTGAAACCAGCCTGACCAACATGATGAAACCCCATCTCTACTAAAAATATAAAAATTAGCCAGGTGTGGTGGTTTGCGCCTGTAATTCCAGCTACTTAGGAGACTGAGGCAGGAGAATCGCTTGAACACAGGAGGTGGAAGTTGCAGTGAGCTGAGGTCGCGCCATTGCACTCCAGCCTGTGTGACAGAGCGAGACTCCGTCTCAAAAAAAAAAATTAACTGGGTATGATGGCATGCACCTATAGTCCCAGTTACCCAGGAGGCTGAGGTGGGAGGATCGCTTGACCCCAGGAGTTTGAGGTTGCAGTCAGCTATGATCATGCCATTGCACTCAAGCCTGGGCAACAGAGTGAGATCCTGTCTCAAAAAAAAAAAGATAAAGTAAAAATTTTAAATATTCTATCATGCTCCTGTAAATGCAGTGTGGTACACAAGGGTGCATCTATGCATAGTTTGGGAAGCATGGGTCTAGTCTTTTTTTAAAGATGTTTTATTTATTATTTTTAATTGACAAATAATAATTTTTTTTTTAGATTGAGTCTCGCTTTGTTGCCCAGGCTGGAGTGCAGTGGCACAATCTCAGCTCACTGCAACCTCTGCCACCCAGGTTCAAGTGATTCTTCAGCCTCAGCCTCCCAAGTAGTTGGGATTACAGGCATGTGCCACCAAGCCAGGCTAATTTTTGTTTGTTTGTTTGTTTGTTTTTTGAGATGAAGTCTCACTCTGTTGCCCAGGCTGGAGTGCAGTGGTGCAATCTCGGCTCATTGCAACTTCTGCCTCCTGGGTTCAAGTGAGTCTCCAGCCTCAGCCTTCTGAGCAACTGGGACTACAGGCATGTGCCACCATGCCCAGGTAATTTTGTATTTTTAGTAGAGACGGGGTTTCACCATATTGGTCAACCTGGTCTTGAACTCCTGACCTCAAGTGATCCACCCGCCTCGGCCTCCCAAAATGCTGGGATTACAGGCATGAGCCACCTCGCCTGGCCTATTTATACTCTTTTTAAAAAAATTGGATTTGGGCCAGATGCGGTGGCTCATGCCTGTAATTCCAACACTTTGGGAGGCCGAAGTGGGTGGATCACTTGAGGTCAGGAGTTCAAGACCAGCCTGGCCAACATAGTGAAACCCCCATCTCTACTAAAAATACAAAAATTAGCCGGGTGTCATGGCACACGCCTGTAATCCTAGCTACTCAGGTAGCTGAGGTATGAGAATTGCTTGAGTCTAGGAGGCAGAGGTTGCAGTGAGCCAAGATTATGCCACTGCACTCCAACCTGGACCACAGAGCAAGACTCCATCTCAAAAGATAAATAAATAAATAAACAAACAAACAAACAAAAATTGGATTTGAACCCCTTTCTCTTCTCAGCCTCCAGGCTCAGCTGAAATGCCAAAACATATATGAACAAAACAGTTTCCCCAGTTGGAATGAAAACTCTTTCCTCTGGGATTTGACAATTATTTATTTATTTATTTATTTATTTATTTATTTTTTAGACAGGGTCTCATTCTGTCTCCCAGGCTGGAGCACCATGATGCAACCTTGGCTCACTGGAGCCTCGACCTCCAGGGCTCAAGTGATCCTCCCACCTCAGCCTCCCAGTTAGCTGGGATTACATGCATGCACCATCATGCCCAGCTAATTTTTGTATTTTTAGTGAAGATGGGATTTCAACATGTTGCCCAGGCTGGTCTCGAACTCCCGGGCTCAAGCAACTCATCTGCCTCAGCCTCCCAAAGTGCTGGGATTATAGGCATGAGCCACCATGCCCAGCCTTGATAATAATTTAATCTGTTGAAAGGTATGAATTTTTCTGTGATACCCAAGATGTAAAAAATGCCATATTTCTTTCTTTTTTAATTGGATAAAACCTGCTTTAAGCCCCCACTTCTAATGTCTGGCTTTTTTCCCCCAGTGACTCCTCTTTGTTCCTGGGCTTGTACCAGGACTCAAGGGCTTACACAGTCTGGGCAAAATTGAGCTGCCCACATCAGCCACTCTCAGAAGCTTCCACTACAGGGCTTACCAATCCAAGAAAAAGAGGCTGGCCCTACTGGCTATATGCACTGCCCCAGAGCCTGGCTAAGCAGAAGGACCCCCTCTGTGGCCCTAGAGACTGAAGTCCTAGTGCTTGGTGCCCAGGCATTTACACCATCCCCACCCCTAGTCCAAAGCCCTGCTCACCAGGGGACTTTATATGAGAGGAGGAGCATCAGTGCCTCTCTGGGCATCTGCTGCTCCTTCTTCTTGCCCTTGGGGGAATCCGACCTCTCACTTTGGGAGGAAGGATTCCAGTTCCTTAGAGTTTACATGCAGGTAGCGCGGGGATGAATGTGGTCCTCATATGTGTTCTGTTTGGGCAGTGTGGTGTTATCATCTTTTAAAATGCAGGGCACATGTTCTCAGGATTTCCTGGGCTGTGTTACAGGTTAAAAAAAAAAAAAATCCATTGCTGGCCTGGCGCAGTGGCTCATGCCTGAAATCCCAGCACTTTGGGAAGCCGAGGCGGGAGGATCAGTTGAGGTCAGGAGTTTGAGACCAGCCTAGCCAACCAACATGGTGAAACCCTGACTCTACTGAAAATACAAAAATTAGCCAGGTGGCACACACCTGTAATCCCAGCTACTCGGGAGGCTGAGGCAGGAGAATCGGTTGAACCCGGGAGGCAGAGCTTGCAGTGAGTAGAGATCATGCTTCTGCACTCCAGCCTGGGCGACAGAGTGAGACTCTGACTCAAAAAAAAAAAAAAAAAAATCCATTGCAACACCTAAACATTGGGAGATGTTGCATAATTTCTACATTCTAGACCCTCAGTTGCTGCAGGGAAACCACTGACTGGAGCTAAGCAAGCACTACTCCTCTGGGCAAGTCATGTGCTCTGCAGCTGGCTACTATCTGTGGTATTACATTACCCTGGCCTCTGCGGTCCCTTGAAGTTGAGGCCCTCTCCTGGGCTTTTGAAAACAAAGCCTTTTTGATACTGCAGTGTGGCCTCAAACTCAAAAACGGTTCACTCTTGAGTGCAAGGATGTCTCAAACTTAAGTACTCCAGGCCCAGCTGCTCTTTGTAGATGTATGCATGGTGGTGGGGGTGACAGCGACAGAAACAATTACTTTTCATTCTTGCCAATGAATCTAGCAGCAAATAAGCGGGACACAGACTGAACTCTCCATAACCCATACCTATCTATTTAGCAGTGATTTAATTCAGCCTAATGATGTGTCATTTTTAAGAAGGATATTAATAGCTAACATTCACTTGAGCCTTACCAGGTTCCCAGTCCTGGATAAAGTACCTTATAAATATTATCTTGTTGAATTCTTTAGAAACTGCTCCTAAAGGAGTGTCGCAGAATCAAACGGCCCAGAGGCTAGGAGGAGGGGATGTGGGTGAACACAGAACACCGCAGCTGATGATGCAGCTTAAAAGCAGAAGGGAGGGAGGTGCAGCCCGAGGCTGTCGGAGAAGCGGCCCAGACTGGCCCCAGGGCTCTGCAACAGGCTCCAGTTGTGCAGGGAGGGGACAAGCTTGTGATACCGCGTGAAGGACTCAGGAGGTCCGGTGGAGGGGTGGCCTCTCTCCCGCTGGTTGGCTCCATTGCTATTTCTGTCTCCTCGTTCTCGGTCTCTCCAGGCCGCTCCCTCTCCATCTGTCCTGATCGCCAGCCTCTCCCCCGCTCCTCTCCGCAGCGGTCGGCCCACCTGGAGCACTCCCCGCCGCCACGTGACCCGTGCGTAAATCGCAGTACTCTTCCCACCCCTGCGCTGGGCCAGCACCCGGCTCTGCGGAGGCTGCAGGCCGCGCATGCGCAGCTGTGGACGCACCTGCGCGCCCGCTGGCTGGTGCCGCCGACCAACCCCGCGCATCCTGCGGCTGCTACCCCGGCTGGCCCTGGCGCTGGGACCGGGTCGGGGGCGCGGACCCGCCTGGGTCCAAACTCCCGAGGGTGCTGATTCTCTTTGCTGATACTCTCCCAACGAGCTGTCCACACAGCCAAACCTCACCTTAGGTCTGGGCACTGGAGCTGCACCCTGGGCGCTCGACGTTCTCCCCTGGTCATCAGGAAGTCAGAGTCCTGGCTCAGCCGTTAGAGCTGTGTGACCTTGGACAAGTGACTTGATCTCTCTGCGCCCCAGGAACGTGGAGATAATAATAGCACCGACCTCATAGGGCAGTAGTGAGAATCCAGTGAAAATTCATGAGAGCTTTTTTTGCACAGTGCCTGGCATGTATCAAACTCCCAGTAAATGCAAATTAAGAATACAGAGCAAAGGGTAGTATTGTGTGATAGCTGAGGGAGTATTTTACTCTTTTTTTCTTTCTTTCTTTGAGAGGGAGTCTCCCTCTGTCGCCCAGATTGGAGTGCAGTGGCGCCATCTCGGCTCACTGCGAGCTCCGCCTCCCAGGTTCCCGCCATTCTCCTGCCTCAGCCTCCCGAGTAGCTGGGACTACAGGCGCCTACCACCACGCCCGGCTAATTTTTTGTATTTTTAGTAGAGACGGGGTTTCACTGTGTTAGCCAGGATGGTCTCGATTTCCTGACCTTGTGATCTGCCCGCCTCGGCCTCCCAAAGTGCTGGAATTACAGGCGTGAGCCACCATGCCTGGCCGTATTTTACCCTTTCAAGTGGATCATTTTGCTGGCTTCTCAGTCACCCTGGGAGAGAGGCCTGGAAGTTTTATTTGTCCCCGTTTCACAGATGGGGACACAAGGCTCAAAGATGTCAAGAGGTCTCCAACCAGGTCTTGGATGCCAAATCAGCGCTCCCAACCTGAATTCCTGGGTGGATTCACAGTCTGTCACCCCGCTCTATCTTCCAATCATGCTACTTTAAAAAAACATCCATTCTGATTTTTGTCATCCCCAGTGAACATCTCAGGTACACATCTGCAGGAAAGGCTTTTTTTTGTTTTGTTTTTTTTTTTTTTTTTGTCCTTCCTTCTACAGAAAATAAGAAGCTACTATATATTATTTGCTGTGACCTTTGAGAAGGTCCCTGAACACGGATCCCAGGCCACTAAGAAGTCCTGGATCCTGGCATCCAGGCCTACCCTGGGGGCTCTTCCTCCAGCCCTACCCCTCAGGCTTTCTCCTCTCTAGTCACAATGTCCCTTCTCTGTTCCTGGAAGAGCCAAACTCCTTTCTGCCGCTGGGTCTTTGTACCTACTGTATATCTGCCTAGACACTCTCCCAGGTCCCTCTTACCACCGTTTTCCCATCTCAGGAAGCCAGCTCTGACTGTACCCCAGCCAGTCCACTGGGCCAGGTGCCTTGCTATCCACTCTTACAGCCCCTTCTCCATCTGCTTCAGCACTTGTCAGAACAGTCACTCAATGCTGTAACACCTTGTTTCCTGTCTGTCCCTCAGCTAGAATACCAGCTCCTTGAGGACAGAAATTGTCTCCATCTTACCCACAGCACATGGCCCAGACTTTGGCCGCACTCAATAAACGCTTGTTGACCCACTGACTGGATGAGTGACAAGAGGAGCCCTTGGCCATTCCTACTCCTTAGCTGCTAAGGAATTTTCCAGCTTCAAATTTATATTTTCATGGCAGATACAGAAACTGTGGAGTCTCTGCTGATATGTGCCAGCTGGCGAAGGAGGAAGCATGTGGCATTACCAGTGCATCCTAGGTCTCCCCATGTTTACACACTATCTCCTCCTCCAAATACACACAGGGGCTATCAATATGTTTCCTGGGCAAAAGGCAAGGCCCAGACATAGAGAGTTGACACATTAACGCCTCCTCTCTCTCTGAACCCATCTGAAGGTTCTGTTGGGGGTAGATTGGGGTGGTGGTGAGAAGATGGTCAAATCTGCTTGACTTGGGGCTGGCGACTGAAGTAGGACATGTAGCCTCTTGTCCTGGCTCAGCCACCACTGGCTTCTGTGACTTTGGAAAATTCCTCCTTAGTTCTCAGCAGGTTTTTTGTTTTTTGTTTTTTGTTTTTGCTCAGTATAAGATAATGGTTCAGAATTCAGATCCTAGAATTGGATCTTTCCTTTGTCATTTACTAATAAAGCACTTATCCACTCTGAATCTCAATTCTTCATCTGTAAAATATTATTATGCATCTTAATAATATGAAGATTAAAAACCTAGCTCAAATGTATTCCAAATATTTAATGAATGTTCACTGATTTTTACTACTACTAGCTCTCTTATTCTTTTTTATTTTTAATTGGCTCAATTTGTGTTACTTTGAAGCCAAAAGCAAGCCCTCCCCCATATTTCAAAAGTAGTATCTGAGACCATCCTGGCCAACATAGTGAAACCCCGTCTCTACTAAAAATACAAAAAATTGGCCAGGCGATGGTGGCGGGCGCCTGTAATCCCAGCTACTCTGAGGCTGAGGCAGGAGAATCACTTGAACCTGGGAGGCGGAGGTTGCAGTGAGCCAAGATCGAGCCACTGAACTCCAGCCTGGGCGAAAGTGCGAGACTCTGCCTCAAAAAAAAAAAAAAAAAAAAAAAAAAAAAAAGAAAAGAAAAGAAAAAAGAAAAAGAAAAGCAGTATCTCCTATTAACAAAGAAAGTTGAGCAAAAACTGACCTGGGACCGCTTTAATAAATACGGACTCCAGGAAGGAGATACTGAGACCAGAGTCGGTCCCACAGTATATTCGTATCAGATTTGGGGCTTAGAAACTTCTAAACTCTGAGCGCCCATAAGCAAGATGAGATTCTGCCTTGTACATGGTCGTAGCTCCAGGGGACAGAATAACGGCTTACACATAAAAGTGACAGAATACTGAACATTAGCTAACGGATGCTACGCTGCCTGAAGGTAAGTCTAGTGCTATTTCCAATATCTCCGAGACTTGGTTTTTCCACCGGAAAATGGAGATTAAAAATAATGCCCATAGGTATGAGCTAAGAGGAGTGTAAACAAAACAAAATAAAAAGCAATGCCCAGTGATTGGAGGATTTGATGAGATGATGCCCGCGAGGTGCTTGGCACGGAGTTTGACACAAGAACTCAGTGTTGGTGAATGCACGAATGCAGGTACCCAGCGACAGGGAGGTGCTGTGGGTGGATTCACCCTGGCTTCGCTGCGGCTGGGAGTGGGCGCTGCTAGTAAGAGATCTCGCCTCCAAGCTCCTTCCGTGGGCAGGAAAAAACGGAAGCTCCCAGAAAGAGGAAAGACAGGACCCGAGCGGGGTTTCAGGCAGATGGAGCGCGTCGGTAGCCTGTGGCCAGGGATCCCAGCACCGACGGGAAAGAGGAGGCCTGGGTACCCTGCGCCCCGGGCGCGCGCGGCGCGTGAGGTGAGGGGGAGGGCGCGGCTCCGCACCAGCCAGCGGCCGCCTGGCGCCCAGCCGCATCTCGGGGGGCGGGGTTGAGCCTCCGGGCCGCAGTGCGATTGGCGGAGGCGAGTGGGTGACGCCAACGGCCGGCGCGAGGCCCCGCCCCCGGCTTGCCCCGCCCCCGCGCGCGCCGGCGGCGGGGCAGCCTCGCTCTGGCTCGCGCCGCGCCCCCGCGCCCAGTCCGCGCGTCAGTCGGTCCCTAGCGCGGCTGCGGGGCGGAGAGCTGCGGCTGGCCCAGCGCGCCCACCTGAGGAGGCGGCGGGGTCCGCAGGCGTCGCGGGACGAGGAGATCGGAGCCGGGAGACTCGCGCAGCGCCATGGCCCCCATTGGCCTCAAAGCTGTTGTCGGAGAGAGTAAGTGGAGCCGGGATCCTTCCAGCAGGCGGGGACTGCGGCTCCCGAGGAGCCCCGCGCGGCCCCTGCCGGCAGCGCCCAGGCCTCCGAGCGGGCTGCCGGCCCTGCGCCCCGGGCCTGAGGCTCCTGGTCCGTGGGGTCCCGTTATTCAGGCGCCGCCCGCGCGAGAGGAAGGCTTGCCCCGCTCTCCCCTCCCTCACCTCATGTTTCACCCCAGCCCTCCCCCTGCAGCCCGCCCTCCTCCCTCGCCATCCTCCTTCCTCGCGGTCCCTGTCTCCCTTTTCCCTGCATCCTCCTTCCCCTCCATCCCTCCCTCCCTCTCTTCCCTTCACCCCCATTTCTCTCCCCTCGCCCCATCCTTCCCCCTTCCTCCACCCCTCCCTCACCCCACTCTCTCCATCCCGCCTCTCCCCCATCCCACCCTCCTTCCCCCTCTTTCACCCCCAACACCCGTCCCTCTCCTTCATCTCGCCTCTACCCCCTGCAGCCCGTCACCCTCCCCCGCACCCCCATCCTCACCCCCGTTACCTTCCCCTCAGTCCCCTCTCCCCTTCCTCGTCTTTATTCCTTGAGCGCCCAGACTCCGCTCCCTTTTCCTGCAGTCCCTCCTCCTCCCCACCCTCCTGGGTGAGTCGTGACGAGCGAGATCCTGGCCTGCGTCCTCCTCCCCCGCCCCGGGCCGCGCCGCGGTCCCTGGCTGCGAGACCCACCTGGGAGACTAGGCGCAGTGGCTTGGCCTGGGGAGGAGACGCCTGTTTTCCGGAGGCTGAGCTCTGCTGGGCCGGGGCCACCTCACTCCTCCCCTTCCCGGGGCTTGGCTTCCAGGGCGGGGACTTATCAGGATCCTGAACCCCTGAAATCACTCGGGAGATGAGGAGAGCTTCGGTGTCCGCCGCCCAGCGCCGCAGTCTGCAATCTCCCTGGTTGCGGGGCTCTGCCCTGCCGTGGCCGAACGCTTCGGGAGCTCAGACCACGGTGGCAGGGAGGAAATGGTTGTTTATGGGTTTGGATGAAAGGCACCACATGAATGGATTTTTAAAAGTGGGTGGCGGCGAGTGGCGGCCGCAGCGGAGCGAGGGCTGATGGTGGGTGACATTTGCAAAACGGCATCCACAGTGCTAAATAAGATTGGTGATATGTGTGGAAAAACAGTGCCTTGTCAATATTTTGTCCATTTCTTTATAACAAAAAAAATGTGTAAGGATTGCTGTGGCTTTTGCTATCTCTTTGGGGATTAAGTGAAGATTAAAACTGGGCTTTTCTCTGTAGGAGAGGATAAGAAAGGAAAAAGAATAAAATGGTGGAAATCTAGTTTCCTTTCCAATGATTCTCTCCTATCGTAGCGCGCGCTCGCTGTGGAATGCTTTTGGCCATGTAGTGTTCTTGTTGGGCACCATAGCTGTTTTATTTCCCCTCTCCATTCTTTTCATTGATATATAGGAAATACTCCTACTGAGGAATCTAGTTGTAAAACCTTATCTCACCTATTACATCAGAAGAAAATTGTTATAAAAACTGAACACCAAATGAAACAAAATTTTAAAAGGTGCTCATCGTAACACCTTCATTGTACCCATGCAGTACGGGTTCTGATACTTGTACTCGAGATGTTTAGGGCTAGGAGGACCCATAGGGATCCTCTAATGTCAACATCTCATTTTACCCATGAATAAGAAATGGAGACTTAGAGCAGTTAAGTGACTTGACACAATCAGTGTTAATTTGGTGAAACCTGGTGGGCATTTCCTTGCAACATTAGTAAAAAATAACTTTCTTCATTATTCTGTATGTATCTTTTCTTTCCAATATCCTTTTAAAGCGTGAAATATAGAATAGAATGTTACAGGTTGTATTCTTTAAAATGTTACATTTGTACTTTGGGAGGCTGAAATGGGAGGATTGCTTAAGCCCAGGAATTCAAGATCAGCCTGGGTAACATAGTGAGACCCCATCTCTATAAATATAAAAGTAAAATAAAATGGTATATTTGAACACTACACATTGAAGATAAAATCCTCAAGTGTTATAGAAATCAAGTTTTGCATCATTTTGCTGGAACCCTTGTTTATGCAAGTGGCTCCATAATCCCCTTCCCCCACCTTTAATTAGAAGCAAGCATAAAGGTAAAAAAAAATCAATATGCAAGCATGGTCAGAATTTACTTTCTGAAATAAAGCAAACCCATTGTACACAAAGATAACAAAGCAATTTTACATAAAATTGGTGAGGATGGCTAGGTGCAGTGGCTCATGCCTGTAATCTCAGGACTTTGGGAGGCCGAGGCTGGCGGGTCACCTGAGGTCAGGAGTTCGAGACCAGCCTGACCAACATGGTGAAACCCTGTCTCTACTAAAAATAAAAAAAATTAGCTGGGTGTGGTGGTGGGTGCCTGTAATCCCAGCTACTCGGGAGGCTGAACCCTCGCTTGAACCTGGGAGGCAGAGGTTGCAGTGAGCCGAGATCGTGCCATTGCATGCCAGCATGGCAACAGAGCAAGACTCCATCTCAAAAAAAAAAAAAAAAAAGAAAAGAAAAAAGAAAAAAAAATGGTGATTATGTGAACAGAGTTCTATTCCTATAACAATTAGGTATAAATTTTAGAAGAAAAATGTTGAAATCCTTTGTCAATGACGCAGGTTAATTCTGGCTTCTAATTTTGGATAGGGTTTCTAGCTTTGCCCTTTTCTCTAAAAGAGGCTGAGGCAGAAGAATTGCTTGAACTGGGAGGCAGAGGTTGCATTGAGCTGAGATTGCGCCACTGCATTCCAGCCTGGGCGACAAGAGCCAAACTCTGTCTCAAAAAAAAAAGAACCTAATTATACATTAAAAACAAAAATGACAATCAAGTAGAGCTTATTTCAGAAACACAATAGTTCAATATTAGAATGACATTAAGAAATGAAAATTTTAAAACTATATAATCTTCTCAGTAGAAACTGAAAAACAAGTTAATCTGCTTTTAAAAACAAAACAAAAACTCCTAGTAATCCAGAACTAAAAGGAGTAGTTTAAATGTCCCTGTAGAGAAACCTCTAACCTCCCCAATCCCATCAGGCCTCCCTGTAATCACGGTTCCCTGGACTTTCCTTTGTAATTCTTATCACAGTTGCAATTAATAAATTATTTGTACTAATTGTAAGACCATAAGTTCGCTGGGGGTAAGAACTAGTGTCTAGCACAGTGCTGTCACAACAAACTCTAGGAATAAGTCTAATAGGAAGTTAGCAAGACCTTCATAAATGGAGAAGAATGCTATGTTGCTTTATGGAAGAATATGAAAAAATATCAGTTCTTGCTAAATTAACCTATACATTTAATAAAATTCCTACAAAAGTCCCAACATTCATCTGGAATGGTAAAGGCTAAGCTAAGAGGAGCTAAGAAATTTTTGAAAAAAAAAGAAAATGGGAATTTTCACCTACCAGATTCAAAACATACTGTAAAGCTACGATTACCAAAACATTGTAGCACTACCAGATGAGAGGGAAAGTGAAAAGATCAATGACATAGAACAAGAAGTCTAGAGTAGGTCCAGATAAGAATCCCATATATGGCAAAGGTAGCATTTTAAGTCAGTGAGGAAAGGAAAGAAAACTCAACATATGATATTCAGGCAGTTGGCTACATTTTGATGGGGAAAATAAATTTACTTCTGTACTTCACATGTTCACAAAAATAAGTCCCATAGGGATTAAATAAATAAAATGATAAAGGTAGTAGATAATAACAGATGTACTTTTCCTTATATTATTGTGCAGGAGCTTTCTAAACATTATTAGAAAACATTAAGGAAAAGACTGACAGATATGACTATACTTCTATTCAGTAAAAACACCAAAAAGCAATTTGAAAGACAAATAAGCTTGAAAAGTATCTGCAGCATATAACAAAGGGCCGATATCTATTTATCTATCTATCTGTAGAGAGCTTCCTTAAATTGTTTTTAAAAAAAACTAAATAAAAAATAGACAAAAGACATCTATTAGTTATCTATTGTTGCATAACAAATTACACCAAAACTTAGCAGCTTAAAACAATGAACATTTATTGTCTCAGACATCCTGAGGGTCAGGGTCTGGGAGGGGAGCAGCCTGGCTGGGAGGTTGTGGCTCAGGGCCCCTCAGGAGGTTACATCAATGGGCTGTAGCTATCTCAAGACCAGACCAGAGCTGAAGAATCCACCTCCAATGGCACTCCTGTTGTTAGTGGGCCTCAGTTATCCAGCAGGCTGTTGGCCGGATACCTCAGTTCTTTGCCACAGGGGCTTCGCCTGGGAAGCCAGCCGGCTTCCTCCAGAGCCAGCGACCCAAAAGAGATGGAGACCTGGAGACCGCAGTCTCTATAACCTAATTTAGAAGGGCCATCATCACTTTTACCATATCCTATCCATCACACAGACCAATGCTGGCACAAAGTGGGAGGGGACTACACAAGCGTGTGAATACCAGGAACCAGGGACCACTGGAGGCCATCCTGGGGGCTCTCTTACCCCAGAATGAAAACAAGAGCTCCAGAACTGGGCTAGGACACAGTAGAAAAGCGGGGAGGAGAGCAAGCCCAGCAACCAGATGCCTTCACTTTACACACTTCTGTATTTGATTTTCTTCTTTAAAATGTATAGTGTGCTCTACTTTTATAATTTAAAAAATAAAGGTTTTAAAAATATTTTTATTAACAGGAAAACAGAGAATGCCTCTCTGGTTCTGTCTGGGTATCACCAAGTTCCCCAGATTGTGCCAGGCTCTAAGTCATAATAAGAATGACCACCTACTGAGAACCTATGATGTGCCAGGCACTGTCCTAGTCACTTAAATATACTATTCCTTTTTTTTTTTTTTTTTTTTTTTTTGAGACAGAGTCTTACTCTGTTGCCCAGGCTGGAGTGCAGTGGTGCGATCTCGGCTGATTGCAACCTCCGCCTACTGGGTTCAAGCAATTCTCCTGCCTCAGCCTCATGAGTAGCTGGGACTATAGGCGCACGCTGCCACGCCCGGCTAATTTTTTGTATTTTAGTAGAGGCGGGGTTTCACCTTGTTGACCAGACTGGTCTTGAACTCCTGAGCTCAGGCAGTCCGGCCTTCCAAAGTGTTGGGATTACAGGCGTGAGCCACTGCGCCCAGCCAAATATACTATTCTTAACGCTAAATGTCCTAAGTAGATATAACTGTCCCCATTTTAGAGATGAGGAAATTCAGGTACAGATAAAGTCACTTAACAGTGCACACAAGTAGTAAGGCTGGAATTCAAACTCGGGCTTCTCTGGCTCCAAAAGGCTGAGCTCTTCATTAGACCAGTCCCCTTGCCCCTCGATGCCCTGTGTAACCCACTAGAAGAGTGGGTAGGAGGAAAGCCATCAATCCCGGAGCACCAGGGAGACACACAAAAGGCCCAGACTCCGGGACTGAAGAACTGCTGCTGACAAAAATAGTTATAAACATTCCTGTCCATTTGGGATCATTGTGGGTTGGTATTAGAACAAGCTGGACATCCTAATGTTCCAGGCAAGCAGAAGCTCTCTGCTTCAGACCGTATACTTTCTAATAATGTAACTAGCCAAAGCTAGTCATAAAAATTCTGAATCACTGGTCAAGAAACACATTTTCTCATCATCCCCTCTATAGCCACCCCTCCAACATTTTCCCCTGATGATTGAATTCTAAGGTTCCCTCACCCCTGCTTTTCTCTGCCAGGGGATGAAGTGAGTAGAAGGAGGCTTTGTCTAAGGACTGTGAACTCCTCTTACCCTCTCACTGCACTCAGCAGCCCGAGAGGTGAGTTCAGGCATCATCCACTTAGCTCTTCTAGGGCCAAATTATAAGTGGAAAGCAGGAGAGATCAGAGGTGTCAGACTCAGTCTATGAAAGACAGATACTCCTCTTTTTCCTCAACCTCCCTCACTAATCCCCACCCCCCCGAATAAATACACTGACAAAGCGTTGAAAGTTGCACTTTCCAAGTCAATTCAGTCTCTCTTATGAAGTGGCTTCAGTATTTATCAGGTTATAGATTATGATCAATTGGTCTGAACTTTGAATCTAAATCTAAAAATTATTGCTTTGCTTCGAGTAAAACTGTAATAATAAAAACTAAATCTATTGATCACTTATTAGGTGCCAGACACTGTCCTAGGCATGTCGTATGTTGTCATTTAATCCTCAAAAAGATCCCATGAGTTACTCTCATTAGTCTTCTTTTACTCTAAGGAAACAGAGGCTGAGAGAGTTTAGGATAATTCCACAAGGTTATCAATTTGTCGTTATAATGTTTGTATGTATGTATGTATTATTTTGAGACAGAGTCTTGCTCTGTCTCCCAGGCTGGAGTGCAGTGGCACTATCTTGGCTCACTGCAATCTCCGCCTCCCGGGTTCAAGTGATTCTTCTGCCTCTGCCTCCCGAGTAGCTGGGATTACAGGCGTGTGCCACCACGGCTGGCTAATTTTTGTATATATATATGTATTTTAGACGGGGTTTTGCCATGTTGGCGAGGCTGGTCTTGAACTCCTGACCTCAAATGATCCACCCACCTTGGCCTCCCAAAGCGCTGGAATTACAGACGTGAGCCACCGCCCCAGCACTGTTGTTATAATGTTTTAGTAACTAACATTTACATCACATCAACAAGTGCTAAACACTAAACTAAGTGCTTTGTGTATGCTAACTTGTTGAATGTCTATAGTTACCCTGTAAGAGAGGTGTATTCCCTGCGCTTTATGGATGAGAACATTGAAGTCAGGTGAGGAATGTGCGCTAGGTCCCATAGGTGAGAAGAGGCAGATGCAGGATTTGGACCCTGGTAGTTTGGCTGCAGCATCAGTCTTAATCTCAACACCTGTCTTCTCAGATTTGGATTCTGGCTCACAGGCTGCAGAGCCTGTACTTCTTTTTTTTTTCTTTTTCCCAGAGACAGGTTTCTGTTGCCCAGGCTGGAGCACAGCGGCGCAATCATAGCTCACTGCAACCTCAACCTCCTGGGCTCAAGCAATCCTCTTGTCTCAGCATCCCAAGTAGCTGGGACTACAGGCATGCACCACCATGCTCAGTTAATTAAAAAAAAATTTTTTTTTCTTCAAGACGAAACCTCGCTCTGTCACCAGGCTAGAGTGCAGTGGTGCGATCTTGGCTCACTGCAACCTCCGCCTCCCGGGTTCAAGCAATTCTCTTGCCTCAGCCTCATGAGTAGCTGGGACTACAGGCATGTGCCACTACGCCCAGCTAATTTTTTGTATTTTTAGTAGAGATGGGGTTTCACCATATTGGTCAGGATGATCTTGATCTCTTGACCTTGTGATCCACCTGCCTTGGCCTCCAAAAGTGCTGGGATTACAGGCGTGAGCCACCGCACCTGGCCAATTTTTAGAAAAATTTTTAGTAGAGATGAGGACTCACTATGTTGCCCAGGCTTGTCTTGAACTCCTGAGCTCAAGTGACCCTCCCGTCTCAGCCTCCCAAAGTGCTAAGATTACCTAGAGCCTGTATTCTTAACCTCTCTTCCTTGGTTTTTGATACTTGAAAATCTTTTTTCCCTAAATTTTTCCAAAAATGTACAGGATCCAAGTGGCAGACAGGTCCTCCGGATTCTATTCCGGGTTCTGCCCCTGACTCATGGGTGACACTGGGTAAGTCACAACTCTGCCAACAAGACACTGAAACTTGCACTTTCCCTCTACTAATTATTTAATGTACTGCAAATCCTGCTTGACCTTAAGTACAGGAGAAATTTGACTTGTAAAAAGAGATAACTTAGGCCAGGCACAGTGGCTCACGCCTATAATTCCAGCACTTTGGGAGGCCAAGGTGGGAGATTCACTTGAGCCCAGGAGTTCAAAACCAGCCTGGGCAATATAGTGAGACCTCGTCTCTACAAAAAATTTAGAAATTAGCCGGCCGGGTGCGGTGGCTCACGCCTGTAATCCCAGCACTTTGGGAGGCTGAGGAGGGTGGATCACCTGAGGTCAGGAGTTGAGAACAGCCTGGCTGACATGGTGAAACCCCGTCTCTACTAATAATACAAAAATTAGCTGGGTGTGGTGGCACACATCTGTAATTCCAGCTACTTGGGAGGCTGAGGCAGGAGAATTGCTTGAACCCGGGAGGCAGAGGTTGCAGTGAGCTGAGATGGTACCACTGCACTCCAGCCTGGGCAACAGAGTGAGACTCTGTCTCAAAAAAAAAAAAAAAAATTTAACCAGGCATAGTGTCCCCGATCTGTAGTCCCAGCTACTCAGGAGGATTGCTTGAGCCCAGGAAGTCAAGGCTGCAGTGAGCCAAGATCATCCTACTGCACTCCAGCCTGGGAGACAGAGTGAGACTCTGTTTCAAAACAAACAAACAAAAAAAAGGTAACTTTAGGCTGGGCGTGGTGGCTCATGCCTGTAATCCCAGGACTTTGGGAGGCCGAGGCAGGTGGATCACCTGAGGTCAGGAGTTCGAGACCAGCCTGGCCGACATGGTGAAACCCTGTCTCTACTAATAATACTAAAATTAGCCAGGCATGGTGGCACACACCTGTAATCCCAGCTACTCAGGAGGTTGAGGCAGGAGAATTGCTTGAACCCAGGAGGGGGAGATTGCAGTGAGCAGAGATCATGCCATTGCACTCTAGCCTGGGTGACAAGAGAGAAACTCCATCTCAAAAAAAAAAAAAAAAAAGAGGTAACTATTTGGCAGTGCCTCAAAAAGTTACACATAGAGGGACAGGCACTGTGGCCCACACCTGTAATCCCAGCACTTTGGGAGGCCGAAGCGGGCAAATCACGTGAGGTCAGGAGTTTGAGACCAGCCTGACCAACATGGCGAAACCCTATCTCTACTAAAAATACAATATATTAGCCGGGCATGGTGGTGCATGCCTGTAATCTCAGTTACTTGGGAGGCTGAGGCAGGAGAATCGCTTGAACCTGGGAGTTGGAGGTTGCAGTGAGCAGAGATTGTGCCATTGCACTCCAGCCTGGGCAACAAGAGCGAAACTCCATCTCAAAAAAAAAAAAAAAAAAAAAAAAAGTTACACATAGAGTTACCATCTGACTCAGCAATACCACTCCAGTGTATATAATCAAAAGAAATGACAGTATACATCCACACCAAACTCATATACAAATGTCGCAGCAGCATTATTCATAACAGCCAAACAACTCAAATGCCTATCAAGTGATTAGTAGATGAGCAAAATGTGGCCTATTCATACGATGAAATATTACTCAGCCAAAAGAAGGAATGAAGCACTGACATAGGCATGAAGCACTCACATAGGCTACAACACAGATGAACCTTGAAAACACGATGATGGCCGGGCGCGGTGGCTCCTGCCTGTAATCCGAGCACTTTGGGAGGCCAAGGCAGGTGGATCACCTGAGGTCAGGAGTTCTCGACCAGCCTGGCCAACATGGTGAAACCCTGTCTCTACTGAAAATACAAAACTTAGCTGGGCGCAGTGGTGGGTGCCTGTAATCCCAGCTACTCAGGAGGCTGAGGCAGGAGAATTGCTTGAACCCAGGAGGTGGAGATTGCAGTGAGCCAAGGTTGTGCAATTGCACTCCAGCCTGGGTGACAAGAGCAAGACTTGGTCTCAGAAAAAAAAAGAAAGAAAGAAAGAAAACATGACACTAAGTGAAAGAAGCCAGATACAAAGGCCACATAGTGGATGCTCCCATTTATATGAAGTGTTCAGAGTTGGCAAACCCAAAGACAGAAGGTAGATTAGTGGTTGCCAGGGGCTGGGGGAGGGCAGAATGGGGAGGGATCGCTAGCAGGTACGGGGCTTCTTGTCGGGTGATGAAAGTGTTCTGACCAGCTACAGGGAGCCAAGATCATGCCACTGCACTCCATCCTGAGTGACAGAGCGAGACCCTGTCTCAAAAAAGTAAATAACGTAAAATGGCAAAGCTTATGTGAATTACATCTGAATAGTAAGCTTTCAGATGTTTAAAAAAAAAAAGAGAGAGCAAGCTAACTTGAAAGGTAAGCTATTAGCCCAGTTGACACATTTGTCCTGAACTTTTCCCTGTAGTATCGCTTAAATGCACATCATCAAGGAAGTCCTTTTAAAAGAGTGTCAGTTGGAAACATTTACATTGAGACAGAGGACTTCAATATTTAATTGCATGGCCTGGGTCTCCAGGGAGGAGGTTGCTTAAATATGAGCATTTGTTTTACTTCAAAGTTAAATACAATTCTGTGGGTGACCTGTCCATGTCACAGTTTCTCCATGCAACTGAGACAGTTTAGGGGGAAAGAAATCATCCCTATCTGATAACAGATTTACTAGGATTTTTTTTTTTTTTTTTTGAGACAGAGTCTCACTCTGTCACCTAGACTGGAGTACAGTGGCACAGTTATGGCTCACTGCAGCCTCAACCTCCTAGGCTCAGGTGATCCTCCCATTTCAGCCTCTCAAGCAGCTGGGACAATAGGCACACACCACCACATCTGGCAATTTTTGTATTTTTTTTAGAGATGGGTTCTCGCTGTGTTGCCCAGGCTAGTCTCAAACTCCTGGGCTCAAGGGATCCTCCTGCCTCAGCCTCCCAAATTGCTGGGATTACAGGTGTGAGACACTATGCTTGGCCTATTATCTTAAGAAAATATCCTAAATGTGGTTTTGGAAGAAAAAAGAAAACAATTTTCCTAGGAACAATGTAGGAAGGTAGAATAGGTATAAAAGCAAAGGTGAGGCTGAGTGCGGTGGCTCATGCTTATAATCCGAGCACTTTGGGAGGCTGAGACAGGCTGATCATCTGAGGTCAGGAGATGGAGACCATCCGGGCCACCATGGTGAAACTCTGTCTCTACTAAAAATACAAAAATTAGCTGGGCATGGTGGCACGTGGCTGTAGTCCCAGCTACTCGGGAGGCTGAGGTAGGAGAGTCACTTGAAGCCGGGAGGCAGAGGTTGCATGGAGTCAAGATTGCACCACTGCAGTCCAGCCTGAGTGACAGAGCAAGACTGTCTCAAAAACAAAACAAAACAACAACAAACAAAAAACTAAACTAAAGGCAAAAGTGACTTTAAAATACAAAATACTCATCCAAACAGATGTTGCTGTTACACAGGAGTAAAACCTTGGTGACTTGGGTTGTGCCAGCATTGCTTTCTTGGCTGCTGAGTTATGGGAATAGCCAACAGGTCCCAGGAAAAAGGACCCCACAGCAGGGAGATGAGGGGCTCAAGGCAGCAACTACATACCAACCCGTATGGAAGACTTCCACTATTTTAGTATCAGCCAAACTGATGTGTACCATCAGGATATCAACTTTGGGTTCAAGAATACATAATGTTGAGAAATTTGGGAAAGACCTGTAACAGTCTGGGACCTGAGAAGATGCCATACATATGCAATTTAATTCCACAGAGCTATTTGTTGCCTGCCTGCCATCTATAACTATTCTAGGCACTATGGGGAATGGCAAAAGAAAGAGGACACAGTCCCTGCCTTCAAAGAACTTATGACGTATTATTTAACAAGGAAGCAAAACTTTTGACCAGGTGTGGTAGCTCACGCCTGTAATCCCAGCACTTTGGGAGGCCAGTGTGGGCGACTGTTTTGAGTCTAGGAGTTTGAGACCAGCCTGGGCAACATGGCAAAACCCCATCTGTACGGAAAAAAAAAAAATAATATATATATATATATATATATATATATATATATATATATATATATATTAGCCAGGCATGTTGGTGCACACCTGTGGTCCCAGCTACTTGGGAGGCTGAGGTGGGAGGATTGCTTGAGCCTGGGAAGTGGAGGTTGCTTGAGCCTAGGTTGTGCCACTGTACTCCAGCCTGGGCGACAGAGCAAGACGCTGTCACACACACACGCGTGCACACACACACACACACAAACTTTTAACAAATAACTATAACAGGCCGGGCATGGTGGCTCATGCTTGTAATCCCAGTACTTTGGGAGGCCAAGGCGAGTGGATCACTTGAGGTCAGGAGTTCAAGACCAGCCTGGCCAACATGGCAAAACCCCATCTCTACTAAAAATACAAAAATTTGCAGGGCATGGTGGCACATGCCTGTAATCCCAGCTACTTGGGTGGCTGAGACACGAGAATTGCTTGAACCCGGGAGGCAGAGGTTGCAGTGAGCTGAGATCGCACCACTGCACTCTAGCCTGGGCAACAGAGCAAGACTTTGTCTCAAAAAAACACAAAAACCAAAAAAAACCCCTATAACCTAATGCAGAATGCAGAAAGTGCCATAATAAAGAACTGAGGCCGGGTGCAGTGGCTCACATCTGTAATCCCAGCACTTTGGGAGGCGGATGCGGGCAGATCACGAGGTCAGGAGATTGAGACCATCCTGGCTAACACGGTGAAACCCCGTCTCTACTAAAAATACAAAACAAAATTAGCCAGGCGTGGTCGTGGGCACCTGTAGTCCCAGCTACTTGGGAGGCTGAGGCAGGAGAATGGCGGGAACCCGGGAGGCAGAGCTTGCAGTGAGTCGAGATCACGCCACTGCACTCCAGCCTGGGCAGCGAGCGAGACTCCGCCTCAACAATAACAACAACAACAAAAAAAAACTGAATGGCGTCTAAAGAGTGAAAGGAGAAATTTATTTGATTTGATTTGATATTTTTTTTGAGACAGAGTCTTGCTCTATCACCCAGGCTGGAGTGCAGTAGCATGATCTCGGCTCACTGCAACCTCCGCCTCCCAGGTTCAAGCAATTCTTCTGCCTCAGCCTCCCGAGTACCTGGGATTACAGGCACGTGTCACCATGCCCGGCTTATTTTTGTATTTTTAGTAGAGACAGGGTTTCCCCATGTTGGCCAGGCTGGACTCAAACTCCTGACCTCAGATGATCCGCCTGCCTCGGCCTCCCGAAGTGCTGGGATTACAGGCGTGAGCCACTGCAGCTGGCCTAAAGGAGAAATTTCTATTCCAGATAGGAAAGAGAAAAATATCTTGTTGGGAAAAACAGTATTAACCAGATCTTGAAGAATGGGGACATTCCCAGGATGAGCAAGCTATATTAGAATCCTTTTAAAAAATAGAAGTTCTAAAAGTATGACACTTTTAATTAATAAACTGGAAACGAAGACACAATCGGACCACTCAACAATAGTGATTTTTAAATTTTAAATGAATTATCTAAAAAGACATAGGCCAGACACGGTGGCTCACACCTGTAATCTCAGCACTTTGGGAGGCTGAGGTGGGCAGATCACGAGGTCAGGAGTTTGAGACCAGCCTGACCAACATGGTGAAACCCCGTCTCTATTAAAAATACAAAAATTAGCCCGACATGGTGGTGAGCGCCTGTAATCCCAGCTACTCGGGAGGCTGAGGCAGGAGAATCGCTTGAACCTGGGAGGCGGAGGTTGCAGTGGGCTGAGATCGCGCCACTACACTCCAGCCTGGGTGACAGAGCGAGATTCTGTCTCAAAAAAACAAACCAACCAACCAAAACAAACAAACAAAAAAATATACATTCTACAACTGTAGTTGTGATCCCCTTTCTCATTCTATCCTGTTTGTGTATTATTTTCATGGAAATACTTGCTGGAAACTTACTTATTTTACTTTCCTTTAAAAAAAAATCACTTTTTTATTTTTTGAGACAGAGCCTCGCTCTGTCTCCCAGGCTAGAATGCAATGGCACAGTCTTGGCTCACTGCAACCGCTGCCTCCCAGGTTCAAGCGATTCTCCTGCTTCAGCCTCCCAAGCAGCTGGGACTATAGGCACGTGCCACGACACCCGGCTAATTTTTTGTATTTTTAGTAGAGATGGGGTTTCATCATGTTAGCCAGGATAGTCTCGATCTCCTGACCTCGTGATCCGCCTGCCTCAGCTTCCCAAAGTGCTGGGATTACAAACATTAGCCACCGCACCCCACCAAAATCAGTTTCTTCTATATTGTGTGTAGCTATTCTAATTTATTGAATAAAATGCTGGGATAATTTATTAATTTTTCTTTGTTTTCTACTAAAAGCATCTAAGGATATGAATTTTCATCTGAGTACAGCTTTGGTTGAATCCCATAGGTTTTTTTCCCCTGCTCCATAGTTTTTATTTTTATTTTTATTTATTTATTTTTCAGACAGAGTCTCTCTCTGTTGCCCAGGTTGGAGTGCAGTGGCATGATCTTAGCTCACTGCAAATCCATCTTCCGGGTTCAAGCAATTCTTTTGCCTCAGCCTCCCGAGTAGCTGGGATTGCAGGCATGCACCACCATGCCTGGCTAACTTTTATATTTTTAGTAGAGACGGGGTTTCACCATGTTGGTCAGGCTAGTCTCGAACTCCTGACCTCAAGTGATCCACCCGCCTCGGTCTCCCAAAGTGCTGGGATTACAGGTGTGAGCCGCTGCGCTCAGTCCTGCTTCATAGTTTTTAATATCCAATATTTTTGCCATTTCTTTTTTTAAAAAATTATTATTTTGTTATTTTAGAGACAAGGTCTCAGTCTGTCACCCAGGCTGGAGTACAGTGGCATGATCCATAGCTCACTGCAGCCTTGACCTTCTGGGCTCAAGCCCCCTGAGTAGCTGGGACTATATTTGTGTGCCACCGTGCCTGGCTATTGCCATTTACTTCTAAATATAGTCCTTTGTTTTGAAGTGGATGTCACTCTCATAACTGGTGATAAGTAGTTTAAATTGTGGCAAAATTTCCCTAAGAGGTGGTTTGGGACTCAGGCATCATCATCAAATGTAAGAGAGCACGTATCTGCCTCTAGTATCCAAGAAGGGCTTATTGAACGTGCAGTGAAAGGTTTTCCCTCTGGCTTTTTTGGCGCACAGCACCTCTGAGACAAACAGGTGCTTGAAAGCTAATGAAATATCTTTAGTGGAGTGGTCAGGCCAAATTTTATAGTTATCACTGGCAATGTAACAGCCATAAATTTTGAGTCCTGGTCCTGTGCTCGCCTGTACAGGAAGTGCTTTGGGAATCCCCAGTATGATCCTCTTTAATTGCCTCAATTAGTTGCTTCTCTGCGAGGCTGTTGCAAGAGCTAAAGTTAGAGTGAGGTGACTGAGACTCTGTTTTCCTTTCAGCAAGTATGAGGTTTACTTACCTTTTTCCATGTCTTTTTTCTTTTTTATTTGTTTTGGAGGGAGGGGTGGTGGTGGGAGATAGGGTCTGGCTCTGTCTCCCAGGCTGGAGTAGAGTGGCACAATCACAGCTCACTGCAGCTTTGATCTCCTGGGCTCAAGCGATTCCAGCTGGGACTACAGGTGTGTGCAACCACACCTGGCTGATTTTTGTATTTTCTGTAGAGAAAATACATGTTGTCCAGGCTGGTTTTGGACTCTTGGGCTCAAGCAGTCTACCCACCTTGGCTTCCCAAAGTGCTGAGATCACAGGCATGAGAGCCACCGTGCCTGACCTTTTTTGGTTTTTTGTTTGTTTGTTTGTTTTTGTTTTTTTGTTTGTTTTTTTTTGAGATGGAGTCTCACTCTGTTGCTCAGGCTGGAGTGCAGTAGCATAACCTTGGCTCACTGCAGCCTCAACCTCCCAGGCTCAAGCCATGCTCCCACCTCAGCCTCCCAAGTAGTTGGGACTACAGGCATGCATCACCATGCCTGGCAGATTTTTCTTTTCTTTTCTTTTCTTTTTTTTTTGTATTTGTGTATTTTTTGTATAGATGGGGTTTCACCATGTCACCCAGGATGATCTTGAACTTCCAAGCTCAAGCAGCATTCCCACCTCAGCCTCTCAAAGTGCTGGGATTATAGGCACGTGCCACAGCACCTGCCCTGATCTTTAACTTTTTTCTTTTCAACATCCACCCATCTCTATCTGTCACTTTATTTTATTTATTTATTTTTTTCTTGTGAGATAGAGTCTTGCTCTGTCACCCAGGCTGCAATGCAGTGGAGCAATCCTGGCTCACTGTAACCTCCGCCTTTGGGGTCGGGGTGCAAGTGATTTTCCTGCCTCAGCCTTCTGAGTAGCTGGGATTACAGGTGCCTGCCACCTAGTATCCAAAAAGGGCTTATTGAACGTGCAGTGAAACGCCTGGCTAATTTTCGTATTTTCAGTCACGACGGGATTTCACTATGTTGGCCAGGCTGGTCTCAAACTCCTGATCTCATATGGTCCTCCCGCTTTGGCCCCCCAAAGTGCTGGGATTATAGGTGTTAGCCACTACACCCAACCTCTACCTTTCACTGATGTCTACTAATTATTTAGTCTACGAGCAAACCTTATTGGAAGTGAATGAGATATTAAGTATTTATTACAGTAGGAAAACCTGTTTTATTCTTGGAAAGAAAAAAATTTAGAGGGAGATAAAGAAAAGTGGAGAAAAACAAACAAAATTAAAAAAAAATCTTTGGAGCCTGGATGTGTGAATTCAAATTCATGCAGATTTGAATCTGAGTCTCCAGTAGCCACCCCTTATTTGGTGTCCTTCTGAGATGTTAGAGAACTCCAGGACCATAAATTATAGTCTGTGTTCATTTCAGCATGGCTCAGCAGGGTCTGGGACCAAGTGTTTTCATTCATCCAACCAATATTTGCGCTGTCTCTACATGCCAGGAGCTGTGCTGCATGGGCAGCAGAGATAGTAGTGTGTAAGTAGACCGGGTCCTTGTGGGATTTAGACAGACAGTGGTGACGCAGCAGGAATGTGCCCTGACAGGGCAATATAGGTAATGCTGAAGCATGTGGGAAGCCCCCAGGAAGGCCTGGGCATGAGCGGGGCAGAGTGAGACCTGCAGGATGAGGAATTAGCCAGGCAGGAGATGGGGTCCGTGGGGCCTGGGGGAGAGGAAGGTCTAAGCTTGGCAAGAAAATGAGAAAGGCTGTGGCTGGCTGGAGCTGTGGGGAGTGTGTGGAGAGCAGTCGGAGAGTTGCCAGGGCCTGCTTAGCCTTGGTAAGGTCGTTTATCTCTCTATTCCAGCAGCTGTGGGAAGCTACTGAAGGTTTTGAGTTGGGGAGAGGCATGGTTAGAATTGAGTTCAAAATGCTATCTGGTTGCTGTGTGGAGAGTGGGCGGGAGGCAGTGGGAGGGAAGAGGCTGTGGTGCTGGTCCTAGCTGGGGATGTGATGGCGAGGATGGTGATTTATGCCAGGGAGAGAGCAGCAGTGTTGGGAGGGGGACCCCAACTTGAAGGCATCTTAGGATGCAGAAGGGTCAGGTCATGGTGATGGCTGTGCAGGAAGAGGAGAGGAAGAGTCAGAAATGAATCCCAGTTTTCTGGCTCGGGCGGCCAGTTGGAAGGTCATGCTGTGCATTGAGAGATGAAAGGCGGAGAAGAGACAGGTTTGTGGGGGAAGATGAGGTTTTGTAGGCACAGGCTTCAGGTCCTGTGGACCACCTGCGGGGGATGCTAATGGGAGCAGGCAGACATGCTTGAGATTGGCAGTCACCCGGTGCCAGAGTGTGGGCAGGTCAGATGCACAGGAGAGTGGGAGAAGAGGGCTGGGATCTCACCCCGTGGGACACTGGCATTTACAGGACAGGCCCAGGGAGAGCAGCCAGCAGGCCTGAGTGTCGGAGGGGAAAGGTGAGGCTCACAGCAGTGTCTTATGATTTTGTGACTCATGGGACCCAACCTCAAACTGAGCCAGTGCAAGCTGAGCCAGCCACCAGGAGGCTCCAGTTTAGGAACAGCCCCCACTCTCTAGGCTGGGAGGCTTGGCCGCTGGAAACTTCTCAGGAGTTTGCCTGTCTGTGGTGTTGCCCCTGTGTTTTAGACAACACTTGCCTGTGTTAACTTCCTTGCTCAGGATTGTTTTAAGGAGGAAATGAGGAAATGGTTATAGTTAGTCGACGTGCAAAACTCTGAGCATTTGGGCTTTATGCTGTGTTAAAATGGCATCAGATTGGCTGAGTGTGGTGGCTTATGCCTGTAATCCCAGCACATTGGGAGGCCGAGGTGGGTGGATCGCTTGAGCCCAGGAGTTCAAGACCAGCCTGAGCAATGTGGCGAGACCCTGTCTCTACCAATAAATAAATAAATAAATAAAGTACGAAAACTAGCCAGACATGGTGGCACACGCCTGTAGTCCCAGCTACTCAGGAGGCTAAACTGGGAGGATCACTTGAGCCAAGGAGGTCAAGGTTGCAGTGAGCCATGACACACCACTGCACTCCATCTTGGGGTGCAGAGCAAGACCCTGTCTGCTGTGGTTTTGTTCTGTGTCCCCACCCAAATCTCATCTTGAATTGTAATCCGCCTAATCCCTACATGTCAAGGACAAGACCAGGTAGAGGTAATTGAATCATGGGGGCAGTTTCCCTCATACTATTCTCAGATAATGAATGAGTCCAAAGGTTTTATAAGCGTCTTGCATTTTTCCTGCTGGCACTCATTCTCTCTCCTGCTGCCCTGTGAAGAGGTGTCTTCTGCCACGATTGTAAGTTTCCTGAGGCCTCCCCAGCCATGCGGAACTGTGAGTCAATGAAACCTCTTTTCTTTGTCAGTTACCCAGTCTCAGGTATTTCTTCATAGCAGCATGAGAATGGACTCATACATCATTTCAAAAAAAAAAAAAGATGGCATCAAATTGTAGAATCTTGGCTCTGGAAAGGATCTTAGAAGAATCTAGTCCAGACCGTGACCCAGAGTAGGAAGTCAGATTGTGCTAGTCTATTAGCTTGATCACATTGGCCAATTTTTTTCTTCTCTGTGGCTGCTGGGGATACAGTATTATCTTCATGTTCCACACCAGTGTAGAGTCACAATGGCAAGTATAAACCATGAAGAGTGTGTGGAGGCAGAAAGGCTGTGGCTCTGGACTCTAGTTGGTTCTAATCCAGTCGCAGTTGAGCCTCGTGAGCCTCCTTTATGGCAGTAGGAACAAAGCTGCTTCATTTTGGCAGTGAAGGGAGGAAAAAGGAAGAAAATTTAGGCTTAAACTGTTTTTGGAGCCCCCATACTGGGTACGACAAGGTGAACCAAACCCCACTTATCTCTTCTGTCAGTTTCTTCTGAGCATTGGTGTGGTCAGGATAGCATTGGAGAGGAGCCCCCTGCCCAGTCTCTGGACACATTGGTATTGATGGTTCTATTTGCTAAGGACTTGAAGAAAACAAAACACTGGTGGTAAGCAAGAGTCACCCTTCGCTCTGGGAGAATTTCACACTACAGGCTTTAAACAATAGACTACAGTGAGGCATAGCCCTTAAAAATCACTTAATCTGCAGACCTCCTTGTATTGGGGGTCAAAGTGCTGCTTCAGGATTTTAGGATGAGGCTATTACTTGACTACTCAGAATGTTTTTCAGTTTGCTTTCCCTTAGATAATCTTAGGGTGGATTACCCTGGGGGGTGACTCTGGCTCATTCCTCAATAATCACTAATTGACTAGCAAGAAGATCCCTTAAAAAAAGTCACGAGGCCAGGTGCGGTGGCTCACACCTGTAATCCCAGTGCTTTGGGAGGCCAAAGTGGGCTGATCATCTGAGGCCAGGAGTTCAAGACCAGCCTGGTCAACATGTTGAAACCCTGTCTCTACTAAAAATACAAAAAATTAGCTGGGTGTGGTGGTGGGCACCTGTAATCCCAGCTACTCGGGAGGCTGAGGCGTGAAAATAGCTTGAACCCAGGAGGCAGAGGTTGCAGTGAGCTGAGATCACAACACTGCACTCCAGCTTGGGCAACAGAGTGAGACCCTGTCTCAATACAAAAACAAAAACAAACTGATTGGGAGCTCTCACCCTGTGGATGGGCCTGACCTGGATAGGCTGTTTGTTGGGGAACTCCCGGTGTCAGCATATTTAGATTTTTCTTCTTGGTCTCTGATTCCCCAGAAAGGTCTTCTTTTGTCTGCTGTCTGGGAGATAAAGGTCTGGCTACCAGAATTCTGGGAACTGACTGGATGAGATGAGCTGACAGTGGGTTCTCAACAAGCTTTATGCCCCTCTTATTCTTTTTTTTTTTTTTTTTTTTGAGACAGAGTCTTGATCTGTTGCCCAGGCTGGAGCACAGTAGCATGATCTCAACTCACTGCAAGCTCCGCCTCCCAGGTTCACGCCATTCTCCTGCCTCAGCCTCCCGACTAGCTGGGACTACAGGCGCCCACCACCATGCCCAGCTAATTCTTTTGTATTTTTAGTAGAGACAGGGTTTCACTGTGTTAGCCAGGTTGGTCTCGATCTCCTGACCTCGTGATCCGCCCGCCTAGGCTTCCCAAAGTGCTGGGATTACAGGCTTGAGCCACTGCGCCCAGCCACCCCTCCTATTCTTTTAAGTTCCAGAGGCAGCTGGTGCTGCCAGTTCCTGAAACTTTTGAGGATTCTGCTGTGTACATTTGGTTGGTTTTCACTGCTCCCTACCACCAGATAAGGATTCCGCTTTCATGGGCCTACTAAGTCAGTTACAACGCATCTATTGTAGAAAATAAGGCGACAGACTCAGAATGTAAAAACACAACTTTATCATTTGTAATAACTGCATTCCAGGAAGGAAGGAGGGGAGTAGCCACCAGCCAGAGACTGGGGACCACCACGCCCGAGTTTCTTTCTTTTTTGAGACGGAGTTTCGTTCTTGTTGCCCATGCTGGAGTGCAATGGTGCAGTCTTGGCTCACTGCAACCTCCGCCTTCCGGGTTCAAGCGATTCTCCTGCCTCAGCCTCGTGAGTAGCTGGGATTACAGGCATAAGCCACCATGCATGGCTAATTTTTGTATTTTTAGTAGAGACGGGGTTTCTCCATGTTGGTCAGGCTAGTCTTGAACTCTCGACCTCAGGTGATCTGCCTGCCTTGGCCTCCCAAAGTGCTGGGATTACAGGCATGAGCCACTGCGCCCAGCCCTGAGTTTCTTAACACAGCAGAGCCTCTGGCTCTTTTGGCCACTTGTTTTTCTTTCTCACTGAGAGGAAATAGAGTCTCCTAAGAGAAAGAGTTTTGGAACACCACAAATCCAGGAATTTAATACTGAACTAGCCCTCAGCTCACTTTGAAGCAGGAAATCAGGTGAGGCTAAGGTCATGCCTTCTGACTGGATAAACCCTCCCGGACCCAGGAGACATCCTCACCTGCCCGGACCCCGGGAGGCATCCTGACCCTTGCGGACCCCAGGAGGCATCCTCACCCTCCTGGACCCCAGGAGGCATCCTTACCCTCGGGGACCCCGGGAGGCATCCTCACCGGAGCAATCTTTGGTATAGAACTTTTAACTAAATTACACAGTGTGGAGAGACAAGCTTCAGTCATTTCTCCACTACCCACTCAGTGCCTGGCGGAAGGCAGGCAGCACAGACCTTCATCCCAACGCACGAGGGGAATATTCAAATCATGCCTTAGGGGCACAGGGAAGGGAGTCAGAGACTGCCCCGCCTGTGATTTTGATACAAGTAGACAGATGATCTGAGAGAACAGCCTCTGGTCTAGATGATTTCAGTGGAAAAGAAGAAGAAAGATCCATGTGGAAACTTTGTAAACGTTTTATGACGGGAAAAGACAAGTGTAGCATTTAGGTAAAGAAGACCAGCACAGAGAAAACCATTTATCATTCTAACATAAAATGATCAACCAAGAGCTCAAATGTGATGTAATGTGAGATAACAGAATGAGGTGGAAAATGGCCTAGCAGGGGAATTCAAAAACAGCAAATCATGGCATTGCAGAATGAATAAACCAATTTTACACCATAAGAAGCAGAATCTTCGCTATAAAATATGGAAATTGCTTGAGAAATCACGCAGCCTGCATATTCATGAGCATTAGTGCTCCCCGTGTTTCTTTTGGATTTTTCGCGTCTTCTCTTCCTGGAGCTCCACCTCCTTCCCGTGCTCGATCTTTGGCCCCAACCCCAAAAGGATGTTTTCTTTTCCTGGTATCTTACTGTAGCCAGTTCCACAGGTTGGGGAAAGGAAGCCCTCTTAACACTGGCCCTTTGTGTGTGTGGATGGGTGGGTGGGGCATTTCCTGCCTTCTGGAAGCTTCCCTGGGGCTTTTGTCTTATGTGGGTTTGACATCAATAGCATGGCTGAATTGAGGGTTCCAGAGGGAGCGTGAGCTTATGGCCTTGTCATGTTGTGTGGGACTAAACATTTCCTAATATCTCAGATCTGTAGACCTGAAGCAGGCTAAATCTTAGAGCAGAACAGATTGGGCTGGTCAGAATCTTGGACTTGAAAATAAGACAGAGCTGAACTTGGTGACATGCACCTGTAGTCCCAGCTACTCAGGAGGCTGAAGCAGGAGGATTGCTTGAGCCCAGGTATTTGAGGCCAGCCTGGGCAACATGGTGAGACTCATTTCAAAAAAGAAAAGAATAGGATGACTGTCACCACCATGGTCATGGATAAATCATGTGATCTCTCCTGGATTCAGTTTCTTTATAAGATAGACTGCATCAGAATTTCTCAGTGTTGGCACTATTGACATTTTGGGCCAGATGAGCTTGTGCCTTGTGGGATGTTTAGCAGCATTCCTGACCTCTACTTGTAGATTCCCATATCATCCCCTAGTCGTGACAATAAAAAATGTATCCAGACAATGCTGACCTTCCTCTTGGGGGCGCAAAATCACTCCCTGTTGAGAACCACTGGACTAGGTGATCTTTTTTTTTTTTTTTTTTTGAGATGGAGTTCTGCTCTAGTTGCCCAGGCAGGCTGGAGTGCAATGGCGTGACCTCAGCTCACTGCAACCTCCACCTCCCTGGTTCAAGCGATTCTTCTGCCTCAGCCTTCTGAGCAGCTGAGATTACAGGCAAATACTACCATGCCCGGCTAATTTTTTGTATTTTTAGTAGAGACAGGGTTTCACCATGTTGGCCAGGCTGGTCTCGAACTCCTGACCTCAGGTGATCCACCCACCTCAGCCTCCCAAAGTGCTGCGATTACAGGCGTGAGCCACTGTGCCCGGCCCCACTGGACTAGGTGATCTTATGTCTCCTGTCTGCTGCTGGGTTTCTGGGATTGTATGAAACACTCCATTCTTTTCCTCTCTCTTTAGTTTTAGACTCATCTTTAAGTCCTTAGGGAAACTCCCATTCAAGCCAAGAGATGTGATTTGGAGCCATTAAATGCTGCATCTACCAATTTAAGATGCTAGCCACATCTTGGGTTCCTGCCAAGATCAAGATACATATTCTGGGTTTCTGCAGTTGAAGGAGGAATTCCTGCAGCCATCGCAGAGTCTGTAGTAGGAGCACAAGCTTTTTTCGGAGACACAGATGTGGCTGGGCGGGTGGCTCATGCCTGTAGTCCCAGTACTTTGGGAGGCCGAGGCGGGTGGATCACCTGAGGTCAGGAGTTTGAGACCAGTATGACCAATATGGTGAAACTCCGTCTCTACTAAAGATACAGAAATTAGCTGGGCATGGTGGCAGGCGCCTGTAATCCCAGTTACTTGGGAGGCTGAGACAGGAGAATTGCTTGAACCTGGGAGGCGGAGGTTACAGTGAGCCGAGATGGTGCCACTGCACTCCAGCCTGGGCGACAGAGTGAGACTCCGTCTCAAAACAAACAAACAAACAAACAAACAAACAATAAAACAGACACAGATACAGGTTGACAGGCCAAGTGGGCATTAACAGATGAGGACTGCTGCTGTTGGTAATGTATAAGGGCAATGTCTTTTCTATCTTTTTTTTTCCTGGTCAGCTGTAGTCATGTATCTTTTTTTTTTTTTTTTTTTTTTTTTTTGGAGATGAAGTCTCACTCTGTTGCCCAGGCTGGAGTGCAATGGCACGATCTCGGCTCACTGCAACCTCCGCCTCCTGGGTTAAAGTGATTCTCCTGTCTCAGCCTCCCCATTAGCTAGGGCTACAGGCGTGCATCACCACACCCAGCTAATTTTTTGTATTTTTAGTAGAGATGGGGTTTCACCATGTTGGCCAGGCTGTTCTTGAACTCCTGACCTCAAGTGATCTGCCCGCTTTGGCCTCCCAAAGTGCTGGGATTACAGACGTGAGCCACCGTGCCTGGCCCAGGCTTCCCAAATAACTGAATGCTGGTATCACTGTGGTGTATAAAAATGGTCCTCATTTTCCAGTCCTTTCTTTTAAAGATGTCCTTATGTAGCAGAGCTTTATGTGGTGAGAGTAGTGTTTGCTCCCCTGGAAGGTTACTATTTCACAATTTTTGTCTTTCTTTGGTATTTTTGCTTCAAAATATCAACATAACTCAATAGTGTTGATGACAATAAGCTGTTGATTTTAAGAAGATATGAATTATTGGATTTCCACTTTTGATTGATTTTTCCATTTGTGTGTATTTTGTAACGTCACAGCTCCTTTTATCCAAGGAACGTTGTTTCAGGCAACATAAGGAAGAAATAATTTCCCTTTAGAACTGAGGGGAGGTGACTGCTGCCTCTAACATATACTTAGGAACTCCTATTTTTCATCTCCACTAGCCCTGGTTTGAGATTTTTTTTTTTTGGAGATGGAGTTTCGCTCTTGTTGCCCAGGCTAGAGTGCAGTGGTGTGATCTCGCCTCACTGCAACCTCCGCAGTTCAGGTGATTCTCCCGGGTTCAGGTGAACCTGAACCTGAACTTCTCCCGCAGTTCAGGTGAACCTCCCGGGTTCAGGTGATTCTCCTGCCTCAGCCTCCCAAGTAGCTGGGATTACAGGCATGAGCTACCATGCCTGGCTAATTTTGTATTTTTTTAGTAGAAACGGAGTTTTACCATATTGGTCAGGCTGGTCTCAAGCTCCTGACCTCGGGTGATCTACCCACCTCGGCCTCCTAAAGTGCAGGGATTACAGGTGTGAGCCACTGCGCCTGGCTGAAGTTATTTTTATTTATTTATTTATTTATTTTTTGAGACAGAGTTTCACTCTTGTTACCCAGGCTGTAGTGCAACGGCATGATCTCGGCTCACCGCAACCTCCACCTCCCGGGTTCAAGTGATTCTCCTGCCTCAGCCTCCCGAGTAGCTGGGATTACAGGCACCCACCACCACGCTCAGCTAATTTTTTGTATTTTTAGTAGAGATGGGGTTTCTCCATGTTGGTCAGGCTGGTCTTGAACTCCCGACCTTAGGTGATCCACCCGCCTCCACCTCCCAGAGTGCTGGGATTACAGGCATGAGCCACCGCGCCCGGCCATGGCTGAGATTTTTTTTTACTAATCACTTTGAAGGTTCATGAGTCTTTGCTTAGAGATTTTCTGGCTCCTTCACTTTTTGGCTCCAAACCTTATAAAACAGGGATATAAAATAAAAAATGGGAGTCTCTCTTGAAAGAGAAAGTAAATAGTCATTTCTGTAACCCTACCCAGTATCTTTATGGACCCGAGGTTAGGATTTGGTTTCTCGGATACTAGGCATTTATCATCAGGCACTCTCTCGGATATTGGCAGTAACCCAGGTTTTGTATGTTACAGCGTTGGACATTTGAGTCTTATGCAATCTTTGGGTGTGCTCAGTAGGCCGATGTAATCAAATCATTGTTAACCCATCTCTACACGTTTTAAAGCTTGTGACAACTCCAAACAATTAGCCCTCACCCTTTTTTCTCACTACCCATTACCCAAAAATCAAACCTAAATAGAGATGTTCTCAGATTATAACCAGGCTAATTAGTTGTCATTCAACAGTTACAGGGAGTGATACCCAGTGCTTGCCCTGTGGCTGACAATTTGAGATCTCTATTTTGGTCTCTCCCACTTCCCACAAATACAATTTAGATATAAAATTATAGTAAATTATTCTAGATAACTAATAGTTGATAGAGTTACTGTCTTCAAATGAAGGCACTATGGAACAGTTTTATATTAAGCATAACTGCATTTGTTTTGTTTTTGTTTTTAAAAATTTTTTCTAGAGACAGGGTCTTGCTTTGTTGCCCAGGCTGGTCTCTAACTCCTGGCTTCAAGCGATCCCACTTTGGCCTCCTAAAGTGTTGGGATTACAGCCATTGTGCCCAGCCAGTTTTTTGAGTTTGAATTTTAATTTTTTATCTAAAATTCTCTAATGATTTTAGAAACAGCTTTATTGGGATATAATTCACATACCATACCATTCACCCATTTAAAGTGTATAATTCAATGGCTTTTAGTCTATTCATAGAACAGTGTGTCCATCATCACAATCAATTTTAGAACACTTTCAATTACCCCAGAAGGAAACTCCATATTCCTTATATGTAACCCCTAAACCCCCCATCTCTCCTGCTGTAGGCAACTACTAATCTCCTTTCAATTTGTATGGCTGTACCTGTTCTGGACATTGCATCTAAATGGCGTTACATAATATGTGGTCCTTTATGACTGCCTGCCTTTTTTTGAGACGGAGTCTCTCTCTGTCGCCCAGGCTGGAGTGCAGTGGTGCAATCTCAGCTCACTGCAAGCTCCGCCTCTCAGGTTCACACCATTCTCCTACCTCAGCCTCCTGAGTAGCTGGGACTACAGGCGCCCGCCACCACGCCTGGCTACTTTTTGTATTTTTAGTGGAGATGGGGTTTCACTGCATTAGCCAGGATGGTCTCGATGTCCTGACCTCATGATCCGCCCACCTTGGCCTCCCAAAGTGCTGGTATTACAGGCGTGAGCCACCGCGCACAGCCATGACTGCCTTCATTTACTTAGTGTGTTTTAAAGGTTCTTTGGTCTTACAACATTTATTGTACTTCACTCCTTTTTAATGACTGAATAATACTCCATTGTGTGGATATACTGCACTTACCCATTCACCCGTCAGTGGGTGTTTGAGTTGTTTCCACTTTTTGGTTATTATGAATAATGCTGCTAGAAACATTCATGTACAAGTGTTTGTGTAGACATATGTTATTTATTTATTTTTAAAATTTATTTATTATTATTTTTTGAGACAGGGTCTCACTCTGTTGCCCAGGCTGGAGTGCAGTGGCACTATGTCAGCTCATTGCAACCTCTGCCCTCTGGGTTCAAGCAATTCTCTTGCCTCAGGCTCCCGAGTAGCTGGGATTACAGGTGCCTGCCACCATGCCTGGCTAATGTTTGTATTTTAAGTAGAGACAGGGTTTCACCATGTTGGCCAGGCCGATCTTGAACTCTTGATCTTAGGTGACCCACCTGCCTCAGCCTCCCAAAGTGATGGGATTACAGGCATGAGCCACCACGCCCAGCCAACATACGTTTTAATGTCTTTAGGATATATACCTAGGAATGGAGTTGCTGGATCTCTATGTTTGGTTATTTGAGGAGCTGCCGGCCTGTTTTCCACATCAGCTGTACCATTTTACATTCTCACCAGCAGTGCATGACGGTCCAGTGCCTTTTTATCTTACTGCGCTTAAGGTGTAATTCCTTCTTTCTCAGACTGGACTGTAAATTCTTTGAGGTAAATACATTGATTTATATGTTGCTTGTATCCTCTATTGCCTTCAAGTGGTTATGTGCATTTTATTGTGCAATTGCTAGATACTTTGTTTCTCTCAGCGTCAGTGTTTTACTTTGTAAAATGAGGGTGCTATAATTCTTGACCTCTGAGGGCTACTGGGAGCTTTAAATGAGATGATATATGTAAAACACATGAGGAACTCTCTCACATGTAGTCAACCTTCAATATGTTTCAGATATTGCTATTATTATGGGCATTTTTTTTGTTATTGAGAGTAAATTAACGATTGAGTTTTTTCTTTATTTTGAGGAGTCTTGCTTTGTTGCCCAGATTGGAGTGCAGTGGTGCAATCTTGGCTTGCTGCAACCTCCGCCTCCCAAGTTCAAGCAATTTTCCTGCCTCAGCCTCCCTAGTAGCTGGGATTACAGGCACCTGCCACCAAACCCAGCTAATTTTTGTATTTTTAGTAGATATGGGGTTTCACCATGTTGGCCAGGATGGTCTCAAGCTCCTGGCCTCAAGTGACCTGCCCGCCTCAGTCTCCCAAAGTACTGGGATTATAGATGTGAGCCACTGTGCCCGGCTGACTTTTTCTTTTTTTTCTTTTTTCTTTTTTTTTGTTTTTGTTTTTTTTGAGACGGAGTCTCACTCTGTCATCCAGGCTGGAGTGCAGTGGCACGACCTTGGCTTACTGCAACCTCCGCCTCCCGGGTTCAAGTGATTCTCCTGCCTCAGCCTCCCGAGTAGCTGGGACTACAGGCTCACACCACCATGCCTGGCTAATTTTTGTATTTTTAGTAAAGGGTTTCACCACGCTGGCCAGGCTGGTCTCGAACTCCAGACCTTGTGATCTGCCCGCCTCGGCCTCCCAAAGTGCTGGGATTACAGGCGTGAGCCACTGTGCCCGCCAAGTTTTTTCTTTATAAGAGCTTTGAAAAAATTTTGGCTAAGGTTGTAATATCTCAATCAGACACTGGTTAAAAAATTAGCAGTAGGGGAATTATCAGATGGTGGACCTTCTTCCAAGCCCCCAGCAAGTTCATTAAACTGTTAAATTTCCTTTGGGCACTGATCACTCTCCGAGGCGATGGTGTTTATTTCTTTGTGTTTATAGGCAGTCTCTCCCTTCCACACCAGAGTGTAGGCATTTTGTTTAGCTTGCTCATCATGGTCTTTCTGATGCCTAGAAGGATGTCTGCCACATAGCAGCTGTTCAATAAATATTGTGGAATAGATGAGAAAAAATGTATGCAGAGAAAAAATTAGAAGACAGGAGACATATTACAAACCCCATGGAGGAACAATAAATCACTAGATTCTTCCTTATTAGGAACGTAAAAATATTATTTAAAATAGGTGATAATAGGGCCAGTGATAGCCAACAGGGTTAAGTACTGTTGTAAACACTAAGCTAAGTGCTGTACAGGCAGTCACTTATTTAATCCTCACGATACCCCTATGAGACATTTGCGGTCCTTCCCATTTTACAGATGGAGAAACTGTGACACACAGAGATTTAATAACTTGCACAAAGGCACAGCTAATGAGTGGAGAAGCAGGGAGTTGAACTTTAACCATCTGTCTCCAAAACCCATTTGAATCCCTTTGCTTTACTCTGTCAAGGTGATCATAGCAATGTAGCACAACAAAGGACAGCTGGGTTCAGTGTCAGAGTCTAGCCCATGCTAGAGCCAGAGAGACGACATGTGCAGTGGGAAGAACATGCGGACAGGGGTCCAGAGAATAGTTGCTCATGCTAGAGTGACCAATTAGTGGCTTACCCACTCCAGATGGCTGTCTTCTGCAGGGAGTATCTCAATCCCCAAATTGAGACCTGAGACCTGGGACCTGGAACCTGGCCTTAGCTGATCTCTGAGGTTCTTTCCAATATTAAAGTTTTCAAGCCCCAAAGAAGAATAGTTGAAAATTACTTTGCCTCCCCAGGCTACAAGGTGACATAGATCAAAAAATTTTATTAGCCTCCTGTGTTAGTGTTTATGTTTACAATAAAGTCCTCACTAATTTGATTGGAATAAATCAGCAGGTCTCCATGTAGAGACTGTCTTATGAATACATTTAAGGAGATTTGTGCAAATTATTGTATGTTCATACTATGGAATGCTATGTAGTTTGAAAGCATGTGGTAGGTCTGTGTGAAATGATACAAGAGAAAGTCTATAATATATTGAGTAGAAAATGTAATTGCAGAACAATGTGTATACGTGTAATATCCCAACCAAAGAGCTGTGTACATGTGCATACCTCCCCACACCTGGGTGTATGTGCCCAGGAAAGGATCTGTAAGGGCACACCCGAAACTGTTAGTGGCTGTTTTCCCCGCAAGAGTAGGGGGAAGGAGGGAAATTTCACCCTGTATTTATATAATCTATTGTTTGATTTTTTTTTACAAGAATGTGCTACTTTTTTATTATTAAGAACTACATAGGCTGGGGGTGGTGGCACATGCCTGTAATTCCAGCTACTCGGGATCCTGAGGCAGGAGAATCGCTTGAACTGGGGAGGCAGAGGTTGCAGTGAGCCAAGATCATGCCGTTGCGCTCCAGCCTGGGCAACAAGAGTGAAACTCCGTCTCGAAAAAAAAGAACTACGTAAAGGCAAAAAGTTAAAGTGGTTTATAATTAGGTTACCAATAGTGTGTGTATAAATGATATTTCCAAGAAAGGAAACTTGAGAGTACTTGGAAGGCTTGTTTTCAAGTATTTGTACCATTTCCTGCAATCTTGTTGAACATTAACTTATTCCACCTGGGAAAATGCAGTTGTTTATCAAGGAGACCCTTCAGCCCCACACGAGACATTCAGAGAAACTTGGTTGCTGTCTTTGCTGTCAGGAAAGAGGAAGACTACCTAGACATGTTGCTCCAGAGCAGAATTTCCAGCAGTAGATTGAACCTTCGGAGGCCGAGTCCCAGCCCAGTGTAAACTGGTAAAGAGTGAGCCCTCTTCCTACAATCTGGTTATTGCTGCTGTGTAAAAAGTCCTCTTGATTTTTATGTATTTATTTCTTATCTGCTGCCTTACTAAATGTTTTAATGTTGCTAATCATTTTGATTTCTGCAGATATATATCATTATTACTAATATTGTAACTCATTTTATTTTCTAATCTGACTGAATTTTTGGATACATGTTAAATAATAACAATTTTAAAATACAGACCTGTGTGCCCTGTTGTGACTAAAATGCCTTTGACTTTCTATCGGCCTCTGCTTGTGCTTCAGATTAACTCACAGATAGCCAGGGGCCACTCTCTGCCCTCTCAGAAGGGGACGGGGGTCCTTATGTTCAACTTTATATTTTCTTTCTTTCTTTTTTTTTTTTTTAGTTTGAGACAGGGTCTCACTCTTGCCCAGGCTAGAGTGGTACAGCAGCGTCATCTTAGCTCACTGTAGTCTCTGCCTTTCAGGCTCAAAGGGATCCTCCTGCCTCAGCCTCCTGAGTAGCTGGGACTACAGGCGCGAGCTACCACACCCAGCTAATTTTTGTATTTTTTCTAGAGACGGGTTTTTGCCATGTTGCCCAGGTCAAACTTTATATTTTCATTTAGGATTCGTATACATTGGTGCTATAGTGCCATTATTCCAAAAATGTATTCATATGTTTACCGCAGGTCAGAGAAGTTTTGAAATTTTTGGTGAAATATCCATGTAGTTTGCTATCTGAATATCTTTATGATTATTTAAAAACTATTTTAAACATTTGTTTCCTTTTTTTTTTTTCTTGAGGCAGAGTCTTACTCTGCTGCCCAGGCTGGAGTGCAGTGGCGTGATCTTGGCTCACTGCAAACTCCGCCTCCCAGGTTCAAGCGATTCTCCTGCCTCAGCCTCCCAAGTAGCTGGGATTACAGGCACCCACCACCATGCCTGGCTAATTTTTGTATTTTTGGTAAAGATGGGGTTTCACCATGTTGGCCAGGCTGGTCTCAAACTTCTGACCTCAAGTGATCCACCCACCTCAGCCTCCCAAAGTGCTGGGATTACAGGCATGAGCCACTGTGCCCGGCCACATTTGTTTCCTTTTAAGAGGATTTTTACATTATGTTAAAAATCTTGATTGGTAGAAGTTATATTTCATAATTTTCTTCTTCCTTTGTATGAATAATATGCTTTTATAGTGATGTCACAAGAGGTGCCTTTTGCAGAGTGCCTCATACGTGTCACTGGACTAAGTAAGCATTTTATCTCATTAATCTTCACAACAGGCTATTAGAGTATTATAATTTTAATTTTGCAGATGAGAAAACTGAAACTTAAAATGTTTTAAACTTGGCAAGGCACGGTAGCTCGATAGCTCACGCCTGTAACCTAATCCAAGCACTTTGGGAGGCTGAGGTAGGTGGATCACCTGAGGTTAGGAGTTCGAAGGCAGCCTGGCCAACATGGTGAAACCCTGTCTCTACAAAAGACACAAAAATTAGTTGGGCGTGATGGCGTGTGCCTGTAGTCCCAGCTACTAGGGAGGCTGAGGCAGGAGAATCACTTGAACCCGGGAGGTGGAGGTTGTAGTGAGTCAAGATCTCGCCATTGCACTCCAGCCTGGGCGATAGAGGGAGACTCCTTCTCAAAAAAAAAAAAAAGTCCCAAGGTCACACAGCCAGCAAATGCCTGAACCTGGATGTCAGCCCTGGTCTAACTTTAGCGCTTCCTTGGGCATTTTTGGGGGTGATTTCTGCTTGAGCAGCCAGCATTACCCCCTCAGACCCCTGGAGTTCAGTCAAGAGGATGCCTTTTAGAAGAACGTCTACTGTTGAGTCAGAATAACTCTGGAAATTCCCTGTACTCTGGATTGGTAAAAAGAGGCAGGGAGTTGTGGGCTGAGGTTGGACTCTCTTAGTTCCCTCAGCAGCATGAAGGCAACTTCTCCCAACCTGGGGAAAGTGGATCCTGGTGCCTCTGTCCTGGGCAGTGTGGTGCTCTGGGGCTACTGTGTGGAATCTTGGAATCGCCTGTGGTGTTGACTTTGGTTGCACTTCTCCTAAGCTTCTGGCTCATCTAATATTAGTCACGCTACTTCAGGTGTTTGCATGTGCCCTGGGCTCAGGGCATCGGGCATCTGGCATATGTCACTGTGGAGGGCAGTTGTGAGTCCCTCCTGGGCTGTGAGGGTGGGGCTTCATAGGGAGCTGCAAGCCTTGAGCAGTCCCTGTAGCGATCCCTGGAGCCTGTGTTTTGGGACTCCAGTTGAAATATTGGGTGCATTTGAAGATGTCCCAGATCATCTTAGACCACCGGCCATTTTTCTCAGGACATGGCAGAGATTTGCCAAGGTTGGGAGTCACCCAGGACCTAGAGGATGTGGTTGAGAAGGGACCTGCTTTCTTACTCATTTGGCCATGAGGGAAGCAGAGTCCACCAGGGTCTTCAGTATTACGGAGGAACTGAAGCTGCTCCGGTCTTTTAAACACATCCCCGTAGACTAGCTGGGTGGTGGAGCAGGCATTTGGCTGTAGATACACATGGTTTGGTATGCGGAAGTAAGACCTCCTGGCTGGACCCACTTCAGAAGTCTTCATTGTTTCTCTCCACATGAAGAGGACTTAGGAAGGAGATGAAATGAGATTGCCAGGGATTGTGAGGAGGTAGCCCAAGCTACTTGATTCTTAATGCTAAACTGAGCTCTAATCCTTGTTTCCTTTTCAGTATTGGATTAGAAAAATGTAGGGCAGGATTAGAATTGGCTGTTAACAATACCCAGGACAAACATATGCCCTGAGAACTTTGGAAAGGAAATAACTTCCTAGGAATGGTGGCAGCTGCAGTGGTAATTTATATGTGTCTTTTAACACTTGTAGTACTTGGTTTTATCTTTTGATTATATCTCTGCCTTTCCCTATCAAAAGGCAACTTAAGTGTAATTTTTTTCAGTGAATTTATATTAATTTTTAGTGGCAAGAAAATATATTCATCCTCAATAATATAATACATTCAAATAAAGAGTGAACTATACTGTTTTCTGCTGTCATTGTGGCAAAGATTAAAATAAGTAAACCTCAAGATATTTTATCAGTTAGTATGTTAATTTGGAGAGCCACATAGTACTGATGAGGGTGGGAGACATAATTTTGGAAAGTAATTCAGCAGAGTTTATCAGGACCCCAGAACATTTAGATGTTTTACCAACTTATTCCATACTCAGAAAGCTACCCTAACGGAATAATTTGTGCTAAGAAAAGCCCTGGCCACAAAGATGGTCGCTGACACATTATTTTGAGAGCATTTTTCTTATGCAGAAAGCTTGGGACAACATTGGAAGGCACAAATTGGCAAGTAAAGGTTAATTATAAATTTATTGCACAAAAATAAGCTTTTGGTATGAGTTTTTCTAATTTTCCTATGCATATCTGCTTTAAAAATAGTTGTAGCATGCTTTTTTCACCCTTAGCCATATATTTTGAGCATTTTCTTCCTCGTTTGTACTCATATATGAAAACTCTAACCTTAGTTGAAACCAGCCTTCCTTTCTTGCACCTGGACAGCCGAACATTATTGGGAAAAAACATTACTAAGCTGCCTGGTTTAACTTTAAATTCACAGTCATGACCATCAAATTAGTCCTTAGTACTGTCTGTAAATGCTAAAACATTTCCACAGTAAATTGACTTTCCCAATCTCTGGGAAGATATATGATACCTTCTTTCTTCAAAGCTTCCATATATAACACCCCTTCCCCACTCTTAGCCAATGACTTCATCTCCAACAGGGAAACCCCTCACCTCTGCCACCGTGTCTCCAAGCCCATCTGTGGCTTTCCTCTCCTTCACACAGGATGCCTCCTGTCCCAGGTCAAGCTTTCCTCTTGTATCTCAGCTCCAACTCCTCCCTCTTCCTCAGGGACCTCAGTCTTTCATTACTCCATCCTCTCTCCTGCATCGTCACTCTCCCCTTCCCTTTTGACTTATTGCCAGCATCACTAAAAATGCTATAATCTTTCACATCTTTAAAAACAAACAAATCCTACCCTTGCATCCATGTCTTTATCTACCCTGTTAGTTTTTATGCCTTTTCTCTGCTACCTTTTAAAGCAAAACTCCTTTTTTTTTTTTTTTGTCACCCAGGCTGGAGTGCAGTGGCACGATCTCGGCTCACTGCAAACTCCACCTCGCAGGTTCAGGCGATTCTCCTGCCTCAGCCTCCTGAGTAGTTGGCATTATAGGCACGCGGCACCACGCCCGGCTAATTTTTGTTTTTTGTTTTTTTTTTTTTTTTTGAGACAGAGTCTTGCTCTGTCACCAGGCTGGAGTGCAGTGGCGAGAATTGGCTTACTGCAACCTCCGCCTCCCGGGTTCAAGCGATTCTGCCGCCTCAGCCTCCCGAGTAGCTGGGACTACAGGCCCGCCACCTAATTTTTGTATTTTTGGTAGAGACAGGGTTTCACCATGTTGGTCAGGCTGGTCTCGAACTCCTGACCTCATGATCCACCCGCCTTGGCCTCCCAAAGTGCTGGGATTATAGGTGTGAGCCACCACGCCCGGCCAAAGCAAAACTTCTTAAGAGTTGTTGTCTGTCTTGTCTTCCTCCTCTCCCATTTTAGTCTGGCTTCATTCTTATTATTTCACTGAAACGCTCGTCAAGGTCCACAAAGACCATGTCCATCCATCTCACTGCTCCTGTCAGAGTCATTTTCTGCAGCCTTCCCTCCTGCCTCTATTTGATAAGTCCCCAGTGTTTCACTCCAGCTGAGGCTGTGCTTCCAAGCCCAAGAGCTAACTCTAGCTACCTATTCAGCGTCTTCCCTTGAATGTGTCTTAGCCATCTCAATCTTAAAACAACTAAAATAGAACTCCTGATGTTCTACAGACCAGTTCTCCTTCCTCTCAAACTCTCTGAATGCTACATCAATTTCTTGGCTTAAACCAAAAATCTGGGAGTTGGTTATGTTTCTTTTCTTTTCTGCCACATCCAGTGTATCAGCTAGCCCTGTTGGTTTTACCTCCATAGTGTATATCAAATCTGCCCACTTCTCACCATCTCCTCTGCCACTGTCATGCCTGGACTGTTGGAAAGGCCTCCTGACTCCACCCCCTGCTTCCATTCTTGCCCCCTCCTTCTTGTCTCTCTGTAGCACATCAGATTACATCCTTACCTTCCATGGCTTTCCAATGCCTTTCAGATAAAATCATACTCCTTATCAAAGACCACGAGGCTCTGTATGATCCGGCCTCCAACCTCAGCGTATATCATCTTCAGTTCCCAGAAAATGTCAATCTCATTTTCCTTTTTCCACAAGACTTTGTACTGTTCCTTCTCCTTTTCCTAGTTCTTGGCTGACTTCTTCCTCGTCAGGTCCAACTTGCTTAGAGTGGCCTTGCCTGACCCCCTATTTAAGTAGGCTGCCCACACCCTTTTAAAAAATCGTAGCACCTTATTTATTTAATTCGGAGCACTTATGAGAAGATGCAATTGCTCTTTTCAGTTAGTGGCCGCCTCCTTCCCTAGAGCAGCAGCTCCACAGGAGCTGAGCAGCACAGTATCTTGTTCATTCGCAGGGTTTAGCACAATGGCTGGCAAGTAGTGGTTACTCAACAAATGTTTATTGAGTGAAAGCCTGAAAGAATGAGTACATATTTTCCCAAATTATTATTTCCAATGGGTTCATAGTATTCCATTGTACAAATGTAACCTAATTAAGTTAACCACTGCCCTATTATGGATATATTGGTTTCTAGTTTTTCACTACACTGAAACATGCGAAGTAATCTAAATGGCTATTGGGAATATTGTTGACCATGAACAATTATTCAGGCCTTAAAATCCTAGAAAGTGTTTTTATTAAAATGGGTGAGTTGAGTACATTAAGTGAAAAAAGCATAATATAAAATTATATATCTACAGCATGATTTTTTTTTTTTTTTGAGTCAGAGTCTCCCTCTGTCACCCAGGCTGGAGTACAGTGGCATGATCTTGGGTTACTGCAACTTTGCCTCTCACTGAAGCAGTCCCACTACCTCAGCCTCCTGAGTAGCTAAGACTACAGGTGTATGCCACCATGACTGGCTAATTTTTGTATTTTTTGTAGAGATGGGGTTTCACCATGTTGTCCAACCTGGTCTCGAACTCCTGGGCTCAAGTGATTTGCCTGCCTTGGCCTCCCAAAGTGCTGGGATTACAGGCATGAGCCACCGCACGTGGCCAACATGATCTTAACTATGTAAAAGTGCATAGAAAAAGCTAGTATGAAATAAAACTAAAATGTTAATTATGCATTTCAAGTTGACATGATTACAGATAATTTTTCTTTTAGATTTTTTTTTTTTTTTTTTTGAGACAAAGTCTCACTTTGTCATCCAGGCTGGAGTGCAGTGGCTAGATCTTGGCTCACTGCAACCTCTGCCTCCTGGGTACGAGCGATTCTGGTGCCTCAGCCTCCTGAGTATCTGGGATTACAGGTGCGCATCACCACATCTGGCTAATTTTTTTGTATTTTTATTTGAGATAGGGTTTCACCATGTTGGCCAGGCTGGTCTCGAACTCCTGACCTTAAGTGATCCGCCCCCATCAGCCTCCCAAAGTTCTGGGATTACAGGTGTGAGCCACCGCGCCCGGCCTGATTGTTTTGTTTTGTTTTGTTTTTATCTTTTTTATTTATTTATTTATTTTTTTTTTTATTTTTTTTGAGACGGAGTCTTGCTCTGTCGCCCAGGCTGGAGTGCAGTGGCACGATCTCAGCTCACTGCAAGCTCCGCCTCCCGGGTTCACGCCATTCTCCTGCCTCAGCCTCCTGAGTAGCTGAGACTACAAGCACCTGCCACCACGCCCAGCTAATTTTTTGTATTTTTAGTAGAGACGGGGTTTCACCATGTTAACCAGGATGGTCTCAATCTCCTGACCTCGTGATCCACCCTCCTCGGCCTCCCAAAGTGCTGGGATTACAGGCATGAACCACCGCGCCCGGCCGTTATCTTTTTTATTTTAAGACAGAATCTCGCTCTGTCACCAGGCTGGAGTGCAGTGGCACGATCTTGGCTTATTGCAACCTCCGATTCCCTGGTTCAAGTGACTCTCCTGCCTCACCCTCCCAAGTGGCTGGGATTACAGGCATGCACCACCATGCCCAGCTAATTTTTGTATTTTTAGTAGAGACGGGGTTTCACCATGTTGGCCAGGATGGTCTCGATCTCCTGACCTCGTGATTCACCCACCTTGGCCTCCCAAAGTGCTGGGATTACAGGCATGAGCCACCGTGCCTGGCCTGATTGTTTTTTAAGCACATGAGTAATACATTGAATTTTTTCTTTTCTTTTTTTTTTGAGATGGAGTCTGGCTCTGGGTCTGTCACCCAGGCTGGAGTGCAGTGGTGTAATCTTGGCTCACTGCAACCTTCACCTCCTGGGTTCAAGCAATTCTCCTGCCTCAGCCTCCTGAGTAGATGGTATAACAGGTGCACACCACCATGCCCAACTAATTTTTGTATTTTTAGTAGAGATGAGGTTTCACCATATTGGTAAGGCTGGTCTCGAACTCCTGACCTCAGGTGATCCACCCGCCTCGGCCCCCCAAAGTGCTGGGATTACAGGTGTGAGCCACTGTGCCTGGCCAGAATTTTTCCTTTATACTTTTCTGTGTTTTCCAAGTTTACTGCTGTGTGTGTGTGTGTGTGTGTGTGTGTGTGTGTGTGTGTGTGTGTGTGTATGTGATTACTGTGATTCAGTGATTACTGAAGATAGTCAAAAGCAGATTTAGGAACCATCGAGCCCTAGAGAATTGTCTAACTGTCTGAACCATACATGCTGACAACAGCTCTTGCCCTTCAAGTTGCTCCAGGTGTGTGTTACTCAGGTTTACAGAGTAGCAAGAGTGGACTTTCCTATGGAGCCTCCACAGCTGGTCAGGTGTGTGTGTGTGTGTGTGTGTGTGTGTGTGTGTGTGTGTGTGTGTGGTGGTCTAGGTAACGGGGCTCATTAAAATGGTGATTTGGGGATAAGAGTGCTCTGGAGATGTGCTCAGGGTTTTGAACATTTCACAACTGCTCCTCACATCTGTTTTTAGAGCTTGAGGAGGGCTCATGTGGCCTGAGGCATTGTCACAGCCTTTACCCACTTAACTTTAGGCAGTGGTTCTCAAATCTGAGCCCTTCTGGGGGTTCATGAGGTCAAAACTATCTTCATACTAAGACCAAGATGTGGTTTGCCTCTTCATTCTCATTCTCTCACGGGGCACAGCGAAGTTTCCCAGATGTTATATGTTTCAGGACATACTGGCTGCAGAAGCAGATGGGAGAAGCCAGAAGTAGACAGGAGAATGTCTATGAGGCCAGACATTAAGGAGGGTTGCAGAAATGTAAAACAATCCCAGCTGTCTCCCTAAAAATGTTTTATTATGACAAATATATTTATTTTTCATTAAAATGCAATTAATGTAACATATGAGTTTATTATCTTAAATGAATTAATATTGTTAAAAATTTCTCAGTTTAGTTTCCAATACAATAATTAAGAGCGTAAAGAAGTTATGAGACCAAAAAGTTTGAAAACCACTGAATTAAGGAGACAGGAAGAGAACTTTCTTTTTTTTTTTCAATTTTTGAGACAGAGTCTTGCTTTGTCACCCAGGCTGAAGTGCAGTGGTGTGATCTCGGCTCACTGCAACCTCAGCTCCCGAGTAGCTGGGATTACAGGCATGCACCACCATGCCTGGCTAATTTTTGTATTTTTAGTATAGATGGGGTTTCCCCATGTTGGCCAAGCTGGTCTCGAACTCCTGACCTCAGGTGATCTGCCCCCTCAGCCTCCCAAAGTGCTAACTTGTTCATCACTGAATCCCTAGCACCAATTACAGGTGTGAGCCACCATGCCCGGCTGAGAGCTATTTTTATGGTGGGTTGGTTATGGCTCAGTAAACCAGTTGGTGAATTGCATGATTCAGAAACACAAAGCCTAAGGTGGGAAATGACCTTATCTAACAGAGAGGTGTAGACGTCTTTGATATTACATTAATTTCCTCTCTCTCTCTCTCTTTCTCCTTTTTTAGAGATTATGCATGATGTGATAAAGAAGGTCAAGAAGAAGGGGGAATGGAAGGTGAGTAGAAAGTACAGTTAATGGGCTTAAGGTGAGTTCACATGGAAAAATCAGAAGGGGATGGAGTTGGAGGAAAGTTGTAGGCAGGAATGAGGGCTTTTGCTGTGTCCAGAGAGTACAGAATGCTCCTGGATTGGAGAAAGGTGATCTGCTCTGCCTCACATTTCATATGGTCTTGGTTAAGAATTCTGTTTGTCATAAAGCTTATCTTAAAGACCACCTGGTCAGGCAGTTAGCAGTGGAACTCTTTTGTTCAAACAAAATATTACCTGGAACCCGTTAGATAAAGCAGAGGAAGGTATAATTCTGCTGGCTCTGGGAGAGGAAGAAGAGGCCCTCTTGCCCCTTTGTGGCCATAAAGCATCTCCATGGAGTCCATGTACAGTTTGGGCTCAAAGCCCTCATCTGGTCTATCCTCATTGAACTGTAACTACATAAGACAAAAATAGTAAGCTCGTTTAATCACGTAACATTGACAGGAGTGCTGGAAACTATAGTGTACTTGAAACAAGTATTTAAGCCAATCAAACTGAGAGTGGGCCGGGTTCCTGGAATGGGTGGTACAGGAGTGGCACCTGCTGCCCCCTATGCATGAAGTCAGCATTTTAAGGACTGCTTGGTTGTCTAAGGCTGAGAATTATACTGGCCAGAAGAGTGTGCAGTTTTACTTGATTTTTTCTGCATGTTGCTGAAGAATTTATACCAACCTTTCTTGCCATCAAGGTTTCCTGCAGTCAAAAGCCCATGCAGTTTCAAGTGCATTGGGCCTAGGAACAACAGAGCTGATTAGTACAGGAGGATTTTGAAGTCTCACCCGGGGCCTTTGTTTTAACCAGCACATCTGTCCTCGCCACCCAGAAGGGGAGGCCGTGCAGTGGGCCTCCCCACCGCATACCTTTAGCATACCTCTTTAGCATACCTTTCTCACTTACCCTTCCCATCAGTGACGGGCTTGTAGACATGTGAATTTTAAACTAATCTTGAGGAAGCTGCCTTATATAATAAAAACTAATTGACCCCTGTACTGCAGCAGAAAGCTTTCTCATCCACACTATCTGCCCTGATGTGTCTTCCTCCTGTTGCCCCCTTCTCAGTTTATAGCATTACAAAAAGAGAGGATAAATAGCCTTGTTTTAACTGCCAGCTTCCTCTCCACTGTGGGCTGAATGAAGATAAGAAAGGTTAGCTGAAGAGTTGCAGGTCTGAAGCTTTTAGGCCAGGACTGGAACGTTCTTGTTCTTCCAGCCTAGACTAAGGTACACTATGTCCCAGCTGACATGTGTGTTAGTGGCACAGTTCTGATGATGCTTTTCATCAAGTCCCCACATGCCAGACCACATGTGCAGGCGCTAGTGTTCACTCTCCCCTTAAACACAAGTGCATGCCGTGAAAAAGTACTCACTAATATGATTATGTCTGAATGTTGGAGCTATAGATGATATTTCCTTTATTTATTTATTTATTTATTTATTTATTTATTATTATTATTATTATTATTATGAGATGGGATCTTGCTGTTGCCCAGGCTGGAGTACAATGGCGCGATCTCGGCTCACTGCGACCTCCGTTTCCTGGGTTCAAACATTCTCCTGCCTCAGCCTCTCACGTAGCTGGGATTACAGGTGTGAGTCACCACACCTGGCTAATTTTTGTAGAGACGGGGTTTCACCATGTTGGCCAGGCTGATCTTGAACTCCTGACCTCAAGTGATCCACCCGCCTCAGCCTCCCAAAGTGTTGGGATTACAGGCATGAGCCACCATGCCCGACTGATTTTTTTTCCTTTTTTAAATGGGTATTTACTTTGTCATGGGAAATAAAAACTATTTTTTTTTAAGTTTATAAAATTACATCAGTGAGAGGAAACTCTAACTCCTAGAAAGTTAGGTTAGGGTATGGGAGGTACAAGTGAGCATGTGTCCCCGTGGGCTTCTGGTCCATAGGAAATATGGTTTCTTCTGTATTCTGTACTTCTGGAGCTCCTTTTGGAGTCTGATGCGGTAAGCTGAGCGAGAATCACAGCAGATGCCATGAAGCCCATACGCTGTTCTCTTTCCTTGCAGGTGCTGGTGGTGGATCAGTTAAGCATGAGGATGCTGTCCTCCTGCTGCAAGATGACAGACATCATGACCGAGGGCATAACGAGTGAGCATGCGCTCTGCACTTGAGCAGTGCTGGAGCCTTCTCTCTGTGGCGGGCTTAGCTCTTTCCTATTCATTATTATCTCCTTTGATTTTAGATTCTTCCAGCAACCTGTGTGCTAAGACCAGAAGCTCCTGAGAGGCGCAAGGCTATCTTGTTCATCACTGAATCCCTAGCACCAAATCCAGGGCTAGATGCTCATTCAATGTCTGTTAAAGGAATGCCAAAAGAAGGGTTAAATCAAGAAAGAAAAGGCAGCCCACCCAATAGAAAAAAGTTCTGAGCAGGCACTTAACAAAAGAAGAAATCCAAATGGCCAATCAATCTATGAAAATTGTCCACTGTCATTAGTGGTCAGGGAAATGCAATTCAAACCAGAGTGAGATGCCGATATAGATTCAAAATATTAGAATATTTAATCTCTGATAATGCCAAGTGACGGTGAGGAGGTAGAAAAATGGAAACTCCTACGTGATGGAATGTCTGCTGGTGTAGCCCCTTTGAAAACCACTTGGCAGTGTCTAGTAAAGTTGAAGGTATGCATGTCCTGTGAGCCAGCAAGTCTGTGGTCAGGTGTGTGTCCTAGACAACCTCAGGTATGTGTGCCCAGGATACATGTGCAGGAATACATGTGCAGTGTTGCTCATAGGTTCCCCAAGTGGAAAATAACCAAAACGTCCATCAAGTGTAGAATGGTTAAATCAGTTGCGTGCAATTACACAGTAGAATACTCTACAGGGATGAAAATGGGCGAGCCCTGAGCGCTCACAGTAACATGAATGCATCTGATGAACAACGGTGAGCAAAGACAGCAAGACACGAAAGACCACTGATAGTGAGCCTTCATTCCACAGAGTTCAGACCGCAGAGCTCAGCTGTGTTGTTTTAAAATGCAGATGTAAGGGGTAAAACCTCAAGAGAAGAGCTCACCATTCAAGGGAGGATAATGATTCTGTTTGCGGGGAAGAGAGGAAATGGTGTTGATAGAGGGGAATGTGAGCTGGAGCCAGGGCACTTTTGTGGTGCTGATTGGGTTTCGTTTCTTAACTGGGGTAGCGCTTATTTAGACATTTGCCTTATGGTTATTTGTATGTTTATGTTTTATTCACGCTTTGGAATGTGTGCTATAACTTTTGGTGAATAATAAGGAGCAGGATTGCTGGATCACATGGTAAGTATGCTTAGTTTTGTAAGATACTGCCAAACCATTTTTCAAAGTGGCTGACCATTTTGCATTCCCAGCAGTAGTGAATGAGAATTCCTGTTGCTCCACATCCTTACCAGCATTTGGAGTTGTCAGTGTTCTGAATTTTGAGCATTCTACCAGCTGTGTGGTGGTATGGTATTGTTGTTTTAATTTGCATTTCCCTGATGACCTAGGATGTGGAGCATCTTTTCACATGCTTATTTGCCATCTGTATATTGTTTTTTGGTACAGTGTCTGTAAGGTCTTTGGCCCGTTTTTTAATTGGGTTATTTGTTTTCTTATTGTTGAATTTTAAGGGATATTTGTATATTTTGGATAACAGTTCTTTATCAGATATGTCTTTTGGAAATATTTGCCCTCAGTCTGTGGCTTGTCTTTTCATTCTCTTGATGGCATCTTGCACAGAGCAGTACTTTTTAATTTTAATGAAGTCCAGCTTATCAATTCTTGTTTTCATGGATTGTCACTTTGGTGTCATATCTAAAAAGTCATTGCCAAATCCAAGGACACCTAGCTTTTCTTTTATGTAATCCTCTAGGAATTTTATAATTTCGCATTTTACATTTAGGTCTGTGATCCATTTTGAGTTAACATTTCTAAAGGGTATAATGTATGTGTCTGTATTCATTTTGGTTGCACGTGGATGTGATTCCTTCATTTTTAAAAAACAGATCCAGTATATCTATCAGCAGAAGCACAGTCCTGTAAATGGCATACACAGTTTTTTTGTTTGTTTGTTTGTTTGAGACAGAGTCTTGCTGTCTCCCAAGCTGGAGGGCAGTGGCGCAATCTCAGCTCACCACAACCTCTGCCTCCTGGGTTCAAGGGATTATCCTGCCTCAGCCTCCTAAGTAGCTGGGATTACAGGCACCTGCCATCACGCCTGGCTAATTTTTGTATTTTTAGTAGAGACAGGGTTTCACCATGTTGGCTAGGCTGGTCTCGAACTCCTGACCTCAAGTGATCCACCTGCCTCGGCCTCCCAAAGTGGTGGGATTACAGGAGTGAGCCACTGCACTTGGCACACATACACAATTTTTTATGTGACTTTTATGTCATTTAGTGACCTAAGTCAGTGTGTTTTTTGTTTGTTTGTTTTTGAGACAGAGTCTTGCTCTGTTGCCCAGGATGGAGTATAGTGGTGCAATCTTGACTCACTGCAAACTCTGCCTCTGGGATTCGGGCAATTCTCGTGCCTCAGCCTCCCGAGTAGCTGGGATTACAGGCAGGCGCCAGCACACCCGGCTATTTTCTTTCTTTTTTTTTTTTTTTAGTAGAGACAGGGTTTCACCATGTTGGCCAAGCTGGTCTTGAACTCCTGGCCCCAAGTTATCTGCTCGCCTTGGCTTCCCAAAGTGCTGGGATTACAGACGTGAGCTACTGTGCCCTGCCCCAAGTCAGTTTTAAGACTAGGCTTGCCCCTATTTTGAGTTTATGATGTTATTTTCTTCATTGAATTTTTGAAACTATTTTTTTCGTCTATCAAAGCAAAAACAGACAAAAAACACAAAAGTAAAGGAGAAAAACACTAAATGGAGCTAACAAGGATCTAAGAAAAGAGCAGTGACCTCCTGTCCTCCTATCTCCCATCCTCGGGGTCTATTACCCCAGAGGCAGCCACCTCGCCCTTCATTCTGGACATCTTTTTTATTTTTCTACATAAATGCTTGTTCTATTTTCTCTTGATTCAGTGATATTAGATATTATTAACTGACTTCCTGTGGGAGATGGGGATTCAGAGCTCTCCACTATACACAGACTCTTGCCTACCCCCAAAAGTGGTTTTTAAAAAATGTCCTTATGGCCGGGCATGGTGGCTCACACCTGTAATCCCAGCACTTTGGGAGGCAGAGGCAGGCGGCTCACAAGGTCAGGAATTTGAGACCAGCCTGTCCAACAGAGTGAAACCCTGTCTCTACTAAAAATACAAAAATTAGCCAAGCATGGTCGCACGTGCCTGTAGTCCCAGCTACTCAGGAGGCTGAGGTGGGAGAATCACTTGAACCTGGGAGGTGGAGGTTGCAGTGAGCCAAGATTGTGCCACTGCACTCCAGCCTGGGCGACAGAGCAAGACTGTCTCAAAAAGAAAAAGAAAGAAAGAAGGAAAGAAAAAGTGTTCTTACTTAACAAAATTTAAAAGTTAGCAACCCTATGTTGAAGCTCTGAAACATTTTGGGGGGAGATATTAGTGGCCTATGAAATTAAACAAATCTATAACCACTGGTAAAGTAGATGTTTGGGGATTTTTGGTATTAATTTGAACATTATTTAAGGTGAAAGTCTTTATAAATATTCCAAGTCTTTATAAATGTTACAATCCTCTAAAGTGATGCTTTTATCTGCTTAAATGATCTGCATAGAAAGAATGGCACCTGTATAATTGCCTTGCTCTCTCAATGCCAGAGGACAGTAGGTAACACATTTTAAGCATTACCGGGTGATTGGTAAGATTCTCCCAAAAGCTGTTCTTTCCAGGTGAAGTCCCTGACATAACTGTAGAGGAAACAAGCAAACCAAAGCCTATGGTTTGTTTTAACCAAATAGAACATTTAATCTTTGCACTATTGAAGGAAGCAATATTGTATAGAGAATGTGGTTGGAATGCCCTCATTTGATATGCAGAGGAGAGCAATGAAACTATCCAGCTGTTGATAAATAAACCCAACATGGAAATTCCAAAGGAATTGGGATTATCTAGGGCAGATGAGACAAAGCTGAAGAAGAGGCAAAGGACCCATTCTTGACAGAATTAGATATCATTTTCCATTTTCTCTCAGAACAGATCAATGAATTTACTTAAACTGAAATGGGAAGTGAGAACTATCTAGTGTGAAGATTTCAGATTTTTCTTTGTTGTTGTTTTTGTCGTTGTTTTTGAGATGGAGTCTCACTCTGTCACCCAGGCTGGAGTGCAGTGGTACTATCTTGGCTTACTGCAGCTTCCACCTCCCAGGTTCAATCGATTCTCCCACCTCAGCCTCCTGAGTAGCTGGAATTATAGGCACATTCCAACATGCCTGGCTAATTTTTGTAGTTTTTTAGTAGAGATGAGGTTTCACCATGTTGGCCAGGCTGGTCTTGAACTCCTGACATCAAGTGATGTGCCCACCTCAGCCTCCCAAAGTGCTGGGATTACAGGCATGAGCCACCATGCCCAGCCCAGATTTCAGATTCTAACATCTTGGGCATGTTGAGACCATGGAATTCACTCCCAAGGAACGTGGTAACCTTAAGGAATGAGTGAATGATTCCCCCCGGTCCCCCACTGTAGATATTTATCTGCAACAGTCTGAAGGTAGCCTGTCTATATTGCTTCTGGTTTTATGGTCACCCATCATGTTTTCTTATTCACTGTGGGTTGTTTTGTTGTCTAGTTGTGGAAGATATCAATAAGCGCAGAGAGCCGCTCCCCAGCCTGGAGGCTGTGTATCTCATCACTCCATCCGAGAAGGTAAACCTTCCACCAGAGGAGGACTCTGGCTAAGGTTAGATGGACTGGCTTGGGATTTATGTGGCACAGACTGTCTGACATTGCTAGGTTAAGCACGCATTTAACACACTGCTCTGTTTAAGCATGCAATCCACAATGGGGTGGGGTCGGGGGTGGTGTTTATGCAGTGAGAAGTGATGAATGTATTAAGCGTTCTTAAACACAGCAGCTGTGCAGAAAACCAGAGCCTGTGTTCCGTGGCCCTGGATCATTCTAGTTTTCCCCCTTGCACTCCCTCTTCAGGTAGGACCCACTCTGTCTAATTAGCAGTCCACCTCCAGACTTTGGTATTTTATGCTTTCATTTTATTTTATCAATATCCAGTTACTGTTCACATTTACCTGTCTTATAATTTTGGAGGTTACTTCAAATCACTATCCAAACAAGGTCCAACTCCTTGCTTCTGGGTAATAGTTGTCTTAGGCATGTTTTCTTTTGTTTTGTTTTGTTGGTTTTGTTTTGTTTTTTGAGACGAAGTCTAGCTCTGTTGCCCAGGCTGGAGTGCAGTGGCACGATCTCGGCTCAGTGCAACCTCTGCCTCCCAGGTTCAAGAGATTCTCCTGCCTCAGCCTCCCAAGTAGCTGGGATTACAGGCACCCCCCCGCCACACCCAGCTAATTTTTGTATTTTTGGTAGAGACAGGGTTTCACCATGTTGGCCAGGCTGGTCTCGAACTCCTGACCTCAAGTGATCTACCTGTCTTGGTCTCCCAAAGTGCTGGGATTACAAGCATGAGCCACCACTCTCAGCCTTTTTTGTTTTTTTGGGTTGTTGTTGTTGTTTTTTGTTTGTTTGTTTTTGTTTTTGTTTTTTTTTGTTTTTTTTTTGAGACAGGTCTCTCTCCATCACCCAGGCTGGAGTGCAGTGTTGTGATCACAGTTCACTACAGCCCCGACCTCCGGGGCTTAAGTGATCCTCCCACCTCAGCCTCCCAAACAGCTGGGACTACAGGCACATGCCACCATGCCCAGCTAATTTTTGGTAGAGATGGAGATCTTGCTATGTTGCCCAGGCTAGTGGCAAACTCCTGAGCTCAAGTGATCCACCTGCCTTGGCCTCCCAAAGTGTTGGGATTACAGTTGTGAGCCACCATGCCAGCCTTAGGTGTCTTAGTCTATATAAATTTCCTCCAATTTTCACACTTTTTTTTTTCACTTTGAAAACTGGCTTACATATGAATTTCTACAGATGCAATTAAATTGCCAAAAGGTCATCAATATGAATCTCCTGGAAGGTTTCTGCCGGGTTTCCTTTTTTGTGGGTGTCTTCCTAACAACTAATTACAGTGGCTCCAAAGAACTGATACTGTCATTCCAGAATGAGCTAAGAAGGCCTTTGTTCATCTAAACTCTGAAATAGTACTAATTTTAAGTCCTCAGGACTTGGTTATGGCCAAACATGAGTGTTAGAATTATGCATCAAAAATCCCCTGATTTTGTGCAAGTGGCTTGAAGCCATTGGATTTAACTCAGTTCAGATACAGGTCCCATTTGGCTCTAGAATTGGATTCAGGTCCCTCTTTTTCCCCCCCATCCACAGTCCGTCCACTCTCTCATCAGTGACTTTAAGGACCCGCCGACTGCTAAATACCGGGCTGCACACGTCTTCTTCACTGACTGTGAGTACAACCAAGAGCTGTCCCCAGTCCCATCAGGCAGGTTAGCATTTCTGTACAGCTGGGCTGAGCCAAAACTAAGGCAGGTCAAGAGGGAAGAAATGGGTTGTTACCATGCTTGTCCCGATCTGCTGGTTTCTCTTCAGAAGATAAATTGCATAAGAGACAAAAATAAGTGCACGCAAATACAAACCCACTAGATCATGCAGTCCTTCCTGCTGAAAAATAGCACACAAGCACCTCTTCTCAGGACTGACAGGCTTGGTGCTGAGAATGACCTTCCTGAGGCTTGGCATTTCATTATGTAGACTTCCAGTTAGCACTGTATGCTGTAGTATGTTTCCATCAATTTTTCAACTACAAAGATATTCCAATCCAGTAGTCTTTGTATTAGATAGAATCTGCATCATTACCCTAGAATTAGTTTTCTTATGTTTTGAGGATTTTATGCTCAGATCCTAGCGGAGAAGCAGAGGGAGATGAATTGACCTGGACAGCTACAGAGTATAAAACAGTAAGAATTCACCCAGAGATCTTCTCTCTAGGGATAAACTCCCACAGCACTCACCACTGAGAAAGTGGAAAGGATATAGCAGAAGAAGGATTTTGGCCGGGTGTGGTGGCTCACGCCTATAATCCCAGCACTTTGGGAGGCCTAGGCGGGTGGATCACCTGAGATCAGAAGTTCGAGACCAGCCTGGTCAACATGGTGAAACCCCATCTCTACAAAAATACAAAAATTAGCTGGATATGACAGCAGGTGCCTATAATCCCAGCTACTCGGGAGGCTGAGGTGGGAGAATTGCTTGAACCCAGGAGGCAGAGGTTGCAGTGAGCAAGATCACGCCATTGCACTCCAGTCTGGGTGACAGAATGAGACTCCATCCAAAAAAAAAAAAAAATCCTGATAAAATGAAGAGCCCACTGTACATGTGCAGCTGTTAAATGAACCAGCAAATGGACAGGAAAGCCAACTGTCTTTTGTCATACTTGCAGCTTGTCCAGATGCCCTGTTTAATGAACTGGTAAAATCCCGAGCAGCCAAAGTCATCAAAACTCTGACGGAAATCAATATTGCATTTCTCCCGTATGAATCCCAGGTGAGCCTGAGTAGGGGGTGCAAAGGAAATCTGCATCCTGTCTTATTCTGAGAGGGTGGGGTGGGACCTACTAAAGAGTTGAGGAGGGAAGGTACCATGCTCTGAATTGCCAAATGACAGGTTAGAAGTGGATGTTTACTGAATGGAAATAGTATTCCATAGGGCCTGCCCCCTGCCCTCATCTTACTCTCCAGTTGTTTCTGACTTTGCTTCAGCCTTGTGCCTTTCTTTGTGTGCATTTCATCCTTGCTCTCAGTGTTCACTCCTGTCGGCCGACTCCTTGAATAACCACTAAGTAGCCAATCAGAAACGAGCTTGGAAGGAGAGCGAGGGTGGGGAGCAGAAGCATCCCATCTGCTGCGAAGGAGACTGTTTTTTACGTGGAGATAACCTCAGCTTGTCATGTGCTGAGAGAGCAGATGGCAGCCTTCGTCATTAGCCGTTAACACTTCAGGTGCCAAATGCCAGGCCCATAAAGCACTCCCTTGGAAACAAACAAAATTATTAAACAAATAAAGGTGAAGCTGATTGTGAGAGAACAGACACAACTTGTCTCGGTATTTTGAGAGTTGTTAAAATGTCTTCTCTTACCAGACAAGGAAACAAAAACCACAGGACTTTGATGCATTTTACGGAGCTAAAAGATGATTGTGGCATATTGGATCTTTACAGATCAGCTTCGAGACACCAGAGAGTGACCTATTCTTAGAGAAGGAGAGATGCATAATATATAGTGTGAACATTTAAAAACAGGCTTCCTTCTCACTTGGCCTAAAGCCTGTCACCCGCTTGGGGGAAGGAATTTTTTTTTCTTCTGTGTGTTCCATCCCCACCTGGATAGAACAAAATCCAGCTTTAGCATATTGAACAATCTTATATTTCAGAAATTTTAAGAAAGTAAACTATTTTTCGAATACCATTTTTTAAGATTAAGGTAGTTTATATAAACGAGAATTTAAGAGAATACTGATAACTGGAAGACTCAGTCATTTAAGAGAGAATCTTCAACTTCTAGCATACTCCAAAAAAAAAAAAAGAAACAGAAAAAGAAGAGACAAATACGGCCAGGCATGATGGTTCACGCCTGTAATCCCAGCACTTTGGGAGGCCAAGACGGGCGGATCACGAGGTCAGGAGATCGAGACCATCCTGTTTAACACGGTGAAACTCCATCTCTACTAAAAATACAAAAAAATTAGCCAGGCGTGGTAGCGGGCACCTATAGTCCCAGCTACTTGGGAGGCTGAGGCAGGAGAATGGCGTGAACCCGGGAGGCGGACCCTGCAGTGAGCCGAGATCATGCCACTGCACCCCAGCCTGGGCAACAGAGCAAGATTCTATCTCAAAAAAAAAAAAAGAAAGAAAGAAAGAAAAGACAAATACTTAGAACATGCTACTGAAGATAAGGTATTATTAAATCCATAAATAGCTCCTTTATTTGCCCACAGTCACAGCACAGTATCTGGCTTGTCTCTTATTTATTGAAACTAAGCTTACAATTTCCAGTGTAGTCTCACACTAATCCCTTCTGCTCTCCTCCTGGCCTTGTCACTGTTCTCCAGGCACCCTAGGTACACACCCGCCCAAGGTCCTTGGCACTGCCTGTTCCCTCCATGTGGAAGTCCCCTGTAAACATCCCACCTTCAAGCCCTTGCTCAGATGTTACCTTCTCAGCAAGTCCTGGTGTCCTCCCTGTCCAGCCCTCCTGGACATCCTCCCCTGCTCTGATATTTTCTCATATACTTGCCAGTTTCTCAGGACCACACAATTCACTTTTCATTATGTTTATTGTCTGCTTTCTCCTACTAGATTGCAAACTCCTTGAGGACATGGATGTTTTGGTCACTAATAGTTCCCAAGTGTTTAGCACATGGGCACATGGTAGGCACCCAGTACATATTTGTGGAAGAAACGGGAACATATTCTGTAGACTCACTGCCAGGGTCAGAGAATACTCTGATAGTTCACAATATGTATTAATACTTTTTCTCCTCCCCAGGTCTATTCCTTGGACTCTGCTGACTCTTTCCAAAGCTTCTACAGTCCCCACAAGGCTCAGATGAAGAATCCTATACTGGAGCGCCTGGCAGAGCAGATCGCGACCCTTTGTGCCACCCTGAAGGAGTACCCGGCTGTGCGGTATCGGGGGTAAGGCAGTGCACCAGTCTGCTGGAGTGGCCTCCCGTGTGTCCCCCAAGTGAGGAGCTGGCCTGGACTCCTCCTCCGGCCTTAAGGTTCCTCTGACAGTTGTCTCAAGAAGATCAGGATTTGAGCATCTCTTACTTCAAATTACTCTTCCAGTGGTTTTGTTATCTTCTCAATGTTATAGTGAAATATAATAATACATGCAGAAAAAAGCATAAATCAACTATTGAATAACGAAAATGTGAACCTCTATGTAACTGCAACTCAGGCTGCCTACCGTTTTTAATTTCTTTCTAATCTTTAAAAACAAATACTATCTTTACTAAAGATGTTTCAGAGTAAGATAAAATACAAAGAGAGTAATTCTCCAAAGGACATGTTCCTCAGATTTTATCAAGCCACGCATTTCTCACTTGCTTGCTGAGTGCTGGGGGCACCTGAAGCTGAAGACCCAGCCCATGATCAGGGAGGATGGGTGGGATGTGCCTTCCAGCGTGTATGTGCATGAGAGATGCACCCCTGCAGGCTCGACCCTGCGAGATAGGACAGGCCAAGTGCTGGGGACAGCCACAGTAGGGAGAGGGCCCTTTGAGCCAAGGGTGAAGCCCGTCTGCAGACCACAGGTGACGATAGGCTCATGAGGAGAGAGAGGCCAGCATTTTGTGTGCACAGTTGGCTCTTGCATTTGGTATAAACAAAAACTTGGGAGTTGGGAAAATGTGGGGCACATTTGGGGAAGATGGGTAGTCCAGCACAGTGTATGTGTACGGCAGTGGCGTGGGATGAAGCCAATTCTGGAGGTCTTGGATGACAGGTTTGGGATTATGTCCTTCGGTGGTTATCACTGGAAACCTATGGGGGATTTGGACGGGGATGACCACAGTTCTCTGGGAGAGTGAAGGCTGGAGTATAAGCAGGAGTCAGGGCAAGGAAAAACCAGAAGGGGTGGCTAACCAGGAGGCCACTGCAGGAGGAACAAAGGGCCTGGTCTTGGAGTGATGGGAACGGGGTGGACAGGTAAGGACAGAATCTGAGAGCGTGCAGAGGTGGATTCGGAACTGCCAGCAGGTTAGTAGTAGGGCAGGAAGGGCTTAGGCTGCCAAGGCATTGTGCCGTGGTAACCAAGAGCTTGGTGGTGCCACGGATCATGGGTTCACCCATCCTGTGACCTCATTGTCTCCTGGAAGTTGTGGCCATAGAAAAACACCTTCCGGTTGCTGTCCCAGTGCCTGGCTTCCCTCCACTGTTGGTAATCATGGACAAAGCCAGCCGGCAGTTAAGAAATGGGACCTAGGTGGCATCTCCTGACTGACCTGTGGGAGCTCAGGCTGGTAGCAGGGCTGCTGCAGTGCTGAGACTGGCCAGGAAGCAGGCAGCCGCCGCCCCAGCATCAGGTCAGGTGGGGCCCAGGGAGTGCTGTCAGACCCAGCCATGGGGAAGGGTTCAAAGGTTCTCACATTGTTCTGGCCATGCCAGCTGAAATGTCACTCTCCAACAAACACAACAAAACAAGACCCAAGAGAATGTGAACTGAGGGAAGTGAGAATCATGGGAGTCAGGCTGGGAGCCTGATCGTGGCAAAAGGTTCACTGACTGGTCAGGGCCCCCAGTGGAAGTGCGGCAGTTTATCTGAAGCTGCTTGGAAAGACATCTGTTTCCACTTAGATCATTCTGGATAAAAGCAATAAGAAAATCACTTACTTATGGTCCAGGCACTGAGCTAAGTGTTTTATTTTGCTTTTCCTTTCTAATTATACTCTCATTGTAAAAACACGAATACAGACAATGCTCACATCTCCCCTAACCCCGCTGCACTGCTTGGCTTCCTTTCCCGGGGGCAGCCAGCACCATCATGGGTGCTGGGTGGTTCATGCTCTGTCACCCCTCCTTTGTCAGGGAATACAAGGACAATGCCCTGCTGGCTCAGCTAATCCAGGACAAGCTCGATGCCTATAAAGCTGATGATCCAACAATGGGGGAGGTAAGTCTGGCTTGGACCACGTGGTTCTCTTTACCAAGGACCGCAGTGTTTGTGTGACAGTCCCAGAGACAGCTTGGTTCTGTTGCCACAGAGCATGTGTCAGTGCTGCTTTTCCTGGGGACTGGCTTCCAGTGAAATGCCTGAAGCCCCTGGGGCAGGGCCATCTACATGTGTTCATCGTGGCCAGGGTGACCAACTTGTTCTGTTTGCCAGGGCTTTCCTGGTTGCAGCTCTGAATGGCCCAAGTCCCGGGAAACCCCCAGAAGCATAATAGCAAACCAGAAAATCGACAGACACACGCTTCAGAGCTCATTCAGCATTCACTGGTTTTTACACATGCTCTGTGTACAGCCCTGTGCGTTTTACACATGGATAGATATTCACTGGTTTTTACACATGCTCTGTGTACAGCCCTGTGCGTTTTACACATGGATAGAGTCATGTAACCATCTTACAATCAAGATACAGGGCTGTTTCCTCACCACCTTGATTTTAAAACTGAAAGGCCCAGGTCCTGGGAACCCGCTTAGTCCCAGGCACACTGGAGGGTGGTTGCCCCATTTGTAGTTGAACTTGGGCAGTTTCCTACAGAAACTCACTTCGGCTCCTAGCGTTTCATATCTGCCCCTAAGTGCGCTTGCTATGAAATAGAAACACTGGAGTCTTTTAGGGTATTTTTGGTGATCTTGTCTAGCAGTAGACTTCTGTGCTGCGTTAGTAACTTTGCACCTCAGAGTTTGCTTCCTGCTGCCCTCCTTTACAAGAGGGGTTCGCTAGGTGGAGAAGCCGGAGTTGGCTGGGTGGCTTGTGAAGCATCTCCCTGTTTTCCCCCAGGGCCCAGACAAGGCACGCTCCCAGCTCCTGATCCTGGATCGAGGCTTTGACCCCAGCTCCCCTGTGCTCCATGAATTGACTTTTCAGGCTATGAGTTATGATCTGCTGCCTATCGAAAATGATGTATACAAGTAAGTATAGTGTTACAGACCCCAGAGTGTATACGGCTCTGCACATGAGCCAAAAATATGTCTAGAAAAAGAACGGGTTTTTTTGTTTGTTTGTTTTGAGATGGAGTCTCGCTCTGTCACCCAAGCGGGAGTGCAGTGGCACAATCTCAGCTCACTGCAACCTCTGCCTCCCAGGTTCAAGCAATTCTCCTGCCTCAGCCTCCCAAGTAGCTGGGGTTACAGGCATGTGCCACCATGCCCAGCTAACTTTTTGTATTTTTTTAGTAGAGATGGGATTTCACTGTGCTGGCCAGGCTGGTCTCAAACTCCTGACCTCGTGATCCGCCCGCCTCAGCCTCCCAAAGTGCTGAGATTACAGGCATGAGCTACCACACCTGGCAGAAAAAGAGAGTTTTTTTTGTTTGTTGTTTTCTTAAGACGAAGTCTCGCCCTGTCACCCAGGCTGGAGTGCATTGGCGCAATCTCAGCTCACTGCAACCTCCGCCTCCTGGGTTCAAGCAATTCTCCTGCCTCAGCCTCCCGAGTAGCTGGGATTACAGGTGCCCACCACCACATCTGGCTAATTTTTTGTATCTTTAGTAGAGACGGGGTTTCACCATGTTGGCCAGCCTGGTCTCGAACTCCTGACCTCATGATCCGCCCGCCTCAGCCTCCCAAAGTGCTGGGATTATAGGTGTGAGCCACAGCGCCCAGCAAAAGAGCATTTTTAACCCTAGGAAAAACGGTTCATTGATACAGCCTTGCAAATTAGCCTGTAAGTTCTTCTGCGAGTTCCCCAAATCCATGTGGCATTTCTAGGCAGGAACTCATGACTTGTCCTCTTTTTGGGGAGGACAAGCACTTTAGGTCTTTGGTTCCCAGCTCACAGCACCTCAGGTCATAGCCTACTTGGATATGTTAATATTGATTTTTGTGTTTATGTGTGTATCTCATTCAGAGTTGAAATTTTTTCTTTCTGTTTTATTGGTTCTGCCTCTCTGGAGGCAGAGTTGAAACTTCTTGTTTATAGATCCTGAAATATGATGATGATGAAATATATCAACAGAAGTTTCATACTGAACTTTCCTCACAGAGGAGCTGTTTTCTTCATTTGTAAAAAACATTTTTCTTGGTAGCAATCATCAGAAATTTAGTTTCTAAAAACCAGTTTTTCCTTTTGTGGAACCAGACTGTATAAGAAACAGACTGTATGAGAACAGACATTGTTCTCATGGCATTTAATAGCATCCATCATAAAGATAGTGGTTTCAAAATGAAGATTCTAAAAATATGAGTGAATCTCGGTTCTCCCTGTTGGTAGCTATAATTTGTGCCTCCTCCAGCTGTTCACGATTTCCCATGTGATTGGTGCTGAGGGCCTATTGCAGGCAGCTGCTGGAAGCTATTTAGGCGCCACACATTGAGGATGACATCCCAGTGCCTTTCCAGAGGGACAGATGTGATCTTTGCCTTTCCCCTATAAATAACTAAACTCATGTATGACCTGACTTCATGCCCTGGACCAGACAGCTCAGGTGGAGCTTGTATCAGCTGACCCAAAAGATTTTAAGACAGAATTTCAAATTGGTTGACTTTGAAGAGAGCTTTGAATCTCTCCTACCCGAGGAATTGCAGCCCGGGTCAGTGCTGCCACAGCAAGCCTGGCTGACAGGTCCAATGTTGTGACGGCACTTGTGAACATCTGGCAGCTGAGGGTGGTGAGCTGCTGCTGCTGTAAGCTGAAGAGGGTTCGATGAATGTTGTGGAGACAGTGCACTCCACCTGAGTCCCGTCTCCATTCTAGGTATGAGACCAGCGGCATCGGGGAGGCACGGGTGAAGGAGGTGCTCCTGGACGAGGACGACGACCTGTGGATAGCACTGCGCCACAAGCACATCGCAGAGGTGTCCCAGTAAGAGCCCCCTGCCCCCTTCTCCAGCGAGGCGCCTCTACCCAGCTGCTATTGATGATGCGTTCACTCTGGGCACCTCGCGGGGGCTCATCACTGTGTGAATTCGTTTTCTTGGCAGAGTCACCAACATGCTAACCCGTAATGATAAATCCCTTCTGTTCTCTGAGCTTGAGCTACTCCGACTTCATGAAGTTAGAAAATCAATTCTGTATTAGGGCTGCTTTTAGGATTCTTGGAAAACATATGTAGCTCTCTCAGAAAAATGCATTACAAACATTAAAAATTTAAAGCTAGTTCATTCTATTGAAAGACCCAAACACCACAGTATACAATTGGACTTTCTTTTTTATAGCTGGTATACAGCCTTCCCTGTTTTACCTACAGTTCCTGAGCAATAGCTGATGTCTCCCTACTAAACTGTATCCAGCTCTGAAAATGTTTCAGAATGTTTCTAATATTTAAACATTGTTGTAAGACCTTTAAGCTGTAGATAATGATTCTGCTTTTTCAGAAAGACATATTCTGCTACAGTGAGTTGGTGATATATTCAGGAAATGCCCAAGGAAGAGTGAGAAAATAATACAGCCTTGGATAGTTCTGTTGTTTAGAGAAGAGGTCTCTAAACTTTTTTGATCACTCAACTTAAAAAGATACTAACCTGTGGCCAGGCGTGGTGGCTCACACCTGTAATCCCAGCACTTTGGGAGGCCGAGGCAGGTGGATCACCTGAGGTCAGGAATTCGAGACCAGCCTGGCCAACATGGTAAAACCCAGTCTCTACTAAAAATACAAAAATTAGCTGAGTGTGGTGGCGTGCGCCTATAGTCCCAGCTACTCGGGTGGCTGAGGCAGGACAATCACTTGAACCCGGGAGTTGGAGGTTGCAGTGAGCCAAGATTTTGCCATTGCACTCCAGCCTGGATGACAGAGTAAAACTCCATCTCAAAAAATAAAAAAGATATTAACCCATATTTCAGTAAATTAAATGTATTTATGAATTTAAAATATGCTTTATTGTACTAATGTGTGTATTTACAGCATAAATATATATGTTTGTATATTTTTCAAACATGAATTATGTTTCACTATTTATATTCCAATATAAATTTGAAAAGAATGAGGTAAAATAAACATAAGTAGATATTCTAATATTTTCTTCTCTTTTCTCCTTGAATAATCTGGTACACCCCACTCTGGAGACCACTGGTTTCAAATATTAATTAGAAAAGCTATGTGTCTCTCTTCTCTCTTAGAAAATAACTTCTTTTTCTTTTTCTTTTTCTTTTTGAGACTGAGCCTTGCTCTGTCACCCAGGCTGGAGTGCAGTGGCCTGATCTTGGCTCACTGCCACCTCTGCCTCCCAGGTTCAAGCAATTCTCATGCCTCAGCCTCCCAAGTAGCTGGGATTACAGAAGTGTGCCACCATGCCCAGCTAATTTTTGTATTTTTAGTAGAGATGGGGTTTCACCATATAGACCAGGCTGGTCTCGAACTCCCAACCTCAGGTGATCTGCCCACCTTGGCCTCCCAAAGTGCTGGGATTACAGGCGTGAGCCACCACACCCGGCCAAAAATAACTTTAAATGCATACCTTACTGGCAGGAAAACTCACCACATACTCCTAAAGGAAAAATTGCATGACTCCTATAGCATCCATAGCAAGGTCCATGGTGTTGCTGTGAAACTTAGCTGCCTCCTTTTATCTTCCAGGGAAGTCACCCGGTCTCTGAAAGATTTTTCTTCTAGCAAGAGAATGAATACTGGAGAGAAGGTAAACCCATGCCAGTGCTCAAATGCCCAGTAAATTAGTCCCTGCTTTCTCTCTAAGAGCAGGGAAGCTGCCTCCTCCAAACAGGACTAGTGGGTTAGCAAGGCCATATCCCTCTCTTAGTTTATATCATTTTGCCTTATTTTTATTTTGCTTTTATTATTATTATTATTATTTTGACAGAGTCTCGCTCTTTTTCCCAGGCTGAGGTGCAGTGACAGGATCTTGGCTTACTGCAACCTCCGCATTTTGGGTTCAAGCGATTCTCCTGCCTCAGCCTCCTGAGTAGCTGGGATTAGAGGCACGCGCCACCACCCCTGGCTAATTTTTTTGTATTTTTAGTAGAGACGGGGTTTCACCATCTTGGCCAGGCTGGTTTTGTACTCCTGACCTCCAGCTATCCACCCACCTTGGCCTCCCAAAGTGCTAGGATTACAGGCATGAGCCACCGTGCCCGGCCATTTTTACATTTAAGATACAGATCCAGGCCGGGCATGGTGGCTCACACCTGTAATCCCAGCACTTTGGGAGGCCGAGGCAAGTGGATCACAAGGTCAGGAGTTCGAGACCACCCTTGTCAACATGGTGAAACCCTGTCTCTACTAAAAATACAAAAAATTATCTTGGTGTGGTAGTGGGCACCTGTAATCCCAGCTACTTGGGAGGCTGAGGCAGGAGAATTGCTTGAACCCGGGAGGTGGAGATTGCAGTGAGGCAAGACCATGCCATTGCACTCCAGCCTGGGTGACAGAGTCAGACTCTGTCTAAAACAAACAAACAAAAAAAAGATACAGATCCAGAGCCCCTACATTTTGATATTTACAGAGAACTGCTTTTTGTTACTCTGATGGTTAATATTTACTCTTTTGGATCATGATTCATTTTAAGCCAGAAGAATGAACTGTGAGACCTTTTTTTAACTTGTGGTAAAATTATAATCTACCTTATTTATATATATAAAATTATATATATATAATTATAACCTACCTTATAGAATTTATAACCTACCTTACCTGGGCCTCTCCCTATCCTGCCTGTTTATCAGAGGTGGCACACCTGTCTTCGTCAAGGGAAGTGGAATTACCAAAATACAACTCTGGTTGTGTTACTCACTTGCTTAAAACCATTTAGGGACTTCTTGTTCCCCTTAGAATAACTCCCATCTGCAACACACACACACACACACACACACCCCCCTTCCAAAGCCCAGATCATCAGCCCCACAGGCCTCTCTCTGGTCTCATCTCTGCCCCTATCCTTGTTGCCCTGCCTCCTTGCTCCAGCCACACCAGTGTCCTCTTGCCTCAGACCTGGCCAGGTTCTTTGGCTCAGGCATCATTTCCTCAGGGAAACCCTCCCCGGGTCCCTACCCAGACTAGGCAGATGCCTGTGCCACGTGCACCCACACTACCTGGTGAGTCCCCTCGAAGGGCCCTGATCTCTGCAGTGCTTTGGCTCCTCTCCTGGATGCTCTGATTCTCCGTGAATTAGAGATTCTTTTTTTTTTTTCTTTTGTCCTTGTATCTCCAGCACCTAATAGTTCCTGGTATATAGTAGTAATTCAGTAAATTTTTGTTGGGTAAATGGATGGGATTAGATGGCCCACACAGAAAGCACACAGACCTGTCTTGCCCATTGGGTGCAGATTCCCACCCTCTGTGACCTCCCTGTGCTCCTCCCGTCCACGTAGCCACAGTCTTTCTGCCAGGAGGAAGTGCAAACTTGATGCTAAGGCTGCTTGAGCTGAGGATGAAGAAAAGCAGTGAATAGAAGGATTTTTTTTCCTCAGCAAGAATTAGCTCTCAACAGCTTTCTAGTCCAATAAGCATAGAATAAAATATAACTGCTAGACTTCAGAGTTCAGTTCCCAACCTATAAGACAATCATATTTGGATCAAAAAAAATTTTGAGCCAGAGGCCTGGAAATCTAAACACACATGATTTTGTGTTTCACAGATTCATTTTGAGTGTTACAGAGTGTGCGCTTGGGAACCCTAGTGTGGGCAGCTGTCCTGTCCTGTGCCCACTAGCCTTGCAAAGCCTCCTAACATCAGGGCCATTAGAGTGACACCATGTGCTTTCCTTTCCCTTACAGACCACCATGCGGGACCTGTCCCAGATGCTGAAGAAGATGCCTCAGTACCAGAAAGAGCTCAGCAAGGTATGGCAGCCCCAAATCATCTGTTTGAATAATTGAGTAGAAACAGCTGCAAAAAGACTTCTCAAAGCCCTACTACTCTAATTGATTCATGGAAATTCACAGATTTAGTTATCTTCAATTTTTATTAGAAAAGAAATGAAAGGCTGGGATAGGCACCTTATTTCCTGTCACTTTCTTTTCTCCTCTTTATCTTTTCCTTCCTATTCCCTTGCTGTTGGCAGGAGGCCTCAGTTCCTCACCACATGGGCCTCTCCACAGGGCTCCTTGAGCATCCTCCCAACAGGGCCATTGGCTTTCCCCAGAGTGAGCCATCTGAGAGAGAGAGTGCTAGGAGGAAGTCACAATACCTTTTATGTCCCGATCCTGGATGCCATGCATTATCAGTTCCTCCACATTGTTTGTTAGAAGCAAGCTACTAATTCCAGCCTACAGTTAAGGAGGGAATGAAGCTCTGCCTCCTAAAAGGAGGAGTATCAAAGAATCTGTGGACACATTGTAGTAATAAAACCATCATTGGCTGGGTGTGGTGGCTCATGCCTGTAATCCCAGCACTTTGGGAGACCGAGGTGGGCAGATCACCTGAGATCAGGAGTTCGAGACCAACCTGGCCAACATGGTGAAACCCTGTCTCTACTATAAGTACAAAAATTAGCCGGGCGTGGTGGCACGTGCCTGTAATCCTAGCTACTCAGGAGGCTGAGGCAGGAGAATCACTTGAACCCAGGAGGCAAACGTTGCAGTGAACCGAGGTTGCACCACTGCACTCCAGCCTGCGCAACAGAGCAAGACTCTGTCTCAAATAAAAACCATGGTGCCACCTACCCTCATAAAGGATTTCTCCTTTGTCTTAACTCTTTTAGAATGTGGTTTGTCCCTCTCTTTTGACATGTAACACTTTCTACTTTGTGATGTTTGTGTACCCGCTTGTACACACTTTTTACCTCCTTTCTGAGGCTAGCGACTCCTTGGTGCCCAGTGGTGTTTTATACGTAGTAGGTGCTCAGTAGATGTTGCATGCATCCATGATTAGTCCCTTGGTCACAAACTGTTGTGCTTTTTCCTAGTACTCCACCCACCTGCACCTTGCTGAGGACTGTATGAAGCATTACCAAGGCACCGTAGACAAACTCTGCCGAGTGGAGCAGGTAGGACTCTCCTTCTGCCACGGCAAGTTTTTGCCAGGCCTATTTACCCAGCAGAATTTTAACATCTGCCCTTGAACATCCTGCAGAATCATAGGAAATAGAGACGGGAAGGCCTGCTAGATCATGCTGTCTCAACTCTGGAGCCAGTGCGGTTCCACTGTCCATGGTAGGGACTAGATTGGTCTGGAATGCTGTGCCGTTTGGATTTTGCATGCCTATTTTGAAAGGCTCTGTTTTCCCTGGAATGAGTGAAGAAAGATGTGTGGGGTTCTGAGCCCTACATTGACAGGACTGGCAGAATTTTATATTCTGAATGTGTTCTACTCTTGCCATGGCCAGACCAGCTTTGGAGACCTCGAGGCTGACAGAGGGTAGAGCAGTAGCAATCAGAAATTTGCCCAAAGCATCCCTGATCACAATTGGGATTGTAAATTGAGAATTTGGGGTTTGAGTTCTGTCTCTGTCACTGATTATTTGATGTGCCTGTTTCTTTGTGTTTCATTTTTTTCATCTGCAAAAGGGAAATCATTGCTGACATTTTTCAAGGTTGTCTTGTGGAGTCACTAATCCTGGCTTAGATTCATCCTAATTCTTCAAGTGTTTCAACATTATAAAACCATGGTTCAAATTCTAAGCGAAGAGAAGATGTTAAAAGATTCTGAAGCCGGCTGGGCGTGGTGGCTCACGCCTGTAATTCCAGCACTTTGGGAGGCCGAGACGGGCGGATCATGAAGTCAGGAGTTCAAGACCAGCTTGGGCAACACAGTGAAACCCCATCTCTACTAAAAATACAAAAATTAATTGGGCGTGGTAGCTGGCGCCTGTAATCCCAGCTACTTGGGGGGCTGAGGCAGGAGAATCGCTCGAACTCGGGAGGCGGAGGTTGCAGTGAACAGAGATTGCTCCACTGCACTCCAGCCTGGGCAACAGAACGAGACTCTGTCTCAAAAATAATAATAATAAGATTCCGAAGCCTCAGCTTGGCCTCTTTTCATAGAAAAAAACAATTCAGGATCTCAGTGTGAAGCTAAGATTTCAATCCTCTGGTTTGGTGTGACAGGCTCAGTTTAGGATTGTAAGCCCTGTCCTGTATCTTTGGATATTTTATAAGGGGAAGCAGCCCTGCTAAAATCCATCAATTTTATAGGGGATTATAGCAAACACAAGGTGTCCTCTTGAAAAGAACCTGACCATCTAGAAAATAGGTCATACCTAAATCAGTAAAAATGTAGTTTGGGATTAATTTTGGAAGTTTACAAATTTTCAGAAGTGATCAAAAGTATTGTTGAACTAGTTGCATTATTAAAATCATGTCCTGCTAGTCAAATGTCTGTTGAGGCTGGTGGTAGGACTGAAAGGTGAACGGCCTGTGAGAGGTGTCCTGCCTTCCTGGGACACAGACTGGAGAGAGACTATGAACTCGAGATCAGAATTTGTATGGACTCTTGGGATCTTGAGAGAAAAAAAGAGAGCCTTCAGGCAACCTCCTAAGAGCCACAAAGGAAGCTGCAGCTGTGAGTCCTGGTTGGCTGAGACCAGCGTGCTGCCTTCTCTGGATCTGAGTCTTGCCTGCATCATGAAGCGGGGCCAGGAACTTGTGTTCACTTCACTCTTTTTCATGTCTAGTTCTTTTTCAGCCCATATCTTCCCCTTCATCTCCTGGGGTTTGGATTTGCTGGTTTGGGGGCTCTTTTTTTCCCTTCCTCACTCATGAAACATGGTAGAAAGATTAAAAACACGTTAAAAGCCTGGAGCAGTTCAAACTCAAAAAGCATGTGCTTCAATGTGAGGGGAAGCAGAATGGAAAGAATCTACCCACGCGGAGGCATCCTAAAATCCCAGCACTTTTCATGGGAGGGAAGCACATCCCTTTAAGTCCCGCTCCCTCACAGGGCCTTGTACCTCTAGAGGGCCTACCAAGATTTAGTCTTTTTTTTTTGTTATGAGCCAGGGTCTTGCTCTGTCACCCAGGCTAGAGTGCAGTGGCGCAATCATAGCTCACTGCAGCCTTGAACTCCTGGGCTCAAGCAATCCTCCTGCCTCAGCCTCCTGAGTAGCTGGGACTACAGGCATGTGCCACCATGCCTTGGTAAAGATGAGGTCTCTGCTGTGTTGCCCAGGCTGGTCTCAAAACTCCTGGGCTCAAAAGATCCTCCCACCTCAGCCTTCCAAAGTGCGGAGATTACAGGCATGAGCCACCGCCCCCAGCCAGGATTGAGTCTTTATCTGAGAAGCTGGCACAAGTACACTGGCACTCACCTACAGTGAACAGCCTACTTTAAAACAAGATGGTAAATCATTGTGGTTTCTGTTGGGCAAGTGGCACTCAGGGCTTTTATCCACCCTCACTGATGCTGTGGGAGACAATGCTGATCACACTCCTGCTAACTACAGTGCATTATAAGAACAGAAGCACCTGTTTAAGACCTTCCCCAACCAAGGTGGCAGTTCTAGACATTTGTGGATCCTGAATTTCCTAAGAACTACTGTTCCTCCACACTGTCACCAGAGAGATGGAGCCAATGAGGTGTGTTTTCCTTAGGACCTGGCCATGGGCACAGATGCTGAGGGAGAGAAGATCAAGGACCCTATGCGAGCCATCGTCCCCATTCTGCTGGATGCCAATGTCAGCACTTATGACAAAATCCGCATCATCCTTCTCTACATCTTTTTGAAGAATGGTAGGGCTGTGGGACCTAGAGGAAGGCACAGACCCTGTCTTGGGGAAACTGAGACAACTGAGAAAGAGGAAACAAAGCAGAGAAGTCATTTAAAAGACATGGACTGGGGAAGGAAAAGAAGATCCTAGGGGCCCTTTTTGTTTGGGGAAATGCAGTGTAGTCAGATCGTTGCAGCTAGAGGCTGAATGTCCCCCAGTCATTGTAGAGTTAATAAATGGTATGGAGTAGATGGAAGAGGACAGGGCTGGGGAGAGAGGGAAAGCTGCTTGGCCTTGTGGCCAGTTTACCAGAGCTATGCCCATCACGTATTTTTAACTTGCATCACATTGGTAATCTCTGCCTTTAAAGAACTGACTTTTACCCAGTTCAATCACAGTTTCCCAGGAATGTCCATTGTACAAAAGATAGATAATAAGACTCTTGTCCAATTTGACCTTGATTCAGGGTGGGGGTGGGCAGGGGTTGCTGAGAAGCCGGGGGGCAGATGGAAACACAGACTATAGGGGCAGCTGCTGATGGTCCTCACTCAGGCAGAGTGGCTGGAGGGGAATCGGGATCCTCGTGTTGTCCTCACCTATAGTGAATCTGATGAGGTGGGGGAGCAATGTCCACTAACCCTGAGGGGAGAAGGGCCACCATCCGGCCTGTCCCATTGGGTGCATGGGGGCTGTGTGTGGTGATCGGGTGTCTTGTGCCCTCAGGCATCACGGAGGAAAACCTGAACAAACTGATCCAGCACGCCCAGATACCCCCGGAGGATAGTGAGATCATCACCAACATGGCTCACCTCGGCGTGCCCATCGTCACCGATGTAAGAGGCCAGCTCAGCTTCCGGGGGAGGTGGGAAGGGAGCTGGCAGATCTGTCTGCTTCTGCTCTGACTGACATACAGCATCTCTGATACACACTCGTACGTCAAGAGAGAGAGACACAGAATCAGAGGGATAAAGGTGTAAAGCTATATATAAATCAGAGACACAAAGCCAAGAACCTAGACGTCAACAGCAGTGAGTCATTCACAGTTGTGAAAGCTGAGATGTCTTGGAACCAAACCATAACAGGGGTCCCCGCCATTTTATCTGTCTTGTCTCAGGGTCTGTCTGGCCTCACCTTTGGACAGCTTAGCCTCAGTGTCCCCTGTGAAGATGAGAATATGACACTTAGAGCTAGCAGTTTGGCCACCTTTGAGTCTTCTGCACTGGGTTGGTTCAGAGCCAAGTCAGGGCAGGTTGTCTGGGAGGCCTGGACCACGTGATGTGCTCTAGAAGAGGTGGGGTGAAGCCTCCAGGACCCTTGCAGAGGACTCTGCCATGAACCTTGCCTGTCACAGCCCCACTGTGTGCTTGTCTTCTATAGGCACAGCACTAACAAAGCTAGGGTTGCAAATATTCTCCCTCTGGAATCTTATAGACAAAACTGTTCTAGTGCCACCAGACCATAGCCCTGTAACTAGCAGGAGTTTGGCATTTTTAAACCCTTGTTCACAAGAGGGATCAAAATGAGAATGGAGATGTGCATTCATTCAGTGCAACTGTGCTGCTGAAATCCAATACGGCATGCTCCAAGCAGTATGCCCTCCTCTAATAGGCAGCAAACTACTGTTTCAACTGCCTGGAGTTTTTTCTTTTTTCTTTTTTTTTTTTTGAGACGGAGTCTCGCTCTGTCGCCCAGGCTGGAGTGCAGTGGCGCGATCTCGGCTCACTGCAAGCTCCGCCTCCCGGGTTCACGCCATTCTCCTGCCTCAGCCTTCCGAGTAGCTGGGACTACAGGCACCCGCTACCACGCCCGGCTAATTTTTTGTATTTTTAGTAGAGACAGGGTTTCACCGTGTTAGCCAGGATGGTCTCGATCTCCTGACCTCGTGATCCGCCCGCCTCGGCCTCCCAAAGTGCTGGGATTACAGGCGTGAGCCACCGCGCCCGGCTGAGTTTTTTCTTTTTAATGGCACTTACATACTTGACCTATGTTTGCCCTTTTTTATAACTTTTTTTTTTTTTTTTTTTTGAGATAGAGTCTCACTCTGTAGCCCAGGATGGAGTGCAGTGGTGAGATTTTGGCTCGCTGCAACCTCCACCTCCCACATTCAAGCAATTCTCCTGCCTCAGCCTCCTGAGTAGCTGGGATTACAGGTGCACACCACCACGCCCGGCTAATTTTTGTATTTTTAGTAGAGACGGGGTTTCGCCATGTTGGCCAGACTGGTCGTGAACTCCTGACCTCAGGTGATCTGCTCACCTCAGCCTCCCAAAGTGCTGGGATTACAGGTGTGAGCCACCAAGCCCGGCCTTTTTATGACTAAAGAACAAGTTTGCTCCAGGTTCCCAAAAGGGCACATTTAGGGCTATTCCATGGAAAACCATCCCCCCACCATTACTCTTTGCCAGTGCTGCCTCTGGGTTCCTTCAGGGAATTTCCAGAGAGTAGCAGAGGTCACCTAGGGCCCAAGTGGCCCTGACTCAGGTTCTAACCTGGTGTGTGTGTGCATGCAGTCCACGCTGCGTCGCCGGAGCAAGCCGGAGCGGAAGGAACGCATCAGCGAGCAGACCTACCAGCTCTCACGGTGGACTCCGATTATCAAGGACATCATGGAGGTTAGTGCTGGGGCACAGGGAGGAAAAACCAGGCCCAGGGCCCTTGGCTTGTCAGCCTGGATGCTTCCAGCTTCACCTGCGGCGAGGTGCTGCTGACTTCACAGGTACTGCCTCCACTTGAGGATTTGCATCCAGGCCTCCTTCGGCCCTCATGGTGCCCCTTGCCTGGGGGTTTCTGAAGAGCTGAGAGACTGTGAAGCACAGCCCCAGATCTATTTGTTGTTATGTCTTGGAGGACTCAGCTCCTATAATAGAGACTCCTCTAGGGTGCCGCATCCAGAGGGGTCCAAGTGTATCTCAAAGGTCAGATGAGTGACATCACATCTCCACACAGGTGCAGTGGCTCAGCACACTTCCCCAGCACGGCCCTGCCTGCCCCGCCCTGCCCTCCTCCTGCTGTTCCCTACCTGAGCCTCCACACACCAGCAAATCGGATTCTGCTCCTCTGGCCAAAGCAGCCCCTTGCCTGGCATATTCTCACCCCTCCACTCCCCTTCCCAGATCCTGCTTTCCATCCAAGCCCCTCTTGAATCTTACCATTTCCATCTGCCGCCCCACCTGTCTGACCACTCAGCACACAGGGGCCTCCCCTGGACTCCTTAGTGCACATGTGCCTCTTGGTGCCTCGGGTCGCCTTTTTGTTTGTTGGTCCTGTCCCCTCAGCTGCTGTGTCATCTGCACAGAGCCTCTAGTGCAGCAGGTGTTTTTGCAGTTGTTGGCTGGAAGGTGTATAAGGTGGTGGCCACCGCAGTAGCCCTGTGGGGTCACTCCCTTCTCTCCTTGTAGCGGGAAGAGACCCTGCATAGAATCCTGCACCACTAGATCTTTCCAACTTGATTAGTGAACAAAACTGGGGTCTAGAGAATGAAGGGGTTTTTCTCGGGATCCCTTAGTTAATTCCTGGCAGCCCAGGTGTTCCTATTGAATTGTACATTAATATAAATGTATTTTAAATATATAGAGTGAGTCAGCTCCCATTTTTAAAATCCACAAACTAAAAGGATGGGTGAACATGAAACATCTAGAAACCAATTATATCTCTTTGCTTGTTGGGATAGCCAACCCCTCTGTCTCATTCCTTCCTTTGTTCTCTGCTCCCTTTTGCTCCCCCTCCTCTCCGATCCCCTAAAGAGACATGTGTAGGCTTCATGTGGGAGCTGTAAAGAAGAGTGTGGATTTCTAGGCAGCAGGAGGTAGATGGTGAGAGTCCACCCACCAGATAATTAGACACTTGAAAAACGGAGGGGGTAAGGCTTCTTCATGCAGGAGAGACACTGCTTGTGCCTGGTTTCTACAAGGCTGATGGCAAGTATCAGGAATTTATTGGACAGAATGCATCATTTATAAAACCTCACATAGATTATGAAAGTGAATAAACTGGAAGAGAAGCAAGAAAAAACTTCTCTTAAAAAGCAGGCTATCTCAGTGTAGCAGCTAGTTACAAAGCATCTGCTATAACTGAGCCCTGTGCTAGGCACCTCTGGCCGCAGGGAAGGGAGCTCTGGTTGTTGCAAACCTGGCCATGGCTTTGCCAAGTGACATGTTCTACAGATCATCTGGCCTTGGTTCCTATCAGCACTTTTCAGACAGATGGCAAGCTAATATCTGTCTCTTTTCCTTCTAGGACACTATTGAGGACAAACTTGACACCAAACACTACCCTTATATCTCTACCCGTTCCTCTGCCTCCTTCAGCACCACCGCCGTCAGGTAGGTGAAAATCCCTTAGCAAGGACAGAGGGGAGCCAGCTCTGGTTGGATGTCAGCTCTGCGGCAGACCCACTGTACGGCTGTGTGATCTACCAGAGCCCTCTCGCTGCTGCTCCCCACAGCTGCAGCGTGGGCCAGGTCTGCACAGTGGTCCCACGGCCCTTCCCCCTCCAGCATCCCGTTCCTCTCTGATTCATCCCTCACACCTCCTCCCTCGCTCACTCTGCATCAGCCATGCCAGCTTCCTCGCACTTCTCAAACAGTCAGGCTTACGTCTGCCTCAGGACCACTGCACTTGCTTTTCCCTCTGCCTGAAATTATCTGTCCCCAGATATGTCTGCATGGGCTGGGCACAGTAGCTCACACCTGTAATCCCAGAACTTTGGGAGGCCAAGGCGGGTGAATCACTTGAGGTCAGGCATTTGAGACCAGCCTGGCGAACATGGTGAAACCCTGTCTCTACTAAAAATACAAAAATTAGCTGGGCATGGTGGCGGACGCCTGTAGTCCCAGCTACTCAGGAGGCTGAGGCAGGAGAATTGCTTGAACCCAGGAGGCGGAGGTTGTGGTGAGCTAAGATCGCATCACTGCACTCCAGTCTGGGTGACAGAGCGAGACTCCATGTCAAACAAAGAAAAAATATGTCTGCATGGCTTGCCTCTTATCTCCTTTGGTCTTTAATCAAGTGTTACCTTCTCCAATCTTCCCTCACCACCCTGTTTAAAATTGCAGTGCATCAGCGTTCACAGCTTTACTCATGCAGTCCAAGTGTGGAGCAGCCCACATGTCCCCCAGCTGACGAGTGGGTAACACACGTGGTCTCTCCACACAGTGGCTCCTGAGAACAGTCAGGGCTGAGCACGCACTCGGGATGGTAGAGTTAGCAGCTCGAGAGGGCGACCCTGGCACTGCAGCTGTGCCACACCTGGCACCCCAGGATGTGCACATCTCTGTCCCTCCTCTCCTGCTTTCCCCACCTGTCTTCTCTTTTGCGTCTCTTCTCTCTGTGTTCACTTTTGGCTTCAGCTGGGCCAGAGGCCTGTGGTGGCCTCTGTGTCATTGTGCAGCCCTTCTCATGGCAGCAGAGGTAAAACGTTTTTTGCCAAATATGGCATAAAATACAAAATCCCAAGTAGCGCCACAGTCAGGCTGGGTGATGAGAATGGGATATCAAATGATTGCACAAGGAAAGAAAGCAACTGTGAGATTCTCTGTTGGCCCAAACGGTGCCCCAAACGGTGTCTTCCTGGTTTGGAAAGTGACTGTAAAGCTGTCATGAGTCAGGAAGAAAGGCGACGCATTGCAGTGGCCAGAAAGGACTTGCTCCTTTCATCTCATTTTTCTCATTTTCTTAACCTGGGAACAACCCATTTATTCCTGTTTCTCAGTCAAAGGTAAAGAGCTATTGAAGGAAGCCCAGGTTCAGAGGGAGGCCCCTCTGGGAGCAGCCTTGCCACTGAAGTACTCTTCCTCCCTGGCTTCGCCGCAATTTCCAGGAGGCAGCTCAGGGATGGAGAAGCCTCCCCAGTGGTGCCCGGACAGGGTTCCAGGGCTTCCCTGTGCTTGGCCCTATAGCACAGAGCTCTTCATCAGACCAGGATTTGGGCTCACTTCCTTCTCCCCACCTGCCCCATTCAATGATGACCTCTTGGTCAAGGCCTGTGTCTCCTTAGGATGTGGTACTGGGGAGGCCCTGGCCTCCAAGAGGCACTCACTCAGTACATGTTTTCAAGGGATCTATGTGCCAGCCTGAAGGCAGATCTTAGACTGTCATCACTGTGCACTGACAGCAGAGTGTCCCAGGCAAGCTCAGAGGCATGTGTGACTTGGGGTAGACGTCTGCATGAGCCTCTAGCAGGGGGATGCTACAGAACTTGACCCAGCAAACGTCAGAGCTGAACTGATCCTGTCTGTTGCCTGCATGTTTCTAAGAGTGACAAGGTCACAGCAGCACAGGCATTCATAGTGACTCTTCTCCTGGGAACCAATCCACTTGAAAATTGCATTGCAGTGAAATTTCAGCCAGCACTCACTAAGCATCTACACTGTTTGGGGCACAAGTGTACAGACCTAATAAGTAAACAAACCACTGGGGTATGAAGCACTAGATGCCGTGAGTGCAGATAAACTGACTGACATTCTCTTTCTCTCTCTCTTTCTCAGCGCCCGCTATGGGCACTGGCATAAGAACAAGGCCCCAGGCGAGTACCGCAGTGGCCCCCGCCTCATCATTTTCATCCTTGGGGGTGTGAGCCTGAATGAGATGCGCTGCGCCTACGAGGTGACCCAGGCCAACGGAAAGTGGGAGGTGCTGATAGGTGAGTGGCCGTGCTTCCAGCGGAAGGCGCCGCCGCATCGCACCTCAACTCCATTCCACGCTTTGGTGTCGCATTCTGTCATAGACTCCCTTGACCCACAAAACTTAGTCTTTAGGTAACTGTGGACAGCAGAAGCTAGGGGCAAAGGGTTCCCTCCTTGGTCTGCCCTGCTGCATCTCTCAATGGAAGGCAGCCTCATGAGGTAGGAAGTGCCTGATCCCAGGGTCCGGCAGACTCAGGCTCAGATTCCTGCTCTGCAAACTGCAAGTGGGGGACCTTGAGCAAGTGGTTCGAGCTCTCCAACCATTTCCTTACTCAGCAAAACAGGATCAGTCATACTCATTCACAGCCTTGAACTAGGCCCAAGATGAGGTCTGTCAGTCTCCTGGCATTGGCCTCATGCCCAGGCAGGAATGGGCAGTGAATGGCAGTCAATCGCTGCCCTGTCAGGTGGAGATGGACAGACAGCTGTGAGCAGGTGCTGCCTGAAACTACTGCCTGACCGCTGGACTCTGCCCAGGGCTCCCCCAGCCACCTCCAACCACTTTCTAGGTCTGCCATGCCCTTTCTCGTATTTCCTGTTCGTTTCCCAAAAGAGAGGAAGCGACTTGTAGGAGCTAGCTTAACGCAGCAGGAGCCTTTTCTCCTTTTTCGTGCCTTTTGGGGGCTTCTATGATGTTTAGGGCTGGAAGAAGATGAACGAGCTAAGAAAAGTCTTGCTTTCTCCAGATGCCTCCCTTTTTGTCCTGTTTTGCCCTTAACAAAATGGAGGGTACCTGCCAGCCTGGGAGTCCCTCTCAACACTGTCTGGCAAGAAGCTGTCATGTTCACTACCCTGGCTGGGCTCTGTCCTCAGTGGAAACAGGCTCACGCTGAGCAAGGAGTGAGGCCAGGGCTCTTGGCCTCCTTTTGGAAGGGGGTGTGCTCTGCACAGTGGGGAATTATACTCTCCAGGGCCAAGGATGGCCTCTCAGGCCACTTACACATGAAGTGCTACAGGGAGAGGCCCTGAGCTGCCCCAGCTGGGAGGCATCGCTGACCTTCTCCCATAGGTGCCCACCACTGGTCTTAATCCCAGGCACAGTCATGATCTCGATAACAAGTGGTGGTTTTATACCTCCTATTTGGGGTGAGCAAGTCGCAGCACCCCCCCCCTCCCAAGCTATCCAAGTGAGCAGACTCCATAGACCAGTCCACATGGCTGTTTCTGGGTTTTTCAAGATGGATCTGGGGCTGTCAGCCGCCTCTCTGATAGCACAATCCAGTGGGGAGACTGTACCTCCCCACCGCAGCCCTCAAGCTTCCCGTGTCAGGTCACCAGCTCTCCACATAACTGTTTTTCCCTTCTGTTGTGTAGCCCCGGTGATAAAGCTCTCTGCTCCCTGCTTGCATATGTATTGCATGAATGTAGTGAGTAATTCTGAGCCCAAACACAGCTTTTCTGGACAGAAGCTGTCACAGCCAGGCTTTGGGTGTAAATCTTCCCCTTCATCTTTAGACCTGACTTGAGGTTCCATATATCGGGAGGTGGGAACCTGGGGGTATGCAGTTGCCCATGAAGATTCATGGAGGGGCCTCGCGCAGACAGCTGACGTCCGCTGTGTGGCCTCCCCTGCTTTGTGCATGCCAGCCTCCTTGCTACCATGTGTGTTCATGCGCGCTTGTGTGTGTGTGTATGCATGCGCACACATGTGTGTGTGTCTTGCTTTCTCATACCTCATTGGCTGCATAAAATGTAGGCCTAAGTTGGCATGTTCCTGTGACGTACCTTTGTTCAAGCAGTCAGCTGGCCTCTGTTCTCCCACAGGTTCTACTCACATTCTTACTCCCACCAAATTTCTCATGGACCTGAGACACCCCGACTTCAGGGAGTCCTCTAGGGTATCTTTTGAGGATCAGGCTCCAACAATGGAGTGAGAGCCAAAGAAACAAAGTAAAAGCAGCTTATTACAGAAAAGAAACTCTTCCACTCTGAAGGGCTTTCTTTGATTATTCCGTCACTCTTTTTCTTTATTTCTTCCTTTTTAGTTTATTATTTATTTGATTTTGTTTCAACAAGAAAATGCTTGCAGTTCTCAACACCGATTGAAAATGTGTCCAGTGCTGCCCTCACAGCCCTGCCATGAACCCTCTGGGCTCTGACCTGCTGGCTCACCCATGCCTTGGGTTCCGCACTGCTTAGTCAGACGCCTGCAGGCTGCTGGGTGGAAACTAAAAATGATAATGACTGCTGTGAACAGTTGTCAGAGAGGGAGCTGAAGTTTTGGGGGATGCCTGAGGCACAGTGCCCAACCCTGCTGGTCTGGGATGAATTTGTGGCCCCCACAAGGAATGTAGAGTGTCCTGGTTGTGCTGGGTGTGGGGGTCTGAGAGCGAGGCCAGTGGACATTCAGGGAACACCATGTCCAGGAAGGCAGGCGGTGGTGGAGATGGCTGGTCGTGAGGGAAGCTTGGCAGGCAATGTAGAATAGACCCCAGGTCAGTGGCAGCTGGACGGATGGTGTGAATACCTTTTTCCTAGGACAGGCACTTCTCAAGGAATAAGTTAAAAGGGGTAATTGGGTCACAAGCCGCCATCTGCTTGGGGAACCCCAATCTTTAGCGGGAAGAGCTTTTGTTTCATGTTCCTCTGCAGGAAACGGCACTTAACAGTCATTTGCTCTTTTACTAATTACTTTTAATTCTGTGGATCCTTTCAAGAGTTGAGTAGTCATACCCCTCTCTCTCCCACTGAAGTCCCTTGGTAAGGTCTGAGAGCCTGTCAGTAGTAATGTATTTTTTTTTTTTTGAGACGGGGTCTCGCTATATTGCCCATGCTGGAGTGCAGTGGCTCTTCACAGGTGTGATCACAACACACTGCAGCCTCAAACTCCTGGCCTCAAGAGATCCTCCTATCTCAGCCTCCTGAGTAGCTGGCACCATAGGCCCATACCACTGTGCCCAGCATAAACCTATTATTAATGCTCTGTGTGGTTTTAGAGAGCATCTTCTGTCTCCCACCAAGCTTGTTACCCAGAACCTATTGTCTGCTTAGTAGACTATCCAAATTTTATTTTATTTATTTATTTTTATTTTTATTTATTATTATTATTATTTTTTTTGAGATAGAGTTTCGCTCTTGTTGCCCAGGCTGGAGTGCAATGGCATGATCTCAGCTCACCACAACCTCTGCCTCCTGGGTTCAAGTGATCCTCCTGCCTTAGTCTCCCAGGTTGCTGGGATTACAGGCATGCGCCACCACACCTGGCTAATTTTTTTTTTTGTATTTTTAGTAGGGATGGGGTTTCTCCATGTTGGTCAGGCTGGTCTCGAACTCCCAACCTCAGGTGATCCACCTGCCTCAGCCTCCCAAAGTGCTGGGATTATAGGCGTGAGCCACCGCGCCCAGCCGACTATCCAAATTTTGATCTTCAAAACTGTCCTCATTCCCTCCTCTCTCTTTCCATCCTTCAGATACGATAGAACCTTCTATGTGTTTAAATGGCAGCCTTCCATCATCACATCAGTGACTCCTTAGCTTGTTACATATTCTTTCATGAGGCCATATTTTGTGTACCTGACTTTGTGTATATCATTGACAATGGACCCTGGAAAAGCCCCTTCACCTGAGCTGAGATGTGGCCCAGTGAGTCACAGAGCATGAGTCCCCTGTGAGCATTGGAGAGAGACCTGGACTCAGAGCCAGGAGGACTGGCCTCTACTCCAGCTACTCCATGGGCACCTGTGTGGCTGTGGGAAGATACCCTCGCTCTCTGGCCATAGCATAGGAGCACAGGGAGGGTGGATCGTGTGCCCCCAGGCACGCAGGACCTCTGACATTCTGTATATTCAGTGATTACGATTTGTGCCTCAAACCATGCAGTCCTGCTCACTCTCTCACTCTCTGGTGATCCTCAGGGGAATGGCCCTTCAGAACCTTGGCTAGGTGACATCAGAAGCTGCTTGTGTATGTAAGGAAAATGGGGCTTCCTCCTAAGGTAGGAACAGGAGGCTACGCTGTTTATCTCCTCCTCTCTCCCTTCCTTGATATGAATGTCAGGGCAGCAGTGTGCTAAGGAACTGAAAGTAGTTGGGAACCCAGAAAGTGGACCTGGTTATAGCCCTAGGCTATAGCTCCCATCCTGCCTGGGCTGGCCCTCCCTAGAAAGCAAGGCCAGTAGGTGGTGAATAAAAGCCATTGTTTTAAAAAAAATCATTCCTTAGAAGCACTGATAGGTTGTAAATCAGAGACATCTGGTTCTGTGTGCAGACTGCAGGTAGGTGGATGGATTTGCTGCAGTATGTATTTTAAGACTTCTAGAAAGACAAATGTTCAGTCGAGTCTGCAGCAATAGCAGACCACTTGCAGGATCTGAAAGAGCACAGACTCAAACTGCAAAGGCTCCTGCTAGGATGAGTTCTGAGCTTCCCTGCTTCAGAACAAGCTTCTCCTTTGCAGAGTATTTTCCTTTGCGTTATATTTGCTCAGCAGAGGTCTCAGCTGCCATCAAAACAAAGAGAACGTAAACAGACTCCGTATATTCCTGGCTTCTGAAATCATTTGCTGAGTGGTGTTGGGTTTTAGAGCATTCAGTTAAGCAAGGCACAGAGCCCTAATACCAGTGAGGTCAGAAAGCAGATTAAGGTCTGACTTGCCCTCTTCTGTTGTGATCGTCCAGGTGACCAAAGTACAGGACAGTGCAGACTGTCAGAAAACTTGAGTGTCCTAAAGACCAGTATCATGGCAGCATATCTTTTGTGTCTTTTTTTCTTTCTTTCTTTTGAGTCAGGGTTTCACTCTGTTACCCAGGCTGGAGTGCAGTGGCATGATTTTAGCTCACTTCAGCCTGGACCTTCTGGGTTCAAGTGATCCTTCCACCTCAGCTCACCTAGTAGCTGGGACCACAGGCATGCGCCACCATGCCTGGCTAATTGTTTTGTATTTTTGGTAGAGACTGGGTTTCACCACGTTGCCCAGGCTGGTCTTGAACTCCTGAGCTCAAGTTATCCCCCAGCCTCGGCCTACCAAGTGCTGGGATTACAGGCATGAGCCACTGCACCTGGCCCAACATATCTTTTAGGAGAGGATGAGTTTTCCTGCAGCAAATGAGAGGGTTCTCAGCAGACACCGTGCATGGGTGATGGTGCCATGCCCTGTCTTCCCAGCTCCTCTCCCTCCTGTAGCTGACGCTGGCTCCCCCGAGGTCAGGGTTAACCAACAACTCTCACTAAATCCTCACCAGTCATCCCTCCACATTGTCTAAAAAATGAAATCTTTTGATTAGATTTTCACCTCTCTGCTCTGGTTAGTTTATGATAAAAGTACTCTTCTTTGGGGAATGCCCAAGAGACTGTGAGAAGCAAATGTGAGAGAGCTGAAGACTGGATCAAGTCTTTGCAGTACATGGGGGCCACTTGGGAGAGAGTTGGTGGGTTTTTATATTGATTATTTTGCTTCATTCCAGATTGGGGTCAGGTATGTTTCATTTTTCTTTGGGACTCAGATTTGAATCTGAATTCAGAGCCCACCTATTGCCTGGCTGCTATTCAAGCATCCACCTGCCCATCCCCTCCCCTCCCAGGGGCCACAGGGTCCCGAGAATCAAGAGCCTGGAGGCACTGCTTCTGGACCTGTCTGTGCCACCCACCCTGAGCAAGCACCTGACTGCTCTGGCCTTCACGTGTCCCATGTGTAGGATGAGAAGGGTGGGCCGGATCACAGTTTTCCAAACCTGGCTAATGATCATACTCACCTGGGCTGCTCTTTAAATGTACACATTTTCTGGCGCCGCCCTGCATATTCTGAGTCAGTAGGTCTGCTTCAGCCAAACTCAAGAATGATTGGACCAGCTAGCCTGCAAGAACACTTTTGGTTTTCAGATTCTGTCCGTGTAGAAAGAAGGATTTTGTCCCATCAGAGCTTGCGGTGTCTGGCCCACAGCTTTGAAAACATGTAGACAGTCATGTAGATGGGCCTCAACTTAGTTTTTAGAGACCACTGTTTACATTTCATAATCGTCCAGTTATAGGGACTAAATAGGACCCTCAGAGCAATAGGGCCCACTTGCTGCTTTATTCTGGAAAACCAACATGGTCAGCCATCTGTGGATTCAAAATGAGAACTGTGCAAAATGTGGATTATGGACTCACTCAGCTTAATTTGCAATGTTTATGGTGGTGAAAAGCTTGACCAATTTATTAAAACAACACAGATGACTGACTTTGAAGAATTGGCTTTCTGATGATCAGCATTTACACCAGCTAGTCTGGTCCCCTTAAAGAAACCACGTAGGTGAAGGCCTAGGCCACAGCCTGTTGCTGAGGGTCTTCGAGGCTTCACTGATTGTCTCCAATACTCAGTCCTAGAATTATTGTTCTTCAGTCAAGACTGGGAGCAATGAATGGTCAGTGATTAAATAATATCAGAGACTTCTAGTGCATTAATTCCCTAACCTCTCTTTGGCCTCTCCCAAATCCTAGATTTACATATCAGCAAAGATAGGGAGGACTTTGGAATCAGCATCTGATCAGAGGAACCCCTTCGGATGCCTCCTTTAAAATGAGTCTGCCCTCTTATTTCCTGGAGTCATTTGGATGGCTAAGGAGGGCCTTGGGGACATTTTCTCTGGCACGTGCGCTCCTTGCTGTTGCTTGTAACGAGGAAGCTCCCAAGCGAATCCTCACGCTCTGCAGGACAGGCTGTCTTTCAGCATCTGGACACGTGGGCTACATGGAGTTGCAATTTGGAGGGCCCCCATCCTGGCAATGGTTCACTCTTCAGAGTTTGGGGCAAGCCTTGTAATATGCGTCCTTTCTCCTCATTTGTACAGCAGCCTTTGGCCTCTTTTAGGACTAGCAGGAGGAGTGGTGAGGTCACAGAAATGAGTGGACTTCAGGGGAAAGGAGTGCTATAAAAAAGCCCAGGGACACACTCCTGAAACCTGCATCGCATTTGCTGAAGGGGCCTCAGGTCTGCAGAATGATGAGTCAGCTTTCCAGCGCAGGGCCCCTACAGGCTGCGTGCACAGGGCATCATGCCGAGGACAAGTTCCTCACTCAGCTGGGAGTGGGCAGCTGGGGCCTGAACTGCAGAGAAAGGGATGTTGGAAGAACAGAGACGGCTTTCCAAGTTTCTGCTAGTCTGGAGTGACCAGGAAGGGCTGCAGTTCCAGCAGTCTTCGGTCAGCTGAGCGAGTAGTTAGTGGTCAAAGGCATAGGGACCCTGGTATTGGAGTCATGCCCAGTGAGCCAGCCAAAGCCTTCTTTTGCCTGCCCTTGGGGTGGAAATCCAGCATCCGGTGGTTTCCGCTCCCCTGCTCCCATGAAGGCCCATTCCTTTGCCACGTCTCCAGGGAGGCACATTTTCAAGTACGTGTCTCTTTTGTTCAGTTCTTGTCTCCCACCAGGACCTTTCTTTGAAGCACACTGCTGCATGCGTGCAGGCCTCATGCTCACCCACACACCACCCCGGTCACCTCTGTTCTGTTTAAGTCCATGTCCAAACCACACGACCCATGCATCTTTTTTTACTGCACTTACTAGATCTCTCTCTCTCTCCTTATGACAAAGACTTTCATTTATTTTTATTTTTATTTTTGCAGTAGAAGTATATCTAATTCCATTAGCTTAAATTTTTGCAAGCATTTCTAATCTCTTACAATACGCGGTCTCTGCAAGGTAAGGCCTCAGGTCCCCTGGCCCTTTCCCTCTCACACCTGAGGTCCCACCCACCAGGGCAGTACCAACTGGCTGGCTCCCAGAGGTCAGTGGATTCTCCCAGGGGGCTTTGCCTATCAACTTCCTCTCCCAGGCACCATGCTTTCCACACATGGTCCCCCTACCAACTCTGGCCCCATTTTCAGCCTTTCCCTGCCTTGCCATGTTTGGAATTTCTCTCCCTGGCTTCACCTGGAGTTTAAGAGTGAATTAGAAACGCAGCTGCCCATCACCTGCAGATGGCTCTGCACCCTGATGGTGAGGCAGCTCGTTCCTTGGTGCAGCCTGGGACCCTGCCTGAGCCAGAGGATGTGTTTTGTTTATCCACAGCCCCCAAATATCTCCCAGGCCTATTGCGACGGGACCCCAACCCCAATTCTGACTCCCCTCCCTGCTTCCACTATACCCAGACCAGGGTTGGGGAGGGGGGTGGGTGCAGATCTGGGAATCGAGAAGCGCAGGAAAGGAAGTGTTGGAAACCAGAACTGGCAAGCTCACTGTCTTCTCTGCCTCCTCCAGGATCCACACACATCCTCACCCCACAGAAACTGCTGGACACACTGAAGAAACTGAATAAAACAGATGAAGAAATAAGCAGTTAAAAAAATAAGTCGCCCCTCCAAAACACGCCCCCATCCCACAGCGCTCCGCAGCTTCCCACCACCGCCCGCCTCAGTTCCTTTGCGTCTGTTGCCTCCCCAGCCCTGCACGCCCTGGCTGGCACTGTTGCCGCTGCATTCTCGTGTTCAGTGATGCCCTCTTCTTGTTTGAAACAAAAGAAAATAATGCATTGTGTTTTTTAAAAAGAGTATCTTATACATGTATCCTAAAAAGAGAAGCTCATGTGCAATTGGTGCACAGCAGGAGAAATTTCTGGACTGTTAGGATGAATGGACGCCTTCTCCCCGTTATTTAAGATTTGTGACCTTGTACATAACCCTGGGTGACGTGCACATTGCTTGGGTATGGAACGGTAGAAATTTGGGTGTTTTTAAAACCTTGTTTGGGGTTGTTCCTGTCCTTGTTGAGAATCATAGAGATGTCTGTGTTCTTGGAGTATTTCACACTGAGGACTAATCTGCTATCTTCATTCCAGTCCCTACCCCTCAGTGCCTGCTCTCATCCAAATAACCTGGGAGGTGACAATCAGGATATCTCAGGAGGTCCAAGGTGGAACAGACCTCTTTGCCTTTCCCAGCGTCTCATACCCCCGGTAGTGCAGCTGTGGGTGGAGGCTGGGGTGTCTGCACGAAGTCAGGCCAGCGTCCTCCTCCACAGCCTGTCACTGCCCCCTCCCCAGCCTGTGTCCACAGTGCTGTGATCCCGAGGGAAGTCCTCCAGTCTAAGTCACAGTGCCCTGACAGGTGAGAAGCAAACTCCCGCTGGAAGCCTCCATCTCTTTGGAAAAACAGTTAGTCTGGAGCCTGTGGCCCAGGCCCTTCTGTCCCCAGGCATCATCCCAACAGCTCATTTTCCCTAGTCCGCCTTCGTTCAAGGGTCAGGAATGGACCAGAACAGATGGGTTCTGGAGGCCCCTGAACAGAGGGCTATGGCTGTGGAGAAGGTTCTTGGCCCGTTGGACTCACACAGACCCTGTACCCTCTCGGCAAGCATCTTCAGTCAGATTATCCTCAGTTTCAGATACTTCATAATACCTTGTGTTGTGTGGGGTCATACATCATCGTGTTTGTAAGAGAAGATGGTCATTTTATTCTCTGTATAAAACTTAGCTCTAAAGCAGAAACTAAAGCAGCAAATGCAGGAAGGCTGTCTCGCCATCCTCAAGACTCAGCAGCTCTCATTCTCCAGTGGTGAGCACACCATTTGTGCTGCTGCTGTTGTCGTGAAATATAATAACAGTGGAAGTCACAAAAATGTCCCCTGCCCAGCCCCCTCGCCGCCCTTGACCTCCTGCAGGCCATGTGTGTATTACTTGTCTAGTGATGTCCTCTCAAAGTGCTGTACGCGAGCTCGGCGCCACCTCCGCCTCCCTTTCAGAGCCTGCTCCCCGCCCTCTCTGCTCGCTGCATTGTGGTGTTCTCTTCTCAAGGCTTTGAAATCTCCCCTTGCACTGAGATTAGTCGTCAGATCTCTCCCCGTCTCCCTCCCAACTTATACGACCTGATTTCCTTAGGACGGAACCGCAGGCACCTGCGCCGGGCGTCTTACTCCCGCTGCTTGTTCTGTCCCCTCCCTCGGACCAAACAGTGCTCATGCTTCAGGACCTTGTTTGTCGAAGATGTTGGTTTCCCTTTCTCTGTTATTTATATAAAAATAATTTATCAAAAGGATATTTTAAAAAAGCTAGTCTGTCTTGAAACTTGTTTACCTTAAAATTATCAGAATCTCAGTGTTTGAAAGTACTGAAGCACAAACATATATCATCTCTGTACCATTCTGTACTAAAGCACTTGAGTCTAATAAATAAAGAAATCAGCACCCCTTCCCGGTGTCCAGGGGGCTCCAGTCTGGCTTTCCTTTGGGCAACGGAAGGAGAAAGCTTTTGCAGTGGTTCATCGCAGAGGAGGCGACCACCTCCGGCTGTGGCATGGAGTCTTCTGGACCCAGGTCCCCGTTGCTTGCGTTAGATCTGTAGCCGCCTTACACTGGGGACTAGCCATGGAGCTTGTCTTGGGCCCCTAGCAGCAACAGCGTGCTGCCTAGAGATGAGGCCATTCTTCCACCGTGTTTCTCCTTATCTAGAATGCTTTTCTTTCTTTCCTTTTTTTTTTTTTTTTTTTTGAGATGGAGTCTCACTCTGTTGCCCAGGCTGGAGTATGCAGTGGCGAGTCTCGGCTCCCTGCAACCTCTGTCTCCCGGTTTCAAGTGATTCTCCTGCCTCAGCCTCCGAGTAGTTGGGATTGCAGGCAGCCACCACCATGTCCAGCTAATTTTTGTATTTTTAGTAGAGACAGGGTTTTGCCACGTTGGTCAGGCTGATCTTGAACTCCTGACCTCAGGTGATTCGCCCACCTCAGCCTTAGAATGCTTTTCTAACGCAGGCACTGCAGGGCTCCATCTTTGCAGATGCTCCCTCTCCAATCATGTGGTGCCTGTGTATTTAGGGCATGCAGTGAGATCACTTCACCAGCGTTACTCCTCTCCTCCTCTGCTCCTGCTGCCGTACCACCCACCCTACGTGTATAATGAACTTCTCTCCAGGATGGAAGGCGGTGTGTGTCCTGCTTGTCTTGGAACCTGCTCCTGACCTGAGAAGACTGCAGTGAGGTGGGCCCAGCTCTCAGAGTGGACCCGTAAGTGAGGGTCGAGGCCACACGGGAAACTTGCTAGAATGCTGGGCCCCGGGGAGTGAGACCCTTTGTAGGGACTTCTGTCTCTACTTCTTTTTCCCCCATCATTCTCATTCTGATCCTGATCTCCTTTATAGCACTGAGAAAGCTACCAACTGAAGGGCAGTTAGTGGAATTTGCACCACCACAGCCTGCTATAGTCTGGTGAGACATGCCTCATTAGGAGGGAACAACCATTGACTGACCCTGCCAGGCCCCTCACATACTTGTCTGTTAGGCAGATCCTCTCCCATTCTACAGATGAGGAAGCTGAGGCTCAGAGAGATGCAGAAATTCAGAAAGCTCACTCCCCTGACACCCATTGTTCTGTCTTGTTGTTGTTGTTGTTGTTGTTGTTGTTGTTGTTGTTGTTTTGAGACTGGGTCTCACTCCCTTGCCCAGGCTGGAGTGCAATGGCCTAATCACGGCTCACTGCAGCCTTGACCTCCCGAGCTCAGGTTATCCTCCCACCTCAGCCTCCCGAGTAACTGGAACCACAGAACCACAGGCACGTGCCACCATGCCCAGCTAATTTTTGTATTTTTCTGGAGAGATGGAGTCTTTCGTATTTTTCTGGAGAGATGGAGTGTTGTCCAGGCTGGTCTTGAACTCCTAGGCTCAAGCGATTGGCCTGCCTCAGCCTCCCAAACTGCTGGGATTACAGGCGTGAGCTACTGTGTCTGGCCCCCATTATCTTTATCATTAGTTCACCAGCAAACAGAAGGCTTTGGAACGAGATCCAAGACTGGAATTTTTAAAATTCTAAATTGTTCTAAGCCAAATTTACATTAAAGCAAAAGCAGCACTGTTTGCTGCTTCCCGGGATCATCTGTCCCTCCAATCTCCTGGGAGTGGCTTTCTAGTATCTCCCTGGTTGTTTCTGAAGTCTTCTGTCCCAGCTTCCTGTCACCTCTCTCCATTCTACCCCTTCACTACCACCCAAGAGCAAATGAGTGTGGCTCTTTAGGTTCTTGGCCAAAGCCCTGGTCCTCCTGTGTTACCCAGAAGAGATGGAACCCACAGGCCACTGCTAAAAAGTCTCCAACGGTGTTAAATATCCTTGGAGGAGCAGGGAATTCCAGGAACAAATGCTTGGTGTCATTCCGAGGTGGGTGCACAGGCCCCCAGCAGTCTCTGCTGAGTCCCGCAGCCTGGACCAGGGCCTCTGGAAAGGCACAGTGCCTGGCTGCAGCTCACAGACCTGGCTTTAGAATGGCTCAGTTGGTGTTGCATGCTTTGGGTTGTTTGGAATTCCCTGCTCCTCCAAGGATATTTAACACCGTTGGAGACTTTTAGCAGTGGCCTGTGGGTTCCATCTCTTCTGGGTACAGGAAGCAGAAGGCCAGAGTGGTTAGGAGCACAGACTTCAGCATCAGCATACCTGGGTTAAATCCACCCTTGGCCTCTTTCCACATGATCCTGACAGGTGACTTTGTTCCCTCCTGTAGTGCCCGTGGAGGCGGGAAGCTGAGCCCGGCTCCCAGGAAGCACAGTGAGGGCTCAGCCATTGATGATGATGATGATGATGATGATGATGATGATGATGATGGTGATGATGATGATGCTGCTGCTGTTGACGATGAGTCCAAGCCAAGCCTGGGGAGAAAAGAATAAATAGTCTCATAAATTTAAAAAAGCCCAATGCTCATCAAGAAGAGAACAGATAAACTGTGTATTCACCCAATGGTGAGTTTAAAGCAGTTAAAAATGCATGACACACAGTTGCATATGTCAACATGAATAGATCTCAGACACTTAACAATGAGTGAAAAGAGCACATTATGGGAGGACACAGACAGGATAGTGCATTTATATAAAGCTTCAATGTTGCAGGCTGAAAGAGTGAGGGTCGTGATCAACTCAGTATCCTGGAGGCTACATGGGTAAACAGCAAACTGTTCTCATAAATGCAGAATGTTGGCAAACTGACAAACTGCATCTGCCGCCCAGAAGGAATGCGGAGGGCAGCCACTCCCTAAGCGCAGTTTTCTTGTGATTAGGTACATCTGAAGCCTGTTAGCAATAATGTGAACCTGTGATCAATTAAGCAGCTGACCAATCATTACCTCCTCTTCCCTGCTCTTTCTACCCAGTAAATACAAAGGGCTGTAGAAGCTCAGAGCTGCTGCTTTTGCTCAGTAGAAGCAGGGAGTCCTCTTCTTCTTCCCCCGACCCCTTCTTTTAAAACAGTTTCTTTTAAGTTTTCATTTCTGCGTTCATCCTCCTTCATTCAGTCCCGTAGTAACCGTGGCAAACCACGGCACTTCAAAACCTCATAAAAAGCACCACATATTGCTTATTTGGATACATATGTTGTAAATGTGTGAAAACATGCATGGGAATGACAAATACCAAAGTCAGGATAGTGACTGGCCATGGGGAAGGGATGGTTATTATTGTCGTCTTATATCTTCAATTCCAAATGAGCCACGGGCTTAAAAGTACTTCATTGAATAAAAAAAAACCAACAATGTATTAATGCAATCATTCTGATTGTGGTTATATATTAAGGCCAGGCACAGTGGCTCATGCCTGTAATCCCAACACTTTGGGAGGCTGAGGAGGGTGGATCACTTGAGCCCAGGAGTTTGAGACCAGCTTGGACAACATGGTGAAACCGTCTCTACAAAAAATTAAAAAATTACCCTGGCATGGTGGCATGTGCCTGTAGTCCCAGCTACTCAGGAGGCTGGGGTGGGAGGATCACCTGAGCCCAGGAGTTCGAGGCTGCAGTGAGCTGTGATTGTGCCACTGCACTCCAGCTGGGACAACAGCAAGACCCTGTCTGTAAATAAATAATATATGGCACTTATTATGTGCCAGGCACTGAGTGCTTTGTATGTGACTTGCTGAATCTTCTCAACAACTCTAGGAGTTAGGTGCCATTATTAGCCCTATTTACACATGGGGAAGCAAAACCACATAGAGACAAAGCAACTTGGCTAGGGCCCTCCAGTTAGTACGTGGCAGAGACTAGATTTAAACACAGCCGTCTGACTCCAGAGCCCTCCACTATCAGAAAAACATTATCATCCGGGTGCGGAGGCTCACATCTGTTAATCCCAGCACTTTGGGAGGCCAAGGAGGGTGGATCACTTGAGGTCAGGAGTTCGAAACCAGCCTGGCCAACATGGTGAAACCCCGTCTCTACTAAAAATAAAAAAAAATTAGCTGGGCGTGGTGGTGGACACCTGTAATCCCAGTTACTTGGGAGGCTGAGGCAGGAGAATCACTTGACCCCGGGAGGCAGAGGTTGCAGTGAACTGAGATTGTGCCATTCATTGCACTCCAGCCTGGGGAACAGAGCAAGACTCCATCTCAAAAAACAAAACATTCTCGGTATAAGCAGACAGTGGGATTCCAGTGTGAATACAGAGTGTGAGTCTGTATAGGCTGGAACAAATGACTCTTCAAGGATGATGATTTTACACAAGCAGCAAAAAAGAAGAAAAAGAGTGGAAATAAAGTGGTACAATAAAAATTGGATTTTCCTGGGCCAGTGAGTTGTACCTGCCTGGTCCCCTGTGCATTACCTGTTATAAAAGAACATTGTCACAGAGTGGATGAACACACTGAAATATTTTAGTTATTTCAGTTACTTCAATCAAATATTTCAATCAATTTCAACTGAAGCACAGTAACCTAGTCCATAAGCCAAGCCCAGTTTTCCAGACCAAGCACTAAAGAAGACATTCTAGAATGAAACTGATGAATTCCATTGCTCAAGGTTGGGAAGAAACCCAAACTACAGAGACAGTGATCTGAGTTACGCTCCTTGGAGTAAAAAGTGGCACCAGCTGTTGGCAAGAAGTTTGTAAAACCAGCTGCTGCTGGCCGGGCGTAGTGGCTCACACCTGTAATCCCAGCACTTTGGGAGGCCGAGGTGGGCGGATCGCCTGAGGTCAGGAGTTCAAGACCAGCCTGGCCAACATGGTAAAACCCCATCTCTACAAAAAAAAACATAAATTAGCTGAGCATGGTGGCTTGTGCCTGTAATCCCAGCTACTCGGGAGACTGAGGCAGGAGAATCACTTGAACCCGGGAAGCAGAGGTTGTGGTAAGCCAAGATCACACCACTGCACTCCAGCCTGGGTGACAGAGCAAGACTCTGTCTCAAACAAAAACAAAAAACAGCAGCTGTTGACCTCCAGCACCAGATGACAAGGCTGGTGGGAAGTGTCCGTGGCAGACTATGTGGAAGGACACTGTCAACACATGCGCTCCTTCTTACAACTGGGCTGAATGGTGCTGAGCAGAATTTGAGTCTCCTCCTGGAGGGAGCGCTGCCTCTTTATGAAGGGGAAGTGCTCAGATAGTGCTTGCTCTGTTTATCATTAAAATTGCTTGCTCGGATGACACCAAAAGCACAGACAAAACAAGAAAAAATAGGTAAACTGTTCTACTTCAAAATTTAAAGCTACAATCCAAGGACACAATCTGCAGGGTGAAAAAGGCAGTCTCAGAGTGGGAAAAAACTGTTTGCAAATCACATATCTGATAAGGGGCTAATATCCAGATGCAAGAACTCCTATACTCAACAACAAAAAACAATCTGACTTAAAAATGGGCAGAAGTTTGGTGGCGTGTGCCTGTAGTCCTAACTACTTGGGAGGCTCAGGTGGCAGGATGGTTTGAGTCCAGGAGTTTGAGACCAGCCAAAGCAACACAGCAAGACCCCGAATCTATTTAAAAATAAATGAAATCAAAACCAGAAAAAATGGGCAAAGGATTTGAATAGCCATTTCTCTAAATAAATTATACAAATGGCAAATAAGCACACAAAAAGATGCTCAACTGAAATGCAAGTCAAAACCACTACCTCATACCTATTAGAATGGCTACTAGAAAAACGAAAAACAGGCCGGGCACAATGGCTCATGCCTGTAATCCCACACTTTGAGAGGCCAAGGAGAGCAGATCACTTGAGCCCAGGAGTTCATGGCCAGCCTGGGCAACACAGTGAGACCTCATCTCTACAAAAAAGAAAAAGAAAAATTAGCCAGTCGTGGTGGCACATGCCTGTAACCCCAACTACTTGGGAGGCTTGCTTGAGCCCAGGAGGTCAAGGCTGCAGCGAGCCATGATTGCACCACAGCACTCCAGCCTGGGCAACAGAGTGAGACCCTGTCTCAAAAAATAAAAATGGTTGGGGCAAATTCCTACCCATTCTCTCTGAAGCACGTGTGCCCCTCCCTGTGGATATAGAATCCCTGGATCTAGGGTGTAATGGTATGGGGAATCCACCACCTTGTCTGTTTCTAAGAAAAACAACAACAAAAATAAAGGGATGGGTTAAAGTTCCTGAATTAGCCGCCCCTGGAGCTGTCCCTGTCCCAGCAGCGGCTTCCCACAAGACCAACTTTTTTTTTTTTTTTTTTTTTGAGACGGAGTCTCGCCCAGGCTGGAGTGCAGCGGTGTGATCTCGGTTCACTGCAACCTCTCCCTCCCGGGTTCAAGCGATCCTCCCTCCTTAGCCTCTGGAGTAGCTGGGACTACAGGCTAATTTTTGTATTTTTAGTAGAGATAGGGTTTCACCATGTTTGCCAGACTGGTCTCGAACTCATGACCTCAAGTCATCCGCCAGCTTCCGCCTCCCAAAGTGCTGGCATTATAGGTGTGAACCACCGCGCCCGGCCGACCAAGGACAACTTCTTGGTGTTTCACAGAAGCCAAAATGCCCAAGGAACCCCTGGCGCTCTGGCAAGGGTGGGACTCCACCCGGAGTTGCCGCCAGGGCGCCTTCTGCCCGGCCGCCTGCACTCCCCTCAACCAACGCGGAACCGACACTCGAGGCCGAAACACTGTGAGCAAGGAAAAGGCCGACACCCAACACCGGTCACGCGGCGGATCAGACGCGGCCTCGGGACTGGGCTTGGGGAGGCCGGGCTTCCGGGGCTAGTAAGCGTCTACTAGCCGGGCTGTTTAGGGATTGGTCGCCTCTGGCCCTGGAGGCGGGGGTTCCTGGAGTAAGACGGTTGCTGATTGGCTGGCTTTCCGAGGCGGGGTTGTGAAGCGTTGGTCATTCTATCTGGGTGCTGGGTTAGGCAGTACGAATACTAAAATTGGAACCAGTGACACGCAGATTGGTGAAGCGTTCCATATTTTTTCCATGTGATACCCTAAAGTAGGATGAAAGACTGTGCTGAGCAAAATAAAATGGGCTATCAGGGGAAAAAAAAAACAAAAAAACTGGTTCTGGGAGTTAGCTGTTACCAGAACAGTCTCTTCCTAGGAGAACAGGCACTTTTAATTCTCAGTGTCTATTGCATAATGGTCACCAGATGGGCTATGGAGTTGAGCCTGGGATTTGACTCCTGACTTCCCTGTGTGACCTGGAGAAGTTACTTAACCTCAATTTTCCCATCAATATAATGGGAATAATATAAATGCCTCCCGAGACTGAGGCGGGCAGATCACTTGAGGCCAGGAGTTCGAGACCAGCCTGGCCAACACGGTGAAACCCCGTCTCTACTAAAAATACAAAAACTAGCCGGTTGTGGTGCACTCCAGCCTGGGCAGCAGAGCAAGACTGTCTCAAAAAAATAATAAAGTCAAATAAAAAAGCAACTTGGAACCTGCGCTTCTGCTGCTGATCAAATACTGCACTGCTCCTTCTCTGCTCTAGGAAGCTTATGTGTCAGGCTGTCTCTCTGACCCCCTCTTGCCCGCTCCCTCCTTCTCTCAGCTGCAGCTTCTCTGGCCTTCATCAAATCTGAGTTGTTTTTCTTGCTTTAGGCCCTGTGCTGTCTTTCCACCTCCCACCCACACCCCTTATGGGCAGCATCTCCTTCTCCAAGCCTAGCGCCTCCATGATGGGGGCTGTTCCTGGCTCCTCCTTGTGCTTTTGGAGCTCTCTGTACCTTTCCTCTGTCAACTAAAAATGAAATCAGCCCTTCAGTGACTGAATGGAGTCCCCCTTGGCTAAGGAACCCCAGAAAAACCTTAAAAACAGTTCCCAGCCATGATGAGATGGGGGGGTCAGACATGCCTCATGAAGCCTCTCCGTTTTACAGTTTAGAAACAACAACCGACCAGCATTCATGTTAAAATAGAGAACATAAGACTGGCAGAGCAGACTCTTCTATGGCAATACAGTATCAAATTATAAACAGGACCTCGGGCCATGGCAGGTGAGGATTAAGTCACACACTCCACACTTGCCACAAGTTTTCTTTTTCTCTAGCAGCTAAACAAGTTCTAGATGGCCTGGAGATAAGCAATATTAAAACAATTACAATTCACCCAGCTCCCAGAGGCTGTGGGACTGACCACCTGTTCCACCAGCCATAACTACAGCTTTCATTGGACAAGAGGCTGACTTCAGCAACTTTCTCCAGATAAGAAGACTATGAACTGGCTCTGGCCAATTTACAGAGCACTTGCATGCCCTCATCTTCTGAAAAGCCCTTTCAACGAATAGGGCCTAATTGTAATATATTTAAATGCCAAGTCTCCACCCCAAAGTAAACATGGGTCGAATGGTACATGCATGTTTGTTCAATATGCATGTGTCAAACCACCTTCATGAATATGCATAGCCCCTCCTACAATCTGCTGAATATGTATGTTTAGCCAACCCGTTCAGCATAAAGCTCCTACCCCAACCCCTTCTCCTACCTGTCTCTGGTCTTGGCTGGAGGCACGCTTCCTAGCCTGTGGGATGACCACCTTGCAGGCTGTAAACTCCTCTAAAGGAGCCTCCTCTCCTTTCCCAAATTTATAAATCATGTGATTTTTTTCAAGTTAACGTATCATAGTACCAAATCACAGGTGTAATTCTGCTACTTGTGTTCACATCTGATTGATGTCTTTCCCAACACACATGGGGCCACTCACTTTAATAAGGGCATAGGAGCAGGGATCTATTAGTTGAATAAAGAAAGGGAATGAATGAATGAATGAATGAATGAAGGCACTTAATCAAGACTCAGCTGTTTGCCAGACAGGCTCCAGCCCAAGGATCAGGAGTACCTGACCTGCTAAAGAAAGTGCTCTTCATCTCAGAGCTGATGAACCTGAACGTTCCAGTCATTTCCCTGGTAAAGTGCCCAATCTACTTGAAATCTTTAAAAATTGGCATGTTTGGGCCGGGAGCGGTGGCTCACGCCTGTAATCCCAGCACTTTGGGAGGCCAAGGTGGGCGGATCACTTAAGGTCAGGAGTTAAGACCAGCCTGACCAACATGGAGAAATACCGGTGTCTCCACTGAAAACACAAAATTAGTCGGGCGTGGTGGCAGATGCCTATAATCCCAGCTACTCGGGAGGCTGCAGCAGGAGAATTGCTTGAACCTAGTAGGCAGAGGTTGCAGTGAGCCAAGATCGCACCATTGCACTCCAGCCTGGGCAACAAGAGTGAAACTCTGTCTCAAAAAAAAAAAAAATTGGTATGTTTGGTTGGGCATGGTGACTCATGCCTGTAATCTCGACACCTTGAGAGGCCGAAGCAGGAGGATCACTGGAGCCCAGAAGTTCGAGACGAGCCTGGGCAAAACAGGGAGACCCCCGTCTCTAAAAAACAAATTGTTTAAAAATTAGCCAGAGGTAGGCTGGGCGTGGTGGCTCATGCCTGTAATCCCAGCACTTTGGGAGACCGAGGTGGGCGGATCACGAGGTCAGGAGATCAAGACCATCCTGGCTAACACGGTGAAACCCTGTCTCTACTAAAAATACAAAAAATTAGGCAGGCATGGTGATGGGCGCCTGTAGTCCCAGCTACTCGGGAGGCTGAGGCAGGAGAATGGCGTGAACCCAGGAGGTGGAGCTTGCAGTGAGCCAAGATCGCACCACTGCACTCCAGCCTGGGTGACAGAGCAAGATTCCGTCTCCAAAAAAAAAAAAAAAAAGCCGGAGGTGGTGCATGCACCTGTAGTCCCTCCTACTGGGTGGAGGTGGGAGTGGGGAATCACTTGAGCCCAGGAGATCAAGGCTGCAGTGAACTGTGGTTGTGCCACTGCACTCCGGCCTGGGAGACAGAGTGAGACCCTGTCTCAAAAAACAAATAAACAAATAAAAACCAGCATGTTTGTGTCATCTTAATTGACAGATCATCATCCTGATTATCATCACCACAACCATTTGTTGCGAACTCATCAGGTGTGAGGTGCTGGGCTTTTGACATGAGCCTGTGACGTTGTGACATGCTTTGCCAACGTTTGTCATTATTTTTCTTTTTTTTTTTTCTTGAGAGAGTGTCTTGCTCTGTCGTCCAGGCTGGAGTGCAATGGCATGATCTCAGCTCACTGCAACCTCTGCCTCCTGGATTCAAACGATTCTCCTACCTCAGCCTCCCAAGTAGCTGGGACTACAGGCATGTGCCACCACGCCTGGCTAATTTTTTTTTTTTTTGTATTTTTAGTAGAGACAGGGTTTTGCCATGTTGGCCAGGCTGGTCTCGAGCTCCTGACCTCAGGTGATCCACCCGCCTCGGCCTCCCAAAGTGCTGGGATTACAGGTGTGAGCCACTGCACACAGCTGAAAGTCACTTTGAAATAACCAATCCACTTTTTGTTCTGTTTCTGCTTTGTCAGCCTTCTCCATCTGTAAAACCAGCCTCCTCTGTTCAGCAAATCGGGACACTCATTCTATTGCCCAATTCTAGAATAACAAATAAAAGCCAATTAAGGCTAGGTGCTATGGCTCACACCTGTAATCCTAGCACTTTGGGAGGCTGAGGCGGGCAGATCACCTGAGGTCAGGAGTTCGAGACCAGCCAACATGGTGAAACCTCATCTCTACTAAAAATACAAAAATTAGCTGGGTATGGTGGTGCACACCTGTAATCCCATCTACCTGGGAAGCTGAGGCAGGAGAATCACTTGAATCCAGGAGGTGGAGGTTGCAGTGAGCTGAGATCATACCACTGCACTCCAGCCTGGGCGACAGAGCAAGAGAAAGAAAGAGAGAGAGAGAGAAAGAGAAAGAGAAAGAGAGAGAGGGAAAGAGAGAGAAAGAGAAAGAGTCAATTACGCTATTTAAACTGATTGGTTGTAATTTTGTCTCTGACAGCCTTTAGACATGGATTTTTTGAAGCTGTGACAAAAGTGAGTCCCCTCGGCAGAGTGACAGAGGTGTTTGTCCTCTTCCCCTGCCTCTTTCCCCAAAGCAAAAACCCACGTGCCACGGCACCCAAACTGGGGGAGGGACCTACTTTTCCTAAGTCACACCCTGCTCTATAAGTGGGTACCAGGGGGTGGCAGCCACTGGTATTCTCAGCTGGTCTCGCCCCGCCTGGTGTGAAAAAGCCTCCATCCTATGAGCTAGCTGGAGTTGGGCCGGCAGGGCCCAAGCATTCTCAACCTGCCACACCTGGAGAAGAGCTTCCACGCTCCAGGTGGGCCTTGTGGGAAAGTCCTCTCTGCTGTACCTGCTTGCAGTAGAGATTCTGCAACACAGGGATGGGCAGGGAGGGGTGGGGTGCTGTGTAGAGAAAGGCCAGCAGCCTTCCCCTCCCAGGGCGAAATGAAGAGCCAGACTAGGAGCTGGGAGGAGAGCCCCTGTCTTTTTGACCACACCTGCCTAGAGCATAACACCCCAGGTAAAACTTCCACGACACAGAGCTGGGGGGTTAGGGGGAGAAATGGTGTTTTTCTAACACCAAATATTTGTTACTTTTCACACCAATTCTCTGATACCAGCTGGGTATCCAACATGTGAGAGTACATAAAATTTAAAAGCTGGCTGGGTGCAGTGGATCATGCCTGTAATCCCAGCACTCTGGGAGGCCAAGGCGGGCAGATCACTTGAGATCAGGAGTTTGAGACCACCCTGGGCAACACGATGAAACTCCGTCTCCACCAAAAAAAATTAAAAAATTAGCCAGGCATGGTGGTGCGTGCGTGTAGTCCCCAGCTACTCGGGAGGCTGAGGCAGGAGAATCGCTTGAACCCAGGAGGCAGAGGTTGCGAGCCGAGATGGTGCCACTGCACTCCAGCCTATGTGACAGAACGAGACACTGTCTCAAAAAAAAAAAAAAAAAAGAAAAGAAAAAGAAAAAAAATGTAAAAGCCGTTGGAACCCCAAAACCACTTTAAGCCTTGAGAGATATGCGACTGTGATGTGGGTCATGGAGCCTGTTCTGCAGATCTGCCTCTTAGACTGGAGCTTAACCCTCTTCCCCATTGTTCCCGTTCTGTAAATGATGAGGAAAGACCAGAGACCAGAACTCCCCCTCCCCATCACTGACCTTGTTGGAGATTAACTGCCTCTTTTATTGGCCTGTACCTAACTCAGACCAGATGGCGTCGTGAACAGAGACACTGTGGCATGATCATAACTCACTGCAGCCTCGAATTCCTGGGCTCAAGCAGTCCTCCCACCTCAGCCTCCTGAGTAGCTGGAACTACAGGCGGATGCCACCAGGCCTGGTTAATTTTTTTTTTTTTTAGAGATGGGGGTCTTGCTATATTGCCCAGGCTGGTCTTTAACTCCTGGCCTTAAGTGATCCTCCCACCTTGGCCTCTCAAAGTGCTGGGATTATAGGCATGAACCAGTGCACCTGGCCAAGGGCATGTTTAATGATGCCTGGCCTCCCTGCTTCCCCAGGGCCTAGGTTTCTTCCCTCCAAAGTCTCCCAGAGGTGACAGTGCCCCAGGCCACTGTCCACTGTCCTTGGCCGGTGCTGCAGTCTGCATGGCTTTGTGCACTGCCTGACTCCCCTCAGAAGACCCAGCTCCTGCAGGGTTTGTGTCTCACAGCTCCAGCAGCTCTGGGCCCATCAGCCTCAGTCTCCAAGACTACGGAAGGCAGCTGGAGAAGCGATAATGAGACAGTGCCCCCATGGCAAGTAGCGGCCTATGGTCCAAAGTAGGGAGCTTTGGGGAGAGTCTCCAAGCAAACCCCAGAAAGTGCTCTCCCTCCACCCTGCAGCGTCCCCTCCCTGCCTAGAAGTTCAGCTCGTCCCTCTTGCCACGTGGTGCTGACAAAGCCATCCTGGTGCTGATGAAGGCGAGGAGGGCAGGTCTCCAAGCTGACACCCTCTGTGGGCTCCAGGCTGCCCGAGGGGCTGTGGGCCCCATTAAGCTGGGAATTCAGAGCTACCCCCTGCAATGGGCCTGGGGAAAAGAGAATAGAAATGGGGGAGGCACGGGGAGGCCCCCGGTCAACTGGGAGCACTGTGGGAATTTTTGCCTGCCTAGGCTCCTGTGGGAGCAGCTGTTCAGGCGGGGGAGGGGGCAATGTCCAGCAGGAGCAGGGCCATCGCATTGAGCTGGAAGGGCACTGGGCCAGGCCTCCCCGCTCTCCCCACAAGGCCTGGGCAGCCAGAGCTCCCTCACTTGTAAGTGCACTCAGGCTGAGGCCTGTGCAGAAGCATGGGGGTCTCTTCCCTCTGCCAGTCACATTTGTGCCCTCCCAGGGCTGCCCTGCCTGCAGGGAACAGGCACCCTGGGAAGGGCAGACCACCACAGGCGAGGTCCAGGGCTGTCGGAAATTCCAGGCAGGCCTGCCTACCACACAAAGTGGGCGGGAGCTTCATGGGCCACCACTCACTAAGTGCCCCCAGCATCCCTGGACCGTATCCCTGCACAGGGAACTTTACAGATGCGGTCTTGTGAACTCTTTCACAGAGCAGGGTTCAGGCCATTGGCCCAAGGACCCACTGGAGGTCAGACAGAGCCCAAATGTGAGCCCACTTTTGACCAACCAATCACTTCTCTGACCTTTCTCATCACCAACAGTAAAAATGCCCCCACCTCCCTGTGTTTCTGACCCGTCACCGTGACCCCAAGCTCTCCTCATCCCCCTGCCCCTGCCCCAAGGGTCCTACAACTCACAACATCTAGTTGCTCCAAGAAACCACATTTGCTGAAGTACCACTGCCATTCCCCTTGGCTATTGTCAGAGTTTTTCAGGGTGGTGCTATAGCCATCTCTTGCTAAGTGACAAGCCCTGGGATGACAGGGATGGAAAGGACCTGCCCGCTGTCCCACGGAGTGAGTGCCTGGGCTGGTGGGGAACACAGGCAGGCACACAGGCATGGCTGGCTGAGATTGGGGCTGGGGATGGAGCTCATAGAGGCACCCAGCTGCCAGCCAGGGCCCCATCAGCTGGACGCCCCAATGCACCCATGCCAGGACACTGTCACCCCAGGCCACAGCTGCAGAACAGGCTTTGTGTGCCCAGGGTTAGTGTCGTCCATCTTCTGATCAGCACAAAGGAAAGGATGGCGATTTCCAGGGCCCTGACCCACATGAACTTTCCCCATGGCGCTTATTTCCACGTGGGAGAAAGAGGGTTGTCCCCAGAAGCCCAAAAAGTTGCCCTGGGAGCCAGGCATCCTGCCTGCCATGGCCTGGGACTCCTGGGCCTGGGGCCTCACTGATGCCATCTGCCTTGGAGTGGGACCTGGTACCGGCACCCAGCAAGAAGAGGGCAGGGTCCCTTTAAGCCCAGCCTCACTCCCTCGGCCTGTTGCTATGTACGGGACCAGCTTCCTTAGCAACCACCTGGCCTCTTCCTGGGGCCTGGAGCCCTGGTTGCCATCAGCCATGGCTCCCAAAAAGAGTGTGAGCAAGGCAGGCAAGGAGCTTGAAGTCAAGAAGAAAGGGGGCAAGAAGGAGCCGGTGGTGGCCGTGGAGCCGCCTCTGGCCAAGGAGATGAAGGAGTTCTACCACATCCAGATCCGAGACCTGGAGGACCGGCTAGCCCGGTGCGTGGGCTGGCGGGCAGGAGTCTGGTGCCCTGGGTCAGAAGCCCATGCCCAGGTGGCCCCCATGCAGGTTTGGCCATGGGGCCTTAGGCCTGTGTTCTGACCTCCCCTGGGATGTCCAGACCCCATCCCGACCCCAGCCTCATTTCCTCATACGTACCTTTGGGAGGTTTCAAGATTTTGAGGGTAAATGGATTTCCCCACCTTCCCAGCTCCTAGAACCCTGGGCCCACGATGCTAGCTCGTGGCCCCACCCCAGGCAATCCCCACGTCCCCCTGCCTCACTCCTGCCCCATGGGATCACAGGCTTTATGAAAGGGTGGAAACAGCCCTCTGGCAGGCGGGTGGACCCCCAGGCCCCACTTCCACTTCCTGGCAGTGGCACCTGTGCCCCACTGACTCACCCAGCACATGAGCCCAGTTGTTTCTCCATGCTGGGCCTCAGTTTCCCCAAATATAAGTGGGGAAGGTTGATTCCCCCTCCATGGCTGTGACATTCTATTCTAGAGCCAGTTTTGTGTGTGACATAGTGCTGGGGGGAGATCCTCTAACTCTTCATTCAGAGCCATGTTCACCTGCCCGTCATTTTCTTATGTTACAACCAGTTTCCTCCCCGTTGTGAGGCACCGCCCCAGTCTCAGGGTGACCTTAAAAGACAAACCAGTAGGCGGCAGCTCTTCCCCAGGTGACTGATGCTGTGGGTGACCACAGCTAATGCTGAGTCCCTCGTGGTGCCAGGCAGGCCATGGGCTGGTGCTCACTGAGTCCTCACAGCAGTCTTACTAGAGAGGTCCTGATGTCATCCCCATTGCACAGATGGGGAAGACTGAGGCTCAGAGAAGGGAAGTCACCCCCAGGAAGAGGAGGCACCAAGATGGGAGCCCTGGCCTCCTGACTCCCCTATGCAAGACTGCTTCCTCAGCCCCCACCCCTGAAATGCTCTGTGTGCAGTCACTATTTGAAAGATGTTGGTCAACTAAATTATGATGTAAAACAACTTTCCAGGCCAGGCACAGTGGCTCAGGACTGTAATCCCAGCACTTTGGGAGGCCAAGGTGGGCAGATCATGAGGTCAGGAGTTCGAGACCAGCCTGACCAACATGTTGAAGCCCAGTCTCTACTAAAAATACAAAAATTAGCTGGGCATGGTGGCGGGCGCCTGTAATCCCAGCTACTCAGGAGGCTGAGGCAGGAGAATCACTTGAACCTGGGAGGCAGAGGTTGCAGAGAGCCGAGATCGTGCCACTGCACTCCAACCTGGGTGACAGATCGAGACTCCATTTCAAAAATTAATTAATTAATTTAATTTAATTAAAAAAAACTTTTCAAGTAACTTCAGTTACTCCATTGAAAACCACTAAATTGGTTATGTGATACTGATTAACACACTTCCCTTGAAATTCACAAACTTCCCTTGAGCTGAGATATCAGGTAGAATATATTCAAGGCAAATGTATTTAACAGAGTTATTGGGTGCTTACTATTTGCCAAGCCCTGGGAATACAGAGGTGGAGGAGAGGGACATGTTACTAGGTTTTGACCACTCAGTGGGACAAGGGCCAACTTACAGGAGCACCAAAGAGAGGGCCACAAATGTGGCTCAGGGCCAAGAAGGGTCCACTGAGGAGAAAACACCAAGGTTACTGGATGGAAAAAGGTAAGGGAGATGCCAGGTACAAAGACTTGGGATTGGAAAGTGTGGAAGAGTTATGGAGGGATGCAGAGCTGGCCGACTGCAGCAGGCATTGTGGCTAAGAGCCTTGCTTCTGGGGATCAGACTGATTCAGGTTCAAGTCCTGGCTGTGCCACTTACAAACTCAGAGTTCCTTTATCCTTCTGAGCCTCAGTTTCCTCATCTGTCAAATAGGTATAAAATCATCATAGTACCTACATTCTTATAGGTTGTTGTAATGATTTAACAAACACACTGCACACCTGCTATCTGCCAGGCACAGGTGTTGGGGACATACTTGTAAACATAACAAGGCCCTGCCCTCATGGAGTTTACATTCTAGTGATGTAATGAAAATAACATGCTAAGCACAGGCATTGGCTGTGGTCATGACTGTCGGACCAAGGGGCATAGTGGGAGATGAGGCTGGATTCTGATCACAAGGAAACTCAAATGCCCCTTTACGGGACAGGGAGTCCAGGAGAGTGGGCCCAGCTGCACCAGAGGCCTGGCTTGCCCAGCCTGACCCCTGGACCACGGCTCTGCCCCTGCCCCAGGTACCAGCGGAAGTGGGATGAGCTGGCTGTGCAGGAGAAGATGTTCCGCCAGGAGTTTGAGCAGCTGGCCAATAACAAGAAGGAGATTGTGGCCTTCCTCAAGCGCACGCTCAACCAGCAGGTGGATGAGATCACAGACCTCAACGAGCAGCTCCAGAACTTGCAGCTAGCCAAAGAGATGGAGAAGGATGCCTTCGAGGCGCAGCTGGCCCAGGTGCGCCACGAGTTCCAGGAGACCAAGGACCAGCTCACCACGGAGAACATCATCCTTGGTGAGGAGGGGACTGGCTGGTGAGCCTGCAGGCACACATCCCAGCTCTATCACTGACCCTGTTTCTCACCTGGGAAACAGGGATAATAGCCACATGCTGCTTGGCACACACTGTCTTCCTTAATTGTCCCAGCAATCCTACGAAGCTGGAAACATCCCCCAACCAGTTTGTAGACAAGGAAGCACCTCAAAAGATGAAGTGTCGTGACCAAGGTCCCCCAGTTGGCAAGGGTTGTGAGGCTCAAATGTCAGATGGCATTAGAACCTAGCCCAGAGAATATATACAGTCCAGCTGCTGGCTGGGCGTGGTGGCCCATGCCTGTAAAACCCTGTGCTTTAGGAGGCCAAGGCGGGAGGATTGCTTGAGCCCAGGAGCTTGAGACAAGCCTAGGCAACATAGCGACACTCCATCTCTACCAAAAAAATACAAAAATTAGCCAGGTGTGGTGGTGCACATATGTAGTCCCAGCTACTTGGGAAGCTGAGGTGGGAGGATCTCTTGAGCCTGGGAGGCTGGGAGGTTGAGACTGCAGTGAGCTGTGACTGTGCCACTGCACTCCAGCCTGAGTGACAGAGGAAGACCCTGTCTCAAAAAAAAAAAAAAAAACAAAACAGTTGTTGTCATTACTGTCGCTTTCATGAGAGTATCAAGGAAGGCTTCTTGGAGGAGGTGGAACCTGAACAAAACTTCATAAGATTCATGGAGGGGTGGAGGGAGGGCAACCCAGATGAAGGCAGTAAAGGTGACAGGGCCAGGCAGGGTAGGTGGGGGATGGTAGACCTGCCCCACTGAGACCACACAGGGCGCACAGGAAGGGACAGGGACCTAAGGGGCATCTTTAAGGTCCTCGCCAGGCCCTGTCCTCTGAGGCAGCCCATCATTGGGCCTTGTGCGCTGTGGCGGCCAGGGGGGAAGCTGGCAGCCCTGGAGGAGTTCCGGCTGCAGAAAGAGGAGGTCACGGACAAGTTCACATTGCTGGAGGAGCAGGTGCGGAAGCAGGAGAATGAGTTCAGGGACTATGCATACAACCTGGAGAAGAAGTCGGTGCTGGACAAGGACAGGTGGGCAAGCGGGGCACCCTTTGGGGCCTTTGGAGGCTTCATCCCTGGGGCTACGAACATCCTAGTCTTCAGGCCTCAGCTTCTAACTGGGGGGTTAGATGGGGAAACTGACCGCCGCCCCGACAACCTGCTACTCCTTGGAATCCCAGCTGGTGATTATGGAGGGGTGGGAGAAAAGGAATAAGCTCCCAGCTGCAGTCCTCACGCTGGCATTGGAGACTCCCAGGGCTTCCTTTTGCCACTTATTGGGATTAAATCATGTTACTTAACAGGTGGGAGTACATTGAAATGGTACCAATTACAAAGGTCCAGAGGATCTACAGGGAAAGCCTCCCACCCATAGCCCCAACCCTCCCAGGGAGAGAGCATGCTGGTGTTTAACAGCCCTAGGTGCTCTGGGAACCTCACAAAGGGGTGTGCCCAGGGCTTGTGCCCGCTCTGTCTGACCCCTTCCCCTCCCACCTTTCTGGCCAGACTGAGGAAAGAGATCATCCAGCGCGTGAACCTCGTGGCCAATGAGTTCCACAAGGTGACCACGAACCGGATGTGGGAGACAACCAAGCGGGCCATCAAAGAGAACAACGGCATTACCCTGCAGATGGCCAGGGTCTCCCAGCAAGGCATGAAGCTGCTGCAGGAGAATGAGCAGCTCAAGGGAAGACAGAACAATCTGTGCAAACAGCTGGAGCTGCTGGAGAACACCCAGAAGGTCATGGCCAGGCACAAAAGAGGCCACCAGAAGGTGTGCCTGCAGGCCTCAGCACAGGGCATTTGGCATGCAAGGCAGGAGGCCGCCCTGGGGGCCCTGCAGGGGTAGAGTCAGGGGCAGTCAAGTCAGGAGGGAGGGAGGCAGCAGAGAGAGGACTGGGCCTCCTGTGGGGGCTGCAGGGTGCTGGGCCTAGCTCCGGATTGTATTTATTTAAAGCCCCCATAACTTATGGAAGCAGAGTCCAGCCCTGGAGAGCTCACTGGCCGCTCTGCATAGGGGAACACGGGAGGCCTGGCTGTGTCTGCAGCTGGGGGACAGGGCAGGCTGAGGGCATGGCCACCTGTCCGCACCCGCAGATCATCCTCATGCTGACTAAGAAGTGCCAGGAGCAGCAGCAGGACACCAAGGAGGCCGAGGAGCTGCGCCTCCTGCTGAGCCAGTTGGAGCAGAGATCCCTGCAGCTGCAGGTGGATAACCAGGCACTGAAGTGCGTATGGCCCACGGAGGGGCGGGCGGCGGGTGCAGGCTGGGGCCAAGCTCTGGCCCAGCTCTTTCCGATCCCACGACCCAGGCCAGTGACTTCCCCTCTCTAGAGGAGCCTGCCAGACAGGCTGAGGCTTGGGGCGGGATGGGGGCCCCTGTGGGCTTGGAGAGAAATGGCAGGGCCCCTGGCCCCAGGTGGCCCCAGTCCTGGGGAAGGGGGAAGGCTGTTGACTCATCCCAGTTGGGGTCCAGGAGCCAGAGAGACCAGCTGAGCCTGCAGCTGGAGCAGCAGCAGGTGGATTTGCAGCGGCTACAGCAGGAACTGGCTAATGAGCAGAAGGTTCGGGCCAGCCTGGAGGCGGCTCTGGTCCAGGCCACCTCCTTCCTACAGAACATTCTGCAGGTGAGCAGAAGGGAGAGAGGGAGGGCGCAAGGGGAGGGGGAGTGAGCGCAAGATGGAAGCTGCTTGCAGAGAAGGGGCTGCCTCAGGATCAGAGGCCCCTCTTTTCCCTGAGAGACTCCTGGAAAGTCTGTCCTTCGCTGATTCTGGCCTTCAAAGATCCCTCCAAGGTCTTAAAGGAGCTGGATTCCTTCTCTGAGGCTCTGAAAGGTCTTGGGCCTCAGTCTTCCCGACTGAAGAATGGGTATCCCACCACAGACAGGGAAAACTTCGTGGAAATGGGCACTGAGGTTGGAATTTCCTGGACGAGGGTGGGTACTGGGGCCACTGTGGGCCTGCTGCCACCCCACCCTCACCAACAGATGCACCGCGATGAAGAGGACAGTGACGTTGACGTGACGTTCCAGCCATGGCACAAGGAGATGCTGCAGCAACTGCTGGTCATGCTCAGCTCCACTGTGGCCACGAGACCTCAGAAGGCTGCGTGTCCCCACCAGGAGTCACAGTCCCATGGCCCACCCAAGGAGAGGTAAGCAAGTGGCCCTGTGTGGCCTCAGAGGCAGCCACAGAGAGCAGGGCAAAGGCATTCAGCCATGGGGACAGTGCTCGGCTCACCCTGGGCCAGAAACCTGGCTCGCCGAAGGCTCTGTGACCCTCGGCCCCCTCCCCACAGCCGGCCCAGCATCCAGCTGCCCAGGACTGGGTCTCTGCTGCCGCAGCTCTCTGACATCACCCCCTACCAGCCGGGGGATCTAGGCCTGGTACCTCGCCAGGTCCACATCCCACCCAACCCCCAGGACCTCAGGCTGCTGTCATATATCACCCGTGTGGGGACCTTCCGGGCACACAGCAGCCCTGAGGTGAGGGTGCCAGGGGCCCCAGGGAAAGCAAGGTGGCAGCTAGTCCTGGGTACAAACTGAGGCTCTGCCAGGCCACAGCTGTGTGGCCCTGGGGATGTAACCAGATCTCTCTGAGCCTTCCCATCTGTAAAATGGGCTGAAGAAAGGAGTGGCCAAGCCTCAATGGGCCAAAGCATGCCCACACATGCCCTGGGAGGGGGGTTGGCTGGACCCTGTTCTTCCCTCCCCCACCAGCAGGGAAAGAGTGGGATCCCCCTGAAGAGGCCTCAGCTTCCAAGCCAGCATCTTTCTTTTTTTTTTTTTTTTTTTTTTTTTTTTGAGACAGAGTCTCACTCTGTCACCCAGACTGGAGTGCAGTGCCACAATCTCAGCTCACAGCAACCTCCGCCTCCCAGGTTCAAGTGATTCTCCTGCCTCAGTCTCCCAAGTAGCAGGGATTACAGGCATGCACCACCATGCCTGGCTACTTTTTGTATTTTTAGTAGAGACAGGGTTTCACCATGTTGGCCAGGCTGGTCTCGAACTCCTGACGTCAAGCAATCCCCCAGCCTCGGCCTCCCAAAGTGCTGGGATTATAGGTGTGAGCCACTGCACCCGGCCTCCAAGCCAGCATCTTTAATCTTACAGATGCGTGCCCCTGGTTCTCTAAAAAGGCTTGAAAAGTTTAGTCTTCCTGAAGTTCCCCTACGTCCCAAGTAGGACACAGAGAGAAGAACCTACTCCAGAAATGGACTGGTCCAGTCACAGTCACCCCCACTTTAATCCGCAGGCAGCCTGGAACAGTCTAGAGGAGATTTGTATAAAAAGTAGATACCAAGGCTGGCGTGGCAGCTCTGTGGCAGTGGCTGGGTTGGTGGGCACTACAGTCAGGCAGGCAGCCATGGCCACTAGTGTCACGGCCCCAGTGAGGGCCCCTGGCTTCGCTCACGGATGTGGTCCAAGATCAGGTCGGTGGCTCGATCCAGCAACAGAGGCAGCAGCTCCTGCTCAGCAGGGGAGAAGCAGCCCAGCACATGGGCCTGAACCGCCTCAGGGTGCGCCGGGCGCCCGATACCCACCCGCAGCCTTGGCATTGCCTGTGGGAGAGCCAGAGAGGCCCAGGAAGCTTTGGCGAGGTGCTGGGGGACCCCTGGCCCACCCGACCCAGTTGCACAACAAAAGGGTAGACTCACATTGGAGTTGAGGCAGCTAATGCAGGAACGGACTCCATTGTGGCCCCTTCAAGGGATATGGGAGGGGCAGTTAGTGCCTCCCTGGGGCAGTGTCCTTCCACCCCTCCCTGCCCCGGCTGGGTCAGAGCAGCCCATTTCCTGTGGAGACTGGGTCAGCAGCCCTACTCCACCCCAACTGGGAGGCCTGAAGCCCTATCCCAACCCTGACCATCTCAGGACCTCACCTGGCACTGCCCCCCAGCTTCAGAGCCAGTCTCCCCAGGGGCTTGTCCAGCTCATCATGCACCAGGTAGACTTCCTCGGCAGTCAGCCCAAACAGCTCCGCTTAGCACAGGGAAACGGCAGCCCTGGTTACTGCCCATCTGCCCAGAGAGGCACTGTCCCGACTCCCATGATGAGGGACCACAACTAATCCCACTTCACATATAAAGAAACTGAGGCCCCCCGAAGTACCCAAAGCCATGCAGCAACTGGAGCTCAACAGGTACTTGGAGGTGAACCCGCGGATCTGTCACAGCCAGTGCTCCCCTCTGGCCCCCGCGCCCCAACCCCCACCCCCTTGGCCCGCCCGCCCACCCCTGGCGCTCTCAACTCACCAGCCCGGGCCACGCTGCGCCCGTTGGCGTTCATAAGCCGCCGTGGCCGGAGCAGGACCAGTTGGGCATCCCCCAGCGGGGCCAGGGCGAGGTCGGCGGCACAGTGCCGGTCGCGCGTCCAACTCTCCGCCACACCCAGCCGCCGCGCCAGCTGCCCCAGCACCGCCATGCCCACGCTGTGTCGCGTGCCGGGCAGTCCGGGATTCCCCAGGCCAGCCACCTGCGGGCGGCACCAGGGAAACTGAGGCCCAACAACTCTCGCCACCCCCGATCTCACAGCGTCCCGTGGGCCCCAACGCAGAGGAGCGGAAACGCAGAGCAACGCTGCAGTGGGGAAGGGGCGCGAAGAAGGGGCCCAGAAACCCGACCCCTGAGAACTCCAGAAGGCTGGGCAGGCAGGGCGCCCTAGTGCAGGAACGGAGCTTCAAGAAGTTTGGAGCCCGTCGAGCACTGAACTCACCAGTTAAGAAAACAGAGCAGCAATTTGGGGGCACTCGGCTCCCGGGACATAATGGCCGAACTGAAGCTAGGGACCGGGAGCCCCTACGTCGCCGCCCCACGCCACTCACCATCCACCGCTTCCCCGGGGGGCGAGGCTCCAAAACACATCGGCTCATGGCTCTACTCAGCCGCTGTCCGGCGCCCAAAAAGCCGCCCGGCCTCATGCTGCCCCCATTCACTCCGACACCGCCCCCTGACGTCATCACCCCGCAGCAGCCAATCGTGTTGCCAACTGTTTGGCGTCCACCGCCAACGTCCAATCCGGGCCGGGCTACGTGGCCGCCATGCTTCTGAGGGGCGGAAGCGGCGAGGCGGTGGCCGAGTCCGGGAACCCAGGCGCCTTCAGTAGCGCGGCGTCACAGTGTCCCTTCGGGACTTGTGTGGGACGCTCGGAGCTCTTGCTTGACCTTCGGTTGGGAGGCCTTGTTATGCCCCCCGCTATGGCCCTGACTTGCGGCGAAAATCTGGCAAGTCCTTTCCCCGCTGTAGGCCTCAACCTCTCCAGCTAATAAAAGTTTTCTACCTCCCTCCGGCTCAAAAAGCTTGGTTCCCGGGGGCGTGGCCAGAGGGGTGGGGCCTGTGGGCGTCCTGGTGATGGTGCCTAGCAACGTCAGGGCCAGGGCCGCGAGGTAGTTGGCAGAGGCCTCGGGGTCCTCCTGGAAGGGGCCTCATGACAGATTCGGACGAGGTGCGGGCTTGGGAGAAGACTAACGCAAAGGCAGAGGGCCAGGCAGAGAGACCGAGGCTGGGTTCGCAGGAAAGGGTGAAGGCCGGGAGAGGCAGGGGCAGCAGTCCGACTCAGGGAAGGCCCTGGCCGCCATGCCAAGAACCAGGCATGTGAAAGATCCTTGTAAGGCTCGGCGGCTGCTTGGACAGAGGTCTCTGGCTTGGGTAGCTGGTGGGGAAGGTGACCTCACCAAAATGGGAGAACCTGGGGCAGAAGTCAGGTGAGGTGCTCAGTGTGGCCTGCTGGAGTGAGGGTCCTGAAGGTTACCCAAGGGACTGTAGGACCCCCAAGGCCTGAGACTTGGGACCAGGCCTGAGCTGGAGACATCAAAGCTTGGGGTGTCAGTAGCCGGAAGTGGGAGCTGGGAAGGCCCTGGGGGAGAACAGACGGTGTTGTAAGCATGAGGACCCTGATCCCTGACCTTGACCACAGGAGAGGGAGAAGGGCAGGACTGCAGAGGGACAGGTTGGAGCGTCCCTAAGGGGAATGGGGCTGGGAGCGCCACCGGAACCCCGAGTGGGAGTGCCTCCTTCCAGGCCTCATTTCCGCCTCTCCTCCCTCCCTGCAGAATGCTGGGGAGTGTGTCAGTGGGTGGGGGTCGTCTCGGGGGCCTGCTCCAGCTTGCTGTCCTTCGGTTCTAGGATGCCCTGAAGGTTGACCAGGGCCCCTCACGGGACATCCCAAAGCCATGGGTGATTCCAGCCCCCAAAGGGATCCTGCAGCACATCTTTGGGACCAGCCACGTGTTCCAAAGCATCTGTGATGTAAAACCAAAGGTCACAGGGTTAACAGTGCCCCTCAAAGTCAGGGAATAGTGAGTGACTACCTTGCTTTGGGGTCCCAGGTTCCTGCCCGACACAGCCATTCACATGCTGTGCAGCTTTGAGCCACTTACTCTCTTCAGGCCTCAGTGAACTCAACTGTCTAATGGGGCTCTTCCACCTCAGTGGGAACGAGGCTGATGGCCTGGCTGGACTCCAGGAACACCAGCCTGCCCTCCCTGGGCTTCTGTCTACTCCTCCTGCCTCTCCACCCAGCTCCCTTGCTTCCCACAACCCCCACCCCAGCCCTATGCCCTGGGCTGGTCCACAGTCAGGGCCACCCCTCTGCCTGTCCCCACTTTCCCCACAGCTACTCCAGAGGCCAGCAGTGCTTGGAGCAGGCAGACTGGGAGACAGCTGTGCTGCTCTTCTCCCGCGCACTCCACCTGGACCCACAGCTGGTGAGAGGCAGACCTGGGTGGGCACAGGCAGTTGCTGGAACATGCTTCCTCCCTCCCTGTCGCACCTGCCAGATCCCTCCTCTCAGGGCCACCAAGTCCCTGATGGGAATTGGATGTCAACTCTCAGGGGGGTGGAGACTTTCCCCTACCCTCCAGGGGCAGATGGTGGGGAGGATCTAGCAGCCTGGGTCCCCTCACCCTCAGGTGGACTTCTATGCCTTACGGGCTGAGGCCTACCTCCAGCTCTGTGACTTCTCCTCGGCCGCCCAGAACCTGCGAAGGGCCTACTCATTACAGCAGGACAACTGCAAGCACCTGGAGCGCCTCACCTTTGTGCTCTACCTACAGGTGCCTGGGGCCTCCCGGGCCCATGCAGGGCACCCACCTCACACTTCTCAGGGGCTCTCCTGGCTCCTGGGCCCAGCTCTGTCTCCTTAGATTCCTCCTTGTCCCTGTGTCTGGGTCCCCCCCGCTGCCCCTCTCACCTCCAAGGCTGGTTTACTGCCAGGGTTGAGTCAAGTTTGGCAGCATTTTCCATTTGGGCTTTCTGCCATAATGACAGTGTCCAATATGCTAGCCACCAGCCACGTGGAACTGTTGAGCCCTTGAAATGTGGCAAGTGTGACTAAAGAACTGAATTTTATATCTTATTTTTATTTTATTTTATTATTATTATTATTTTTGAGACAGTCTTGCTCTGTCACCCAGGCTGCAGTGCAGTGGCACGATCTCGGCTCACTGCAACCTCTGTCTCTTGGATTCAAGCAATTCTCCTGCCTCAGCCTCCTGAGTAGCTGGGACTACAGGCACACGCCACCACGCCTGGCTAATTTTTTGTATTTTAGTAGAGACAGGGTTTTACTTTGTTGCCCAGGCTGGTCTTGAACTCCTGGGCTCAGGCAATCCACCCACCTCGGCCTCCCAACGTGCTAGGATTACAGATGTGAGCCACTGCGCCCGGCCTCTTATTTTTATTTTAATTAATTTAAATGTGTATAGCCACACAAAGCTAGTGGCTATTGTCTTGGACAGAACGGCACAGATCTAGAGTCCAGAGGCTCTAAGCACTAAAAAGGTCACAGTGACCCCTAAGTGTATTTCAAAGGAAAAACAATATTAAACTATAAAACACCAACGAAGTGTTGCTTTTTTCCATTTTGATAACCTTGATGTCTTTTTTTTTTTTCTGAGATGGAGTCTTGCTCTGTCACCGAGGCTGGAGCGCAATGGCGCAATCTCAGCTCACAACCTCCACCTCCCGGGTTCAAATGATTCTTGTGCCTCAGCCTCCCAAGTAGCTAGGATTACAGATGTGCATCAACATGCCTGGCTAATTTTTGTACTTTTAATAGAGATGGGTTTTTGCCATGTTGGCCAGGCCGGTCTCCAACTCCTGACCTCAAGTAATCCTCCCGCCTCGGCCTCCCAAAGTGCTGGGATTACAGGTGTGAGCTACTGCGCCTGGGCTTGATGTCTTTTCTTTATGTCAAAAAATATTCAGTTCTTGGCCGGGCACGGTGGCTCACGCCTGTAATCCCAGCACTTTGGGAGGCCGAGTTGGGCGGATCATGAGGTCAGGAGTTTGAGACCAGCCTGGCCAACATGGTGAAACCTCATCTCTACTAAAAATACAAAAACTAGCTAGGCATGGTGGCACGTGCCTGTAATCCCAGCTACTTGGGAGGCTGAGGCAGGAGAACCTCTTGAAACCAGAAAGCAGAGGTTGCAGTGAGCCAAGATCGTGCCACTGTACTCCAGCCTGGGTGACAGAACAAGATGCTGTCTCAAAAAAAAAAAAAAATTCTGTTCTTAAAAAGAAACATTTGGGGCCCTCAGACCATGTGTGAATCTGTCTGTTGGGGGCCCATGTCCTGCACTGCCACTTCCTGTGTACCCTTGTGCAAGTCACTTCACCTCTCTGAGCCTCAGTTCCTTTATCCATAAGAGAAGCATGCTAGTGCCAGTGAGAAAACAAGTTCAAGTTCTTAGCACAGGGCTCAGCACCCAGGGCCCAGGTCCAGGCTACAGCCTGTTTGTGTTAGTTCTGCTGATCTCTTCTGCCATCTGAGTGTTTTGTTTTGTTTTTGAGATGGAGTCTCACTCTGTCACCCAGGCTGGAGGGCTGTGGCACGATCTCGGCTCACTGTAACCTCTGCCTCCCAGGTCCAAGCCATTCTCTTGCCTCAGCCTCCTGAGTAGCTGGGATTACAGGCATGCACTAACACACCTAGCTGATTTTTGTATTTTTAGTAGAGATGGGGTTTCACCATGTTGGCCAGGCTGGCCTCAAACTCCTGGCCTCAAGTGATCCACCTGCCTGGGCCTCCCAAAGTGCTGGAATGGGATAACAGGTGTGAGCAACCATGTCTGGCTCAGCTATCTGAGTTTTCTACATTTCTCTTTGTTCCTGAATCTCTGTATTCCTGTCTCTTGCCAAGCGTGCATCTCTTACTGTCTCTTGCTGTCTTTCCCCAGATCTGTATCTCTCTCCATCTCTGTCTGTGTCTCTGCCTCTTCAAGTCTCTGCCAGATCTAAAAGGCTCTGTCCTTGTCTTTGTATCTCTCCCTCCTGCCTCAGGGCTTTCTGCTGCCAACTGGGGGGTGCAGCTGGGCTGGGGTGGCAAGCAGAATTGACTGTCCCCTGTGTCCCCAGGGACAATGCCTTTTTGAGCAGTGTGCCTTCCTGGATGCCCTGAATGTCTTCTCACATGCTGCTGAGCTCCAGCCTGAGAAACCATGCTTCCGTTACCGATGGTGAGTGCCCCTGCCAGCCCCTTCTCCCAGCACCCACTTCCTGCCGCCCCACCCGGGAAACGAGCACTCTGTGCCCTCTGCCCTCAGCATGGCCTGTCTCCTGGCCCTCAAGCAGCATCAGGCCTGCCTCACGCTCATCACCAACGAGCTGAAGCAGGACACCACCAACGCCGATGTCTACATCTTCCGGGCCAGACTCTACAACTTTCTCCAGAAGGTACAGTGGGGAGGGCGGGCAGGGGCATGCCCCCCAACCTGGGAGTCCTCAGTGTGCCCCAAGATTGCAGGAAGAGGCAAGGCTGTCAGCCAGCCCAGAAGCCCCATCCCACAGTGCAGTGGGTGCTGTCCTCCCTGGGAAGAGGCCCACACTGGCCTGGACCACTCAACTACCATGTCAGGTCCTTGTTCCACTGTTGCTCAGCCCTGGCTCTGTGCTAGGCCTGTGCTGCACCCCATGGGAAGCAAAAGATGAGAGAAGCATGTCATCCCTGTCCGGATGGAGCTCACACCCTGGGGGAGGTGTCCCTGGGCAGATGAGCACACTAGGAGGGCTTTAGCCACAATCCTCTGAAGCCACACACCAGGGCACCCAGGGCACCTAACATGAGGTAGCCCTTCCCCCTTCCTCCCTCCTTCTTTCTTCCCTCCTGCCTTCCCTCCTCCCTTCCTCCCTCCTCCCCTTCCCCCTTTCTCCCTCCCCCTTCCCCTTCCTCCCTCCTCCTTCCTCCCTCCTCCCTCCTCCCTTCCTCCCTTCCCCCTTCCTCCTTTCCTCCTCTTCTTCTTTCTCCTCTTCCTCCCTCTTCCTTTCTTTTTTCCTGTTTGCCTCAATGAATCATCCCTACTCCTGACCACCCACACAACCTGGGCTGGGCACAGGGACAGACAGTACAGGGAACAGCTTGGGAGCAATAGAAACTTGGGGTCACAAGGAAGGAGGTGGAGGGGGTGCTGGGCACCAAGGAGAGGAGGGCAGGGATGAGAAGTCTCCCTGGAGTCAGTGGGAGCCTCCACCAGGTGTCCCCAGGGCAGGGGGCTTTAGGAAGATCATTCTGGTGTCCGCAGGGAGTGTGGGTCAGCGGGGAGGGCTGGAGGCCAGAGCCTGAGAAGGAGGCTGGGCACCATTGCAGGGTGGGGTGAGGTGGAGGGAAAGGTAGTCATGAGGGCGGCAAGGAGGGGCAATTCCCACAGCCCTTCAGAAGGCAGGGCCGGAGTCTGGCTTGGGGGTGGGCTTGAAGGAAAAGGAAGGATCCAGAAGGGTGCCTGGTGTTCTGGCTTGGCCTGGGTGGATGGGGAGCTGGGAAGCTAGGATGGGGAGGAGCAGGTGGGCGGGGTGGGGCGGGTTCACCTCATTCTCCAAGCATCCTGGGTGCGGCCGAAATGCCAGCCTGCATTGCAGGAGGGAGCGCCACCACCCTGGCAGGAGTGACTTCGGGGAGTGCAGTCCACCCTGGCAACTCCTCCCTGTGCCCCGGGGCTGGGCTGCAGCCTCCCACAAGCGATTCAGTGGCATGAGACTAGTAATTTGTTTTGTTTTGTTTTGTTTGAGACAGAGTCTCACTCTGTCACCTAGGCTGGAGTGCAGTGGCGAGATCTCGGCTCACCACAACCTCTACCGGGAGGTTCAGGCAATTCTCATGCCTCAGCCTCCTGAGTAGCTGGGATTACAGGCGCCTGCCCAGCTAATTTTTGTATTTTTAGGAGAGACAAGGTTTCGCCAGGTGATACCCCCTGCCTCGGCCTCTCCAAGTGCTGGGATTATAGGTGTGTGCCACTGCGCCCGGCTGAGACTAGTAATTATTGATAATTATTGGTGACTGTTGTGATTTTAGCCCCTCCGATACGTAGGCGTGTTCTCAGCACTTTGCCCCTGCTTAGCTGTGAGGCTCGCAGCAACCCTTTGGGATAGAGACACACTGTCCTCGTTTCACAGAGGAAGAGCCAGCCCCAGGTGACTTGCCCAAGGTCACACAGCCTGTTCCCAGTGGCATTGCCTGGAGCCCAAGGCTGCTTATGCCGAAGCCCTGCCCCTAGCTCCTGCCATTTCCCTCCCTCCCTCCACCCACACCTGCTGTCCACACCATCCCGTTCACCTGCCAGCCAGTCACCCCGCAGGGAACAGGGTGTTGTTGAACTGTCTGTTGCCTGGCTGAGCTGCGCCTTCCTCCTCCTAGTGGAAGGGACTTGCTGGGGGAGGTTTCCACTGTACCCAGGCCCGAATCTGGGCTTGGGCAGAGGAGTCTTGGGCTCAAAGGTCAGGGAGGAGAAGAGGGAGTGCAGGGGAGGGGAGGGAGGACACAACCGTCACAGTCAGGAGGTCACATGCTCCCCGCACCTTGAGTGGGCTTCACAGAGGCCTGACAAGGAGGTAGCATCTGCAGAAACCACTGGGGCTGGCCTGGCTCACCTGAGGTCACATCTGGAAAGGGCCAGCTGGCATGGGGCCTGGGATGGAATTTCTCCACGATGCTCCCTGTCTCCTTCAAGAGGCAGAAAGGGGCCAGGCATGGAGACTCAAACCTGTAATCCCAGCACTTCGGGAGGCCAAGGTGGGCGGATCACCTAAGGTCAGGAGTTTGAGACCAGCCTGGCCAACATAGTAAAACCCCATCTCTACTAAAAAATAATACAAAAATACAAAAATTAGCCAGGTGTGGTGGCACGCACCTGTAGTCCCAGCTACTCAGGAGGCTGAGGTGGAAGAATCGCTTGAACCCGGGAGGCAGAGGTTGCAGTGAGCCAAGACCACGCCATTGCACTCCAGCCTGGGTGACAGAGTGAGAATCCATCTCAAAAAAAAAAAAAAAGCAGAAAGGGTGGAACATGGAGGGATGTGAGGGGCACGGAGGAGGCATGGTGTGATGCCACCCTGCTGAAGAAAGGCCTCTAGGTCCCGTGGCTCAGTTGGTCTGTGCCCCTGATGCCACCCATGGCCTCCTGCAGCCCCACCTCTGCTACCGGGACCTGCACAGCGCCTTGCTGTTGAATCCCAAGCACCCGCAGGCCAGGATGCTGCTCCAGAAGATGGTGGCCCAGGCCCAGCAGGCGCGCCAAGATGCGGGGATCCTGGCTGTGCAGGGCAAGCTGCAGCACGCACTGCAGCGGATCAACCGTGCCATCGAGAACAACCCTCTGGACCCCAGTCTCTTCCTCTTCCGGTACTGCATGGGAAGGTGCTGGCCTTGGGTCCCAGGTCCTGCCCAGCCAGACTTTCTGTGTGGTTTAAGGAGAGTCCCTGACCCTCTCTGGGCCTCAGTTTCCCCAGCTAGCCTCTAACAGTCTTTCCCTACTTCCTACTGGGTTAAGGCATTGCAGAGGTGGTCTCTGTTACTGCTGGAAGAGGGATGCCAACACATGTCTCAGTTACCCCAGGAATCCTAGAGCTGCAGCCTGCAAAGCAGTTCACGCTGGGCGCTGAGCCCAGCTCAGTGGAGGAGACTTAGGCTTGAGTCTGGTCCCAGGAACTTACCACATCCTGCTGCATTTCAGGAGGGAGTGCCGCTGCCCTGGCAGGAGTGACTCCAGGGGGCGGTCCACCCAGCCAATCTCTCCCTATGCCAAGGGGCTGGGTTCAGTATCCCACAAGTGATTCAGTGACATGAGAGGCCACTGTGATTTCGGGCCAATTAACCTATCCAAACAGTGGTGGTAAAACACCTGCTTCTTGTACAAAATGCTTTAATGTAGAGACTGGCATACACCTGGCTCCCAAAAAAGAAGGTATTTTTGCAAAAAAAAAAAAATGCTCAGTGCCTAGTGGGTTATCTGAGTAGCAGTCCAGAGCTGGCCCCACGGGACAAACCTAGCAAATGAGGTGGGATCCCCACTGCCTCCATGGGTCAGGAGGCCCAGAGCCGGCAGTGGCTTGTCTGGCCACTAGCCAGTCGGTGGGGGTGCACTGGCGCTCATGTCCCTCCTGCCGTCTCCCACGCCCCCCCCGACAGGGGCACCATGTACCGACGGCTCCAGGAGTTCGATGGGGCAGTGGAGGACTTCCTGAAGGTGCTGGACATGGTGACCGAGGACCAGGAGGACATGGTGCGGCAGGCACAGCGCCAGCTGTTGCTGACCTACAACGACTTTGCCGTGCACTGCTACAGGCAGGGCGCCTACCAGGAGGGCGTGCTGCTGCTGAACAAGGCCCTCCGGGACGAGCAGCAGGAGAAAGGACTCTACATCAACCGAGGCGGTGCGCAGCGACCAGGGCACTGGGGAGGGGGGGTGCGGGGGAGCCTCGCCATCTCTAAGGCCCCCACTGGGCACTTGAGGCCCCTGGGGGGAAGGAGGAAGGGAGAGAGGAAGGAAGCAAGGGAAGAGGAAATGTAATAGTCTCAGTATCCCAGGAACACACTTTGGGAAATGTTGCCTTAGACAAACTGGCTCCAGACTCCTTAAAATGCTCAAAACAGGCAGCTGGGGAACAGTGCCCAGACGCCCAGAAAACTAGAGAGGACGGAGACTGCGGCGGGGGGTTATCAGCCACCAGTTTCAGGCCCTGGCCCCCGGGCTGGAGCCGGCTGGGCTGGGGCTCCCGGGCACTGGGAGTTGGGGGTCCACTCACCCCCGCCTCCGGACCCTAGATTGCTTCTTCCAGCTGGGCAACCTGGCCTTTGCCGAGGCGGACTACCAGCAGGCGCTGGCGCTGAGCCCTCAGGACGAGGGCGCCAACACGCGCATGGGCCTGCTGCAGGAGAAGATGGGCTTCTGCGAGCAGAGGCGCAAGTGCGTGGGCTCCCGCCCCCACGGTGGGCGGGGCAGGCCCGAGGGCAGGGCGGGCAGGAGGCCAACTGCTGGGATCCCTGGGTCAATCAAGCTGCTTCTCTCCTCGGGGGCGATGGCTCATCCCTGTAATCCCCACGCAGGTGGATCGCCTGAGGTCGAGAGTTTGAGACCAATCTGGCCAATATGGTGAAACCCATCTCTATTAAAAATATAAAAAAATTTAAAAATTAGCTGGGCGTGGTGGTGTGTGCCTGTAATCCCAGCTACTCAGGAGGCTGAGGCACGGGAATCCCTTGAGCCAGGGAGGCGGAGCTGGCAGTTAGCCAGGATTGCGCCACTGCACTCCAGCCTGAGCGACAGAGTGAGACTCTGTCCCAAAAAAAAAGGCTGGGCACGGTGGCTCACGCCTGTAATCCCAGCACTTTGGGAGGCCGAGGCGGGCGGATCACAAGGTCAGGAGATCGAGACCATCCTGGCTAACCTGGTGAAACCCCGTCTCTACTAAAAATACAAAAAATTAGCCGGGCGTCGTGGTGGGCGCCTATAGTCCCAGCTACTCGGGAGGCTGAGGCAGGAGAATGGCGTGAACCCGGGAGGTGGAGCTTGCAGTGAGCCGAGATCAAGCCACTGCACTCCAGCCTGGGTGACAGAGTGAGACTCCGTCTCAAAAAAAAAAAAAAAAAAAAAAAGCTTCTCTCTCCGTTATGCTTTCCTTTTTTTTAGATGGAGTCTCACTCTGTTGCCCAGACTGGAGTGTAATGGCGCCATCTCAGCTCACTGCAACCTCCACCTCCCGGGTTCAAGCAACTCTCCTGCCTTAGCTTCCCAAGTAGCTGGGATTACAGGCACCTGCCACCACGCCCAGCTAATTTTTGTATTTTTAGTAGAGACAGGGTTTCACCATGCTGGCCAGGCTGGTCTCAAACTTCCCACCTCAGGCGATCCACCTGCCTTGGCCTCCCAAAGTGCTGGGATTACAGGCGTGAGCCACCATGCCCGGCCTATACTGCTTTTCTTTGTGATATTTTTACTACTCAATAACTTGGAACTTAATCATAGTCAAATTAATATATTCATTTTAGCCGATGGGTTTATGCCATTCTCAGAAACGCCTTCCCTACCCCAAGATCATAAAGATATTCATTGATGTTGGAGTTTCACACTGGCATCGAAGTGTTGGCTTCATCAGGGACGTACCTGATGGAGAGAGAGGAGAGGGGCGTGGTGAGGGGAGCAGACCTAGCCTGGTTTCCCTCTAACTCCTCAGTGGGGCCCAGTAGCCACCATTTTCCCCACAGATGGCCCAGCTCATAGCAGCTTGGGACCCACTGTGTCGTGCAGGCAGTTCCAGAAGGCAGAGAACCACTTCTCCACGGCCATCCGGCACAACCCCCAGAAGGCCCAGTACTACCTGTACCGGGCCAAGAGCCGGCAGCTGCTGCAGAACATTTTTGGGGCCCGCCAGGATGTGGCCACTGTCCTGCTCCTCAACCCCAAGCAACCAAAGGTAGGTTCCTGCCACGTCAGGAGTGTAGGCTCCGGAGTCATGCCCGGTGCATAAAGATACTCCTCGGCCCCCAAAGAAATCTGGTTTGATAACAATCATAAGGCCAGGCATGGTGGGTCATGCCTGTAATCCCAGCACTTTGGGAGCCCAAGGCGGGTGGATCACTTGAGGTCAGGAGTTCGAGACCCACCGGGCCAACATGGTGAAACCCCATCTCTACTAAAAATACAAAAAGCAGCCAGGCATGGTGGTGCACGGTTATAATTCCAGCTACTCAGGAGGCTGAGGCATGAGAATCGCTTCGACCCGGGAGGCAGAGGTTGCAGTGAGCCAAGTTTGTGCCACTGCACTCCAGCCTGGGCGATAGAGTGAGACTCTGTCTCAAAAAAAAAAAAAAAAAAAAAAAAAAAAAAAAAACAAACAAGCAAACAAAAAACATTGCAAAACTCTTCCTTCTTCAGCCCTGGGAAGGGCCAAATCTGGCTGTGCAGGGTCAGGGCAGCATCGTGCTGTCTGTCTGCTGCTCTGGCCCTCACCTGGCTCTGGTCACCCCCTTTCGTGGCAGCTGTCCCTGCTGATGACCAACCTCTTCCCGGGCATGTCGGTGGAGGAGGTGCTTAGCACCCAGATAGCCCACCTGGCCAGGCTGCAGCTGGAGCAGATGGTGGAGGGCAGCCTGCAGGCCGGCAGCCCACAAGGCATTGTGGGGTAAGCCCTGGAGCAAGGGGCACAGGCCAGGGCTGGGGAATGGCTGCAGCTCCAGGCTCCTCTGGCTCCAGCTGCATGACGGGGCCGTTGTCTAGTCCTTGGAGAGACCAGCATGGGCCAGGGAGACTGACAATACCTGGGGGGTATCGTTTGGCAGGATGCTTAAACGGCACGAGTTGGAGCGCCAGAAGGCCTTGGCCCTGCAGCACTCATGGAAGCAGGGGGAGCCTTTGATTGCGACCTCCGAGGAGCTGAAGGCCACCCCTGAGATTCCGCAGGTAAAACCGGGAAGCTCAGAGGGAGAGGCTGAGGCCCCTGAGGAGGAGGAAGAAAAGGAGAAGGAGAAAAAAGAGGTAAGTGGAGTACAGGCCAGGGCTCGGAGCCCTTGGGGTCTGGGGCACAGCGTACCCCAGCCCAGGGCTGAAGGATGCAGGCCAGTGGAGTCTGGCTTCCAGGCCTGGCTCTGCACTCCCTCAGCTGTGTGATGGGCTGGGGACATCTTGCTATGAGATGGGGATGGTACCAGCAAGGGGTGCTCCTGACGGAGGGTGTGTGGGGATGTGGGCCCTCAGAGAGAGGAGTCACAGCCCTGCTCATGGTCACTGTCATGAATTCTACTGTAGGCACTAGCCACTTGCCACTTGTGCCAGAATTTTTTGTTTTTGAGTCGGAGTCTTGCTCTGTCAACCTAGGCTGGAGTACAGTGGCACAATCTCGGCTCACTGCAACCTCCGCCTCCTGGGTTCAAGCAATTCTCATGCCTTAGCCTCCCAGGTAGCTGGGATTACAGGTGTGTGCCACCACATCCGGCTAATTTTTCGTATTTTTAGTATTTTTGTTGGGCTTAAGTGATCTGCACACCTGGGCCTCCCAAAGTGCTGGGATTACAGGCATGAGCCACTGCACCCGGCCCCCAGAATTTTCTTAATTCTTAAATTTGTTTCTGAAAACCTCTTATTGAACGTAACATAAATATAGAAAAGTGCACAAATCATAAGTACCGGTTTGATGAATTTTCACAAACTGCATTACACCCATGATAGCATTATCCAGATCGAGAAAGAACATTTTCCCAGCTCCCAGAAGCCCCTTGGGGCCCCCTTCGAGGCCCCTCCCGTAACCCACCCCACCTACAAGGCTGTCTTGATTCCTGACACCAAACATGAGTTTCGTCTTTTCTTCACATAAATGGACAGCATGGTGAGCGTCACTCACGCTGCGGCGGGTGGCAGCGGCCTGCTCCCTCTCGCTGGTGCTGCAGAATATTCCGTCCTTGACAGTCCCACAGTGTGTTCCTCTGTTCTACTGCTGGTAGACATCAAGTACACTAATGTTCAAAGGAAACTTGAAGCAATTGAAGTAGAGGAATACCAGCATCCCTTGCCATCAATAGAAAATGTGGCTGGGCGCGGTGGCTGACACCTGTAATCCCAGCACTTTGGGAGGCCAAGATGGGCAGATTGCTTGAGCCCAGGAGTTCAAGACTAGCCTGGGCAACATGGCAAAACCCTGTCTCTGCAAAAAATACAAACATTAGCCAGGCATGGTGGTGTATACCTATAGTCCCAGCTACTTGGGAGGCTGAGGCAAGAGGATCTCTTGAGCCCCAGAGTCATTTGAGGCTGCAGTGAGCCGTAATCATACTACTGCATTCCAGCCTAGGTGAGAGAGCCAGACCCTGTCTAAAGAAGAAAAGAAAAAAGGAAAGAAAGTGCTAGCTCTTCAGTTTTCTAGCTCATGTTAGAATGAATATTAAAGTACACACCTTCCCTCTGTGTGACCCCTGAAGTCAGAGGCCCCCTCCCCCAGGGAGACGTTGGGCTGAAGTGGATGGAGCCCAGAGCGCAACTCCCAGCTGGCACCTGGAGCACTATGGTGTACCTCGCTGTCTACAGGTGTGAACGTGGGCAGAGACCCGCAGCCTAGGTAGGGTCTGGCTGTGGCAGCCAGCAGACCTGGATTCAAACCCGGCCTCTCTGCTTCTTAGCCGAGTGGCCCTGGACAGGTTGCTTAGGGGCTCTGAGCTTTGGTTTCCTGTTCAGTGAAATGGTCATTAGCAGCTCTCCCCATCCCTCCGTCTTCACTTGTATTGGGAGAATGGATGGGGGTAAAGCCTACAGAAGCTCCTCAAGTCCTCCGTAAGCATTCCCCAGGGCACAGCCCTTTACAATTTACAGAAGCCTGTTCCACACCTGAACTAATTTTCATTTTGCAGTTGAAAAAAACCAAGGCGCTAGCAGCTCCTTCAACACAACCGTTCTCACGGCACCATGCCTGTCTAGCCTGGTCGCTCCCCTTCCTGCCAGGCTTAGCCTCTGCGTGTCCCCACCCCACTCTAACCTGGCACCTTCAAAGACCTCCAAGCTCAGGAGAATGACCACCGAGGGGCCCAGGGCTGCTGGCCTTCTAGAGGTGCAGCTGCACGGGCCTCCTACCATCTGAACTACAAAGCCTGTTTCTTGCCATAGGAGAAAAAATCAGAGCTCATACCTAGCAAGGTGGCGTCCCTGTCTGACAGCTACCTTGACCAGACCTCTTCAGCCTCCAGCATGAGCTGTAAGTCCCTGGTGCTTCCGCCAGGCCTCAGGAAGCTAAGGCAGCAGGGTAGTCAAAGCTCAGGGGTCGAAGACCGCTGGCCTAGGTGTGCGTTCGGCCCCGCTGCTGACAGCTGGGTGGCCTGGGGCGAGTGGCTCTAGAGCGGGAGTAACACTGTTGCGGGGCTGCCCAGGACGAGGTGAGGCTTGCTCCAGGCACTTCATGGTAGCTGCTGCTCTGCTCTCATCCCCTCCTAGCCCTGTCCCTGAAATAAGCCCACAAACCTTGTGCATGGCCAGGGGGCTTTTAGCCCCAGTACATAGGGCCCTAGCCTGGAGGAGACAGAAGTGAAGAATGGGGAGGCTGCTCCTCAGAGGCCCCAAGGCGGGTGTGCGCAGTCCTCGCTCGGGAGGCGAGTGGCAGGGCCCAGGCCCCTTCTTCATTTTGTGAATCCAGCAAACTCCCCAAGTGCCCTGGGCCAGGCCTGTGCTCAATACTAGGCACAGGAATGACTGGCATAGTCCTTGCCCTGAGACATGAATTCTAAGCTCCAACAGGAAGAAGGCTCCCAGGTGACCCACAGCCAGGAGACAGGGCAGACACAGTGCGGGGGAAGCCGGGGTGTGGGTGCATTTAGCGCCTTTTAGTGGGGACGAGGATGGAAAAGCAGGAGGGTGCCAGGCGGGGGGACGCAGGGGCCCTGCTGGGGCTGTCTGCTGCAACAGGAGCACAGAGGGCAGGGGCAGCCACAGAGCAGAGGCCTGGGACTGGGAGAAGGGGGCTCCTAGGCATCTCCCCCATCTCACAGCCCCACCCCTCAGGGTCTGGGTCGCTGGGGGCTGGGCGGGGGTGATCTGCAGGTCTTTCCCTTTGGTGATGCGAAGCCTCTGGGCCACAGGCCAGTGTGAGATTGGGAAGCCCCTTTTCCCAGAGCTGTCCAGGGCAGGTGCGGCAGGCCTGATGGGTGCTTTTGGCACCCCCTTCCTAGTCAGGACCACAGGCACCTCAGAGACTGAGATGTCGGCTATCTGCCAGGAATACAGGAGCACCTCAGCCACCGCCGTGACATTCTCTGACTCGTCACTGTTGAAGACGCAATCCTCGGACTCTGGGAACAACAGGGAGGCACTAAGCCATGGTCCCAGAAAAATCAAGGCCACCCAGGGCCAGAGGCAGAGCCTTAGCAAGACTGAGCCCACCCAGAGCCAGAGGCGGAACTCCAGCAAGACCAAGGCCACTATACACAAGAGGAACTCCAGCAAGACCAAGGCCACCCAAAGCCAGAGGCGGAACTCCAGCAAGACCAGGGCCACCCAGGGCCAGGGGCAGAGCTCCAGCAAGACTGAGGCCACTCAGGGCCAGAGGCAGAGCTCCAGCGAGATTGAGGCCACCCAGGGCCCAAGGCAGGAGCCCAGCAAGACCAAGACCACCCGGAGCCCAAGGCAGAGGCCCAGAAAGGTCAAGGCTGCTCGTGGCCGGAGCTGGAGACCCAGCAAGGTTGATGCCACCCAGGGCCGAAGCAGGGGACTGCTCCGAAGTTCCACCAAGACTGAGGCTTTCTATGACTCAAACTGGAGCCTCAGCAAAACTGAGTATGCCCAAGGCCAGGGCCAGAGGTCCAGCAAGGCTGAGGGTGCCCAGGGCAAGAGCCAGGGCATGAGCTCAACTTCCAGCAAGGCCGAGTCCACCTGGGGACCCAGCCCAAGTCTCAGCAAAACTGAGGTTGATCAGGACCTCACCTACTATGAAGCTGTCTGAAGGGACCATCCAGACCCTCCCTTCTTGCTGGGGAGGGGACGAGTTCTACCCACCTCCCCACACTGGCACTCAGCCAGCTGCCTCCTTCCAGAGCAATTAAAAGTCTTAGCAACAGTCCTCTGGTCCCACAGCTGAGTTTATTATACTTGTTTTCTTTTACAAAATTAAAAACATCTAAAACCAGGCCCAAGTGGCAGCTTGAGTCCCTCCATTTCTGGAAACTGAGAAGGCTCCACCTGGCTTGATATGGACACAGGGTGTGGGGTGGAGGGGAGGAGGTATGGTGCCCGACCAAGGAGGCAAGGGGCAAGGGTGGCAGACTGAGGAGGGAGCACCGCCACGAGCCACAGTCCCTGAGTTATAATTCACAGTAAGAAGGCTCAGGCTGCAGGGGGAGGTCAAGGCTCAGTGAGGTTCTGGGGTGACCAGGGGTTTCCCTGGGGAAGGTGGCCGGGGCCAAGATGCTCTCGAGCCAGTTTAGAGGCCAGGGCCCTTCCTGGCCATCTGTCCCGTGGCCTAGCCGACACTCCGTTCATCTCACTTGGTGCTCTGGGTTCCTGTGACAGAGGCCCCTGGCCTTTCCTGCATGGCCTGGCCATCAGGGGGGCCGAGGACACCACTCAGAGAGTCAGAGGAAGAAGGCGATTCGGGAGGCCACGGTCTTGCAGCCGTTGGAGGAGAAGAGCTGCTCGTCTTCAGGGAAGAAGGTGGTGCTGTCCAGCACAGCCTGGACAACCTCATCCCTTGGCTCCAGGCCCAGCTGGGCCAGCTCGTTGAGCACGCAGTGCCGGACGTGGTGCCGCTGGAGCGGGAGGAAGGGCACCACTGCGTCTAGGAGGCGCTCTTCCATGATGCCCGAGTTTGAGAAGCCATCTGCAGGAAGGGTAGGTGGGGAGGGGACTTTGTGCTTCACAAGAGGGGAGAAGCCGGCCCCAAACCCCCAGGGGCAGGAGGAAAAATGCTGGCCTCAGTTCCCTCAGCCGCCTTCTGGGTGTAGGACTCAGGGGCTGTAAGGCTCACCCAAAGTCACAAAGCTGGGAGTGCCAAAGCCAGGCTCAGAACTGCCGGGTCAGTGGGCAAAGCATGAGACCCCGGGAGAGCCTGGCCCCTGGGTGTGGGGTGAAGCTGCCCGGGAGGGGGCTGCTGAGCCAGACTCACGGTGCGGGTTGTCCAGCACCGCGCGGGAGATGACCGGCTCCAGCTCCTGCAGGAGGATCTCCTCGCGGTCCCGCCGGCTGCGCCACGCCTCCAATGCCACCTGGTTGATCTGCTTGCCACCCGTGTTGCTAAAACCATGGGGGACCCAGGCTGAGACTCAGATGAGGACTAGCGCAGGGCAGGATTGGACCCTCGCTTCCCCGCTGCCACCTGACATAGGAACATGGCTCAGTGCGGGGAGGAGCCAACTCCACTGAAAACGCTCCACTTCCCCCTCCATGGTGTCCACATCCATGGCCCCTGTAATTCACCTACACATGCCACGTACTTTATAGTTTACAAAACACTTTTGTGTCCCTCAACTGACTTTCCCTCACTGAACTTCCAGGAAGGCATCGGGGCATCATTATTGGCCCCGCTGTTCAGAAGCAGAGACAGAGGCTCAGAGAGGCGGAGCCATGCTGCCTGAGGAAACACAGCGAGGATTCTGAGAGCTGGGACTAAAGGACAAGAACTCTGTTCCTATTTTTCCCAGGCCTGTGTCCTCCTCACCACAAAAGAGGGAAAACTTCTTGACCTGGCAGGGCTTCCACAAAGAAGTGGCGATCAAAAAGACTGAGCCCAGAATTTGCTGAGAATGTCCAAAGGGAAATCAACCAGGCGGAATGACAATGTCATCTCTGAGAGTGGCGGAGGGCACTGGGAAAGCCCAGCTAAGCCCATGGGGAACTGGATTCTGCTGGGAGCACAGGCTAAGGCTGTAGAGCTGAACCTCTGAGAAGTGGCCCCCCCACTGTGCCCACTGCAAAGCCGGGCCCCACCTGATGAAGATGAAGATGGCTTTGCGGTAATTGGTCCCGTATACCACCCAGGAGGAGCCCAGGAAAGGCCGCAGGACTTCCATCAGGCCTGGGGGCATCTTGTCCATCTCATCGAAGAGGAAGAGGGAGCGGCCACAGGCAGTGAGGTTCCCTTGGACCCAGCTCTTCAGATCCTTCTGTAGGGGAGAGACAGGAGTTCCAGGGGAGCTGGAGAAACTCCCCCAACACCAGACCTCTTCCCAAACCAAAACTAATCTCCTTTCTAGGGAAGGATGTGGTCTTCCAGAGAGCACCAACCTCTTAGTGAGACTGATGGTGAAACTGTATCCCAGATTGGGGCAGAGACTTGCCCAAAGTCACACAGCCAGTCAGAACAGGGACTCAAACCCAAGCCTCCCACTTCCCTGTTCAGAGCTCCTTCCACGACACTTGCTGCTTTCTATAAAAGGGGAAGGCTCCTTCCTGCTCCCTGAAACTACACAGCAGTGTTGACGGCTGAAACTGATCAGCCTGGTGGGTACCCTGCAATCAACAACAGTAGTAGTAAGAGCCAATATTTCCTGATGCTTCCTCTGAGCCACAAATTGGGGCTGATTTCCAGCAAGACAACAGTGCAGATTATCTGACAAACATAGGTGCTCCATAAATGATATCTGCAATGGTATAATCTCATGTCCCTCACAACAACCCTGGCATGTAGGTACTGCCAGGGTTCCTTACTGCCCCAAGGAATCAAAGTACTCCCTGCCAGGTAGAATGACACCTTCCCAAGTTCTGTGCAGGATGGGTCCTGAGGGCTGGGGCTGCAGCCGTGTGTGGCCTGGAGCAGGTGACTCCCCTGTCTGGGCTCAGGACTTACTCCCTAGGGTGGCACCCCATGGTGAGAACAGTGGTCAAGGACGCATCCAGCCTACCTTGTAGCGCTCGATGTGGCTGGGGTGGGGGAAGTGGAGGACGGGAGAAAAGTGGTGCACGCGGGGGCTGCGGAGGCCGCCCTGGAAGAGGTAGTGCGCCAGCAGGGAGCTGACATAGGATTTGCCGGTGCCGGTCCAGCCGTGCAGGGAGAGGACCAGCGGCTTGGTGGGGGCTGGGTCCCGCACAAAGGCCTTCAGCGCCTTCACCACCAGCGCCTTGGCCAGATGCTGGCCGGCCAGGTGCTGAGCCAGGTCACACTCCAGACCTAGGGCCACAGGAGGATGGTGAGGACACATCCCACCGAGGCAGAGGTTCAAGGAGAACATCATGTCTGGAACCTGGTCTGGGACTCCTGTGTCCTTACGTTTGTCCAAGCTGCCTATGCACATGGCACGCAAACCTTGGGGTCTGTGGCGGAAAAGAGCCACCTTCGGGCCTGATTCAGCTCGGCAGCGCCCCCACCAGGCGGTCCTCTAGATTGCACTCAGCTCTAAATGCGAGCTGTCAACGGGGTCAGCCGCAGACCCCGCCCATCCCCAAGGCGCACTGCACTTCTCCTTTGACGGCCAGGCCATTCCGGGGAGGCCCAAGAACTTCCACCAAGGGTTCTGCTGGCTGAGGCCTCTCTCCAGGTTGGCAGGGCCTCCTGGACCTCAACGGGTACCCTCCACCCTCCCAAGTCTGCGGGCCCCGCCCCTCGGTCCCACCCTCTGGGTCCTCAGCTTCTCTGGCCGGCGCCAGCCGGGCTCCCAGGGCTCCCAGCGCTCCCGCGTCTGCCCGCGTCCGCCCGCCCCTCGCTCCGGGCTCCCTGGCGCCTCACCCGGCAAGTCGGGCCGGAAGTCGCATTCGCAAAAGGCGCCCAAGGTGCAGCGCAGGGAAGCCAGGTCCCAGGCGGCGGCCGCGGCCGAGACCAGCCCGAGCAGCCCGAGGAGCGAGCCCCAGGGCCGGCAGCCGCGCGTCGCAGCCGCCATCCGGGTGAGGCCCGAGCTCGTTGTGGGGCAGTCAACTGCCTCGCCCGGGAACTGCAACTCCCGGCGTGCACCGCTCCGCAGCAGCCACGCCCATCGCCTACAACTCCCGACGCTCCTCTCCCCGCCTCCAAGGCCCGCCCGTCGTTCCGCAGCAGGACCAGAAGGTGGCCTCCAGGGGGAACCCGCGAACCGTCCAATCCGGGACGGCGGGCCGCGTTTCCATGGCCACGGTAACTAGGGGACCATCGTAGTGGCTCAGAAAGAATAAATAAAGGATCACGACCACAAAGGGCGACGTAACAATTACAGCAAAAACTTGTGCGGAACCTTACACCTTGCAAAGCGCCTTTTCCATGCTCCTTTTTTCTTCTATATGACAAAAGTGCCCTCACTAACAGCTTTTGGTGAGCACTTACTCTGTGCCATTAGTGCTAAGTGCCTATATACCTTATAATATGGTAATAGTATCTGCTATCCAGAGAAATGGTGGTGTTCCAATGAGATAAAGGCACACAAATTGTCTGGCTCAGAAAGTGGTCAATACATGATCATCAACATTCCGTTGTGTATTAAACAGGACTGTCCCTCACCTAGCAGCAACTGTGGCCAAATGCTTGGTATCAGTCCTGGGAGATGGGTTCTGTTGTTGTCCCCATCTTAATAAGGAGGAATTTGGGACCGAAGAGGTTAAGCCTCTTACCCAATGTCACGCAGCTGGTAAACAATAGAACTAAACCCAAGTCTGGCTGCAACCAGAGCCGTAGTGCGTGGTTGCATGTTATCAGCCTCTCTTGGTCAAAGGATTCAGAAGGCAAAGGACTCCAGACGTTTGAGGTTCAGCGCGCAGGCTCCCTAGGCCTCCAGCTTGGCCTGGATTCGTTTTGATCCACGTTGCCCACCTCCCCCACCCACTGGAGTAAGGGAACCAAGACAACAGCCTTCATGGCCCACCTCAAAGACCCTGTCCCTACCAACCTCAACACATAGTCACACACACACACACACACACACACACACACGACTTCTGGGGCCAAATATCAGAGCCTGAAAAAGAAATAAGTATTTCCGGCCAGGTGCGGTGGCTCATGCCTGTAATCCCAGCACTTTGGGAGGCCGAGGCGCGTGAATCAACATGGCGAAACCCCGTCTCTACTACAAATACGAAAATTAGCCGGGCGTGGTGGCAGGCTCCCGTAATCCTGGCTACTCTGGAGGCTAAGGCAGGAGAATCGCTTAAACCCGGGAGGCGGAGGTTGCAGTGAGAAGAGTGAAACTCCATCTCAAAAAGAAAAAGAAAGGAAAGGAAAGGAGAAACAGAAAGGATGAAAAGAGAGAGAAAGAAAGGAAGGAAGGAAGAAAGAAAGGAAAGAAAGAAAGAGAAAGAAAAAGAAAGAGAAAAGAAAGGAAGGAGGGAAGGAAGGAAGGAAGGAGAAAGAAGAAAGAAAGAGAAGAAAGAAAGAAAAAGAAAGAGAGGAAGGAAGGAAGGAAGGAGGCCGGGCACGATGGCTCACGCCTGTAATCCCAGCACTTTGGGAGGCCGAGGCGGGCGGATCACAAGGTCAAGAGATCAAGACCATCCTGGCCAACATGGTGAAACCCCGTCTCTATTAAAAGCACAAAAATTAGCTGGGCGTAGTGGCGCATGCCTGTAATCCCAGCTACTGGGGAGGCTGAGGCAGGAGAATCGCTTGAACCCGGGAGGCAGAGGTTGCAGTGAGCTGGGATTGTGCCACTGCACTCCAGCCTGGTGACAGAGCAAGACTCCATCTCAAAAAAAAAAAAAAAAAAAAAAAAAAAAACAAGAAAGAAAGAGAGAGAGAGAGAAAGAAAAGGAAAGAAAGAAAGAAAAGAAGAAAATGAGTAGTTCCCACTATCAAGGAGAAAAAAGGAGAGAAGTCTGGGTCCAGGAAGCCAGGTGGAGCCTTTCCCACTCTGCTGCTGCTGTGACCCGGGAAAAGTCCCTTCTCCTTTCAGGTACCAGTCTTCAAGAGGGGAGTTGGGATCATAGATTTCAAAAAGCCCTTCCACCCCAAATCCTCGGATTTTTGGTTGTGCATTTGTGGGAACTGTTGCCATGGCATCCATCCCAGGGCAGGGCAGGGGATAGGAGCACTGGGTTGGAATTAGCTATTTATCTCTCCCGCTGGTCTGTGAGCTCCCAGAAAGCAAGGATTGGGTTTTCATATTTGCTGTAACCCTGGCTCCTGGCACAATCTGGACTGTCCCAGGTGCTAAAGAAGTATTTGTTGTTGAGTCCTAATTAGGGAAAATGAGTCATGCTGATGGGACCAGGGGAAAGCAAAAAGAGAAAGCAGATAAGCTCAAAGTCTGCCTTTTTTTTTTTTTTTTTTTTTTTGAGACGGAGTCTCGCTCTGTTGCCCAGGTTGGAGTGCAGTGGCGCGATCTTGGCTCACTGCAAGCTCCACCTCCCAGGTTCACGCCATTCTCCTGCCTCAGCCTCCCAAGCAGCTGGGACTACAGGCGTCCACCACCACGCCCGGCTAATTTTTTGTATTTTTAGTAGAGACAGGGTTTCACCATGTTAGCCAGGATGGTCTTGATCTCCTGACCTGGTGATCCGCCTGCCTCAGCCTCCCAAAGTGCTGGGATTACAGGCATGAGCCACCATGCCTGGCCAGAAGTCTGCCTTCTTGATGGTTCAGGACACACAGCCCTCCTGTGCCCAACTTCTCACCGGACACATGTAGGTTAGCCCACTGCAACCTTGGCATTATCAGTACTGCAGAAAGCCCTGTTCAGCACACAGCAGAAATGCCATCCCATAAAAACTCACAGCAAGGCTTTGTCTCTTTGCAGTCAGCTCCTCTTCTGCTGATCTGCCCGTTGCTACCTTGCAATGCATTTTCATGCTTCCTGAAATAAATCTGCCTTTCTTTACCTACAACTGTCTTGGTAAATTCTTCTTACTCCCATGCCACTGGCCCCAGATACTCGGCACTCACTCACAACATTTGTTGAATGAAGTTTTCTACCTTTCGCCTGAGAAAAGGTGCTTCCTTCTACCCCAGGAGCCCGAGAGACAGAATAAAGAGTCATAAAAGTTTATTATATGAAAGAAATAACATGGCTTCTGTACATCTATTTACAGAACAGAGACTTATTTACAGTGAGATGGAGGCCTTGGTGTTGGTGAGGGACAGACAGAGAGTGAGGAGGCGTGAGCAGCCTGCCTCCCATGGCTCGAAAACAGGGAACCCCAGCAGGAAGGGGAGCAGCAAAAGCTGGTGGGGGAACCGGCGTTCCTGTTCTTCCTCAATGGAGACCTGGTGAGCATGTAGCAGGTGGGATGGAACCCAGAGTCCACGCAGGACCCTGGAGGTGCAAGGGAGATGCTTGAGTTGAACCCAGAACATTCTCGGGTTGATCACAGTGTCCTTGGGGTGCTCTGGGGAAAGTTGTGTGCCCCTCTGCCCCTGACGCTGTCCGCAGCTGCAGAGGGGAAATGTCCCTGGGGTCACAGCTCGCTGGAGCGGACAGCAGGTTCCAGCTTGTGGGACAGGGCAGTGAGGACCTTGTCGAACTTCTCATAGCGCCGGGCCTGGCTGCTGCTGGCACCCTGACTGCCCCAGAGAAGGCGCATCTGGAACTCCGTGCTGAACACCTCCAGGAGCTCCGGCCGGGCCTGGAACCCTGCAGTGTTGGGGCATAGGGTCAGGGCAGAGGCTGGGGTTCCTGTCCAGAGCCCTAGCATTCTTCAGGACCCCCCTGTTAGGGACCTCCCCTCAACTCCGCCAGGGATCCAACAAGGTTTGTGAATCAACACGACCCTGTAGTTTAGCATCTTTGTCCTGTTATTTGCAGCATATAATTTAAAAATGACTAGACCATAAAATATTAATGTTAAATATGTTTGCAGATTTTTGGTGATTTTTTTTCTTTTTTCGTATTTTTCTGTTAAGTTCCAAATTATTTCCTAAGAAAGATGTATACATTTTAGGCTGGGTGCGGTGGCTCACACCTGTAATCCCAGCACTTTGGGAGGCCAAGGCGGGTGGATCACCTGAGGTCAGGAGTTCAAGACCAGCGGCCCAACATGGTGGAACCCCACCTCTACTAAAAATACAAAAAATTGGCCAGGTATGGTGGCTCACGCCTGTAATTGCAGCTACTCGGGAGGCTGAGGCAGGAGAATCGCTTGAACTTGGGAGGCGGAGGTTGCAGTGAGCCGAGACTGTGCCACTGCACTCCAGCCTGGGCGACAGTGTGAGACTCCATCTCAAAAAAAAAAGAAAAAAGAAAAGAAAAGACATGAGAGGAAGGGGTCAGGGAGACAGGGCAGGACAGAGGAGTGGAGAAATGTGAATGGATGCCTTGGAGAAAAGGGAAGCAGTGAGGCAGGTGGAGGGAGGCCCAGGCCTGCAAGCCCCCCAAGATGCCACCCGCCACTCACCCTGCAGCTTGACTTCAGCATTGGTGTGGTACAGGCCTCCGTGGTGTGCCACTGTGCGGGCGGCCTCCAGGTGAGCCAGCACCACCTCCACGCCGTGCTCCGTGCTGCCCCAGGGCTCAGGGCCCTCTGGTGGGGCCGAGTCACACTCCAGCAGGGTGATGAGGGGCAGCACATGAGGAAACGTGGTGTTGCTCAGCGGCGGGCCTTCTGCAAGGAGAAAGGCAGCAGGCGCTTAAAGATCCTGTAGTGCCCCACCATCCACTGCAGTCCTGGAAGCTGAGGTGCAGGAGGGAACGGGCCTGGCTGAGGTCCGGGAGAGAGCCCCAAGGGCTCCTGACTCCTGGGACAAACCCTTTCTTTCGGATTCCCCCAACTGAACCCACTGCAGCCCTGGCCCAGCCCCAAGGGCTGAGCCTGGACATGAACAGGGCTGACACAGCTGCCAGCAGGAACAGTGAGCTCAGGGAAAGTAGCTTGCACAGAGCTCAGCCAGGCTGTCATCACTGTCCATGCTGGGAGTCTTTGCAACCCCAGGGAGGGCTGCAGCCTGTCCAAGGTCACGCAACAAGGAAGTACCTTTGCCCTCGTTGAGGCTCTTGAGAAAAGGCTTGAGCTTCTTCTCGTACAGGATGGCACCCTCTGTGTGTCGCTGCCGCAGGGTCACCCATGTCTGCTCCAGCCGAGAAATCTGGGGAGGCCAAACTGTGAGAGACCAGCCAGGCAGAGGGCCTGCAGGGGCCACCCTGCTGCCCTGCTGAGTGGACACCCAGATGTGGGATCGTTATTATTATTATGGCCATCCTTCATGTACCAGGGACAGTGATGACTACTTTTCATGTCTACCATGAAGCTCTCACAACCCATTTTACAGATTAGGGAACTAAGGCTCAGAGACAGGAATGACTTGCCCAAGGTTATTCTGAAAAAAAGTGGCAGAGCTGGGTGGGAGTTGAACGCAGGACACTGCCTCTGGGAACTTGTTGTTCTTATTTATTTATTTTTTATTATTTTGTTTTTGAGACGGAGTCTCATTCTGTCACCCAGGCTGGAGTGCAGTGGCGCAATCTCGGCTCACTGCAAACTCCGCCTCCTGGCTTCACGCGATTCTCCTGCCTCAGCCTGCCGAGTAGCTGAGACTACAGACATGTGTCACCACGCCCGGCTAATTTGTTTGTATTTTTAGTAGAGACGGGGTTTCACCATGTTGGCCAAGATGATCTCAATCTCCTGACCTTGTGCTCCACCCACCTTGGCCTCCCAAAGTGCTGGGATTACAGGCGTGAGCTACCGCGCCTGGCTGTTGTTATTTATTAGTCATAGGAGAGGCAGGCTCAGCTCTGAAGTCAGCCAGACCTGGTTCAAGTCCTAATTCTTTCAGCCTCTGACCGTATGACCTTAGGCAAGGACTGCTCTGTCTCAAACACTCCATTTGTAAAATGTGGATGCTAAAGGCACCTACTTCATGAGATGGTTCTGAGAAATCAGTGCTGGTTAAGCACTTAGTATAGCACCTAGCCTATAGGAAATACTCACTAAATGGTTGCCACTTTCTTCTTATTCTTTTTTTTTTTTTTTTTGAGACGGAGTCTCACTCTGTTGCCCAGGGTGGAGTGCAGTGGCGCAATCTTGGCTCACTGCAACCTCTGCCTCCCTGGTTCAAGCGATTCTCCTGCCTCAGCCTCCCGAGTAGCTGGGATTACAGGTGCGCACCACCACGCCCGGCTTTTTGTACTTTTTAGTAGAAACGGGGTTTCACCATATTGCCTAGGCTGGTCTTGAACCTCTGACCTCGTGATCCGCCCGCCTCAGCCTCCCAAAGTGCTGGGATTACAGGCATGAGCCACGGCACCCGGCCTATTCTTATTCTTTAAACTCATATAATGCTCCTCATTTGTTTTATTTTACAAGCGAGGAAACTGAGGCCCAGAGAAGGGGAAGAACTTGCTGTGGGTCGGCACTTGCAGAACTCAGTTCTCCCGGGTAGTCTCACCAATTCTGCCTAGAAATTCCAAAGCTCCTCCTGATTCCATATACAGCCATCCCAAAGGCACCCCAGGGCTCTTCCAGACAGTCTACCGGGTGCCAGCTCTGCGCGGCTCTCAGTACCTGGGCCATGTCCAGGGCACCCATGACCGCCGCGAAGCTGAACATGTTGCCCATAGTCCCCCGCAGCTCGGCCGCCAGCTGAATGGTCTTGTGCAGCAGCGCTGCCCGCTCCTCCGCAGAGCCGGTGCAGCCCAGGATGTCCACGGCCAGCATGATGGACATGGTGTGGAACCTGTCAGAGCGGCGGGGTCAGAGGCGGCGGGCTCGGGGACAGGGGTGAGGGGTGCGGGCCTGGGGCGCTGCCTGTGGTTGGGCCGGGAGAGGCGGAGGGCGGAGCCAACGTGAGAGGTTGTAAGGGTCAATGGGATAAGGGGGCGCGGCCAGAGCGTGGAAAGCAAGGCCTCGGGCTTCTGATTGGTCAGCATAAATCAGGGGCGGGGCCAGAGCTGTGGGTCAGCAGGGAAATGCATCACGCAGAGTAGTTTTTTGTTTTGTTTTTGTTTGTTTGTTTGTTTGTTTGTTTTTTGAGACGGAGTCTCGCTCTTGTCGCCCAGTCTGGAGTGCAATGGCGCGATCCCTGCTCACTGCAACCTCCGCCTCCTGGGTTTAAGCGATTCTTCTGCCTCAGCCTCCAGAGGAGCTGGGATTACAGACGCGCGCCACCACGCCCTGCTAATTTTTGTATTTTTAGTAAAGACGGGGTTTCGCCATGCTGGCCAGGCTGGTGTCGAACTCCTGACCTCAGGTGATTCGCCCGCCTCGGCCTCCCAAAATGCTGGGATTACAGGCTCGAGCCACCGCGCCCGGCCAGGCAGAGCAGTTTTAAGAACGAACAAGGAGGAGCCCCAGCTGATGGGCGAGGCCAGGCTGATGGTCAAGGGGATGACTGGTCAAGGGGATGCGAAAGGAAGGCGAATGCGGAGATACAGGATTCAGTCTTTGGGAAATCAGCCTGTTTAGAGCGGGTTATCAGGGCTTGCGATTGGTCAATGGGATGGGAGGCGTGGCCAGAGCCCCCTGGGAGCCGAGCTGAGGCTGTGATTGGCCAACCCGCCCCGTCCAGCGGGGAGTGCGGTAGCCGGGGGTTCCCCGCGAGTCCCCGGGTGCCGGCGCTGTCTCACCTTTCCAGCAGGTCTAGGCGTAGCTGCCGGCCATGGGGGAGGGTGAGCAGTTCCATGCCCCAGCGGACTCCCATTAGGGTCTGCATCTCCTTGGTAACGCCCAGTATCCTAGCAACCTGCAAAGACGCCCAGAGGGCTGATTAATATCCTGTCAGGGCTGGCCCCAGCCATCTGGGAGTCAGAGAGCTTTATCTAAGGGGGTAGGTAGCCTGGTTGGGAGGCGGGGTTTGAATTCCAGCTCCACCGCTAACCCTCTGATATGGAGCAAGTGACTCTGCCTTTCTCAGCGAGCCTCAGTTTCCCCATCTGTGAAGTAGGAATTAATAGGAAAATGTCCAGAGGTGCCTGGCAATTAAATATTCAGTTACGGTCGGCCGGGCGGGGTGGCTCACGCCTGTAATGCCAGCACTTTGGGAGGCCAAGGTGGGCGGATCGCCTGAGGTCAGGAGTTCGAGACCAGCCTGGCCAACATGGCGAAACCCCATCTCTACCAAAAATTCAAAAATCAGCCGGGTATAGTGGCGCGTGCCTGTAGTCCCAGCTACTCGGGAGGTTGGGGCAGGAGAATCGCTTGAACCCAGGAGGCAGAGGTTGCAGTGAGCCGATATCACGCCACTGCACTCCAGCCTCGGTGACAGAGTGAGACTCCATCTCAAAAAATAAAAATAAAATAAATAAATAAATATTCAGTTAAGGTTAAGAGCTGGATACTTGTTCATTGCAGAGGGAAACCCTGAAGCCCGGGCAGGGAATGGGCTTGCCCAAGGTCACACACTGGGCCTAGAACCTGGGTCCTCCCTGCCACCCTGGACTCTTCATGGAGTGACATCTTTGCCTTGTTTCTTTTCTTGCTTCCCGCGCTCTGAGACCAGTATAACCCAATAATCAGTTTCTCCCAAACTGTGAAAGGAGAAACTGAAGCACAGAGAGAACTGGGGTCTTTAGATGTTCAAAGATTTAACAAAGCTAAGGCCCAGGCATTGACAATTTATGGGCCGAGGAGGTAATGATTTCTGCTTATTTGTCCAGTGGCGGGGGGGCGGTGGGGGCAGAGAGTCAGGCCTTTTCTAGTCCCAGGACAAGCTGGCTAACCCTCAAGAGGCTCTATGGCACACTAGAGAAGTGTCCCCAACTGCCTCAGGGAGCCAGAGACCACTGGGTTTCAGGGCTGCCCAGTTTTAGTGCCAAACTGACATCTGGAGGAAGCAAGGATATCTTATGTGCTTTTTTTTTTTTTTTTTTTGAATAGTGTCGTTCTGTTGCCCAGGCTGGAGTGCAGTGGTGTGATCTCAGCTCACTGCAACCTCCGCCTCCAAGGTTCAAGTGATTCTCCTGCCTCAGCCTTCCAAGTAGCTGGGATTACAGGCGCCCACCACGACGCCTAGCTAATTTTTGTATTTTTAGTAGAGACGGGGTTTCGCCATGTTGCCCAGGCTGGTCTTGAACTCCTGACCTCAGGTGATCCGCCCGCCTCGGCCTCCCAAAGTGCTGGGATTCAGGTGTGAGCTACCACCCCCGGCCTTTTTAAAAGGAGAAACTGGAGGCCCAGTGAGGCTAAATGACCAGCCCAGAGTCACAGAGCAGGCAAAGGACAGCCATGGAGCTAGAATCCAGGCCCACCTGCTGTACTTGGGGAATCTGGGAGCCAGCTTCTCACTGCCCTGCCCCACAGAACAGAGATGCTCCCTCCACCCCAGTGCACAGCCAGCACCTACCAGGCAGTCCACCTTGGTGACATGCCGGGCCAGCGTCCGGGCATCCACTTCTGCCAGCAGCTCCTTGACCTTGCGCAGAAGGCCCACCTCCAGTGGCCGGTTATCCCTGGGGATCAGTAGTGACTGGAAGGTGGCCGGGTTGAAGGAAGAAGTGACTTCCACGATGGGGACTGTGAAGGTCTTGCCCCAGTCCCCTTCAGGGGCCCCATTTTCTGACAGTTCCTTTAGCCTCTCCCCATAGCTCCTGGCCTGCTGGCTGGAGGTCTCAGTCGCTGCCCACTCTCGGCTGCCACGCACGGGAGGCTGGAGCTGGCAGTAGTGGCCAGAGTCCGGGTCACTGTAGCTGCTGAGTGATGGTGACGGGGAGGCCTTGCCAAGGGTGTGGGAGGGGCTGGTGTGGGGGCCCTTGTCTGACTCCCCATGGGTCTTTGGGGCACTTCCGGGACACAGCTGGGGCTCACTGGAACGGCGGGCGACAGGGGAGGCAGGCAATGCTGTGGCAGAAGGGGCTGCAGGGGCGGCATGGACACGGGTTACTGCAGAAAGGTAGAGAGAGAGGCCCCGTTATAGCAGCTCCCCACCAAAGTGAGATTCCCGCACCCCTTCCCAAAGAACAGGCTCCCTCACTCCTTGTAGGGAGTACAGAGGTGATGTCCCCACCTCCCTGCATCACCAGAGACCAGGGCCGATTGACTCTGGCAAGCTGACCAGCCCAGGTGATGCTCTGAAATCACCAGGACCCAGGAGTTTGCATGGCCCCACCCTGAGGCTGCTGCAGCCTTGGGGACCCACTGCTTGGAGGAGCTTCAGTGATCCGGGGAAGCTGAGTACCTGCTGGAGTTTCTTGTGCCACATGTGATTGTTTCTCGACGAATTAGCAATAATGATTTCCTTTTTTTTTTTTTTTTTTTTTTTTTTGAGTCACTGTCTCGCTCTGTGGCCCAGGCTGGAGTGCAGTGGTGCCATCTAGGCTCACTGCAACCTCCACCTCCTGGGTTCAAGCAATTCTTCAATTCTTGAGCCTCAGCCTCCCGAGTAGCTGGGATTACAGTCATGTGCCACAACGCCTGGCTAACTTTTTTTTGAGTCAGAGTCTCGCTCTGTTGCCTAGGCTGGAGTGCAATGGCATGATCTCAGCTCACTGCAACCCCCGCCTCCCAGGTTCAAGCAATTCTTGTGCCTCAGCCTCCTGAGTAGCTGGGATTACAGATGTGCCCCACCATGCCCGGCCTGAATTAGCAATAATGATTTGTTGCTAAACCTTGTGTGCTAGGAGCTGGCAACATGCTGGAGACATAATGACAGTAAAACCATCATCAAACCTCAAAGGCGATATTTACTAAGCTCTTAGTGCCTGCAAGACCCTTCTTTGTACCTCAGTCTATTTAATCCTTTCAATGTCCTATGAAGTAAGTACTTTTATAATCCTCATTCTACAGATGAGAAAAGTGAAGCTCAGAGAGGTGCACTAACCTGCCCAAGGTCACCCAGCCAGCAAGTGGTACAGCTGAGATTTAAGTCTTGACATCTGGGCTGCTTTACTATACCAGATTGCTTAGAAACTGTCCAATAAGTCATTCTGGCAAGGAATTTTAGGTTTTATACTCAGGGTATTGCTTTGAAATCAAGTTTGTAGTTATGACAAAGTTGGTGGCTCTGTGTTTAGGGAAGGATTTGTGACAACCGATACAGACAGCAACACTTCAATGGAATGCCACCCTAGGCGAAAGTTCCTCCTGAGTCAGCCCCCTCTCGTGACACTTGGCCTGCCACGTGGACAATACGGCCTGTTGAAAACATTCTTTTTATTTTTTTTCCAGAAATGATCTATTGGAATGTTTCTAACAGAGAAACTTTCTTCGTATTTATAAGAAAGCACAGTGTTCCGTACTTTCCACTTAATTTTGCTGCAAACCTAAAACTGCTCTAAAAAATAAAGTCTATTAAGAAAAATAGAGGCCAGGTGCAGTGGCTCATGCCTGTAATCCCAGCACTTTGGGAGGCTGAGGCGGGTGGATCACCTGAGGTCAGGAGTTCGAGACCACCCTGGCCAACATGGTGAAACCCCATCTCTACTAAAAATACAAAAATTAGCTAGGCATGGTGGCACACGCCTGTAATCCCAGCACTGTGGGAGGCCAAGGCAGGTGGATCACCTGAGGTCAGGAGTTCGAGACCACTCTGGCCAACATGACGAAACACCGTCTCTACTAAAAATACAAAAATTAGCCAGGCGTGGTGGCAGGGGTCTGTAATCCCAGCTACTTGGGAGGCTGAAGCAAGAGAATCGCTTGAACCCAGGAGGCGGAGGTTGCAGTGAGCCAAGATCCCACCACTGCACTCCAGCCCACAAGAGCAAAACTGTCACAAAAACAAATAAATAGTTGCTAAATAAACAAACCATGGATACATCTTATATGTTGATATCAACAGTTCTGTTAGCAGGATTCCAGTGTCAGTTCTTTCTCTTGGTAAAGGTCGCGCCTCATAAAAGAGGCGGAAACACACATAACCACACATAGGTGACAGAAGTCTTCAACAACAGATTCCCTCCACCTGCTCCACCCCCTCTGCTGGCCATACCAGTGCTGTAGGCAGGGGAGCTAGGGCTCTCGGAGATGGGCGACATGGGTGAGTGCAGGTCTGGGATCTGGTCCATGCTGAGGGCACAGCTGCGGATGGAGTCCCGAGGGCGGGGCAGCGACGTACTGTGGAGCAGACACCATCATGGGCAGGGAGCCCGGAGGTCAGGGGCCTCAGCCTGCCTCTGGGACCCCCCACCTCTGCACCTTGAACTTCAGAGGCAGAGAAGGCTTGGAGATTATCAAATCCAACCTCCCGACTGACAGGTACCAAAAAAACTGAAGCCCAGATGAGGGAGGGGGCACAGCGAGTCAGGAGCAGAGCTAGGAACCCTGGTGGCTAGAACGCCTGGTTTCTTTTTTTCTTTTTTTGTCTTTTTTCTTTTCTTTTTTGTTTTTTTTTTCGGAGATGGAGTCTCACTCTGTCGCCCAGACTGCAGTGCAGTGGCGTGATTTCAGCTCACTGCAACTGCTGAACCTGCCTCCCGAGTTCAAGACATTCTCCTGCTTCAGCCTCCGAGTAGCTGGGATTACAGGTGCCCGTTACCAAGCGTGGCTAATTTTTTGTATTTTTAGTAGAGATGGGGTTTCACCATGTTGGCCAGGCTTGTCTCAAACTTCTGACCTCAGGTGATTCACCCACCTCATCCTCGCAAAGTGCTGGGATTACAGGCACGAGCCACCACGCTTGGCCATTAGCCCGGTTCCTAGTCGGTATCTTCCACATGACCCTGCTCTCCTCCTTTCCTATCCAGCTTCCCCTCCCACAAAGCTTAGAGCAGCCTGAGGATGAGGCTTGGGGGCACCCAGCTGAGCCAACACTTCTCAAGCTCCTCTGTCCCTCTCCTTTCCCAAGGAGGAGAGGATGGGAAAGGGGGTATAGGCCAGAATTCAACTACCCCATGAGGTGCCTTTGTGCAAATTAGTCAACTACAACCATTCTCTGGGCAGACACGGCCCCTCACTAGTGCCCTCAGCTTGATAAGCAGAATCTTTCCTCCAACCTGGAGAATGGTCTGGGGAGAGGGGCTAGCAGGAAGAGTAGTGAGCCTTAAGGAGTGGGCCCACCATCCCAACCTCTCCTCACTGCTCCCAACTATGCTCAGGATGCCTCAGGCACACATGGTCCGTGGATCCTGACACCATTATGTTTACTGGTTCCCAACCACAGGCCAAGTGGCTGCAGCCCACAGGGTATCCATTCATCAATTCCTTGACTGGGAGCACCCAACCCAGCCCCAGGGAGACAGAGCCTCAAGGGCCTATCCAAGTGCAGGTGGCACAGGACAGCAGATCTCTTTGCAAACAGCCAGGGAAACCACAGAAACTTGGGGCACAGACTTCAGAGTCTACGGACCTGGGTTTGAATCTTGATCCTACCACTCTCTAGCAAGCGGCTTCCCCCCTCTAAGCCTATGTCCTCATCTACAAATTGGGTGTATGGGCAGGACCCACCTCCCAGGAGGAAATGGGCGTTGATGAGATTGGGCACATACAGCACTTAACACTTAGTAGGATCTCAGGAACCGTCAGCTGCTGTGGCTTTTCCCAGCATCTGGGGCCTGATTTTAGCCCCGGAGACAACCAGGTGTGATTAAAATTTGCTGAGAACATCCCATTCCCTGTGCAGTGATTTGCATGCTGTAAAGCCCTCTGCTCAGATGCCCACCTTGGCCTAGCTGGGTAGGATGAGGAGGGGTGGCATCAGGTGGCGGGGACCAGGCCCCTCTCCGGTTCAGGACTCAGGGCTCCCCTGGGGTAGGGAGGGCTGCTTGAATGAAAGCCTTTATAGGTAGGAACATGGGGATAACAGAGGAGAGGTGACAGGGTCAAGGGCACATGGCCAGCGAGTGGCAGAGCTGGGACTGCAACCTGGGTCTGACTCCCTGCAAGCCCTGTGTTCTGTACATCCACAGAGTATGGCCCAACCTTCCTCCCATTCCTCCCTGCACACAGAGGCTCCAGGAGAGTAATTTCATCCCATTTCAGTGTACCTAGGCCTTCTCTTTCTCACTAGCCCTCTCATTACCCACAACCCCATTTGACAAATGGGGCCCTGGCTGACCTGGTGGGGCAGCCATCGCTGCGGGTGACCTTGTCAGCAGTGAGCCCATCGGTCATGGTGACGCTGCGCCGCTTCATGTGGCTGCCCTTGGGGCCTGAGGGGCTGACGGGGCTAGCAGGCTTGCTACTCCCCTGTCCCAGGCCATAGCTGGCCTCGAGGTAGCGCAGTGGGAAGGTGCGGTTCACCGGGCAGTAGATGATGGCACCACTCTGCTCTGACACAGCCTTGCGGCTGCCCACATGATAGCGCACGAGGGCGGGCACGTGGTCAAAGCTCTCCTGCTCAAACAGGTACTGGATGTGTGTGTAGCTCTCGCCTGCCTTCACCACCACCTTGTTGATCTTGAAGTGCAAGGCCTGGTTGCGCCAGCGGCACGTGAGCACATAGTCGCCCAGGCTGGTGAGTGAGTCCCGGATGAGGAAGTCGCCGTTGCGTTGTACCAAGGTCTCCGAGACCTGCAGAAGGCATGGTTAGGCTGGAGTAGGGTGGGGCCAGGAGAGGGTCAGACCCAGGATCTGGGGGACAGAGCAACCCAGGATTAGGGGGCACAGCAAGACCAGACCCAGGGCATAGAGGACCCAATGAACAGAGACATCTGACATCTGAGAGCGGGGATGCAATGACCCAGGTTCACAGGGGGCACCTCAGCCAGAGGCCCTGAGTCTGCAGCACAGAGGCTCAGGAATGGGAGGACCCAACACCTTGGAATGGGAGGCACAGAGGCCCAGGGTCTGGAGGAGTGAGAATGGCTGTGACCTGAGACCCAGGTCTCAGACCCATCCCTTCTCAGGGTTCCGGTTGGGCAGAGTGAATTCCTAATCCTCATTCTTCCAACCACCCAGTGCTCTGGCATGCCTCTGGCCCTTGCACCCTCAAGCTGCTTTTTTGTCCTGGAACACCCTTCCTGCCTTGTCCATCTGATGAACTTCTTTATTATTATTATTATTGTTATTATTATTATTATTATTATTAAGATGGAGTCTCACTGTCACCCAGGCTGGAGTGAGGTGGCACACTCACTGCAACCTCCGCCTCCTTGGTTCAAGTGATTCTCCTGCCTCAGCCTCCTGAGTAGCTGGCATTACAGGTGCATGCCACCATGCCTGGCTAATTTTCGTATTTTTAGTAGAGACGAGGTTTCACCATGTGGGCCAGGCTGGTCTGAAACTCCTGACCTCAGGTGATCTGCCCACCTCAGCCTCCCAAAGTGGTGAGATTACAGGCATGAGCCATCGCACCTGGCCCCACCTGGTGAACTCCTATCCACCTCACAAAGGCTTCCATCCTCAGTGTCCCCTCCTCGGGACTCGCCCATATTCTTACCAGGCACTCTATTCTTGTACTTCTTCCACTAGGCTCTGACTGTCATCCTGCCTGTCAGTCCCCCACCCTGGGCCATTAGCCATCAAGAGAAGCCACCACCTTTTCTACCTCTGCACCCTTGGTGCTTAGCACAGGTCCTGGCAGAGTTGGTGTTTGGCAAAGATCATAGCATAAATGAAAGAAGGAACAAGTGATCTATCAACTTAATTCTGTGGCTTATAAAGTCACCTCAGCCAAGAAACTCAACTTTGCCAAAACTAAGTAGCCCAAAGATTGGTACTCACTAAGCAAACATACAAAAGGCAGATATGTAGACCAGTAACAATAACAGCATAATAATAAGAACAAAGGCCAACATTCATGGTGTCAAGCATCATGTTAAACATTTTACCTGCATTATTTCGTTTAATTTTCACAACACCCCTTTGCAGTAGATACTGAGGCTCGGAGAGGTGAAGCAACTTGTTCAAGGTCACACAGTCAGTAAAGGGCAGAGCTAGACCTCATCCCAGTCCATTCTGATTGAATCCACCAAGCAACAGGTCAGAGCCTCCCAGGTGGCTGCAGCCAGGGCTGGGGCTGGCCAAGGCAGTGGGTGGGAGGGTCCCGGGTTGAAGTCCAGCTCGGGGCCTACTCACCTCTCGGGGGATGCGGCCATGGTACCAGGCATGGCTGCGGAGATCCGTGCTGCTGAGTTTGAGCTCCTCCTCCAATTCCTTGTGGAGTTTCTCTGGCGATGAGTCCAGGATGTACTTCTCCTTGGAGAACTGGGTAGAAAACAGCAAGAGTTGGCATCCAACTTAAAGTCTCCTTCTTCTTTCCCTCCCAACTTCATTCTACCATGGATGAACTCCTCCTATCCTGGGACTCTGGGAACACTAAGGCACAGGTGCCAGACCCTTTCCCATGGGTCCCAGAAAGAGTAAAGAAATCTCAATTCCTTCCACAAAACAATGCCAGCTGCATTCCAGGCCCTGTGCTATATGCCAGGGGTGGATGCAGTGATATATAAACCAAGCCCGGCCCTCAAGGCAGTGCCTAGTCTGAGGAGAGGCAAAAGCAACAGGAGCCTCTGAGTAGAGTGCGGTCAGCACCACAGCGCTGGACAGCGGCAAAGAGCCGGGTGGCTTTTACAAGCGGGATTAAGCCTGGGCACGACAGAGGGGTCTCGGAAGCCTTCCTGGAGGAGATGGCAGTAAGAAAACACTCATTATATACCAAGGGCACCAAACTGTTCTTGAAGTGTTGGAGGGGGATTTCTACAGGTGAATCTTGGAGGTAAGGCAGCAGGTAACTGCAGGAAAAGCTATGAACAAAACCACAGAACTGGTTGGACAAGGATACGTTCTGGGATGGTGCATTCTACAATGCAAGGGTGGGGAAGGGACTATAAACAGGGACACGGGGACCCCAAACAGACATCTGCATTGCCCCTTACAATTTCCAAGGCCATTTCTCCCTTGAAATCCTCAGCAATCCTCACCCAGATGGGGAGACCATGGCCCAGCAGGGAAGCCCAAGGCCACTGAGGGAGATAATGTCCAGTACTCCACCCTCCCACCTGGCCCAGAAACTCCTGGTTTCTTGATTACTGTGGCCTGAAGTTGGAGGCTGATGGATCCCAGGGGCCCTAAGGGAAGAGGAAAGGAAGCCCTTAATGCCAGGTGTACGCCCACCAGAGCCCAGCCCAATCCTGGCTGTGCCTTGTGAGCTCTCTGGGCCTCAATTTCTTCCTCATTAAAATGGGTACAGTGACAGAACCTGCCTCACCTCACTGCGAAGATGAAAAGAGACAGCACTCCAGAGTACTACTAGCACATGGACATCCTCATCACTGCGAGGACATGGGATGGTTCTTCCTCTCCTTCCCCCACCTCCAGGCCCCAAAGATGGCTACTCCAAGACAGACAGACCCCAGCGCTGGCCAGAAGGCAGGACAGATGAGGGAGGGCAGTAAAGGGCCTTCATCCCAGGTGAGTCTCTCCCTGGGGCCCCTCGCTCCTGAGAGTCCGAAGGTCCTCCAGTCCACTCCCTGCCTCCTCAGACTATCCACAGATCTCGCCTCCTAATTCTGTGGCTACATCCCTCACCCCTCTGCTCCCATACTGCCTGGGTTTAGCCTAGTCTGCATTGCTCCCAAGACACCATGATTCCCAGTGTCAGAGATATCTAGAATCTCTGATTCCATTCAACATTGACTAGGTCCCTATCCTGGTCCTGTGCCAGGGCTGAGGACCCAAGGTGGCCTCTGCCCTGGGGGAGGCCTTGCAGACACTGACAATCAATTCCAGGTTTCCTGAATGTCCCGAGATGCACAGAGATGGTGCACCACCAAACTAGTCAGGGGGCAGAGTCAGGAATCACTTCCCTGAAAAGGTGGTGTTTCTGCTGAGGTCTGAAGGACTGGGTGAGCCAAGCAAAAGCACCAGGGTGGAGAGGGCAGGTGGACAGGTGGACAGGGAAGAGCTTCTGGGGAGAGAGCGGCAAAGTCAGGGTCCTACGGGCAGAGCCAAGGGGAGGGAGGGGAGATGAATAAGAAGCTTCCAAGGGGCTGTGGGGGCAGGGGCAGGTGTGGCACGGCTGCCTCAGGGAGCTGGGGTTTATCTGGAGGCCACAGCAGAGCCATGGAGGGGTTTGGAAGTGTTGGGGCAGGTTTAGTCCACTTATGGAGAGCAGCCTAGGGTTTTCCAGGCAGTGGCAGGGCAGATAAGGCGTGGGCAGAAGGAGTGGGGGAAAGGGAGTTTAGATGGCCATTGATTCATGTGGGGGAGCAGGGCGGAGGGGTCAGAGAGGACTCCTGGCCGAGATCCTAGAAGGATGATTGGGACATGCTCTGAGTGGGCAAGGCTGGGGCAGGAGCAGCTTGGTGGTGGACCCATGAAAATTTGGACCTTGAGGAGCCTGCAGGGCTCTGGGGACAGATGGTGGGAGTGGGCGGTTTGCACAGGTGCTCAGGAGAAAGGCGGGGCCTGGGAGTGGGAATTCTGCACATCCTCCGGCCGTGGTAGAAACCGATGCCCCCGAAGGGCAGAGAGGCCCAGGGCTGGGCTAGGATCTGGGCCTTCTCAGACACCTACACTTCTCCAAGGGGTCCCCTACTTCTGGGGGTCCCTGGTCTCTCTCCCTCTCACTCTGCGGTGCTCACACCAGGCTAGTCCTCTTTCCTCATATCACACCAAACCCTGGAAAGGGGAGAGTGGGCGTCACAGGGAAAAAGGGAACCAAGACCTCAGCCTTCTGGCGTCCTCCTTGACAAAGGGCATGCGATTGAGACCTTCCCCCAGTTCCACAGCTGGAGCTAGAGGGACGTGGGCAAAGGAGGGAGGAGGCTGGATGTTGAAGAACCGCCCCAAGGCTGCCACTGTGTGACCTTGAGCCAGTCACTTCCCCTCTCTGGGCCTGGGCAGCCTCATCCGTTAAAGGGGCTGGGAGACTGGGCTCCCCTTTTCCAGCTTAATCACTGGTCACGGAGAGTTTGGGGGGACCAACTTGGTCCTCCCACACACCTGAGGGTGAGGAATCCTAGGGTCCCTGTGCCTTGATCTCACCTCGACCTGGGAGCCCCCAGTTCCCTAGAGTTGGGGGTGCTGGGGTGCGAATGCAGCATCCCTGCGCTCGGCGCCCTGCTATTGGCCAGAGATGATCTCACCGCCTCCCGGCCTGCGCGCGCCTGATTGGCCGGTGCGGGGATGCTGCGCTCCGCCGCCGGCGGGGCAGTCCTTCAGGCGGGCTCCGCGAGCGTGTGTGAGCCTGGGGGAGCGAAGAGCCGACGCGCCTGGCATCTCCCAGGGGGCTCAGGGGGCAGGAGCGCGGAGACCCCCGGACAGGGTCTTAACCCCTTCCCGCCAGCCCGAGCCCAGCATCCCCTCCAGCTCCCCTCGGCGTCCCAACCCCAAGCAAAGCCATCCCCAAAGGATGCTCCGCAGAGAGGCGGGGTCCGGGTCCTCCCCTCCACCCCCTTCCGTTTAACCCTCTCACCGCCGCGGCGCCGTCCTGCACTGCCCGGCCAGCTGGGCTGGGAGAGACCCGCGCCCCAGGCATGTCCAAGCCCACCTAGAGGGCGGGAGGGTGGCGGGCGCTCTGGCCCCAACCCTGGCATCCGAAGCATCCCCCGCGTTTCCTGCTCCTCACTCAGTCTTCAGATCCCAGTCCGGCGCCCCCGGTACAATGGGGAGCCAGGGTGCCCAGGTCAGCCGCAAGGGCCAGCGTACCAGGCGGAGGACCGGCAGGACGCCGGAGACCCCATCTCCCAGTCCCCCCTGCCCCAGCTCTCTCCCTCCTGCGGAGGAGGCAGAAACGGACCGGCATCTACCGCAGCCCAGAGTCCCAGGAGTGGCCGCCGAACCCTCACCCCGCGGAGCGCCTGGGCGCCCAGAGGTGAGGCTGGGGTGACCCCGCCCCCTCCCCGGGTCGGCCGGGCCCAGCCCAGCCCGACCCTGCCGGGCGCCGCTGAGCTGCAGCTCCCCGGCTGGCTCTAGGGCCCCGGGCGGAGCGGCCGGGGGTCCCAGCCCGGCGCGCGTGGCGGGGGCCGAGCCGCCCCCTCACCTGCACCTGCACGAAGGAGCCGCGGTAGAAGCAGCAGGCGGCGGCCGACAGGGCACTCCACAGGCTGCACCGCTCGGTCATGGTGGGGCCAGGCTGCCGGGGCCGGGACGGTGTGGGGGGGCGGTGGCCGGCGGGGCAGGGGCGCAGGGACCAACCGGCTAGGCACCGGCTGCGCGTGCCTCTCAGCGGCGCGATTACCTCATCGCCTTGTCGGGGGAGGAGCGGGGAGGCGGGGCGGGGAGACCCCACCCTCCAGCCGGCCAGGGGAGGGGAGGGGGCCATTGTTCCTCCCTCCGCCCGCCCCCCGCTCCCAGCCCCTCGCCCCCCGCCCTCCAGTTCCGCGCGCTCGGGCTGCCTGGAGCTGCGGGCGCGGAGCGGAGGACCTGCCAAGGAGGGTATTACCGGGGGCAGCGGGATCGGGTGGGGACCCATGGGCCAGCGAGGGGAGGTTCTGCCTCCCCCACTCGCCGCACCTCTAACAGACCGGGAGCGGGCAGAGACTTTGAATTAAATCATATCTAAAACTGGAAAAATCCGTATATGTGCTGGACCAAATTCTCTGTGGCCTCAGGAAATCTCCCAGAGCCCAGGATTTCTCATCCCTGGTTTGGAATCAGAGACTCTGCTGGGAATCGAGGATGTTCACTGACAAGACTCTGGGGGTGCAGAGAGCCAGTAAAGCCCAGTGGTTAGAGGGGCAGCCTGGATTCAACTGTCCCCTAACTACTGGTGCGCCCACTCCCACCAGCTCTTTCCCTGGGATCTACGACTCACTTGTGGAAAATGCACCTGTCAAACGCAGCTAAAGCCTGTGCTGACCTCACAGAACTCTTCTGAGCTTTCGCTGAGCTGGTGCATGTAAGTTGCCAGGCATGAAGTAAGCGCTCAATAAGTGCACGCTATTATTTTCAAGCTTCCTGTCTTAGAAACTGGACTTTTTGGCCTGGCATGGTGGCTCACGCCTGTAATCCCACGCCCTGGGAGACCGGGGCAAGTGCATCACTTGAGGCCAGGAGTTCAAGACCAGTCTGGCCAACATGGTGAAACCCTGTCTCTACTAAAAACACAAAAAAATTAGCCGGGTGTGGTGGCGCATGCCTGCAATCCCAGCTACTCAGGAGGCTGAGGCATGAGAATCGCTTGAACCCAGGAGGCGGAGGTTGCAGTGAGCCAAGATTGTACCACTGCACTCCAGCCCGGGTGATGGAGCAAGACTCTGTCTCAAAAAGAAAAAGAAAAAGAAACTGGACTTTTTGTCTCAGAACCATAGGCTCTTCAATGCAAAGGGAGCCATTGCTGATTCCCCATCAGTCAGGCCTCAGGTCCAAATCCTTCTGACAGGCTGTGTGACCGCAGGTGGGTGAGTCCACCTCTCTGGGCCTCAGTTGTTTGTTTGTTTTCTGTAAATACATCTGAAGCTCTGGGCATGCAGCCTGGAATTTTATGGTCTTGGAATTTAAGAATCCTTGCCTTAGAATCAAAGGATGCACAAAATAGTTTGAGAACTCTGAAGTTCTGGAAGCTGACTCCTCAAAGATGAGTATCTCAAGGTAGGAGGGGGCTTTTTTTTTTTTTTTTTTTTTTGAGATGGAGTCTCGCTCTGTCACCCAGGCTGGAGTGCAGTGGCAATATCTCGGCTCAATGTAAGCTCCGCCTCCCGCGTTCATGCCATTCTCCTGCCTCAGCCTCTCCGAGTAGCTGGGACTACAGGCGCCTGCCACCATGCCCGCTAATTTTTTGTATTTTTAGTAGAGACAGGGTTTCACCGTGGTCTCGATCTCCTGACCTCGTGATCCGCCCACCTCGGCCTCCCAAAGTGCTGGCATTACAAGCATGAGCCTCCACGCCTGGCCTGTTCTTGTTTTTTTGAGACAGAGTTTTGTTCTTGTTGCCCAGGCTGAAGTGGAGTTGAGTGATCTTGGCTCACTGCAATCTCGGCCGCCTGGGCTCAAGCAATTCTCCTGCCTCAGCTTCCCGAGTAGCTGGGATTACAAGTGACAAGTGCCTGCCACCATGCTTGGCTAATTTTTTTTTTTTTTTTTTTTATAGAGATGGGGTTTCACCATGTTGGCCAGGCTGGTCTTGACCTCTTGACCTCAAGTGATCTGCCCGCATTACACGCATAAGCCACCGTGCCCAGCCTAGGAGGGGGCTTTTGGAACCCAACTATTGATTCCTTTTAACCCTCATTTGATTTTTTTTTTTTTTTGAGAGGCAGGGTATCCCTCTGTCGCCCGGTTGGAGTGCAGTGGCATAATCACAGCTCACTGCAGCATTGACCTCCTGGGCTCAAGCAATTCTCTTGCCTCAGCCTCCCGAGTAGCTGGGACTACAGGTGCACACCACCATGCTCAGCTATTTTTTTTTTTCAAGACATGGTCTCACTCTGTCACCCAGGTTGGAGTGCAGTGGCTCAATATCGGCTCACTGCAGCCTCTGCCTCCTGGGTTCGAGTGATTCTCATGCCTCAGCCACCTGAGTAGCTCTGAGTAGCTGGGATTACAGGCATGCACCACCATACCCAGATGATGATGATGATGATGATGATGATGATGATGATGATGATGATTATTATTATTATTATTATTATTTTGAGATGGAGTCTCGCTCCATCACCCAGGCTGGAGTGCAGCGGCAAGATCTCAGCTCACTGCAACCTCCAATTCCCAGATTCAAGCAATTCTCCTGCCTCATCCTCCTGAGTAGCTGGGATTACAGTAGTGTGCCACCACGCCTGGATAACTTTTTTATATCATTTTTTTAGTAGAGATGGGGTTTCTCCATGTTGGCCAGGCTGGTCTTGAACTCCTGACCTCAAGTAATCCACCCACCTCGGCCTCCCAAAGTGCTGAGATTACAGGCGTGAGCCACTGCACCCGGCCAGTTTTTTGTATTTTTAATAGAGGGTTTTCACTATCTTGGCCAGGGTGTTCTCAAACTCCTGGCCTCAAGTGATTTGCCCGCCTTGGCCTCCCAATTCCAAGGCCCAAGGCCCCCAAAGTGCTGGGATTACAGGTGTGAGCCCAGGTGTGAGCCACCGCACCCAGCCTTCCCAGCTAATTTTTATATATTTTTTCTAGAGACAGGATCTTGCTATGTTGCCCAGGCTGGTCTCAAACTCCTGGCCTTAAATGACCCTCCTACTGTGGCCTCCCAGTTGCTGGGATTACAGGCATGAGCCACCGTGCCCAGAACCTCATCTGAGTCTTGAAACTAAAATTAACATTCCTTTGACTTTGTCCTTTGGCAGACTGTTTAATCAGTTCTACTGAGCAGGTATTATTTATTTTACAATGTTAAAAAAAAAAACCTACATTTTTAAACCCTAAAAATAAACTAAAGGAAAAAAATATAAAGCCAACATTCCTCACAGGGATCTCACTACCTTACCAGGCAGCTGGGGTCAATGGGATGCTGAAATATGCCCCCTGCATTCCACCCATTGGCTTTGGTGTTGGTTTTCCCCAGGTCCTCCCTCCCACGGTGGCATAAGGGTTCTGGAATTTCTGCTCAACTTGCTGCTACCCTGGGCTCTGTTTCTGGGCTCACGCAGTTTACTTTCTGACTTTGTCCACACTCCTGCCTCTGCCAGGGCCACTCTCCTACCCATCTCTGCTTAACTTTGTCTCCTTTCTAGCATTTCATACATGGAGAGATCTCAGTGAATGTTCCCAGTCAACTGCAATGGCCTGGCTCCAATGCTTCCTCCTCCAGAAAGCTTTCCTTGATCTCCAGCTCTCCAGCTCCCCAACTAAAAGTCATCCCCTACCTCTGGAGCTCCCACAGCTTCTGGTGATGGTGAGGGGGCAGCAATCTGAGGACTTCCCTCGCTGCTCCATTACTAGTCACTTACATAGAGTTGTGCAGATAGCATCTCAGGGTGATGAAATGTCCCTGCAGTGAGGAGCTAGGCCAGCCCGCCCTGTTCCAGGCCCAGGTCGCCCACTCACGGCCACGGGCTCACTGAAGCCATAGCAACCCTGGGTTGGAGGCACCCCTGTTACCATTTCACACAGTCAAACACAGGCTCAGGGAGGCAATGCCACACCCAAATCCAGTGGCAAGTAAGTGGCAGATCTCAGACTAAAATTTGTTTTTTAGTTTTGTGGGGTTTTCTATATCAGCCTACATCATGCTTTTTTTTTAATCTCTTTTGAGATGGAGTCTTGCTCTGTCGCCCAGGCTGGAGTACAGTGGTGCTATCTCCACTCACTGCAACCTCTCCCTCCTGGGTTCAAGGAAGTCTCCTTCCTCAGCCTCCCCAGTAGCTGGGATTACAGGCATGTGCCACCACGCCTGGCTAATTTTTGTATTTTTAGTAGAGATAGGATTTCGCCATGTTGGCCAGGCTGGCCTCGAACTGCTGACCTCAGGTGATCTGCCCGCCTTGGCCTCCCAAAGTGCTGGGATTACAGGCATGAGCCACTGTGCCCAGCCTGAGCCACTGGGCCTGGCCCATCATGCTTTGACGGGACTAAAATTTGGATTTGCTGGGCATGGTCACTCGTGCTTGTATTCCCAGCACTTTGGGAGGCTGAGGCAGGAGGATCACTTGAGGCCAGGCTTTTGAGACCAGCCTGGGCAACACAGTGAGACCCCACCTTTAAAAAAAAATTGTTTTTTGGCCGGGCGTGGTGGCTCACGCCTGTAATCCCAGCATTTTGGGAGGCCAAGGCAGGCGGATCACGAAGTCAGGAGATCAAGACCATCCTGGCTAACACGGTGAAACTCCGACTCTACTAAAAATATAAAAAATTAGCCCGGCGTGGTGGCAGGCACCTATAGTCCCAGCTACTCGGGAGGCTGAGGCAGGAGAATGGTGTGAACCCGGGAGGCGGAGCTTGCAGTGAGCCAAAATCGCACCACTGTGCTCCAGCCTGGGCAACAGAGTGAGACTCCGTCTCAAAAAAAAAAAAAAATTTTTTTTTTTTTAAATTAGCAGTGGCACACACATGTAGTCCCAGGGACTTAGGAGGCTAAGGTGGGAGGATTGCTTGAGCCCATGAGCTCAAGGCTGCAGTGAGAGACAGAGCGAGATCTTTTAAGAGGTGGCTCTTAAAAAAATAATAATAAAAATAAAAGTTGGATCTGATGGATTGCAAAAAACAAGCGCAAAGCACTATATGCTTCTTCCATGGGTCCCACATGGACCGGGAGCCCTTTGAATTCAGGGCCTGGTGCTCCTTGCCCTCTGCCTACTCTCAGTGCTCAGCACAGGGCGTTGCTTAGGGTGGGGGCTCCTGGGGGTAGAAGGTCAAGGGCTTTGGCTATAGTCCTGGCATCAAACTTGGGGTGTAATCCCAGTTCTTCCTCATAATATCAGGTTGGTGCAAAAGTAACTGTGGTTTTCACCATTAAGAGTATGTGGTGTAGGGGGCTAGGGGAGGGATAGCATTAGGAAAAATACCTAATGTAGATCATGGGTTGATGGGTGCAGCAAACCACCATGGCATGTATATACCTATGTAACAAACCTGCACATTCTGCACATGAACGTGTTACCCCAGAACTTAAAGTATATAAAAATAAAAAAAAGAAAAAAAAAGTAATGTGACCCAGGGCAAGTCACTGCACTTCTCTGGACCTCAAGTTTCCCATCTGTAAACGGGCACAAGAAGGCTCTCCCTACCCAGTGATGAGGGAGAAAATCAAATACCTCTCATGTAAAGAATGCCTCTCCTCCAGTGTCTAGCAGCCAGCACGGGGTCTGCACACAGTAGGCACTCAATATGTTATTTATGATTATTATTATTACTATCATTGTTATTTCAAAACTGCATTTTCTTTTTTTTTCTTTTTTCCCGGGCTGGAGTGCAGTGGCGCAAATCTCAGCTCACTGCAACCTCCGCCTCCTGGGTTCAAGCGATTCTCCTGCCTCAGCTTCCTGAGTAGCTGGGATTACAGGCACGCACCACCACTTCTGGCTAATTTTTTGTATTTTTAGTAGAGATGGGGTTTCACCATGTTGGCCAGACTGGTCCTGCATTCCTGACCTCAGGTGATCCACCCGCCTTGGCATCCCAAAGTGCTGGGATTACAAGCATGAGCCACCGTGCCCGGCCAAAACTGCATTTCAATGTTCCCAGTACCCAGGATAAATGAAGCTTTGGATAAATCTGAGCTGTGCCCATTATCTGTGATAAAGAACTGAGTCATCCTCTCCTGCTCCCTGCTTCCAGCGCCAGCACACAGTAGGTGCACAAAGATTGGGTGGGATTGGAAAGCTGCATCCTTTACATGGAGACACTGTTGGGGCCCCGTCCAGCTGGCAAGTGAGTGGGGTCAGATGATATCAAATATTGGGTTGCCCTGAGTTTGGGGCCAGGAAAGAATAATGGCTGGTGTAGGAAGAAGGTGCTGAGAATGAAACTGGATCCAAATGCTGCCTCGACTCCGAGAACCTCCCCTCCTGGGAATACACAGTGAGGTCTGGCTCCTAACAAGGCTTGAGGAAGGGCTCTGCCCACCCGTAATGGAGCAGGCTCTGAGACCTTCAGTGTCCTCTGACCAACCCCTGGCCAGCCCCTCCTACCTTCACATAGTCGCTGCCAGCCTCTGGCTCTCCAGCAGCCCTGGAAGGAGAAAAGACAAGTGAGCATCCCCAGCCCTGCTTGGCTCCCCAGCTGCCGGTCTCTTGCCTGCCTGCCTGGGGCCAGCACCTGGCCCTTAGGACCCCAGCAGGATCACCCTGAAGGCAGGAGGGGGCACTTATCAGCTGGCCTGGCTCCTCCACTTTCCAGCTGTGCACCCCTAGGCAAGTCCCTTCACCTCTCTGAGCCTGCATTTCGTATCTGTAAATCAGGAATAATGACAGCCTCTGCCTAATGGCATTGACTCAAGGACCCAGGGCGTGATGAACATTACATGCTTATTATGGAGTCTGCTTCCCAAACCACTTTCTTCACTGGACTCCAGACACCACGCCTCCCTGGTTTTCTTCTTCTTCTGTCTGCCTTCCCTACCCCCTCCTCCCACCCCACCCCCATCATCCCTGACTCTAAACACTGGAGGGCCCCAAGTGGGGATCAGCCCGTCCTCTTACCCTGCACTCACTTCCTAGGGTAGAGTGACCCAGTCACGGCCACTGCCCAGCTGACTGCGGAGCCACTGCCGGTGCTAGAGGGCTACAGAATTGATTCTGCCCCCAGGGTGGAGAGCCTGGAGAGGCCAGAGGCCAGAGACGGCTGTTTTTCCTTCCTTCCTCCTGAGGGCCACCGTGAACCACTCCCCCCACCGCATGGCCTTAAATGCTACCCCTACCCTCAGGCAGCCTGGACCTGCCCCTCCAACCCCAGACTTGGAAACCCAACTACCTCCTGGACGCCTCCCCTTGGATATCTGAAGGCCATCTACAACTTGTGTATCCAAAGCAGAACTGTGGCTCCTCCCTGCCCCCTCCCCATCTTCCCCGTCTCAGCTGATGTCAGTTTCCTCTTTCCTGCAGCTTTGGCCAAAAACCCTGTGGTCCTTTGTGCCCCGTCTTCCATTCAGCTCCACGCCCAGTCCACCAGGAAATCCTGCCGCTCCGCCGTCAGAATCCTCTCCGCATGTCCACCCCGTCCCCAAAGTGGGGCCACCCTCGTGTCTCCAGTGGAGCAGAGGAGCCTTCCCTCGGGCTCCGTGTCCACTGCCACCCACAGTCAGCTTCTGCCCCAAGGCCAGAAGGCACCTAAGCTTACAACCTAAGCATTTGATGGCAAACGAACCATCCTCAGCCCTTCAGCGGCTCCCATCTCTAGAAGAACAAAATCTAAACTCCTCTCCATGGCCATGCAATTTATCATCCAAACCAGAACTTTTCTTCCTTTGTGAGAGTAAAGACGGTACCATGATTATGCCAGAAAAACAGGCATAAATTGGCTCATCTGTTCTCCAACCCACAAGGCCCTGTGTGGCCTGCTGGTACCCGACAGCCACCCTGCCGACCCTCCAGGCTGTCTCCCTTGCACCTCATGTCCCTTATTCTGCCTCTGCCCCACCCTCCTTGGCAACTTGTTCCGGCCACAGGGCCTTCGCACTTGCTGTTCCCTCTGCCTGGAATGCTCTTCCCCAAGGGCTTCATGAAGCTTGTCCCTCCTCCCTCTTTATTCAGGGCTTTGCTTAATGTCACCTCTTCGGAGAAGCCTTCCCTGACCTCCCCACCTTGAATAGTCCCTCATTCCTTCACTCTGTGTTCCCAACCCTACTTTATTTTCAATTTTTGCAATTTCTGCCTGAAATGGCCACTTCATATTTATTTATTGACTTAATTATCTGATGCCCTTATGAAAGTGTTGACTTTGTCTAAATCACCACTGAGACCCAGTCCCCAACACAGTGCCTGCAGGAGCTCAAGAAATATTGCTTAAAGAAAAATTAGCCGGGCGTGGCAGTGAACGCCTGTAATCCTGGCTACTTGGGACGCTGAGGCAGGAGAATCACTTGAACCCAAGAAGAAGAGGTTGAAAGAAAGAAATATTGCTTAAAGGGATGCATGAATAGTAAAGAGCCAATTTTAATTGTTGATCGCTGTCATCATTAATTTTGTTAGGCTGGGTCCAGGTTCTCTGGTTAAGAAAGGCCTCAGCCTTCCCATCTGCAAAATGGGGAGGGGAGTCAAATATTGGACCTCCTCCTCAAATACAGGAGCCTAGTATTTACAAACAAAAGAAAGCTGAGATAAAAAATAAAATTGTGAGTTCCCCCAGTCCTAAAGCCAAAAGCTCCTCCTTAAGACGTTGTCTGATAGCCCTCCCTGTTCTAACATACTAGGGTTCTTCATCGCTAATCTTCTCTCCTAGAAAGCCCTAGCTGGTAACTAACCACAGTCCCTCAAGCTACAGCCCAGCAACAGTAGGCTTTTGGGTTCTCTCTGTCCAGCAGCAGTGGGAGTGAGGTAGAGTAGGGACCCCTCCCCCAGCCACCTCCGCCCACTCTTCCCGGGTGAGGCATCCCATCCCAACATTTCCTGCTATTCAGGCCCGGAAATCCTCCCACTGCTGGGAACAGATTGGCCAGGACACTGGATCAACCCAGCGCTTCCTCCTGCTTCCTGTACTTCCCCTCGGGCTCTGGGACAGGGGCAGAGCCTTGGAGACAGGGTGCCTGCACAAGAGATCAGGCCTGACTAGGGTGGCCAGAGCCTATAGGGGTGCTCAGGGCAGAGGACCAGCTCAGGGAAGCTGAGGCTCTGGGGCCACTCTTTCACCCCATGGCCTCACCATGGGGTGGCGCTACAACACTCTGACATGTCCAAGACACAATCACCATGTCCAGTTACAATCCGCTGCCATCACTTGCCTGGACTATCACCACCACCTCCCACTGGCTTCCCTGCCTCCATCTGTGTCCCTGAGACCTATTCTCCCCGCACAGCAGCCACAGCAGTCCTGTTCAAAGGAAGGCCAGATCACAGCTTTCCTCTGCTCCAACCCACTTGCGTGGCCCCCCAGCTTCACTCACAGTAAGAGCCAAGGTCCTGGAAACAGCCTTGCACACTGACCCCATGGCCCACCACACTCCCCCTCACCTGCGCTGCTCCATCTCCCCCACCCCACCTCAGGGTCTTTGCACTTTCTATTCCTGCTGCCTGGAATATTTTTCCGGCAGATATCCCCCGGGTTCCCTCCCTCCTGCTCTTTGTTGTTGTTGTTGTTGTTGTTGCTGTTGAGATGGAGTCTCGCTCCATCGCCCAGGCTGGAGTACAGTGGTGCGATCTTGGCTGACTGCAACCTCCGCCTCCCGTGTCCAAGCGATTCTCCTGCCTCAGCCTCCCAAGTAGCTGGGATTACAGGTGACCACCACCACGCCGGGCTAATTTTTTGTATTTTTAGCAGAGATGGGGTTTCGCCATGTTGGCCAGGCTGGTCTTGAACTCCTGACCTCAGGTGATCTGCCTGCCTCAGCCTCCCAAAAAGTGCTGGGATTACAGGCGTGAGCCACCATGCCTGGCCCTTCAGTTCTTTTTTTTTGAGACAGAGTCTCACTCTGTCATCTAGGCTGGGATGCAGTGGTGAGATCATGGCCACCATAGCCTCGACCTCCTGGCTGGAGCGATCCTCCCGTCTCAGCCTCCCAAAGTGCTGGGATTACAGGTGTGAGCGACCTCACCCAACCCCTCCTTCAGTTCTTCACTAAAATGTCCCCTTCTCAGCAAGGTCTTCCCTGGCCACCCTTTCTGAAAGTGTGATCTTCCTCCACTACCACATTCCCTTCCCTGCTTAATTCTGCCCTGACCCCTCATCTGACTTAGCACGCATTTCCTCTCATGCAGGGACTAGCTCCTCTCACTAGAATGTCAGCCCCACAAGGACAAGGGTTTGTGTTTCTGTCTAGACAACATCAGGAACCATCAGGAACTTAGTAAATATATTTTTTTGAATGAATGAATGAGTGTCACAGCAGCCCCCTGCAGCCCTGAGGACAAAGTCTAGTCCTCCTGGCTGGGCCCTCTGTGACCCAGCCTCTGCTGGTCAAATCTCTTCTCTCTCCTCTCCCTTCCTTGCACTCTGGCCTCCTCAAACTTCCTCCAAAGAGCTCCACCCCCTGCAGCCTCAGGGCCTTTGCACGTGCTGTTCCCTCTGCCTAGAATGTCTTTGCTCCCTTTTGGCTAGGGTCATTCCTACTCAGCCTTCAGAGTTCAGTTTGCTTGGGGATTTCTAGAAAACTCTCCCTCCCATTGTAATGATCAAATCCAGGAATCAAAGCATCCATTTTTAAAACTCAGCTCCACTAATTAATTTATTTATTCCTCATTTTACAAACCTAAAAGAGACTTCTCCTGCCATATTAGTGGTGAAATCAATTAATAAATAATAGTGATAATTGAGCTAAATCAGTCCCATTAATCATCAGCATTAATTATTTAAATAACCAACCCCTTTCACTGCCTGTATTAACTGATTTGTTCTGATAACTGATACCACTTATTGCATACATTAGCTTAATTAATTGGATTAATGAGCAGCAATTAAAGCCCATTATCCTTATTTTCCCAATGCATGTTTAAATCTGAGCTTCACCCTCAGGGCCTTCATCCTGGGCCAGAAGGAAGGGTGACGTTCCCCCAGGGGCCCTGTAGGAGAAGGGGTGGGGAGAGGCTGCCATCCTGCCCCACCCTGGCCCTCTTTCATGATAGTGACCTGGTCCTCTGCATAGGCCTGTCTGCTCTCTCTCCCTGTCTGTTCCCTTGGGCCTTGAGGCCTGGACATACGTCCTCAAGTGGAGACCTCCCCAACCTCTGCCACCTGCCTTTCAGCTTTTCCCCTGCCCCTGATCCCTGGCTCCCTGCCTTCCCTCTCTGAAGCTCAACTTCGTCATCTGTAAAGTGGGCACATTATAACTATCTTCCCAGAGGGTCTGTGAGGACCACATGAGAAGGAGGGGTGCAAGGTTTCCTGGCCCATGTGGGGCTCCTCTTGTTGCTCCAGACTCCACCCATGAAGATCTGCCACCCTCCCACCATGCCCCTCCTGGGGGGCTGAAGTTTCTTTCCTTCCTGTTTTTGTTTGTTTGTTTGTTTGTTTGTTTTGAGATGGAGTCTTGCTCTGTTGCCCAGGCTCAAGTGCAGTGTCATGATCTCGGCTCACTGCAACCTCTGCCTCCCGGGTTCAAGTGATTCTCTTGCCTCAGCCTCCTGAGTAGCTGGGACTACAGGTCTGCGCCACCACGCCCGGCTAGTTTTTGTATTTTTAGTAGAGATGGGGTTTCACCATGTTGGCCAGGCTGGTCTTGAACTCCTGGCATCAGGTGATCCACCTGCCTTGGCCTCCCAAAGTGCTGGGGTTACAGGCGTGAGCCCTGTGCCCAGCTTCTTTCCTTCCTTCACGCCCATCTTCACTCACCCACCGCAGAGAAGCAACGGGCACCTGCCTGCTCTGAGCTTCTCAGTCCTTAAAGGCCCTGGGCAAAAAGAGCTGGGTGGAAAGCCCCGTCTCTGCCAGGACACCAGCCATGGGGCCTGTGGGATTCCCTGCCGGGAAGGCTCTTGGCTTTGGCCCTGCCCCACTCCCCAAGATGGGCCACCATTGTGCCCAGCACATTCTGCTCCCTCTCCACCGTCTGGAGCCCTCAGTTTTCCTGAGTGGGCTGCAGTGTCCAGCAGGAGCTCAGGACGGGCGACAGCCTTGTGAGGAGAAGGCAGAGCAGGGGCCATTCTTCCCAGAGCGGAGCTGAGGATGCTGGGCCCTGACAGCTGCCACCCAAGTCTCAAAACCTGCCAAAGAAGAGAGAAAAGAAAAGGCATCTACTGAGTGCTAGTGGATGAGGGAACGCCTGGATCTCGAAGCCCCATTTTACAGGGGAGAAAACTGAAGCTTGTAACTTGACCCAGGGCATGCAGCTGCTCAGACTAGAACCAGATGGCCTGATGTCTAATTCCCTGCTCTGTTCCTTACATGGGCGGACTCCCCCAGACATTGGGAGCCACTTCTGGGTGCAGAGGAGGTGAAGCTAGAGAGGGAAGGCAAAGAAACAGACAAACAAAAAAACAATATTTCAACCAGAGCCCAGAACCAATGTCAGGAAGAGGAAATGGGGTGGAGCCTGAGAGGGCCCTCGGCTGGGAGGTAGGAAGTGGTGTGGCTCTGGGCAAGTCCCTCTCATCAGGCCTCAGTTTCCCCTTCTACAGCATGAGTAGCTCCTGTTTACTGGTACTTGCTTGGGCCAAGCCCAGAATAAATGCTCCACCTGACATATCCCGTCCTCACAGTGACTCTATGAAGCAGGTGCTGTCACTGTTCTCAATTTACTGATGGGGAAACTAAGGCTCAGAGAAGAAAAGGGACTGGCTCAAGGTCACACAGTCAGTGGGCCTCTGAGCTACTGCTGTACCTGACCCCTATCCTCCCCAGCCCTCACCCCACGCAGGTCCAGCAGCCTGCAACTGGGTCCCCTGGGGGTTTGGGGGGATGTGGATCCAGCTAGGGGCCGGGGGAACAGCCCATCCTTCCCAAGCCAGCCCGGTTCCCACAGCCCAAGGCGTCCGGGGGTCTCAAGGACTGTGAGAAAGTCTCCACAGGAAATGAGAGCCGGGAGCAGCTGGGCCCCTTCGGAAGACAAGGACTAGCCTCCCAGAGTCTGAAGAGGCTGCACAGACACGGCCCACCACGACCCCCACCCCTGGTGGGTAATCGCTACCAGATGCCCAGCAGCTGACGTCACCCTGCAGGGCCGAGAGGGTCGTGGGACTCTGGGGAGAGTTGGGAATTCTTGGACCAGAATCAACATTCCAAAAGGAAATGGAGTGGTGGGGGGAGTATCCTGGCCTGTTTTCAGTGCCTGGCACCAGGGCTGGGGAAGGGGCAACACAGGGTACCCCTGGTTCTCAAGTCTCCATTTCCTTCCAAACAGCCCCTTGGGAGTGAGGGTAGGGGCTTGGATCTCTAGGTGGGAGGCAAAGGACACTCAGATGAGGCACTAAAAAGCGACACAGAACAGCAATCAGATCCTCCTAAAAGTTCGAGGCTGCAGCAAGCTATGATCGAGCCGCTGCACTCCAGCCTGGGCAACAGAATAAAGCCCCTGTCTCAAAAAAACATCAAACACAGAAAAGATTCTCCTAAAAAGAGGTCTTTTAACAACATAAGTCACAGTGGGGCCTGCTGCTGCTCAAGGCCAGCAATGGCTCCCGTTTTGCTCAGAGCCAAAGCCAGGTCCTTGCTGGGCTCTTCCAGGCCCTACGTTATCTGCTCCCATTTCCATCCCAGCCTCCCAGCCCACCCCTCCCTGTCCTCCCCACCTTGCTCTGCCCCGGCCACAGTGGTCTCTACTGTTCCCCAAACATGCCACGTCAGGGCCTTTATACACGCTGTTCCCTTGGCCTGGTATGCTCCTTCCCAGCCAGCAAGAGGGTTTGTCCCTTCGTCTCCTTTGTTCAAACACCACTTCCTCACTGAGCCTTTCTTTCTGGCTAACCTTCTTAAATTGGCACCACCAGCCACTCCCCACTTTCGCCAACCAATTCTAGAGCTGATTTTAAATTTTCTCGTTAAGGCTTTTCTCTTCTAGTCGACCACAGAACTCATTTATCTTGTCTATCTTCTGTCTCCCCTGCCCTGGAATGGGGACTCCATGAGGGCAGGGTTTTGTCTGCCATGCTCACTGCTATCTCCCAGGACCTAGAACAGTGTCTGAGGCATAGCTGTACCTCAGTCAAAATGACAATGAATATCATTCCCATTCAACTAACTGCATCAACTCAAGCAAGTTATTAGCCTCACAAAAATCTCAACATCTTCATCTGTAAAATGGGCTCCTTTCCAGAGAGTCATGGGAAGTCATTTGAAATAATGGTAGAAAAAGCTGGCTGGGTGCGGTGGCTCACGCCTGTAATCCCAGCATTTTGGGAGGCTGAGGCGGGCAGATCACCTGAGGTCAGGAGTTCGAGATCAGCCTGACCAACATGGAGAAACTACGGCTCTACTAAAAACACACACACACACACACAAAATTAGCCAGGCGTGGTGGCGCATGCCTGTAATCCCAGCTACTCGGGAGGCTGAGGCAGAAGAATTGCTTGAACCCAGGAGGCGGAGGTTGCGGTCAGCCGAGATCACACCATTGCACCCCAGCCTGGGCAACAAGAGCAAAACTCCATCTCGAAAAAAAAAAAAAAAAGAAATAAAGAAAAAACAAAAGAAAAACTTTGAGATTTTTACTTGCAGGAGGGGAAATGTGACCTAGTGGTTTAGAGCTTGGGCTTAGTCAGGCCTGGGATCAAATAGTGAGGCCTGACACCCAATTTCTCTGTGACCCCAGGAGAGTCCCTTCCCCTCTCTGAGTCTCAGTCTCCTCACTGGCAAAATGGAGCAAGTAGAGGCTCCCACCTCACACCCCAGTCTAGTGTTGAGCTAGACAACACCTGTCAGGTGCTTGCTGGTTGTCAGCTGGTGATCATGCCTGGTGGGACCCTCGCCTGACAATTCCAGTGTGGGTAGGCGTGGGGTAGGGAGTGCTGGGGCTTCCTGTCCCTCTCTAGGCCTCTGCTTCCTCCTCTGTAGGATGGATTGAGGAGGGAGGGTGCCTCTCTGGGACCTGCAGAAGACTGAAGGTCCTTGGGAGGTAGGGGGCAGGCTAGGCTGGTGCTTTCCTTTTTTAGCCAGGGGAGCTAAAGGTCCCTCCTCCCTCCTTCCTCTTCATCCCCATGATCTCAGCAGGGAACAGGACACCAGGAAACCCCTGCAGCCTCACCTCTTCCCCTTCCTTCCTCCTGCTCCAGGTGCACCCTGTCTCCCCGGGGTGGGGGAGGGACACTGTCTCCCCAGCTTAGGCCTGGGATGGCCTCCTCTAGACACTCAGGAACAGGGCCCCCGAACTTGCTCACTGGCATTTCCCAAATGTCCTCCCCAAACTGAATGGATCCTCAGAGACCATCTCAGGCCCATCTGGGCTACTGGGGAGACTAAGGACCAGAATGGGGCAGGGCTAGTCTGAGATCTCATGGGCCAGGCTGCTCCCCTGACTCCAGGGCACAGGGTTGAGGTTCAGGGACTTCTGGAAGGAATGTTCAACAGTCCCTGGAGGGCAGATGGAGCACTGGGTCCCGGGGCACCAGAAGGGGGCTCAATCTGGTCTGCTAACCCCATCCTCCTCGGGACACTCCAGATGCTGGAGGAGAAGAGTCTCTTCATTTCCTTGGTCAGCTCCTGGCTAAGCATGATGCCAGAGGCACTGTTAGGCCCACCAGGGCTCTGTCCACAGGGGAAGAAGGCTTGGGCTGGGTCCTGGACTTGCCATTCTCAAGGTTTCTCAAGACCACCTTTCTCAGCGGCCCTGGCCCTGCTGGAGAGGAATGTGCTGCCCAGGTGTTAAGAGCATGGGCCAGGAAGCTGGGTTTAAACCCTGGTTCTGACGCTCACTGGCTGTGTCAAACTCGGCAGGCAAATCTTTCTTTCCTCATCTATAAAATGGGGGTGATAGTAGTACCTCCCTCCTGGGGCTGTTGTGTAGAGTAGATAAGCAGATGCCTGACCTGCGGTGACAAAGTTACACCCAAAGAAAACTGGCTTAGAAAAGTCCCTGATGCTAACCCCGCCCCCAAATTTGTCAGCTGCCCCAGGGGTGCAGATTTCCTCCTTCGACCTCTCCTGCTCCCCGCTGGCCCTCCCCAGGCCCAGCTCGGTCACTCACCCTCGGGACCCCAGCGCGGGGCACCTTCGGCCCACAGCAGTCATGCTTCCCCCGCTGTCGCCGCCGGCAACCCGGGGACCTCCTAAACCCAGCGGCTCCTGCCTTTCTCGGGCCACTGAGCTGCAGAGCTCAGTGCCGGACTCCGGGGGCGGAGACTGACCTGTAGACCACGCCCCCAGACACGCCCCTGCGCTCCTTGCCCGGCCCCACTCCACCGCCTACTCCACCGGCAGGGAAGGACGCTCTCCGCCTCGAACACGGCCCTCCGCCTGCGGTCTCGCTCCGCCCCCTCCCCATCAGTCAGTGTCGGGAAGGCCTCGCCCCCTAGCACACCCCTCCGCCTCGCCCGCCCGGCTCCAACGCTCGCTTCCCCAGCAGCTCTCCGCGCAGCCTGGGGTAGGCCACGCCCCTAGACACGCCCTCAACTCCGCCTCGCCTCGCCCCACCCCGCCCCGCCCCGCTCCCGCGAAACTCGGCTTCCCTGGGTGGGAGGGGCCAGGCTCCTGGTGCAGTCTCATACCTTGGGGTGTCTTAGAACGCCCCAGGACCCATCATCAGGCCCTCTCAGCTACATACAATCCTTGGTCCTTTACTCCCGAATGAGGACGAATGTAGGAGGGGATGACAGAAGGCAGCCGGGGATGGTGGAAAAACATGAGTTCTACTAATCGTAAATACAGCATTCCCATTTACTGAGTGCAGCATGCCAGCCACTGTGTTGAGATTTTACAGGTATGTTATTCTTGAATCCTCACCACAACCCGACCAGGTAGATGCTATTGTTACGTCCATTTATCAGATGAGAAACTGAGGCTCCAAGAGAGGAAGAGATTTGTCCAGTCATGCAGCCAGTAAGAGGCAGAATCTGGACTGGATTCACTCTACCCCTTTACATGGTCCTCCTCACTGATCAGGGGTCTAGGCAATTACAGCTCAGAGACAGAGGCTGTGCTTGGTGTCTCAGGAAAAAGCTGCTCAAGAAAGTTACCAGAAAAAAACAAAAGAAAGAAAGGTCCCAGAACTCTGGCCCTACAATTACTTTTGCTCAGGTGGCTTTTTTTTTTTTTTTTTTTTGAGTTGGAGTCTCGCTTTGTCGCCCAGGCTGGAGTGTGCAATGGCGCGATCTTGGGTCACTGCAACCTCTGCCTCCCAGGTTCAAGCAATTCTGATGCCTCAGCCTCCTCAGTAGCTGGGATTACAGGTGCCCGCCGCCACACCCGGCTAATTTTTGTATTTTTAGTAGAGATAGGGCTTCACCATGTTGGTCAGGCTGGTCTCTTTGGCCAGGCTGGTCTCGAACTCCTGACCTTGTGATCTGCCTACCTCGGCCACCCAAAGTGTTGGGATTACAGGCGTGAGCCACTGCGCCCGGCCAGCTGACTTTTTTTCTTTATTTCAACAGGCACATGTGACTGGTGTGGTTGAGACAAAGGTTCTAAGGATTGAAAAGCCGGGGACTCCTTTGGCTGGGATTGAGGGGTCTCCCGGGGTGTGAAAGGCATGGCCCTAGGATTGAGAAGGTGGTGAGTCTAATGTGGTACATAAGTGTGCAGCCTCTGGAAGCAAGCAGATTCCTGCTCAAATCCCAGTTCTGTGTAACCTTGGCTGAGTCTCAGTTTCCCAATCTGTAAGTGGGGCTAATAATTGAATCTTTTTTTTTTTTTTCAAGACTGAGTCTTGCTCTGTTGCCCAGTCTGGAGTACAGTGGTGTGATCTCAGCTCACTGCAACCTCCATCTCCCAAGTTCAAGCAATTCTCGTGCCTCCACCTCCTGAGTAACTGGGACTACAGGCACGCACCACCACGCCCTGCTAGTTTTTGTATTTTTAGTAGAGACGGGGTTTTACCATGTTAGCCAGGCTGTTTTCAAACTCCTAGCCTCCCAAAATACTGGGATTACAGGCATGAGCCACTGCACCCAGCCTTAATGATTGAATCTTCTATGGAGTTTTCAGTGAGATACTTGTTTTGATACCCAGTAAAAATGCTTACTAAATGGGAGCTATTGTCCTATCATCACAATTTGTATTTTTACATGAACTCAACTCACCCTATAACCAAATTAAGCTGACAAATGGTTTTCTAGACTAGGTGGAGGTATTGTCCAGCAGAACTAATGGTGATGATTTGCGTGAGGGGGTTCAGGGCAGGGGTCTAGTGACTGGGTTTAGGACCCATCCAGCAGCTGAGGGCCCATGCTAGAGGCTAACTGGGACTTTGAAGGCAGGGGGTCTCGGTTCACATGCTGGCTTTGTCATTAGCAAATATGCACCCTGACTGAGGCAGATGATGTCACTCTGTGAATCTCAGCTTCCTCATCTGTCCTGTGGAAACAGTAACAGTCTCTCCTTGCCAGTTTTCTTTTGCTAATTACAAGTAAAGGGTTTAGCACAGTACCTGGTCTACAGTAAGCACCTGGTCAATGTGTAGGTTTTTTTCTTTTTAACCCAGATGTGTACTGGGTTAAAAAGAAGCCCCGGCCAGCACTTTGGGAGGCCGAGGCAGGCAGATCACCTGAGGTCAGGAGTTCGAGGCCAGCCTGGACAACATGGTGAAATCCTGTCTCTACTAAAAATACAAAAATTAGCCAAGAGTGGTGTTGGGCGCCTGTAGTCCCAGCTACTCGGGGGGCTGAGGTAGGAGAATTGCTTGGACCCGGGAGGCAGAGGTTGCAGTGAACCGGGATCACACCACTGCACTCCAGCCTGAGAGACAGAGCGACACTCTGTGTCAAAAAAAAAAAAAAGAAAAAGAAAAAAACAGAAGCCATCCCTGCAGGTCCCAACCAGCCCCTGGGCACCTACCTTTCTGAGTGCACGTCCCTGGGAGGTCTCTCCTCTTCTACGTCTCCTGTGGGGACCTCAGGCTTTCTGATGGGGTCTACCTCCACTGCTGAAGGGTTGGGTTCCATTGCTGGGGTGTCCTCTAGAGGGCCAGTGGCCTTCACCATCACCTCTTTGGCTGCCTCCAAGCCTGGGGGGTCGGGTACACCTCCGGGTACCAAGTTGGGCTTGGGACCCGCCTCCTGGGCCTGCCGGGCAGCCTGTGAGTTCTGTGCTTTCTTGATGCTGGGGCGAGGCATGGTGCCCATGTGGCTGTACATGTCACTGGAGCGGGCATAGGCTGGGGGACTCTTGGGCACCGTCACCATGTCATCCTGCGTGGCTTCAAAGGTGTCAGGCTCCAAATGGGACTGCCTACTGATGGAAGCTGAGGATCGTCTCAGAGTGAAGGACCGAGGGAGGTTGGAGAGACTCCCAAAGCCCTTGAACTTGAAGAACTCTAGCAGAGGGGAAGGGAAGGAAAAGAAGTTAATGACAATGTCAACATCAGTGATAATAATGAACAATTCCTGCAGTTTCACTCGGTGAGGGGCTGAAGAGGGCTGGCGGTTTCCCAGACACCCCTTCTAAAATTGTTAACACGCCCCTAGAAATGGTATAAGATGGGAGCTTTGGAGTCACGGGGCCCTGGACTTGAATTCCTGCTCTTTCACATCCTAGCTGTGTGACCTTAGGCAAGTCACTTGACCTCTCTAAGCTTAGCCTCATTCTCCACATCAGTAAAATAGAGATTCTAGCACCTACCCACTAGGGCAATGTGAGAATTACAGAAAAGCTTAGGCCAGGCGTGGTGGCTCATGCCTGTAATCCCAGCACTTTGGGAGGCCGAGGCGGGTGGATCACCTGAGGTCAGGAGTTCGAGACCAGCCTGGACAACATGATGAAACCCCTTCTCTACTAACAATACAAACATTAGCCGGGTGTGGTGGCGCACCTGTAATCCCAGCTTCTTGGGAGGCTGAGGCAGGAGAATTGCTTGAACCCGGGAGGCGGAGGTTGCAGTGAGCCGAGACTGCACCATTGCATTCCAGCCTGGGCAATAAGAGCAAAACTCCGTCTCAAAATTAAAAAGAAAAAGAAAGAAAAGATTATAAATAACATGCTTAACATGGTGCTTGGCACACAGAATAGCCTCAATCAGAATTAGCAAAGATGATGATGATGACGATAATAAATGTTTCTCAGCTGGGTGTGGTGGCTCACACCTGTCATCCCAACACTTTGGAAAGATGAGCCAGGAGGACTGCTTGAGGTCAAGAGTTCAAAACCAGCCTCGGCAACATAGCAAGACCCTGTCTCTACAAAAAATAAAAAAGTAAGGCCTGGTGCCATGGCTTATGCCTATGATCCCAGCACTTTGGGAGGCTGAGGCGGGCAGATCATCTGAGGTCAGGAGTTCGAGACCAGCCTGGTCAACATGGTGAAACCCTGTCTCTACTAAAAATACAAAAATTAGCTGGGCATGGTGCATGCCTGTAATCCCAGCTACTTGGGAGGCTGAGGCAGGATAATAGCCTGAATCCTGGAGGTGGAGGTTGCAGTGAGCCGAGATTGCACCATTGCACTCCAGCCTGGGTGACAAGAGTGAGACTCCATCTCAAAATGAATAAATAAATAAATAAAAATAAAAAGTTAGCTGGACATGCTGGTGTGTGCCTGTAATCCCAGCTACTTGGGAGGCTGAGGCAGGAGGATCGCTTGAAACCAGGAGTTCAAGGTTGCCGTGCATTATGATGGCACCACTGCACTCCAGCCTGAGCAACAGGGCAAGAGCCTGTCTCTAATAGCAATAATTATTTATTTATTATTTTTTCTTTTGAGACAGAGTCTCGCTCTGTCACCCAGGCTGGAGTGCAGTGGTGCAATCCTGGCTCACTGCAACCTCCACCTTCTGGGTTCAAGCGATTCTCCTGCCTCAGCCTCCCGAGTAACTGGGATTACAGGCACGTGCCACCACGCCCAACTGGTTTTTGTATTTTTAGTACAGACAGGGTTTCACCATGTTGGCCAGGCTAGTCTCAAACTCCTGACCTCAAGGGATCCACCCACCTCGGCCTCCCAAAGTGTTGGGATTACAGGGGTAAGACACCGTGCCTGGCCACTAATAATAATAATTTAAAAATTTCTGAAAATGATTCTGCATCTGCCAAATGTGCTGCATGAATTCTCAGCATAACTCAGTGACACAGTTTAATCCCCATTTTCCAGATGCGAAAATTGAGATTCAGAGCAGTGTAATGAACCGAGCTCACACCGCTGGTAGGTGGAGCAGGTGTGCGTGTTTTGTGCTCATGTAGGGGGTTGGGGAGTGTTCCAGCCAGCCTCTGTGCACCTGGGGTGGGGGTGGAATGAGGAGGGGGTTGTTGTGAGCCTGAGGGTCGCACTGTCTGTGGTTCTCTCCTTCCTGTCAGCTGAGCCCAGCTCCAGACTCAAGAGGAACGGCTGGGGTGATACCATCTCCTGGTTTCTGCGGGGGTGTATGTGAGTTCCCTCCCCCTGCCCCCAGCTGTGGGACTGTCCCTTCTCACAGCCACCACCAACTGACTTCCCCACAGCCTCCAGATGAGCAAAAAGGTAAAACTCCGGCATTTTCCACATCCTCAGCATCCTCCACCTCCTCAGCTGTTCGCACCCGTGCTGGGATGCAGGTAGGATGCCCCCAGTTGACAAGGGAGGAAACTGAGGCCCAGCAATGGGGAGGGACTCCCCCAGGGTCACACAGCAAGGCCATGGCTGAGCCTGGACACAGGCCCAGGGCTCAGCACAGCTGGGTCAGTGCTCAGGGGTTTGCTTCCCAGCCCTGCCGGCCCTATTTGGTTATTGCCTTGGTCTCCTGAGAAACGTGTCGGCAAATGTGGCCGCTCTGCTGCATGCGGTGGGGGTGGAAATTGAATCAGTGGCCAGAGGGAGGACCCCCAACTGCCTTCTTTCTCAGCACCACTGGTTTTGCCTCCTGGGCACCAGACGTTTGGAGGAGATAGTGGGGGCTGGGAGGGAAACTGAGGCCCAGAGTCCAGGGTCTGGGATTGGGCCCTGCTCAATAGCCCGTGTGACCTCAAGCAAGTCTCTGGGCCTCAGCGTTGCCATCTGGGAAATGCAGTCATAATCGCCTCAGCATTGCCATCTGGGAAATGCAGTCACAATCACTGCCCTTTACGCCACATGTCCCCCACCCTGGTGGGGTCAGATCAAAGGAATCAGGAGACAGAAAAAGTTTGCTGGGACTGGGAAGGACAGACACAGGAAAACAGAGCAGTGGGCAAGTGTGGCCCCTCACCGTGGAGCCTGATTCTAGTACCTCTGTGCTCTTTCCCCACCCAAGTATTGGGTCCCAGCCTCACTGCTGTTGGGAATGTGAGACAGCATCCCATGACACCCCCATCCCCCTGCCGCCCCAGTAACTCCCCACCTGGGATCCCATGATGCCCCCATCCCCCTGCCGCCCCAGTAACTCCCCACCTGGGATCCCATGATGCCCCCATCCCCCTGCTGCCCCAGTAACTCCCCACCTGGGATCCCATGACGCCCCCATCCCTCTGCTGCCCCAGTAACTCCCCACCTGAGATCCCATGTGAGCCCAGGCCTGCGGGCAGGGGATGGAGTGTGCGAATGCCTCCCCTGCCCGGCCGCAAGGTCAGAGACAGCCAGAGACACAGTGGACTGCAGAGATCGAGAGACGCGGTGGGGAGACAAAGAGACGGATAAAGAGAAGCACAGAGATGGAGAACGAAGTCAGTCAGAGAGACAGAGATGCTGGGCCAGAGTGACAGCCAGAAAGCCACGGGATGCCCAGAAGCAGAGACGTCTGCAGAGAGACAGTGATGGACAAAGAGAAACAGAAACAAGGCGGGAAACAGGAGGATCGCTTGAGCCCAGGAGATCGAGACCAGCCTGGGCAACAAAGTGAGAACCCACCCCGGTCTCTAAAAAAAAAAAAAAATCAGTTTTATTTTACTTTATTTATTTACTTATTTTTTGAGATGCAGTCTCGCTGTGTCGCCCAGACTGGAGTGCAGTGGTGCAATCTCTGCTCACTGCTATCTCCACCTCCTGGGTTCAAGCGTTTCTTCTGCCTCAGCCTCCTGAGTAGCTGGGATTACAGGTGCGTGTCACCATACCCAGCTAATTTTTTGTATTTTTAGTAGAGAGGGGTTTCACCATGTTGGCCAGGCTGGTCTCGAACTCCTGACCTCAGGTGATCCACCAGCCTCGGCCTCCCAAAGTGCTGGGATTACAGGCGTGAGCCACCACTGCACCTGGCCAAAAAAAAAAAAAAAGATTTAATTGTGCCTGGAGTCCTAGCTACTTGCCTAGCTTCTTAGGAGGCTGAGGTGGGAGGATCACTTGAGCCTGGGAAGTCAAGGCTGCAGTGAGCCGAGATTGTGCCACTGCACTCCAGCCTGGGTGACAGAGACGCTGGTGTCCAAAAGCAAAAAACAAAAAAAGAAAAAGAGTGAGAGAGAGAAAAACAGAAATGAGACAGTGATGAAGAAACAGATGCAGAGAGAGGCCCAGAGGAGAGCCAGGGATGGAGGACAGTGCAGACGGCACCCCACACTCACTGAACTTTTTGCTGGTCTTCTTGGTCCCCTCTGTCATCTTGGCAAATTGTGTGAAGCCCTTGGCCAGCTTGCGAGTGGCCACTCAAGGCTCGGGACATCAAAGTTGAGGTGCCTCTCCCACCTCCCCTTCCCCTTTCTCTTACTCGCTTCCTCTGTGTATTTTTAAACCAGTGAAACTCCCACAGCTCCACCCTCCCCACCCTCTCCGCAGGGGGCGGGGGCTGGGGCCTCTCCTAGCCCCAGCCCCTGTGGGCCGCCTCCTTGGCCTCAGCAGCAGGGGCAGGGGCCAGACCGCAAGCCCCTGGGACCTGGAAGGTCTAAGGAGCAGGCCGCAGGCTCTGGGAACGGAGCCCAGTGGGCTGGGGGCCGCTGGGGACCTGCCAACAGCTGTCAGGGGGCCTGGCCATCAGGCTGGGAAGGTGAGGGGAGTCAGGCCTGTGTGCAGGGCAGTTGCTTCTCAGCCTCTGTACCCAGGAGAGGGACTGGCAGCTGCAGATGGGAGAGTGCTGTGGTCAGGCCTGTGGACTCTGGGCCCCCCAGACCCAAGTTCCACTCTTGGCTGGCCATTTCGCCACGGTGTGACGTCCTCCCTGTGAACCGGGGGTACTCGCAGTGCCCACTTCATCGGGTTCAGCCATGGGTGTAGGGCCTGGCACAGAATCGGTGCCTACCAAAGCACAGTCACCACTTTCCAAGCTATCAGGGAGATGTCATCATGTGTTCCACTGTACTCACTGGACAGAGATGATGAAACCGAGGCACAGAGAGGCAGAGGGATTTCCCCAGGTAACACAGCTGGTTGCTGGCCCAGACTGGGCCACAACTCTCCCTTCTAGGCCCCTTAACCCACGGGCTGGTGCCTTTCCACCCTACAAACTTGCCATGTGTGCATGCTCAGGTGGGCAGACCGAGATGAGGAAATGCAACCTCCCCTCCACGGGTCATCCTGGACATCTGCAAAGGGTGTCAGCAGCTGCTGGGGCTGGGGGCGGGGCCCAAGACCCAGGGCTGCCAATCCCAGCTACTTCCACCTCCCAAGCCTCAGTCACCTGATTTCTAGAATGGGGAGAAGTGGGAGGTATGCAGCCAACCTGCCAACCAGTGGGGGTTCAACATTTTATCCTGGACCCCAGGCTGGCAACCCAGGCTGTGAGAGGAGTCCACTGCCATCTGATAGGGCACTTCCTGCATCCTCCATTAACAGTAACAGCCCCAGGGTGGGCGCGGTGGCTCACACCTGTAATCCCAGCATCTTGGGAGGCCGAGGTGGGTGGATCACCTGAGGTCAGGGGTTTGAGCACAGCCTGGCCAACATAGTGAAACCTCGTCTCTACTAAAAATACATTTTAAAAAATTAGCCGGGTGTGGTGGTGTGCAACTGCATTCCCAGCTACTCGGGAGGCTGAGGCAGGAGAATTGAACCAGGGAGGCGGAGGTTGCAGTGAGCCGAGATCGCGCCACTGCACTCCAGCCTGGCGAAAGAGGGAGACCCTATCTCAAAAAAAAAAAAAAAAAAGCAGAGGCAGACACTGGACAGACTGACAACCAAGTGTCCTAACTCCCTGGCTGGTGTCCCCTAGCGGAAGATAGAAAGTAGGTCCGCGGCTTCTGTCCCAGGATGGGGTTGCAGTGTGACTTGGGTTAGCTGCCAAGGCTATGCTGCTTCCTGGCCAGGCCTGCTCCCGACTTGCTGTGTGATCTCGCACAAGACACTTTGCCTCTCTGGGCCACAGTTTCCTCATCTGTTAAATAGAGCCACAGCAGCTCCCCCTCCATGGGGTTGTTGGGAGGGTGAGAGAAGCAAACACTGGTCCAAGCCAGCACACCGTGGGCCTCCGCGAGCCCTGGCTGTGGTTGCTGAGAGATGGACACAGATAAGGGGCAGATTGGCACAGGACAGGGAATCCTGACAGGGACAGGCAGGCACAAGGCACAAGACCTGGGAATCTCAGCCACAGAGATGCTGTGTTGCTGCGGCAGAGGCGCCTCGTCAGTGCTGGGGCCTGTCTGCTCTTGGCCCGGGCGCCAGGGCAGTTTCTGGCACCCCTAGGAGAATGAATAGGGCTCAGTGTGGTGGCTCCGCTGAGCTCAGAGCCCCCTTTGTGCTGCCTGGAGTGGCCGTTAGGAGTGCGACCGAGGACCTGCCGGTGGGTGGCTGTCCTGCAGGAGCTCTTCAGCTTGCACTGGAGGGCAGGTCAGCCCAGCCCATGGTCCCCTGTCCTGAACACCCCCGAGTGCTTTCCTGCCTCCAGGCCTTCGCTCAGGCTGGCCTCACACCACTGGGAATGCAGCTCTGCCCTCCCCGCCTCAGGCTTTTACCTCCTTTGGATCCCTACAGGTTGGCTTGAGGCTACAGTGCCCCAGAATCCCTGAACTTTTTTCTTTTTCTTTTCTTTTTTTTTTTTTTTGAGACAGAGTCTTAAAAAAACTTACGACAGAGACTTAAAAAAAAAAAACAAAACTTGTCACCCAGGGTAGAGTTCAGTGGCGCAATCTTAGTACTGCAACCTCCGCCTCCTGAGTTTAAGCAATTCTCCTGCCTCAGCCTCCTGACTAGCTGAGATTACAGGCGTGCCCCACCACGCCCGGCTAATTTATTTATTTATTTTTTAGTAGAGACGGGGTTTCACTATGTTGCTCAGGCTGGTCTCGAACTCCTGACCTCAGGTGATCCTCCAGCCTCAGCCTCCCAAAGTGCTGGGATTACAGGCGTAAGCCACCACGCCCAGCCCCCTGCTCTCACTTCTGTCCCCTATCCTTGCCCCTCTTCCTCAGTCTGTGACTCAAGCAGGGATAGTGTTGGGGGGCCTATGGAGAGGAGGGAGAAGACAGGCTCACAGACAGGGCAGAGTTGGAGACCTTAAACTTCATCGTCAAAGGCATCAGGCCCACGCAATCCTGGGTTCAATCCCCACCTCCATGACCTTGGGCAAGTCATGTCACCTCTCTGAGCCTCTTTTTTTTTTCCCCATCAGTAAAATAGGATAAATATAACATCCCTTACATGATCTCATGGCAGCAAAATAAAATATTTATACCAAGAGTATCATTTTGATTTAATCCCCTTGTGTCTTTATTTGCATGTTCCGAACAGACCTGAAGCCTTCTGAGAGAGGCCGGGGCCTTACCCATCCACACTAGCCCCCTTCCATATGAGGACTGGATCATGGGTGCTCAACAGATGCTTCTCCCTCAGTTGACCTGACATTGGGGACAGTGTGGGATGATGGCAAATGACCCTGGGCTTTGAGAGTAAAGAAACCTGGCTTTAAATCCCAGCTTCATAGCTTCCTGGCTGTGTAGCCTGGGGCAGGCCACACCAATCTGGGCCTCAATTTCCCCTTTCGTAACTTGGGTCTAATAATAACAACCTCCTAATAGGGCTGCTGGAGAGTTTCAGGGAGACAATGCAAGTCAACCCCAGGCCAGGCACTGAGTCAGTTCCTGGCTAGTGTGGGCAGAACTTCTGTGATTAATTGATTGATTGGAGACAGAGTTTCGCTCTTGTTGCCCAGGCTGGGTGCAGTCTCCAGATCTCAGCTCACCGCAACCTGCTCAGACTCTGCAATCACTCCCGGACTCAAGTGAGTCTTCTGCCTCAGGCCTCCTGAGTAGCTGGGATTACAGGCGCCACCACGTCTGGTTAATTTTCTGTATTTTTATTAGAGACGGGGTTTCATCATGTTGGCCAGGTTGGTCTCGAACTCCTGACCTCAGGTGATCCACCTGCCTCAGCCTCCCAAAGTGCAGGGATTACAGGCATGAGTCACCGCACCCGGCCAATTATTATTATTATTATTATTATTACTATTATTATTATTATTGAGATGGAGTCTCATTCTTGCCCAGACTGGAGTGCAGTGGCACAATCCTGGCTCACTGCAACCTCCACCTCCCAGGTTCCAGTGATTCTCCTGACTCAGCCTCCCAAGTAGCTGGGATTACAGATGCACGCCATCACACCCAGCTAATTTTCCTACTTTTAGTAGAGACGGGGTTTCGCCATGTTGGCCAGACTGGTCTCGAACTCCTGACCTCAGGTGATTCACCTGCCTCCTCCTCCAAAAGTGGGGATTACAGGTATGAGCCACTGCAAACAGGCAACTTTTGTGATTTTAGAGGGTTGTGGGTATCACAGGCTGTTCTCCGTCCTGTACCCCTGCTATCCAGTTGACCCACTGTCTCTTCAGATGCACCAAAAGCCAAGAGCAGCCCATTCCATGAACCCATCTTCTCCTTCCCTCCTATGCTTCCCGTCTGTCTCTGCTCAGAGGAAAACAGGGGGTCCAGGCTGGGGTCAGACAGCTGTCCAGCGCCTCCCTTTCCTGTGCTGCCCTCACCTTCTCTGTTAAATGGCAGCAGGACCAGCGGCTCTCTTGGGGCAGACATCTACCAAGGACTGGCCACATGCCCAGCCTTGCCAGCTTAGCCGACCCCTGGGAAGCAGGAAACGTTTCCAGTCAATGAGAAATCACTCATTTCTTCTTATTTCTGCCTGGGTTTTGCCAGCTTGGTGATCTGGGGCCCCGGACCTGGGCAGCCTGGGTAGCTTTCTGACAGGCTTCCGGCCTTTCCTGCCTCTCTTGCCTGCCTGCATCCCACAGTGGGGACTGAGGCCCTGAGGCCCCAAGGGGAAGTGGCGGGCGGATGCTGGGGTTCAGACGAGGGATGGCGGGGTGTAGGTGACAACTCCACCGGAACTTCTGCTAGGGCCTTTGCCCACAGGATGTGACTTAGGGAGGGCTCATGGGAAACGGCAGGCCCTGGCTTGAGATGTAGTCGGATAATGGAGGCCACACAAGCCCACCGCAGATCCCCGCCCACCGCACTACTGCTCAGACCCCAGCAATGCCGTGGCTCCACCCCTAGGCCAGATGGGCAGGGCCCCGAGATGGGGAAGTGCTGGGGTTTGTGCCAGACTGACCTGGTTCAAATACCAGTATGGTCACTGACCAGCTGTTTGACCCAGGCCAAGTGATGTCACCTCGGGATCCTGATGTGTACAATGGAGGTGACAACAGTACCCATGTGGTTGAGTGGCAACCGAGATAATTCCCATAAAGTGCCAAGTGTAGGGCTTGGACCATTTATTTTCCGTCAATAAGTTGTCATTACTAAAATTTTTATGGTCTCACTCCTTATCCTCCCCACCTCCAATTTAGGGAACAGCCTCCTGCTTCTAATAGTGTAAGCCATGAAGCCGACCCTACGTCACTAACTGCCTAAACCCCTCTCTTGCTTCACGTTACTCTCAGGAGAGGGCTCCTTCCTCCTCAGCCTGACCTTCCAGCCCCTCCCTGGTAGTGCCCTTCCCCAGAACAAGACCTCTTGTGACATCAAGGTCACCAAAGCCATTCCTGCCTCCTCCTAGGAGGCTTTGAGGCTAAGCAGTGTGGGGTGAGAGCTGGGAGCCACCCCGAGGGCTTTTTTTTGAGACGGAATCTCTCTCTGTCACCAGGCTGGAGTGCAGTGGCAAGACCTCGGCTCACTGCAACCTCCACCTCCTGGGTTCAAGCAATTCTCCTGCCTCAGCCTCCCAAGTAGCTGGGACTACAGGCGCCCAATACCACGCCTGGCTAATTTTTGTCTTTTTAGTAGAGACGGGGTTTCAACATATTGGCCAGGCTGGCTCCAACTCCTGACCTTGTGATCCGCCTGCCTTGGTCTCCCAAAGTGCTGGGATTACAGGCGTGAGCCACCGCGCCCACTCCAATGGCTTCTTGCAGGAAGAGAGGGTAACGAGAGTCTGGGGGAGTGTAGGATCAGGGGAGCACCGCCCTGAACGCAGAAAGGCTTGGGGAGACAGTAGAGAGATTTGCATGGCCACAGCTTGAGGGGTGGGGTGTGAACTGGAAAGAGCCTCCAATGTCACATTCAGGTTCTTCGGGGACAGAGAGGCCAGACTGGGGGGCTAGGTCTCAGGATCCACCCGCAGAGGGCTGGAGAGGAGGGGGCAGATTGAAGCGGGGCAGAGGAGGCAGAAAAGACGGCTTTGCTGGAGGCTGTCCTTGGGCAGAGCTGGAGGGGGAATCTGGGGGCCGCTGGAGCCAGGAAGATGCGAGGGAAGGGATGGGCGCGATGGGGGAGGGAGATGGGGGGGGTGAACGGTGAGCTCGCGCCTGCATAAGGACAGCAGGCCTCCCCACTGCTATCCTCCTGGCCCAACAGCGAATAGCGTGAGTCAAGAGAATCCCCTCACTCAGACACCCAGGTTCGGGTCCCAACTTTGTCGCCGTGTGACCTTGGGCAAATGACCTCACCTCTGAGCCTCAACGTCTTCTTCTGCAAAATGGGTTAGTGATCCTGACTATGGGGCTGTTGATTCAGGATTCGGCGGGAACGCCCAGCACTTCCTGAGTACACAAGAGTGCTGAGAAAATGGTAGCTGTTTTTTGCGATTACTGACTCGGGGCCCGACCAGCTCTGGCACGACTCAGCGGAGGTGGGAGTCCTGCGGGTCCCATCCCTGCCTCCCGGAGAGCCAGACCCCAGCGATAGAAGGCCCGGGCGTTGCTTGCTCGTCGCCGCTAGTGCCGCCGCGCCCCCTGGCGGCCGTCGGTTGCCATGTCAACGGAGGGTGGCGGGGACCGGGGGAGGCGGAGGCGGGGGCCGTTCTCTCCTCCCAGGGCCGGAGGACGCTCCCTCCGCGCCTCCCGCCTTCGCCTCTGTGGGGGCACTCCGAGCCGGGGAGGAAGGGGCTTTCCGCTGCAGCCGACATGTGGGGGTAAACTGAGGCACGCGGCAGGGCGCCCGCAGCCAGGTGCCGAGCGCGGGGCCCCACCTCCGAAGGCGGAGGAGGGGCCGCGGGCGGTGACGCGCCGAGGGCGGCCGGCGGACAGCGAGCGGGCGGGCGGTGGCGGCGGCGGCAGGTGCGGCCGCGGAGGGTGGGAGGGAGGAGGGCGGGGGCGGGCGGAGGAGGAGGGGAGGGCGAGGCCGGGCACCTCCCCCTTTATAACGCGCCCCCTCCTGGGCTCTCGGGCCGTCTCCTAGTCGGCTCTTCCCGTCTCGCCCCCTCGCCCGGCCGCCCCGGGCCCGGGTCCGGCCAGGGAGCTCCCAGGCCGCGGCTCGGGGGCTGACCCCCCGCCCGCCGCCCCGCGCAGCCCGGCGGAGGCGGCGCCGTCGGAGGAGGAGGAGCAGGGCACTGCGGCTGGCCCCGGATCGGGCGCCAGAGCGGCAGCAGCTTCGGCAGCAGCGGCGGCCCGGGCCCATGCAGCGGGACGCGCCACCCCGAGCCCCAGCTCCGGCGCCCCGGCTCCCCGCGCCCCCGATCGGGGCCGCCGCTAGTAGTGGCGGCGGCGGAGGCGGGGGCAGCGGCGGCGGCGGCGGAGGCGCCTCTGCAGCTCCGGCTCCCCCTGGCCTCTCGGGAACTACAAGTCCCAGGGGGCCTGGCGGTGGGCGGCGGGCGGAAGAGGCGGGGTCGGCGCCGCGAGGCCGGAAGTGGCCGTGGAGGCGGAAGTGGCGCGGCCGCGGAGGGGCCTGGAGTGCGGCGGCGGCGGGACCCGGAGCAGGAGCGGCGGCAGCAGCGACTGGGGGCGGCGGCGGCGCGTTGGAGGCGGCCATGGCAAAGCAGTACGACTCGGTGGAGTGCCCTTTTTGTGATGAAGTTTCCAAATACGAGAAGCTCGCCAAGATCGGCCAAGGCACCTTCGGGTAAGGCTGGGCCCCTCGGGGCCGGGAGCCCTGGGCCTGCACCCCTAGGGCCGACGTCGGGATGCCCGGGCCCCCCCCGAGTTGGTAGAGAAGTCGTCTGTCCCCGGGCTTGCCTGCTGGTCTCTAGGCCGCGCCGCACCCCGCCCCGGCCTGACGGAGCCGGCTGGTGGGGAGGAGCCTGAGGCCCGTGGTGGGGGCGGGGAGGGGCTGCAGAGAGGCGCCCGTGAGGGGAGCGGGATCTCTCCAAGGGACGCCCAAGTGAGGAGAAGGGACTGAGGGAAGGAAGCAGAGGCTCCGAACGAGACAGGCTGCCGGGTGGCGGGGTAGCCGCGTGCCCTGGGTACCTAGCCCAGCCCCGCCCGGGAATCTCTTTGCTGCTGCCCCTCCTCCTGTAGTGGGGGAGGGGCGGGCCCTGCGGAAATGGCCTGATGAGTTCTCGGGTCTCCCTTTCCGCCTGCAGGGAGGTGTTCAAGGCCAGGCACCGCAAGACCGGCCAGAAGGTGGCTCTGAAGAAGGTGCTGATGGAAAACGAGAAGGAGGGGGTGAGTACGGATCGGGCGTGCGGGCCGGCCGGCTAACTGCCCGGGACCCCGGGTCGGTTTTCCACCCTGCTGCTTCTGGGAGTCTCAGGTTGAGATTTAATTTTTTTGTAGTAGTTCAGAAATTTCCAGGGAATGTGGCTTCCACCCTAAAACTAAATGTTTCATTCTTAGGCAGTTATGGGTGAGGCCAGGAGGGGGAGTTGATGCATGCATCGTGTGCACTTTATTTCACGAAGTTAGGAAGCCTTTAAACACCTTTTTTTAGTGTTAAATTTCGCTTAATGTAAAAGAAAGATTATATATGCATGCTTTTTGAAAGGTGTCTGATACTCAATTATTTAATGTATTTAAAAGGAGCGGTCCCTTCTCCACCCCATCTTAGCTCTAGTACAACTTCCCATAAACCTTCTTTTGCGTAATGTGCATTAGCAAGGACATTTTTAAATCATCATGTTTGTTGCCAACGAAACAGCCATAGAGCTGAAATTTGAAGACTGAAACCGCCGAGCGTTTAGTGGCTAATAGCAAAGTATTGCTGTTTCAGTTTGTTGTCTCAAACCATCATCTTGAAGTGTGCATGCTACTAATATCCATTTTATAGACAAGGCTTCTGAGACAGCTGGTTTCAGAGCCCATGATCTTGCTCTGTCTCCCAACTTGGCTGTCAGTACAGACCCCAGGGCTGGGCTCTGTACTGCGCTCACTCTTGACCACTTTCCCCTCTTTCTCACCCAGTTCCCCATTACAGCCTTGCGGGAGATCAAGATCCTTCAGCTTCTAAAACACGAGAATGTGGTCAACTTGATTGAGATTTGTCGAACCAAAGGTAAGTTATTTGGTTCTTACGAGAAGATGACACTTGTAGCCTAAGGTTTTGTTTGTAAACTTGGAACTAGGCACACCTAAACTGCCTCTTCTTAACTCAGATGGACCCATGGTGACTGCTTTTTCTGGTCCTCTTTCATCGTAGCTGGTGCTTCCTCGGGGCCTGCCCTGGCCCAGAAGAGGCACTCAGAAAATATTTGACCGGTGAAGGAAGGAACAGACAGATGCTCTGGAGGGCATGGGTGCCCGTGGGTTGGAGCAGGAAGAAAGAAGCTGGTTGTGGGAAAGTGTGTTGGGTGTGGTTTTCTTGACTTTTTCTTCTTTCTATTCCTGCCTCAGCTTCCCCCTATAACCGCTGCAAGGGTAGTATATACCTGGTGTTCGACTTCTGCGAGCATGACCTTGCTGGGCTGTTGAGCAATGTTTTGGTCAAGTTCACGCTGTCTGAGATCAAGAGGGTGATGCAGATGCTGCTTAACGGCCTCTACTACATCCACAGAAACAAGGTGGGGGCCAGAGCTGGGAGGAGGACCCAGGCTTGGGCTGGTCTTGGCTCCCACTCCCGGGTGGATGTCACTAAAGGACCCACTCTTGCCCTTCCTGCAGATCCTGCATAGGGACATGAAGGCTGCTAATGTGCTTATCACTCGTGATGGGGTCCTGAAGCTGGCAGACTTTGGGCTGGCCCGGGCCTTCAGCCTGGCCAAGAACAGCCAGCCCAACCGCTACACCAACCGTGTGGTGACACTCTGGTACCGGCCCCCGGAGCTGTTGCTCGGTGAGGACTCCCGAGCGGGCCAAGGGGGGTGAGGGCCAGGCATCTACCTGGCCCCTTCCCCCCAACTGCCAGGGCTTCTTGAGCTGCCGGCCCTGGGGCATTGAGCCTCAGGAGGCCCTCGGGCTCAAGGGGCCCTCCTGGTGCGCTCTTCTTCCCAGGGGAGCGGGACTACGGCCCCCCCATTGACCTGTGGGGTGCTGGGTGCATCATGGCAGAGATGTGGACCCGCAGCCCCATCATGCAGGGCAACACGGAGCAGCACCAACTCGCCCTCATCAGTCAGCTCTGCGGCTCCATCACCCCTGAGGTACGGGGCCCCGGTCCCCACGGGGTGCAGAGATCGAGGTCCCCCGGCAGAGGAGGAGTGGGGAGTAGAATGGAAGGAGCGCTCCTCTCTGGAAGGGAGGCTGGTTTGGTGACAGGGCCTGTCTTGGGGTGGGGAGTGTGTGGGAGAAAAAAACACCTGACACAGGCTGTGCGCCAGTCTCGGTTCCATCAGCTGTTCTGTGGCCTTGGGCAGAACATCTGAGTCAGCGCTGGGTTTCTCTTCTGTGAACCAGAAATGTGACGTGTATCAGGGTTGGAGCCCATATTCCAGGTGATGTGGGTGGAAGGACCTGGCACGTGGTATGTGCCAATCCATAGCGGGCACTGCTTCTGGGAGGGGTCGAGTAGCAGTCTGGGAGCCTCCGAGTGGAGCAGGTATTTTAGTCCTTTTAGGCCTTTATGAAGGGATAAGCCACGCACCTCCTGACCGGACTCCATATTCTCTCAACGCCCCCTCCCTCCCAGGTGTGGCCAAACGTGGACAACTATGAGCTGTACGAAAAGCTGGAGCTGGTCAAGGGCCAGAAGCGGAAGGTGAAGGACAGGCTGAAGGCCTATGTGCGTGACCCATACGCACTGGACCTCATCGACAAGCTGCTGGTGCTGGACCCTGCCCAGCGCATCGACAGCGATGACGCCCTCAACCACGACTTCTTCTGGTCCGACCCCATGCCCTCCGACCTCAAGGGCATGCTCTCCACCCACCTGACGTCCATGTTCGAGTACTTGGCACCACCGCGCCGGAAGGGCAGCCAGATCACCCAGCAGTCCACCAACCAGAGTCGCAATCCCGCCACCACCAACCAGACGGAGTTTGAGCGCGTCTTCTGAGGGCCGGCGCTTGCCACTAGGGCTCTTGTGTTTTTTTTCTTCTGCTATGTGACTTGCATCGTGGAGACAGGGCATTTGAGTTTATATCTCTCATGCATATTTTATTTAATCCCCACCCTGGGCTCTGGGAGCAGCCCGCTGAGTGGACTGGAGTGGAGCATTGGCTGAGAGACCAGGAGGGCACTGGAGCTGTCTTGTCCTTGCTGGTTTTCTGGATGGTTCCCAGAGGGTTTCCATGGGGTAGGAGGATGGGCTCGCCCACCAGTGACTTTTTCTAAGAGCTCCCGGCGTGGTGGAAGAGGGGACAGGTCCCTCACCCACCCACAATCCTATTCTCGGGCTGAGAACCCTGCGTGGGGACAGGGCTCGCCTCAGGAATGGGCTGTTTTTGGCCTAACCCTCAGAAACACTGGGGCTGGCACAAACTCTTGGTTTCTTCAACAGGAGAATTTTACTGTGTTTCTTTTGGTTCCATTGTTTGGAGACATTCCTGGGCACAGTTTGGTCCGTTAGAATTAAAAGTTGAATTTTTTTTTTTTTTAAATTTTTTTTTTTCCTCCAGGACTTGTGTGTTTTGTTCTGCGCACACACCGCCAACTGTTCCCCCACAGTCAGCAGCAGGTTGGGCCTGACCATTGGGACTTGATTGTCAAGTCACTGGAGGTCTTGACTTTTTTATCTCAGTTCATGTTCTCTTCCATAATTGGAAAGGACCTTTGTCTGTTTTTCCTCTTGGGTGCCTTCCAGAACGCATCTCATGTCCCTGGTGAGGGAATTGGTGAGGGCCTGCTGTGAGCTGCTGTGGCTGCGATGGTCACCCAGCTGGGCAAATCACTGGAGTGACAATTTGACCTGTCACCTGAGAAGGATGGTCCCTCAGACTGCTGGGTAGAGGGCCTGGGGCAGGCTGGAGAGAGAAAGTGGGCAGAGGGTGAAGGGATCACAGGGGTCTTGGAAGGTGGCAGTAGTTTGGACGGGGGTGGGGAGTATGTGGGAGAAAAAAACAGACTGAAGGTAGAATCCTTGGGAACCTTTGAGGAGCGGCACATTCTGGCAGGCACGTTTTCTGTGAGCCTGAAGTTAGGAAGAGACATTCTGGAGGTCAATTTCCTACATCCTCTTACAGGCGGAGACCTTGAAGTGGGGCCAGGAAGGAAGGTTGGCAAAACCTTTGACCAGAACTGTCCTTCATTTACAGAAACTGACCCAGACCACAACACAAAAGGCCAGTAAAAGTAAGAAAAAAAAATTTTTTTTTTTTTTTTGGAGACGGAGTCTCACTCTGTTGCCCAGGCTGAAGTGCAGTGGTGAGATCTCGGCTCACTGCGACTTCTGCCTCCCGGGTTCAAGTGATTCTCCTGTCTCAGCCTCCTGAGTAGCTGGGATTACCACCCACCACCACACCCAGCTAATTGTATGTTTAGTAAAGATGGGGTTTCGCAGTCTTGGCCAGGCTAGTCTCGAACTCCTGACCTCGGGTGATCCACCCACCTCAGCCTCCCAAAGTGCTGGGATTACAGGTGTGAGCCACTGTGTCCAGCCAAGGAAAAAATTCTTGATTGGTGTATTTGTTTTCCTGAGACTTCTATAACTAATTGCTACAAGCATGCTAGCTTAAATTAACAGATTTATTCTGTTGGTTCCCAAAGTCATTGGTGGCAGGGTTGGTTCCTTCTGGAGGATCTGAGGGAGAGAGAATCCTTCCCGTGACTCCTGGTGGCTGCTGGCAGTCCTTGCATCCCTTAGGCTTGTAGAGTCGTCACTCCGGTCTCTGCCTGTGTTCACATGGCATTCTTCACTCTGTCTCTTTTTTTTTTGAGATGGAGTTTCACTCTTGTTGACCAAGCTGGAGTGCAATGGCATGATCTTGGCTCACTGCAACCTCCGCTTCCTGGGTTCAAGTGATTCACCTGCCTCAGCCTCCCTAGTAGGTGAGATTACAGGCGCCTGCCACCACGCCTGGCTAATTTTTGTATTTTTAGTAGAGACGGGGTTTCACCATGTTGGCCAGGCTGGTCTCGAGCTCCTGACCTCAGGTGATCCACCTGCCTCGGCCTCCCAAAGTGCTGGGATTACAGGCATGAGCCACCACGCCCGGCCTATGTGTCTGTCTTGTATGGACACCAGTCTGGATTTAGGGGCCACCCTAACCCAGTTTGACCTCATCTTAACCGATTACATCTGCAAAGACCCTCTTTCCAAATAAGGTCACATTCTGAGGTTTGGAGAGGACATGAATTCGGGGGGCACACTTCAACCCAGTATAAGTAGTCAAATAAATCCAAATTGGCCAGGCGCAGCGGCTCACACCTATAATCCCAGCACTTCGGGAGGCCAAGGCGGGCGGATCACGAGGTCAGGAGTCGGAGGTTGCAGTGAGCCAAGATTGAGCCACTACTCCAGCCTGGGTGACAACAGCAAGACTCTGTCTCAAAAAAAAAAAAAAAAAAATTAGCTGGGCATGGTGGTGCACGCCTGTAGTCCCAGGTACATGCCTGTAGTCCCAGCTGCTCAGGAGGCTGAGGCAGGAGAATCACTTGAACTAGGGAGGCGGAGGTTGCAGTGAGCTGAGATCGTGCCACTGCACTCCAGCCTGGTGACAGCGAGACTCCCGTCTCAAAAAAAAAAAAAAAAAAATCCAGGCTGGGTGTGGTGGCTCAGGCCTGTAATCCCAACACTGGGAGGCCAAGGTGGGTGGATCACCTGAGGACAGGAGTTCGAGACCAGCCTGGCCAATATGGTGAAACTCCATCTCTACTAAAAAAAATTAGCCGGGTATGGTGGCGCATGCCTGTAATCCCAGCTACTTGAGAGGCAGAGGTGGGAGAATCGCTTGAACCCAGGAGGCAAGAGATTGCAGTAAGCTGAGATGACACCACTGCATGCCAGCCTGGGCGACAGAGCGAGACTTATCAAAAAAAAAAAAAAAAATCGAAATTAAAGCTGTTGTGTGCTGTCCTGACAGCAGTCACTAGGAATTGAGTGTGGATAAACTCACAGGGCTGGCCTAATTGTATTTTCTTTGAAGGATAAAAAGCTTCTCTAAAAGGTTCATATTCTTTGACTCAGCAATTCCACTTACAGGAATTTTTTAAGAGCAATTACACAATGATAGTCTTTATCTCATTGAACACTCACTGCAATTTCGATGGTCTCATTCGTTCATTGAGCATATTTATTAGGTGTGTCTTCCAAGGGTCATCCCATTCGGGACTTAATACAGCTGGAAACAGTGGTGGCCCGCCCCCACCCCAGTGGAGCTCACCTTCCAGTAGGTCTAAACTGGTTTGATTGAGTTCCATGGAAAACAACAAAGTGGGGTAAGGGGAAAAGTAGTGGGGAGCTGAGGGGGTCAGCATGACATGGAAGCAGAAATCAAGAGACAAGGCTTTGTGGGGTGTGGGTGTGGGTCCAAGTGCCAAGGGCCAGGGAGCTTTGTAGAGTGTGTGGTTATGTTTCTCAGTGTTTCCTCATAGTTGGTTAACTAATACATTTGTTCATGCAATTAAGCCATCTTTTCATTTTCTAACATTTTTAAAAATACATATATTTTTTAGAGATGGGGGTCTCGCTTTGTTGCCTAGGCTGGTCTCCAGCTCCTCAGCTCAAGGGATCCTCCTGCCTTGGCCTCCCAAAGTGCTGGGATTATAGGTGTGAGCCACCAGGCCCAGCCAATTAAGCTGCATTTTAAAACAACCAAGACAGACCTTAAACCTTGGAGCTGCTGACCCAAGCTCATCCTCACCCCTCTTCCCCAGAGTCTACCCCAGGGAGGAACAGGGACTGGCCAGTCAGGTGAGGGTTCTCTAGCTTTGGCCTCAAGCTCTGGTGTGACATGGGTGCTGTTTTCACCTGTGGAGGGAGGTATGTCGCCTGGAATAAAGGCTCGCCAGAGGGCAGGGCCTTGTGCGGCTTTTCTCAGCACCTAGATAGTGCCTGGCACCATGTTCTCAGCACCTAGATAGTGCCTGGCACACATGAGTCTCTGGGATACAGTGGAGTGAGTGCAGTGAACAGATGGCTGAGGAGGCTGTGTAGATGGGAAAGGCCTTCGCCAGCTCGCGGGGATGAGCTTAGGCCGGGGGACTGAGTTCTGTGTCCTGGCTTTTTGTTTGTTTTTTAAGAGCCTGGAGTCACATCCTGCCCTTTTTTTTTTTTTAAAGGAAAAATGGTGGTTTTATTCATTTGTACTTAAACCAGCCAAAGTAGTACTGATGTGATTATGATTCAGCAAATACAAGATCTCTTTCCACAAATATTAGCATAACAATCAAAATAGGGACTATAGTAAAACAGCCAAAAAGGGCTGAGGGAATCAAGTATGTTACAGTTTAACTCCACCTCAGTATAATTTTTATTTTATTATTTTTTTTTAAGACAGAGTCTGGCTCTGTCGCCCAGGCTGGATTGCAGTGGCGTGATCTCGGCTCACTACAACCTCCTCCTCCTGGGGTCAAGTGATTTTCCTGCCTCAGCCTCCCGAATAGTTGGGATTACAGGTGCCTGCCACCCACTCCTGGCTACCTGGCTTCTTTTTGCCCAAGTGATTTGGTGAAACAAAGCCTCTTCCTCCAGCGGACTTGGACTCTTAAGTCAGGGGTGTCGTGTGTCCACGCTGTACTTTGTATACGCCTCTCCCTGGCCAGGATCTCACCCTGGCAGGGCAAGGGCAAAACGGGCCCTAACTGTAAGGTGGGTGGGCTGGGATAAGGAGGCCTGGAAGAGGCCAGATAAAGCCAGCCCCAAGGTCTGGAAGCCTCCCAAGCATAGCCCCCTCCCCTCCCACCCACCTGCCTGTCTGCGTGCTTACCTTTAACCTCCACCCAGTTGTTACTTAACTCGCGGTAAGGTTCTGACCAGTCCCATGCTCCACTCCAGAAACCCGCCAGGGAGGCTAAGTCCCTGGGCTGACCCTAGGATGAGGGCAGGAACCTATCAGGTAAAACCTTTCTCCCTGCACACTGGAAAGGCCAGAACTTCTGCCCCCAGTCCTGTCAGGGGAGGGGAGGCCTTGGCGTCTCCCAAATCACGTTTTCTGGGTCAACAAGCCTCACAGCTCTAGTTAAATCCTGGGCAGAGCTGGCTTGGCAGAGATGCCCACACCTGTGCGTCACTTCGTGCCCTACCCAGAAGGGGAGCAGGAAACCAAGGGATGAAAGGTGCTGGGTCCCTGGCTGCCTCCTTGCCCATGGCTGAGAAGTTCTGGTGGGAAGGAACCATGGAGGGCCCATCTGGATATCCTTCCTCAGCTAAAACTGCCTCCTTCCAGGTAGGAGAACCCGGTGACCAGGCAGGTGGCCTTTCCTGTCTAAGCCTCAGTTTCTTGGGGGCGATGCTGCCAGCCCCTCACAGGGCTCAGCGCAGCACCCAGCATGCTTGGAGGGTGAGAACAAATTGAAAAAAGATCCCACATTTTTTTCCTCTGAAAATTTTGGTAAGACGGCCAGGTGCGGTGGCTCATGCCTGTAATCCCAGCTCTTGGGGATGCCAAGGCTGGTGGATTATGAGGTCAGGAGTTCGAGACCAGCCTGGCTAAGATGACGAAGCCCCGTCTCTACTAAAAATACAAAAATTAGCCGGGCGTGATGGTGGGCACCTGTAGTCCCAGTTAATTGGGAGGCTGAGGCAGGAGAATCACTTGAACCCGGGAGGCAGAGGTTGCGGTGAGCCGGTATCACACCACTGCACTCCAGCCTGGGCAACAGAGCGAGACTCCGTCTCAAAAAAAAAAAAAAAAGAAAAACAACCGGGCATGATAGCGCATGTCTGTAATCCCAACCACTCTGGAGGCTGAGGCAGGAGAATCTCTTGAACCCGGGATGTGGAGGTTGCAGTGAGCCGAGATCAGGTCCCTGAACTCCAGCCTGGGCAACAGAGTGAGACTCTGTCTCAAAAACAAACAAAAAAAAAAAGTCGGGCACGGTGGCTCACACTTGTAATCCCAGCACTTTGGGAGGCCAAGGTGGATGTATCACGAGGTCAGGAGATCGAGACCATCCTGGCTAACACGGTAAAACCCGGTCTCTACTAAAAATACAAAAAAATAGCCGGGCGTGGTGGCAGGCACCTGTAGTCCCAGCTACTCGGAGGCTGAGGCAGGAGAATGGCATGAACCCGGGAGGCGGAGCTTGCAGTGAGCTGAGATCACGCCACTGCACCCCAGCCTGGGCTACAGAGCAAGACTCCGTCTCAAAAAAAAAAAAAAAAAAAAAAAAAAAAAAAATCCTCATCCTCCTAAAGAGGAGACTAGGGGTCAGACAGGATCACAGAGGGAAGTGTCTTGCCCATGGTCACACAGCAGTTCGACAGCAGAGAGGGCCAGGGTGACCAGACAGGTGGTGGTAAGGTGCAAGGACCAACATTAAAGTCAGTAATCTGGGTTTGAATCGGCTTTGCCACGTCCATGTGCCTGCTGTATTCCTGGGTGAGTTGATTAACCTCTCTGAGCTTCCATTTTTCCACCTGTAAAATAGGGATCATCTGTAATTCACACAATTTTCATGAGATTCCAGGTGCCAAACACAGGGATAAGTGCTTAATAAATGTTTATTTGTTTTGAGACAGCGTCTTACTCTGTCACTCTGTTGCCCAGGCTGTAGCGCAGTGGCGCCATCTTGGCTCACTGCAACCTCCGCCTCCCTGGTTCAAGGGATTCTCCTGCTTCAGCCTCCCAAGTAGTGGGACTACCGGAGTGTGTCACCAGGCCCAACTAATTTTTGTAATTTTAGTAGAGATGCGGTTTCACTGTTGTGGCCAGGCTGGTCTGAAACTCCTGGCCTCAAGCGACTGACCCACCGTGGCTTCCCAAAGTGCTGGGATTACAGGTGTGAGCCACTGCTCCCAGCCGAGTGCCTACTTAATAAATGTTAACAAGAAAAACCCACCCCAAAAAAGGAAAGAGGACAAACACAAGGCAAGGGTGTTTCAGCAGAGGCAAACATCGCGAGCAAAAGCTTGCAGGTGGGAGAGGCCAAGGCCAGTTGCTGAAGTCCTTGCCAGCTGGCAGGGACTGTGCCCTGTAAGTGGGGGATGAGTCCAGAGGCAGGCAGGGACCAGGCCACAGTGAACTTGTGGGTTTTATTAATCCCAAGTGTATGACGGGGCAGGAGAGAGTGTAGTATCCCAGGCAGATCTGAGTTCAGAAAGACCTGACCCACTCTGTCTGTCTCTCTCTCAGCCTTAGCCTGCCACTCTACAGTGGTTACCATCTGACCTGATCAGGGTTTGTAAATCTGTATATTCCTTTGTGAATTTCTTTATTTGCTGCCCTCTCACCCCCAGGACTGGGTGCTCTGTGAGCAGTACCTTGTCTTCTGTTCTCCACAGTGACCCCAGCATCTAGTCCAGGGTCTGGCAGAGATAATTTCTTCCAATGAATAAGTGAATGAATGACATCGTTTCCCTGTGGGAAGGTGGGGATTGAGGCAGAGTTCCTCAGTCTGCTCCTACCCCAGCCCCTCCTCCTGTCCACACGCACCTGCAGATCTGCCCGCATGAGTGGGCACTGGCCCACTTACTGGTTCCCCTGCCCCCTTTGTTTTCTATTGTTCTTCCTGGAGAGAGAGAACGCAGTGCCTTCGTGGTCACCAAAAGGCCAACGGCGATTCCCTCTCCAGCTGCATGATGAAGATCCCTTTGATTTTTCCGTTTACAGTTTCTTCTAGTTCCTTCTATAAATATTTGTGGCTTTTCAAGTAAAAAGCCACAAAGGAGGTGAGTGGGCTGTAAAGGAAACAAAACAGCTTTTTTTTTTTTTTTTTGAGATGGAGTCTCACTCTGTCGGCCAGGCTGAAGTGCAGTGGCGCGATCTGGGCTCACTGCAACCTCTGCCTCCCGGGTTTAAGTGATTCTCCTGCCTCAGCCTCCCTAGTAGCTGGGATTACAAGCACGGACCACCATGCCTGGCTAATTTTTGTATTTTTAGTAGAGATGGGGTTTCACCATGTTGGTCAGGCTGGTCTTGAACTCCTCACCTCATGATCCACCTGCCTCAACCTCCCAAAGAGCTGGGATTGCAGGTGTGAGCCACTGCGCCCAGCCAGCTTTTTTTTCTTTTTTTGAGATAGAGTCTTGCTGTCCCTCACGTTGGAGTGCAGTGGTGCGATCTTGGCTCACTGCAGCCTCCACCTCCCAGGTTCAAACGATTCTTCTGCCTCAGCCTCCCAAGTAACTGGGATTACAGGCAGGTGCCATCACACCTGGCTAACTTGTATTTTTAGTAGAGACAGGGTTTCACCATGTTGACAGATTTTGAACCTGAGGTGATCCACCCGCCTCAGCCTCCCAAAGTACTGTGATTACAGGCAAGAGCCACTGTGCCCGGCCACAAACGGCTGTTAAACACAAAAAAAGTGTTCAGCCTCCTTCACGATAAATGTAAATGATAACTACTCAGAGAATCCATTTTTCCACCTTACGATTGGCAAGGATCAAAGCTGGCTGTGTTGCTGAAGATGTGAGGAAATGCTGGCTCATGCACTGCTGAAGTCGGGGAAACTTGTACCCCTCTGGGGGACAATGTGGCCATGTGTATAAAAATGTCAGCTGGGCGCAGTGGCTCATGCCTGTAATCCCAGCACTTTGGGAGGCCGAGGAAGGTGGATCACCTGAGGTCAGGGGTTCAAGACCAGACTGGCCAACATGGCGAAACCCCGTCTCTACTAAAAATACAAAAATTAGCCGGGTGTGATGGCACACACCTGTAGTCCCAGCTACTTGGGAGGCTGAGGCAGGAGAATTGCTTGAACCTGGGAGGTGGAGGTTGCAGTGAGCCGAGATGGCACCACTGCACTTTGGCCTGGGTGACAGAGTGAGACTCTGTCTCAGAAAAAAAAAAAAATGTCAAGTGCAGGTCACCTTTGACCCAGCAATTGCACTTGGAATTTATCCATGAAATAACCCACACAAGGAAGAAATGATGAAGGTAAAATGTTACCCACTGTAGCTTGGGTAAAATATTATCCATTGCTTGTGATAGCAAAATATTGGAAACAACCCAAATGTCCATCAATAGGCAACTGGCTGAATACACAGTAGTACTTCCACACCATGGAGTACTACACAGCTTCAAAACAAATTAGCCAACGGAGTGGCCCTTATGTACCGACACAGCCCAGAATAGGGCCCTGGTTAAAAAGGGACATGGAGAAAGTACAAGGCAGGCTTGCCTTACAGTCTGCTGCTATATGTGGGTATAAAAGGGAAATCAATATATATTTGTATTTGCTTGTAAATGCATAACATACCTCTGGAAAGGTGATAAGAAACTGATAACATTGACTGCTTTGAGAGAGAAGGATTAGGATGCTGGAATCTGGGCTCCCAGAGAGGGAGGCTTTTTGCTGTACACAGTTTTGACCCTTTAACTATTTGTTGTTTTTTGTTTGTTTTGAGAAGAGTCTTGCTCTTTCACCCAGGCTGGAGTGCAGTGGCACAATCTTGGCTCACTGCAATCTTCGCCTCCCAGGTTCAAGTGATTCCTGTGCCTCAGCCTCCGAAGTAGCTGGGATTACAGGTGCGCATCACCAAGCTTGGCTAATTTTTGTATTTTTAGTAAAGACGGGGTTTCATCATGTTGCCCAGGCTGGTCTCAAACTCCTGACCTCAAGTGATCCACCCGCCTTGGCCTCCCAAAGTGCTAGGATTATAGGCGTGAGCCACCACGCCCAGCCAGTCTTTGAACTATTTGAATGATATATTATCCAAAAAATACCAGAATTTAAAAAGAAAACATAAGAAAAAGTGTTTTTTCCAGCAATGTGGACAGGCTTTCCACCTTACACCACAGGAGGGACTCCGGCTCTGGGATCTCATTCTTGGAGGAATGGCTTAGAGCACCTATGCCACCTCCTACAGATGAGTCCACTGAGGCCACCAATAGTAGATCTGGAAAAAATACTTGCCCTACAGAGGACAGAAACTGAGGGATAATATCAGTACTACACAAAGTGCCTTTTTTTCTTTTTTTTAACTTTTTAAACATTTGATTTATTTATTTAAAAAGATGGGGGTCTCGCTATGTCACCCAGGCTGGAGTACAGTGGTGCTATCATAGCTCACTGCAGCATCGAACTCCTGGGCTCAGATTATCCTCCTTGGCCGGGCGCAGTAGCTCACGCCTGTAATCCCAGCACTTTGGGAGGCTGAGGCGGGTGGGTCACCTGAGGTCAGGAGTTTGAGACCAGCCTGCCTAACATGGTGAAATCCCATCTCTACTAAAAATACAAAAATTAGCTGGGCATGGTGGCACATGCCTGTAGTCCCAGCTACTTGGGAGGCTGAGGCAGGAGAATTGCTTGAACCCAGGAGGCGGATGTTGCAGTGAGCCGAGATTGCACCACTGCACTTCAGCCTGGGCAACAGAGTGAGACTCTGTCTCAAAAAAAAAAAAAAAAATCCTCCTGCCTCAGCCTCCAAATCACTGGGACCACAGATGTGCACCAGCATGCCCAGCAATTTTTGCTTTTTGTAGAGAAGGGGGTTTCACCATGTTGCCCAGGCTGATCTAGAACTCTAGGCTTCAAGCAATCTTCCCGCCTCAGTCTTCCAAAGTGCTAGGATTACAGGTGTGAGCCACTGCACCCAGCCCACAAAGGGCTATTATAACTGACATGAAAAAGCGAATCAGACATTAGAAAAATGGGCCAAGGATGGGTTAGGCAGTTCACTGACATAAATGCATGGGAAGATACTCAAGTTCACTGCAGCAGGGGAATGACAGAAACACTGAGATGGTTCTCTGCACCCTGTGGTCTGGGGGCATCCTGGGAGAGGGGTGCCTCCTTCACACACAGCTGCTGGGATGCCAAGACTACAGCAGCATTGGGGAAAAGGATTGCAAACATCCCTGGACCCAACCCCACCCCTCCATGCAATCCAACTCCCAGAAATCAAGCCCTTCGACGTAAACGCATATCCATAGCAGCAAAACACTGAAGGCAGAATGAATGCCCTTCCACAGGCGAATCCAGGATGCTCCTGGGAAGGCCATACGGCCATTAAAGACGCTGAATTAGCAGTGTCCCTGGGGAGACAGGGAAGGAGGCGCAGAGGCTAAGAATAAGGACTCTGGGGCCAGACGTCAAATCTTGGTTTTGTGACTTGAGCATATGCTTTTACTCCTTTGGGCCTATATGATAATATTAGTACCTATTTCATGGGTTTGTGATGAAGATTAAATGAGCAACTGTGTCAGAAGTGTTTATAGCAGTGTCTGAATCTAGAAAGGTACTACTTAAAGTGTTTGCGAAGGGCTGGGCGTGGTGGCTCAAGCATGTAATCCCAGCACTTTGGGAGGCCGAGGAAGGTGGATCACCTGAGGTCAGGGGTTCAAGACCAGACTGGCCAACATGGCGAAACCCCGTCTCTACTAAAAATACAAAAATTAGCCGGGTGTGATGGCACACACCTGTAGTCCCAGCTACTTGGGAGGCTGAGGCAGGAGAATTGCTTAAACCTGGGAGGTGCAGGTTGCAGTGAGCCAAGATGGCGCCACTGCACTCCAGCCTGGGTGACAGAGCAAAACTCCATCTCAAAAAAAAAAAAAAAAAAGTGTTTGCTAAGTAAATGTCTTAAAAAAATAATAAGCTTGTCATTGAGTAAGAAAGTTAAGTTGCAGCCAGGCATGGTGACTCATGCCTGTGATTCCAGCACTTTGGTAGGCCCAGGTGAGAGGATTGCTTGAGGGCAGGAGTTTAAGGCTGCAGTGAGCTATGATTGTGCCACTGCACTCCAGCTTGAGTTATAGATTGGGACCCTGTCTCTAAAAATAAACATTTTTGAAAAGCTAAGATGCAAAAATATTGTCACCTGCATTGGCAAGACCCTATAGATGTCTAGGTGTGTCTGGTTTCATGAGCATAGAAAACTATGGGACACATACTTAGTCGTCAACAGGATTGCCAGAGGAGGAACTGTGTGTGTGTGTGTGTGTATGGGGGAAGGGGGAAGGGAGTAAGCAAAATAAAAATATTTAAAGCCTCATGATTATTATTATTATTATTATTATTTTCGAGACAAAGTCTTGCTCTGTCACCCAGGCTGGAGTGCAGTGGTGTGATCTCAGCTCACTGAAACCTCTGCCTCCTGGGTTCAAGCAATTCCCCTGCCTCAGCCTCCCGAGTAGCTGGGATTACAGGCGCCTGCTACCACACCCGGCTAATTTTTGTATTTTTAGTAGAGATGGAGTTTCACCATCTTGGCCAGGCTGGTCTCGAAGTCCTTACCTCATGATCCACCCACTGCGGCCTCCCAAAGTGCTGGGATTACAGGCTCCTGCTACCACACCGGCTAATTTTTGTATTTTTAGTAGAGATGGAGTTTCACCATCTTGGCCAGGCTGGTCTCGAACTCCTTACCTCATGATCCACCCGCTGCGGCCTCCCAAAGTGTTGGGATTACAAGGCGTGAGCCACTGCGTCCAGTCTCTTGATTATTTTTATGCAGTCATTAAACTATATACATGCATATGTATAGAGAAAGTTTCAATGACTAAAAATAAGGAAACCAAGAAAGAACTTCTCTATCTGCCATGGGGCCAGGGTCGGGGCACCCCAGCAGTGTGTGAAGAGCAGAAGTCCAGCCAATGACAGACTCTTCCCAAAACATCACTTGCTTATTTCGAAATCAAACAATTTCTCATAAATATTTTCTCCCAATGCTGGGAAGAGGGAGAGGGGAAGGAGGTACGGAAACTCCATCAATCATTTGAAGGGCTGCCTTTTATCAGACTGATTTTCCGTAGTGGGTTGTTTGCAGCTTCCTCCTCCCCAGTTCTGGGCCTCAGCTGTCAAAAGGATTTCACCATGCAACTTTTTCATGCTAGCAGTTGGGGCCAAGAAGCTAATAGATGGGAAAAAGCTCTGAAAACTCCAGGACGACAAATAGGTGTCCTCCTCACAGAAAAGGATTACTGCCCCACCATCCCCAGGTGGCCCTCAAATCCGTTCTCTAAACGGCAGCAGCTGTTTAGAGGTGTCCACCAGGTGTCCGCAGCTTTGTCATCCTATCCCTGTTCGGGGCAGAGACTGAGGGCTGCTGACCCGGACCGGCTATTTTGGGACGTGCTGCGGGGGGCCTTGGGAGGTTGGTGACGAAAGGAGTGCGTGCCCGCTAAGGGAGGGGACGCCCCGGAGCGTACACTCATAAACCTGGTCCCGAGGCCTGCCCCTCACCAGGATGGTGCACGCGGAAGGGGCGGCTTTTTAGTGGCGCAAGGGGGCTGGTCGGTGGTAGTTTGGGGCGGTGCTGATTGATGGCGGGCGGGGCGGGGCGGTGCTGATTGGCGGGGGGGGCGGGGTGAGGCGACGCTGCGCTGATTGGCTGGGGGCGGGGCGGGGCGTCTCCCGCCCGGGCCTAGAGCGCTGCCGGGGGCGCCGGGACTATGTCGCGGGCGCGGAGCCACCTGCGCGCCGCTCTATTCCTGGCAGCGGCGTCTGCGCGCGGCATAACGACCCAGGTCGCGGCGCGGCGGGGCTTGAGCGCGTGGCCGGTGCCGCAGGAGCCGAGCATGGAGTACCAGGTATCAGGCGGGCCAGCGGGCCAGCGGGCCTGGGCGCGACGACACGTGGGCCTGCGCTGAGCCGCAGAACATCCGGGCTCCGCTAGCCGAGAGGGTATCGGGAGCCCTGGACTGGGGGACTCGGGGGGCGGAACATCCTGGAGGCTGGGGGTGGGGACAGGGACCAGGAAGTTGGGCCCGGGCCGCCGGGGCTGGGAATTCGGAGACTATAGCGTCCCCGCCCCGGGTTGGGAAGTGGGAAGTGGCACAGGAGCTAGGATCCAGAAGCCCAGAGGCTCAGCGGTGCTTCTGGAGTTCCAGTGATCCCGGAGTCTGAACCGGCAGTGAGAGTGGGGAAAGAGGGTAGGGAAGAGACTCAGGAATTCAGGCTTGAAAGATCCAGGAGTATTGATCTGGGGGTGGGCTGTCCAGGATTCAGAAGATTGGGGATCCAAGTGCCTGGATTTGGGGGAGAGGCAGGAATCAGGGGTAGTGGAGGGCCCCAGAACCTGGAAAATAGAAAATGTCCGCGGGCGCTGTGTCAAGAGCCGGTTGCCCTAGACCAGACCCTGATGCCAGTGAGGCGGGTGGCACTGGTTTGATGAGGGTGGAGCCTCCAACCAGCCTTGAGGTCCTGAGGGTGGGAGGCACGGAATATGAGGCCTAAGGGGAATGAAATAGCACCCCCACTCCCACTTCCATTGTGAACCCTCCTGAAGCCGTACCTACCTGCCTTCCTGGCTGAGTGACCCCTGGCACACCCCTCCTCCCTCTGAGTTGCTCCTCTGTGGGTTGGAATGTGGAACCCCAGAGTCATGAGGGTTGGGGTGGAGCTTCGGGGAACTCCAGAATTCGAATACCCCAGCCTTCTGTAGTTCTGGCCCCGCTCTGGCAGGGAGCAATATAGCAATGGACCCCATTGGAGAGAATGAGGGCAAAGGCCCAGGAGTGAAGTCGGGGGAGCCTGGGCAGGAAGCAAGGCTAGCCCGTTAGTCATGCCACCTTCTTTGTGTAGCACTCCCTGGGTGGGGCTGAACTGCCCCAGACTCCCATTTTTGCCAGAGCTGGAAAGATGCCATACTCTCTGTTGCTTAACCTACAGGCTAGGCTAACAGTGCTGGCATGGCAGGCGGGCCTGGTACTGGCCTTGTTGCCCTGGCTTGGCCACTGGTCTGCTGGCTGTCTCTGTGCCTGTGGACCCTGAGTGAGCCTTAACCTACTATCTGGGCACTGTGGTTGCCAGGATGCCGTGCGCATGCTCAATACCCTGCAGACCAATGCCGGCTACCTGGAGCAGGTGAAGCGCCAGCGGGGTGACCCTCAGACACAGTTGGAAGCCATGGAACTGTACCTGGCACGGAGTGGGCTGCAGGTAAGGTAGAGAGGGCCTGTGACCACCTCCCACCCCCATTTGTGATTCCCGTAGCTGAGGCAGGGACCTTGTCTGTCTGTCCCAGGTGGAGGACTTGGACCGGCTGAACATCATCCACGTCACTGGGACGAAGGGGAAGGTGAGGGGCAGGACCCTGGGGTAGGGGGTCTATTAAGTGGCTGGTGGAGTAGAGCCTGCCCAGACAATCCCTTTTCTTTCAAGGGCTCCACCTGTGCCTTCACGGAATGTATCCTCCGAAGCTATGGCCTGAAGACGGGATTCTTTAGGTACTGGCTTGTGGGGGGATGTGGTGTCTGTGTCCCAATGGACCCTGGGGGGCTATGGAACCAGCCAGTGCTTCAGGACCAGGGTCACCCCCAGGAGGTCAGCTGCATGTCTCTCTGCCCAGTGTTTATTCATTCAATAAACATTCAGTTAGCACTTACCATATTGGCCCATGTTTATGGCAACCTTTAATTTTTTTTTTTTTTTTGAGACTGAGTCTCACTCTATCGCCCAGGCTGGAGTACAATGGCACGATCTTGGCTCACTGCAACCCCCGCCTGCCAGGTTCAAGCAATTCTCCTGCTTCAGCCTCCCAAGTAGCTTGGATTACAGGCACCTGCCACCACACCAGGCTAATTTTTATATTTTTAGTAGAGATGGGGTTTCACCATGTTGGCCAGGCTGTTCTCGAACTCCTGACCTCAAGTGATCCGCCCACCTCGGCCTCCTAAAGTGCTGGGATTACAGGTGTGAGCCACGGTGCCTGGCCTTAATTTTCATAATTAAAAAAAAATTGGGGAAGGGGCAGCAACTTTAATGTATAAACTAAATATGTAGCAGGAGGTCCAGTGTGGTGGCTCATGCCTATAATCCCAGCACTTTGGGCAGCTGACATGGGAGGATCACCTGAGTCTGGGGAGGTCAAGGCTGCAGTTAGCAGTGATCATGCCATTGCACATCAGCCTGGGCGACAGAGCAAACTGCTATCTTAAAAAAAAAAAAGAAAATTACATAGCTGGAATAGTCAGATGGTCAGATGTCTCTTTAATAACTTAAAGTCCAGGTTGAGTGTGGTGGCTCACAACTGTAATCCTAGCACTTTGGGAGGCCAAGGTGGGAGGATCACTGGAGCTCAGGAGTTTGAGACCAGCTTGGGCAACGTAGTGAGACTTCATCTCTATTAAAAAAAAAATGAAAAGAAAAAATTTTAAAGTCCATATATAACTTTAAAATCACATAGAGATATTTATCAATTAGTATGTCTTTAGAGTAAGGAGAAAATTGCCTTGCAAGGGCTTAAACGATAAGGGTGGCTTGTGCCATCCACGTTAAGGTCTCCTAGGCGGGCTGCAGATAGGAGCCCTTCTGCTTGGCCACTCTCCACTGTGGCTTTGCCCTGGGGCAGCGCCCCCTCTTGGTCTCACTTGTCTAGACTTACACAAGAGGATGGCCAGGTGGAACCGGGATCACTCTTCCTGTGCCACGCATGTCTTCTAAGCCCATCACCACGAACTTCTGAAATCAGCTGCCTAAGGTCATTTCAAGCCGATATGTTTTCCCTAAACAGTTCTTGTTCAAATAAAGAGATGGAGAGGAGGACTTACTACCTGAGTAGCTTTGAGGATTGAAACATAAGGCACCAACCTGTCTTCTAAAATCACTTTTTGGGCCAGGCGTGGTGGCTCATGCCTGTAATCCCAGCACTTTGGGAGGCCGAAGCAGGCAGATCACTTGAGGCCAGGAGTTCAAGAGCAGCCTGGCCAACATGGCGAAACCCTATCTCTACTAAAAATACCAAAAAATTGGCTGGGCACGGTGGCTCATGCCTGTAATCCCAGCACTTTGGGAGGCTGAGGTGGGTGGATCACCAGAGGTCAGGAGTTCAAGACCAGCCTGGCTAACATGGCGTAACCCTGTCTCTACTAAAAATACAAGAATCAGCGAGGCGTGGTGGTGTGTGCCTGTAGTCCCAGCTACTTGGGAGGCCGAGGCATGAGAAACGCTTGAACCTGGGAGGCAGAGGTTGCAGTGAGCCAAGATTGCACCACTGCACTCCAGCCTAGGCGACAGAACAAGACCCTGTCTCAAAAATAAATAAATAAAAACTACAATCATTTTTGGGATAAAAACCTAGCCTTCAACTTGGGCCCACATGGCCTTGAGGGCCAGCCCAGGGCTGCAGCTTGAACATTGGTTGTGGGCTTTGTCTCTGAGAGCTGTAAGACAGATGACATTGTGGGACAGATGTCAGCAGAGTGACTGATTGGTATGGGACTGTTGGAGCCCATAGAATGTGCAAGACCAGCCTGGGTGAGGAGGCTGTCTTAGTTGAGACCAACGTGGTGAATAGGGTGAGCCAGGTGCAGAGGCCTGGAGATAGAAGATGGGGAGGACTGGGGGGCTACAGATAGTCCGGGGGGATGGGGCACCAGGAACAAACCGAGGGACACAGGAGAGATGAGGCACGGAGGCCAGTAGCATCAGTCCCTGCAGGGTGGGGGAAGGCCAGGACGCTCGGGAAGGGAGTCCTGATGACCCCAGCTGTCCCGGCAGCTCTCCCCACCTGGTGCAGGTTCGGGAGCGGATCCGCATCAATGGGCAGCCCATCAGTCCTGAGCTCTTCACCAAGTACTTCTGGCGCCTCTACCACCGGCTGGAGGAGACCAAGGTGCCGCATGCAGGAGGGCTGGCGGGTGGGTATGGTTGGGGGTGCTACGTGTTCCAGCACCCCATCTCCCCAGAGAAGGGGCTGCATGGGCTCTGGGCCCTGACATGTCCCTGTGCCACAGGATGGCAGCTGTGTCTCCATGCCCCCCTACTTCCGCTTCCTGACACTCATGGCCTTCCACGTCTTCCTCCAAGAGAAGGTGTGTGCCCTCTCCCTAGAACCCTGCATCTGAGGCCTTGGGAACGGGAACCTCAGCAGGCCTGGGGGCTCCCTGCTTCCATGCGGCCTCTGGGCACCCTCATATCCCCTGCCATGCCCTCTGGTCTTTGACAGGTGGACCTGGCAGTGGTGGAGGTGGGCATTGGCGGGGCTTATGACTGCACCAACATCATCAGGTGAGCGCAGTTGCTTGGGACGAGGGGTGGCAGCCAGGAGCACAGCCTCACCTGCCGCCTGGTGGCTCAGGGCAGGGCCTCATGGCCTTTTCCTCCCCTGCAGGAAGCCTGTGGTGTGCGGAGTCTCCTCTCTTGGCATCGACCACACCAGCCTCCTGGGGGATACGGTGGAGAAGATCGCATGGCAGAAAGGGGGCATCTTTAAGGTGACCAGGCAGACTGGGGGAAGGGAGAGACATGGAAGGCCTGGGAGTCTACGTTTTCATCCTGGCTTCACTGTGTGACTGGAACAAGTTGAGTCTCCTCTCCAGACTATTTCCCCATTGAAACGTGAGGGATGGCTGGGCATGGTGGCTTATATGCTTGCAATCCCAGCATTTCAGGAGGTCGAGGTGAGAGGATCACCTGAGATCCGGAGTTTGAGACCAGCCTGACCAATATGGGGAAACTCTGTCTCTACTAAAAATACAAAAATTAGCCAGGTGTGGTGGTGTACGCCTGTAGTTCCAGCTACTTGGGAGACTGAGGCAGGAGAATCACTCGAACCCGGGAGGCAGACGTTGCAGTGAGCCGAGATTGCGCCACAGCACTCCAGCCTGGGTGACAGAGTGAGACTTCATCTCGAAAAAGAAAAGAAAAGAAACATGAGGGATGAGAGACAGTGGTAGCCCAGACCCAGGGATGTGGGGGCCAGAGATAGGAGTGTGGAGGATGCTAGGTAGCCCTTTCTCTCTCCTTCTTCCCTCCACAGCAAGGTGTCCCTGCCTTCACTGTGCTCCAACCTGAAGGTCCCCTGGCAGTGCTGAGGGACCGAGCCCAGCAGATCTCAGTAAGTCTGATTGGAATGGGGCAGCGGCAGGGTGGGTTTGTGTCCCTCCTGTTTGAGGAGGCACTGCATCCTCTGGGGCCTCAGTTTGCCCATCTGTGCAGTGAGGACGCTGGGCCAGCTGCCAGGCCTGCTGGAACACATCTCAGTTCTGGGAGCAGGGCTTGGTGGCTGGGGGAGGGGAGAGATGCAAGGGCTGACGTGGTCAGGGAGGGCCTCTGCTGACCCGCTCCTGCCTGTCTCCCCTAGTGTCCTCTATACCTGTGTCCGATGCTGGAGGCCCTCGAGGAAGGGGGGCCGCCGCTGACCCTGGGCCTGGAGGGGGAGCACCAGCGGTCCAACGCCGCCTTGGCCTTGCAGCTGGCCCACTGCTGGCTGCAGCGGCAGGACCGCCATGGTGAGTGGGCAGCTGAGTGGGCAGGCAGGTGGGTGGCACCTGTGGAGCCTGCCTAGGAGGGTCCCGGACACACTTGGTCTCACACACCCCGCAGGTGCTGGGGAGCCAAAGGCATCCAGGCCAGGGCTCCTGTGGCAGCTGCCCCTGGCACCTGTGTTCCAGCCCACATCCCACATGCGGCTCGGTGAGTTAGACCTTCCTGCCCAGCTGGGACCACTGCGTGTGTCTGTGCCCCTTCAGATTTTTTTTTTTTTTTTTTTTGGTTTTCTGTTTGGGAGATAAGAGACAATTTGAAGTGGTGCTTAAGAGAAAGGACTCTGATGTCAGCAAACCTCCCTGACCTTGAGCTCATGAACTCTTTCTGAGCCTGTCTTCTCATCTGCCAAAGTAGATGATGATAGGAGCCACTGCCACGGGCTGTGGTGGGGATTCGCTGAGGTGACATCACTAAGGTGCTGAGTGCAGAGCCTGGCCAATGTGGGATAAAGTGCCAGCCAGTGGTAGCTGCTGTCACTGTCACTATCATCATCATCAGACCCTGAGGTTCTGGAGGATGGTGATCCAGTCATCTGCTTCTTGCCTCCCCCAAAGCTTTCAGCACCCAGCAGGTGCTCATGCTGTTAAGCCCCTTCAGCAAATGGTGGGCCCGCTGTGTGCCACGCCTGTTATCAAGGGCAAGTGACAAGGTCCTGGAGACAAACCGACCTCGCATCACATCCCGGCCCCAGCTAAGGGCTCTCAGGCTGTCAAACGGGAATAGCAGGCCCTTTCAGGGTTGCCTGAAAGATTCCACCAGATGAGACAGCCGAAAAGCCCAAGCCATTGACTGGTGCTAGTAAAAAGTTCCTGGGCTGCCGGGGTCCTGAGTGTTGAGGGCGGGCGCAGCCTGCAGGGGAGAACGGGCTCAGGAGTGTGTGTGCGGAATTGAGGACGGGGGTGGGAGAGGGCCTGGAGGACTGCCTTGCTGCCCTCCCCCAGGGCTTCGGAACACGGAGTGGCCGGGCCGGACGCAGGTGCTGCGGCGCGGGCCCCTCACCTGGTACCTGGACGGTGCGCACACCGCCAGCAGCGCGCAGGCCTGCGTGCGCTGGTTCCGCCAGGCGCTGCAGGGCCGCGAGAGGCCGAGCGGGTGAGGGGCAGGGCTGGGGGTGGGGCCGGGGCTGGCCCACGAGGAGGGGCGGGATCTTGGGGAAGGGCGGGGCGGGGTCGTGGGGAAGGGCGGGGGCGGGCCCATGGGGAGGGGCGGGGTCGTGGGCGGGGACGGGATTGGTACCGCAGGGAGAACGGGCGGCGCCCTTTGACCCAGCTCCTCACCTCTGTCGCAGTGGCCCCGAGGTTCGAGTCTTGCTCTTCAATGCTACCGGGGACCGGGACCCGGCGGCCCTGCTGAAGCTGCTGCAGGTGAGGGGCCAACTTGGGGGTGGGCGGCAGGCAGTCCTGAAGCCCTGGGTCTGGCGGTGTGACCCTGGGGGGTGCCAATCCCCTCCCCCTTGAGTTGTATTGAGGATTAGATGTGACAAGGTGCCTGTGCTGGTTCTGCCAGGTGCTGCAGGGCCGTGGGGAGGCCAGTCATAGGTCATTACTCATATTCCCGCGTGTCTAGACTCAAGTCCAGGCTTAAGAGGAGGGCCAGATCGTGGCTAAAGGTGTAGACTCTGGACTCGCTTGTCATGCCCCTTTAGGCACTAGCATATCACCCTGGACGAGAAGCGGCATTTCCCCGAGCCTCAGTTTGCCTCTCCGTAAAATGGGGTTGCTGCTAGGGGCACCCGCTTCTCAGGTTTGGTTGAAGGAGTCATTGGGCCTTTCTCTGCTTGGGGAAACTGAGGCTGCCCAAGCTGTCAGGGCTGAAGTGGCCCCTAGGTATCATCTCCCATTTCACAGACCAGGAGGCTGAGGCTGTATCCAGAACCTCTCCCATTTACCCACAGCCTTTTTCCAGCCTGGATTTGGGGCCCCCTCACTATCTGAGTGACCTTCAGCAAGTCCCCTTGCCCTGTGGCCACTGTTCCCCTGTCTGTACAGTAGGTTGGGGCTTCGCTGCTCAGGCCACAGGCCAGGCAGGGTATACTGAGGCAGATGGGGGCAGGGTGCTGAAGTACCTTGGCTAGGTTTATACAGCATCATTCTAGTTGTCAGGGAGGCTGCATCTCCAGAGATGTGGGCGCAGGGGGCCATATGGAAGTTGGTGGACATCCTTTCGGGGGTCTGACACCAAGTCTTTCCCTTGGCCTTCTAGCCCTGCCAGTTTGACTATGCCGTCTTCTGCCCTAACCTGACAGAGGTGTCATCCACAGGCAACGCAGGTGAGAGGTGACAGGCATGGCCCCTGGGGATGAGCAGGGGTCCCTGAGGTAGACAGTGGGGGCTTCCAAACTGGAGGTTTGGGGTAGGAAATAAATTTGTTTTACTGTGTAAGAACACTTTAGTGTACTTATACTCTTTTATACACCAAAGTATACTTTATTTAATTTTATTTTAAAAAATTTTTGGCTGGCCACGGTGGCTCACGCCTGTAATCCCAGCACTTTGGGAGGCCAAGGCAGGCAGATCACGAGGTCAGGAGATTGAGACCATCCTGGCTAACATGGTGAAACCCCGTCTCTACAAAAAAAAAATACAAAAAATTAGCCAGGCGTAGTGGTGGGTGCCTGTAGTCTCAGCTACTCAGGAGGCTGAGGCAGGAGAATGGCGTGAACTCGGGAGGCGGAGCTGGCAGTGAGCCGAGATCGCGCCACTGCACTCTAGGTCTGGGCGACAGAGCGAGACTGTCTCAAAAAAAAAAAAAATTAATTTTTGAGACAGAGTCTCACTCTGTCCCCCAGGCTGGAATATAGTGGCACAATCTCAGCTCACTGCAACCTCTGCCTCCTAGGTTCAAATGATTCTCATGTCTCAGCCTCTGGAATAGCTGGGATTACAGGCGTGTGCCAACATGCCCAGCTAAGTTTTATATTTTTAGTAGAGACAGGGTTTCTCCATGTTGGCCAGGCTGGTGTCAAACTCCTGGCCTCAAATGATCCACCCACCTCAGCCTCCCAAAGTGCTGGGATTACAGTTGTGAGCCACCACGCCCAGCCAGCATTTTTTATTTTATATGAAATAGAGTAGAATAGAAAATACCAGTGTACGTTGCACAGAGTAAGGGTAGGTCCTGTTTGGTGAAGATTAGTCTGTTCCAGGCATATGTATAAGTATGTGAGTACTGAGTTGCAGTGTAAAATGTGTTTTTTACCATGTATCATGTTAAAAAAAGTTTGAAATAGTGTAAAAATTACAGATCCCAGGCTGGACTTGGTGGCTCACACCTATAATCCCAGCACTTTGGCAGGAGGATCGTTTGAGCTCAGGAGTTAAAAGCCAGACCTCATCTCTATAAAAAAAAATAGAAGAATTAGCCAGGTGTGGTGGTGTACACCCGTGGTCCTAGCTACTCAGGAGGCTGAAGTGGAAGGATCGCTTGAGCCTGGAAGGTGGAGGCTGCAGTGAGTCATGAAGTCGTGATTGCATCACTGCACTCCAGCCTGGGTGACAGAGCAAGACCCTGGACCCTCTCTAAAAATAAAAAATCTCCAGTCCTCACATCAGTCTGGTTGGGGAGAGTTCTGGAATCTGCATTTTTTTTTTTTTTTTCTTGAGACAGTCTCGTTCTGTCACTCAGGCTGCCCAGGCTGGAGTGCAGTGGTGCCATCTCGGCTCATTGCAACTTCTGCCTCCCAGGTTCAAATGATTCTCCTGCCTCAGCCTCGTGAGTAGCCGGGACTACAGGTGCACGCCACTACACCCGGCTAATTTTTGTTTTTTGTTTGTTTATAAGATGGAGTCTTGCTCTGTCGCCCAGGCTGGAGTGCAATGGCTTGATCTCAGCTCACTGCAATCTCCACCTCCCGGGTTCAAGTGATACTCTTGCCTCAGCCTTCCAAGTATAGCTGGGATTATAGGCGTGTGCCACCACACCTGGCTAATTTTTGTCCAGCTAATTTTTGTGTGTGTGTGTTTTTTTCAGAGACGGGGTTTCACCATGTTGGCCAGGCTGATCTTGAACTCTTGACCTCAGGTGATCCGCCCGCCTCGGCCTCCCAAAGTGCTGGGATTACAAGTGTGAGCCACTGCACCCAGCCTGGAATCTGCGTTTTTAACCAGCATCCCCAGAAATAACTATGCTCACCTGGTGATGGTCCCCAGCTGGATGTACATTTTATAGATGGAGACAATGAGGCCAGAGTGGGGAAGGGGTGCCTAGTGGGCAAAAGCTTTGGAGTCAGACTGTCTGGCTCTGCCTCTCGTGACCTTGGTGAAGTCACTGAACCTGCCTGAGCCTCAGTTTCTTCACTGTGTGCATGGAGAAGGCCACTAGCCGAGACTGCTGGCCTGATGACGTAAAAGGCTTGGTGCGAAGCAGGTGCTCACGGTGCACCCGCCCCTTTCTCCACCCCTGTCCCTTACTCCCTCTCCCCTTCGCTGATAGGCCTTTCTCTGTGCCCCACAGACCAACAGAACTTCACAGTGACACTGGACCAGGTCCTGCTCCGCTGCCTGGAACACCAGCAGCACTGGAACCACCTGGACGAAGAGCAGGCCAGCCCGGACCTCTGGAGTGCCCCCAGCCCAGAGCCCGGTGGGTCCGCATCCCTGCTTCTGGCGCCCCACCCACCCCACACCTGCAGTGCCAGCTCCCTCGTCTTCAGCTGCATTTCACATGCCTTGCAATGGATCAGCCAAGGCCGAGACCCCATCTTCCAGCCACCTAGTCCCCCAAAGGGCCTCCTCACCCACCCTGTGGCTCACAGTGGGGCCAGCATACTCCGTGAGGCTGCTGCCATCCATGTGCTAGTCACTGGCAGCCTGCACCTGGTGGGTGGTGTCCTGAAGCTGCTGGAGCCCGCACTGTCCCAGTAGCCAAGGCCCGGGGTTGGAGGTGGGAGCTTCCCACACCTGCCTGCGTTCTCCCCATGAACTTACATACTAGGTGCCTTTTGTTTTTGGCTTTCCTGGTTCTGTCTAGACTGGCCTAGGGGCCAGGGCTTTGGGATGGGAGGCCGGGAGAGGATGTCTTTTTTAAGGCTCTGTGCCTTGGTCTCTCCTTCCTCTTGGCTGAGATAGCAGAGGGGCTCCCCGGGTCTCTCACTGTTGCAGTGGCCTGGCCGTTCAGCCTGTCTCCCCCAACACCCCGCCTGCCTCCTGGCTCAGGCCCAGCTTATTGTGTGCGCTGCCTGGCCAGGCCCTGGGTCTTGCCATGTGCTGGGTGGTAGATTTCCTCCTCCCAGTGCCTTCTGGGAAGGGAGAGGGCCTCTGCCTGGGACACTGCGGGACAGAGGGTGGCTGGAGTGAATTAAAGCCTTTGTTTTTTAAAGAAATGGCAAAGCCTTCGACTGACCCTTGACCCCCTGCTCCCTCAGCAGAGACGGAGGGAGGGGCTGCTGGTGGTCAGGGACCTGCACTGTGTAGAGGGAGCCTGGCTGTGTGGCCTGGAACAAGTCCCTCCCTCCCTGTGCGCCTCAGGTGGCCTGTCTGTGAGATGAGAAGAAGACCAGACTGAAGCCTGTTCACCATATGCCAGGCAGTGCTTTCTGCAGACCCCCTTGCAGAGACCTTGTGATGGAGAATTATACACATTTGACAGACGAGGGAACTGTGGCTGGTTTCAAGAAGCCATGGAGGCCGGGCACGGTGGCTCACGCCTGTAATCCCAGCACTTTGGGAGGCTGAGGCGGGCGGATCATGAGGTCAAGAGGTCGAGACCATCTGGCCAACATGGTGAAACCCCGTCTCTGCTAAAAATACAAAAATTATTAGCTGGACGTGGTGGCGCATGCCTGTAGTCCCAGCTACTCGGGAGGCTGAGGCAGGACAATTGCTTGAACCTGGGAGGCAGAGGTTGCAGTGAGCTGAGATAGAGATAGTGCCACTGTACTCCAGCCTGGGCGACAGAGCAAGACTCCATCTCAAAAAAAAAAAAGCCATGGGACCTGCCTACAGTCACAGGCCAACAAGGTGGCAGGTCCAGGATTTGAACTTAGAGCAGTCGAGGGCCTGTGTTCGGAACCCCAGAGTGAGAGTGTGGATGGGGCCTCCTGGTGTTTGCTTTCTTGCAGCCTAGACCCTGGGGTGTGCTGTCGAGTGGGTGAATGGCAGAGGGGAACTGGCTGAATGAAAACCTGCTGTGCCCTGGATGCTGCTACTGTTCAGGATGCCACCCCTGCCACCAGGCCAGCCCAGTGGGGGCCAACTACAAAAGCAGCCCTGTCCTGTGCCCTCACCCCACCCTGGCTTTGAATGTCACTGCCCTTCTCCCAGCCCAACCCATCACTGGTTTCATGGTCTGATTTATTGGTGGTGAATACACAGGGGCAGGCCCAGGACAAGCAGCTTGGCTACTCCCCCTCTGCTGGCTGCCCGACCGGCAGAGGGGGCTCCATGTGGCAGGAGCTAGGCTCCCAACGCCCACTGTTCTTGCCACCCTCTGGGCTCCCAGGCTGGGCTCCGCTAGGCTCCTGTCTCCCCTGCCAGTTAGTTAGGCAAGTTCAGGTGTGGAGGCCGCAGGGATAGATCCAGGTGGCTCTGGGCTGGGCCCTCTTCTCTTCCCAGCGGGGAGGTGCTGTTGGCCTGGCTGGGCTGGCCTGAATCTGTTTCAAGTTCTCCCTTCCTGCCCAGCTCAGTTCACCAGTGCTGGATCCAGGTTCAAATGACAGGGACTTGGGTTTTTACAACAGCGTGGCAAGTGGTCTGTCTCCTGGGCAGCCATATCCCAGACCCACTGGGTTGAAGGTTCTGTGGGGTGGAGGGACCCCAAGGTGTTCCAAGCCAGTGGCTGCACTGGCAGCAGGCCTCTGAGAGGGAGGCGGGAAGGGTAGGCGCGGAGAGCAGGCTCCATTCTGGGTCGAGTGGAGGACTGGCTCCCAGGGTGAGTTCACACCAGTGCTCCCAGCTGGCGGCTGCTCAGTCTCTCCTGCTGGGCGAGCGCGGGGGGCCGGGGCTATGCCATGCTGCTGGTGGAGCAGGGGGTGCTCTGGGTGCTCCCGATGCTGTGGTTGGTGCTGCTGCTCTCCGAGGAGGCCGGGGCAGCCACCGCCACCACGGGCTCCCGCTTGCTGGGGGAACCTGGGAGCGGGAGCGGGGGCAGGGGCGGAGGTCAGGGTCCTGGCCAGGGCCCCTCAATCCCTCAGAGGCTTCACTGGGCTCCCCCGGGTGGATGGAGGGGCCCGGCATGCTCACTGTGGGGGCCTGGGGTACTCACGCGTGTGCGAGTAGATGTACCAGAGTGCAGCAGTGAGCAGGGCCCCGATGAGGAAGGCACCAAAGGTGATGCCCAGCACGGCGGGCAGGACGAGGCCTTTGCTTGTGCAACCTAGAGAGGGCCGACGCCATCAGCACTGCCACTCTGCCCCTGCCCCATCCCCTACCCTGTTGTGCTGGCCCATGTGGGCTTTGGTGCCAGCTCTGCTCAGCCATGGACCCTCGACTTCTCTGAACCTCAGTCTCCTCTTGCAGCAAACGGGCTCATCACAGCCAGGCCTGGCATTGAGCCATGGTTGCTAGGACTGTCCACCTAGAGGGCCCAGCCAGGCCTTTTGGGTCATGCCTCTGCCCCTCAAGGCTGATGGAGATGGCGTTTTCAGGGAGGATGGATGGGGTAACGTGAGGAAACTGAGGCTCGGGAGTACAGAGCCTGCCCCACCTGCTGCATGACCTTGGGTCAACCCTGCCCCTCTCTGAGGCCTTTAGCAGGTAGAGAATGGGCCAGAGCAGCTCCGAGTGCCCTGCAGCTCTGCTCTTGGATTGCTCCAAGCCTCATTCCCTCCACATTCCTGACTCCTGTGTGGCTATGGGCCAAGCAGTCTTTCCTTGAGCCTCTGACATCCGATTCTGTGTCATGGGGTTATCAGCCCTGCCTTCTTGGTCCTGGGCTGGGAGTGGAGGCTCCATCCTGGCCTGGATGGGGTGGCAAAGAGGTAGGTGCCCCCATCCCTCACCCCTGCCTCTGCCACCAGTGTCGGGACTCTTCTGCCTGGTGTGGGCCTGGGCCTGGGGGGAACTGATGGAGAGGCTAGAGGGGGCGTCCTGCAGGGAGAGGCCTCAAGGAAGGCAAGGCCAGCACCCACCCTCAAAGGGCCTCTGTCTCACCCAGGAGACTCCATCCTCCCAGCAAGGTCAGCCAATAACTGTGGGGATGGAGTGGAGCCGTGAGTGGGGGCAGAGGCCTAGACTCCCACCCCACAGGGCGGTCCCGGGCAAGGGCTCTCCATCTGCAAAGTGCAGCTCTGGCCCCTGCTCTAGGCTGCTATGGCTCTGGGAAGCCCTCCTCCTGCCCCTTCTGGGCCGCTTTCTCTGGGGTCCCCCTTGCCATGTGCTATGTGCCCAGGCCGTTTCTCAGGGCTGCCCGCTGTGCCCTACTGTGACCTCAGCCACTAGAACAAACCCGAGAGACCTGGAGGGAGCTCACCAGACAGGTCAGGGCTGATGATGTTCAAGCGCATGAAGACAGTCCTATGGACTTCCTGGAGGAGAAAGAGAGAGCAGTATGTGGCACCTTTGGGAGGCGGCTTCCAGGTTTACTCCCTGGCTCCGTGACCCCAGCCCACCCTAGAGCCTTGGCTTTGAATCCCATCTCCACCGCTTCGTAGCTGGATGCCTCTGGGTGAGTCCTGGAAGATCTGTGCTGTGGGAGGGTGCCTAGTGGACGATCCCTGGCTGCTGCTGAAATGTTTCCTGTGAGTTCCTGGAGGCCTTGATGCCCAGGAGCACTGTGGAAGCACTATGCATCCCTCACCCTTGTGAACACTTTGGAGCTATGAGCCAGGTCAGCCCAGAGTCCCAGGCTCACTCTGGCTGGAGGGAGAGGCCCACTTAGGGGAGTTGAAGGCTTCCCTAGCTTCCTATGACCAGAGAAGTTTGTAATCCTGGAGGCCTGTCTGTGCAAGGGCCTGGGGGTGACTCTGGGGGCGTCCAGGATAGATTGCCTGAGAGTGGGGGTCACCAGATGGTGAAGTGTTGTGACTGGCAAATACAGAAAGCCAGGAGTGTGTGTCCTTTGTCCGCCTCTCTTCCCTCAGGTCTCCTGTTCTTTGAGATTACACTGGTGACCATACTACATGGATGTGCGGGTGGTTAGATTCCTGGGTGGGAGGGTGGATGGATGGATGGACGGACGGGTAAGTGAAAGGATGGATGGATGGATAGATGGACAGTGGCAGCTGCATAGTCTGCCAGTGCCCCAGACACAGCAGTCCCACCAGAAAGCTCTCGGGTGGCAGAAAGTGCTGCTGGCAGCCAGACTGCCAGGCCACATGCCTGATTAAGGCTCCGCCCCTCACCAGCTGGCCCCACATCCCTGTGGGCTGCCATGTCCCTTCCTGCAAACCACAGACCTGGAAGCTCCCACTTGAAGCTGGGGCCGGCCCAGGCCCCACTCACCTGGTCTTGAGACCCGGTCTTGGGACGCAGGGCTACCGTGCAGCTGAGGGTGCCGGTTTTGGGTATGGGTACTGTGTAGAAGTGGAGGAGGAAGCTGAAGCGCGGGTCACCCTCGGGGCTTGGGGACAGCAGGCTCACACAGTTGCCCTTGGCCGCCCGGCCCTGGATGAGTTCCACGGTGCCTCCCTCAGGCCCCAAGTCCAGGTGGCAGCTGTCTAACTGGAGCAGGAACTCGGAGACGGATGGGGACACTCTGACCTGCATGGGTAGGTAGGGCCACGCGGCATGGGCAGCTGCTCTTCACCCCACCCCACCTGCTGCCTTCAAATATCGGCTAGAATTAAGAGTTCCCACCCCTGAGTCCTCACAGTGGAAAGAAAGACATGGACCTGTCTGGGGCAGAGGAGGAGGACAGGGCCACATCCTTGTCAGTGTCCCTGAGCAATGCCTTCTCTGTCTCTCCCTCTCCCGTGCACCCAGGCTGTCTCCCTCCTGACTCTGGGAGTCTCATCTCCTCTGGAGTCATGGTGGGAAGAAAGGCGGAGAGGAAGTTCCAGGAGCTGGGAGGCCCGAGGGGTGACAGGCATGCCAGGTACCTGCACAAAGCTCTGCTGCCCCGGCTCGATGGTGTTGGAGGCCTGGAGGAAGTGTGGGCTGAGGTAGAGGCCCAGCTGGAAAGAGAGGCTGTCCATGTTGAGGCAGTGCACCTTTTTCTGGGGGAGGACGGGAGGGAGACTTGGTCAATCTGGCGGCGCCAGCCAGGAGGGCGAGGGGTGTGGGGAGGAACAGGCATCATGGCCCTGTGGAGTTGCCTGACTCTCTTTTTTTTTTTTTTTGAGACGGAGTCTCGCTCTGTCGCCCAGGCTGGAGTGCAGTGGTGCGATCTCAGCTCACTGCAAGCTCCGCCTCCCGGGTTCATGCCATTCTCCTACCTCAGCCTCCCAAGTAGCTGGGATTACAGGTGCCCGCCACCACGCCCGGCTAATTTTTTGTATTTTTAGTAGATACGGGGTTTCACCATGTTAGCCAGGATGGTCTCAATCTCTTCACCTCGTGATCTGCCCGCCTCGGCCTCCCAAAGTGCTGCGATTACAGGCGTGAGCCACTGCGCCCGGCCCTTTTTTTTTTTTTTAAACTAATATTTATCAAGGAGGCACCAGCTGCCAGGCTGTGTGAAGAGCTTCCACACAGCACCTCATTGGCTGCCCAGAAGCACCCTGTGGCGCAGAGTCCTTTCTTAGGCCACCTTTGGGCCCAGAAAACTAAAGTGACTTGCCCAAGGCCACACAGCCAGTATGTGCTAAGCCCTCTGACTTGAGAGACCAAGAGCGTCACCCTCAGCAGTCCTGCTCCGGTCATACAGAAGGGGAGACCGAGGCATTCCAGACACACATGGCTTGCCAGGAGTTTCCCGAGGCCTGCTCCCTCCCAGGCCAGGAAGAGGCCCCGGCCCAGCAGCAGCCCCTGGGCCAGGTGGGTTAGCACGTGACTGTCCATCTCACCCGCTGTGGTGATGAGCTCGACAGGATATTGACCACCGCCTGCGGGGATAAAGCCAGGGAGCTGGTCAGAGCCAGAAAGGACCCCAGAGGGTATCCCACCCAATACGCCCATTTTTGCAGATGGGGAGACTAAGCCAACCAATGGCCAAGCTTGTCTTGTGTTCTGAGCCCCTGCAGCCTGCTCTCCCAAACACACCTCCACCCTGGGGGATCAGGGAGGGCACCTGAGGGGGCACCAACCAGGCTGGTCCTGATACCTTTTTGGCCCCAGCTCTTACCTCATTGCTGATCATACTTGCTGACACCTGCATGCCACAGCTGGAGTAAGCACTGCGCAAGACAAACTTGTCACCCCTGTCCTCTGCCTCACAGCTGGGGTCCCAGAAGGTCAGGCCCGTGATGGTGCACTTCAAATGCTGGGTCGGAAGAGAGGGGCACCATCAGGAGGCACTGGGGTCTCTGTGGCCTGCCACACCCCAGCACCAAGGACTGACCACAACCCAGGGGTCCCAAGTCACAGCCATTCCCCTGCCCTGCTCCCTCTTCATTTTTGTTAGATGTCATCATCCTACACCACTTAAAAGTTCTTTTTTTTGAGATGGAGTCTCACTCTTTTTGCCCAGGTGCAGTGGCTCGATCTTGGCTCACTACAACCTCCACCTCCTGGGTTCAAGCGATTCTCCTGCCTTGGCCTCCTGAGTTGCTGGGATTACAGGCACGTGCCACCATGCCCGGCTACTTTTTTGTATTTTTAGTAGAGATAGGGTTTCACCATGTTGGCCAGGCTGGTCTCAAACTCCTGACCTCAGGTGATCCACCTGCCTCGGCCTCCCATTGCAGGGATTACAGGCGTGAGCCACCGCGCCTGGCCAAATTTTCTTATATCTATCAAAATAAATACAGAACTATTAAAAATATTCCTTCAGGCCGGGTACGGTGGCTCACGCCTGTAATCCCAGCACTTTGGGAGGCTGAGGCAGGTGGATCATGAGGTCAGGAGATCGAGACCATCCTGGCTAACATGATGAAACCCCGTCTCTACTAAAAATACAAAAAAATTAGCCGGGCGTGGTGGCGGGCTCCCGTAGTCCCAGCTACTCGGGAGGCTGAGGCAGGAAAATGGCGTGAGCCCGGGAGGCGGAGTTTGCAGTGAGCCGAGATCGCACCATTGCACTCCAGCCTGGGCAACAGAGCGAGACTCCGTCTCAAAAAAAAAAAATATATATATATATATTCCTTCAAGTTCCACATATAATCATCACTCACAGCCCCAAGGGCATGCAAACCCTGCAAGCATAATCCAGTCTCAGGCCTGGCGTGGGCGAAGTGTTCCTATAAAGAGCCAGATAGTAAATACTGTCATGCACCATGGGACAATGTTGTGGTCGGTGATGGACTGTGTATATGATGGTGGTCCCTGGTCCCATAAAATTATAACGAAGCTGAAAAATTTCTATTGCCTAGTGTTTGTGGTGATGCTGGTGTAAGCAAACTTATTGCACTGCCGGTCATATAAAAGTCTAGCACAGGCTGGGCGTGGTGGCTCACGCCTGTAATCCCAGCACTTTGGTAGGCAGAGGCAGGCAGATCACAGGAGGCCAGAAGTTCGAGACCTGCCTAGCCAACATAGTGAAACCCGACTCTACTAAAATTATAAAAATTAGCCAGGTGTGGTGGCAGACACCCATAGTCCCAGCTACTGGGAAGGCTGAGGCACAAGAATCGCTTGAACCTGAGAGGAGGAGGCTGCAGTGAGCCGAGATCACATCATTGCACTCCAGCCTTGGTGACAGAGCGAGACCTCGTCTCTAAAACAAGAAAAAGAAGGCCAGTTGCAGTGGCTCACGCCTGTAATCCCCGCACTTTGGGAGGCTGAGGTAGGCAGATGACCTGAGGTCGGAAGTTCGAGACCAGCCTGGCCAATATGGTGAAACCCTGTCTCTACTAAAAATACAAAAAAGTAGCTAGGCTGCGGACCAGGCGCCTGATTTCACACCTGTAATCCCAGCACTTTGGGAGGCCGAGGTGGGCGGATCACAAGGTCAGGAGTTCGAGACCAGCCTGACCAACATAGTGAAACCCCGTCTCTGCTAAAAAAAAAAATACAAAAAATAAGCCAAGAGTGGTGGTGGGCACCTGTAATCCCAGCTACTCGGGAGGCTGAGGCAGGAGAATTGCTTGAACCCGGGAGGCAGAGGTTTCAGTGAGCCGAGATTGTGCCATTGTACTCCAGCCCGGGCAATAGTGTGAGACTGTCTTAAAAAAAAAAAAAAAAAAAAAAAGCCAGGCGTGGTGGTGCACGCCTGTATTCCCAACTACTCAGGAGGCTGAGGCAGGAGAATCACTTGAACCCGGGAGGTGGAGGTTGCAGTGAGCCGAGATTGTACCACTGAACTCCAGCCTGGGTGACAGAGCAAGACTGTCTCAAAGAAAAAAAAAGAAAAGAAAAGAAAAACCACTGTAGCCAAAATTGAAAGAATTACAGCAAATCAAGGGAAGTGGTGGCCAAAGGGGCAACCTTTTTTTCTTTATTAAAACTTATAAAAATCATCAAGAAAAATACCAAGCCTCAATGATAAGGAGACTGAGGTTCTCATCACTCACGTGGAACCATGCCCACACTCACTACTAACCAGAGAATTACAACTAAAACAAGAATGGAACGCCATGTGCCTCTTCCCACACTGGCAAAGGTTTCTCTTTTTTTGAATTATAGTCTGGAGACAGCGAAGAGGTTGAGGTGTTCTCGTAAATCAGTGGTGAAAATTCAAATCATCTTTGGGAAAGTGGGTTGGCAACATGTATTGAAACTTCATTCATTTTGACCCAGTAATTCCACTAATGTGGAAATCTATCCTGAGAAAATAATCCTATATAAAGAAATGTTTCATGCACAATGACATTTTTTGCATATTTATAATACTACAGAATTGGGAACAACCTAAATGTGTAACAAGGGAAGAGGAGTTAATTATAGCATGTCAATATGATGGAATAATATGTGCTTATTAAACATGATATTAGGTACAGCTGTCAAAGCTCTAAAAATACATTAAGTGAAATAGTAAGAGACAAATGAACACATCTCTTATGATTACATCAATATAAGAAATACACAGAGAAAACGCTCTAGAAAGAAGCACACCAAAATGTTGGCAGCCATTGTCTTTGTGTCAGAAGGTTAAGATTTTCTAATTTTCACATATTTTTTAAAGCATGTTTTTTGTTTGTTTGTTTGAAATGGAGTCTCGCTCTGTCGCCCAGGCTGGAGTGCAGTGGCACAATCTCAGCTCACTGCAATCTCCCTCTACCGGGTTCAAGCGATTCTCCTGCCTCAGCCTCCTGAGTAGCTGGGACTACAGGCGTGCACCACCACGTCCGGCTAATTTTTTCTATTTTAGTAGAGACAGGGTTTCACCGTGTTGCCCAGGCTGGTCTCAAACTCTTGAGCTCCGGCAATCTGCCTGCCTCGGCCTCCAAAGTGCTAGGGTTACAGGTGTGAGCCACTGTGCCTGGCCAGCATGTGTTCTTTCATTTTATTTTGAGACGAGTCTTGCTCTGTTGCCCAGGCTGGAGTGCAGTGGCATGATCTTGGCTCACTGCAAGCTCCGCCTCCCGGGTTCAGGCCATTCTCCTGCCTCAGCCTCCCAAGTAGCTGGGACTACAGGCGCCTACCACCATGCCTGGCTAATATTTTGTATTCACCATGTGTTATTTTTATAACAAATATATTTGTTTGTCAACCAGGCAGTGATCATATTGTATAGGCTTTTTTTTTTTTCTTTGAGATGGAGTCTCTCTCTGTCACCCAAGCTGGAGTACAGTGGTGCGATCTCAGCTCACTGCAAGCTCTGCCTCCCGGGTTCACACCATTCTCCTGCCTCAGCCTCCCGATTAGCTGGGACTACAGGCGCCTGCCACCACACCCGGTTAATTTTTTGTATTTTTAGTAGGGACAGGGTTTCACTGTGTTAGCCAGGATGGTCTCGATCTCCTGACCTTGTGATCCACCCGCCTCGGCCTCCCAAAGTGCTGGGATTACAGGCACCGGCTTTTTTTTTTTTTTTTTTTTTTTTCTGAGACAGAGTCTCACTCTGTTGCCCAGGCTGAAGTTTAGTGGTGTGATCTCGGCTCACTGCAGCCTCTGCCTCCTGGGTTCAAGCGATTCTTGTTCCTCAGCCTCCCAAGTAGCTGGGACTACAGGTGTGTCCCATCACCTCTGGCTAATTTTTGTATTTTAGTAAAGACAGGGTTTCACCATGTTGGCCAGGCTGGTCTCAAACTCCTGACCTCAAGTGATCCACCCATCTTGGCCTCCCAAAGTGCTGAGATTACAGGCGTGAACCACCATGCCTGGCCTGTGTAGGTATTCTGCTAAGTGACCAGCCAGCTCAGGGAGCATTTAGGATTAATAATGACAACTACCTAGTGCTGGCATTATTTACTAAGCACTTACTATGTACCACATCTTACTGTGCCACGTGATTGGCCTGTCAGACTGCCTTTAATTCTCACCACGTGGTAGGTACCATTATCAATTCCATTATACAAGTGGGAAAACTAAGGCTTGCAGAGGGACGTGACTTGCCCCCCTGCCTGGGCTAGGACCCCAAGAGTCTTGGGCTAGGGGAGGAACCAGATGTCCATGTCATCCTGAGCCAGAGGGGCAGGAGTTCCCTTACCGCAACAAGCTCTTTCTTTAGTACCAGGGTCATGGCGTCGTCGGCACACTTTGTCTGGATCAAGGACATGAGCAGCTCCGGGCTACAAGTGTCCTTGGGAGGAGTGGTCTGGATCGGTGCGGGTGAGGTCTGCAGCCTACCACCTGTGGGGTAGCAGAGGCAGGCCAGGCGGCTGGTCACTGTGTGATCACTGTGTGCCCGCACCAGGCTTTTTTTTTTTTTTTTTTTTTTTTGAGACGGAGTTTTGCTCTGTTACCCGGGCTGGAGTGCAGTGGCACGATCTTGGCTCACTGCAACCTCCATCTCCCAGGTTCAAGCGATTCTCAGGCTCTTCTATGATTAGCTACTCCCATTGTTCCCATGTGCAGATGAGAAAAATGAGGCTCAGAGAGGCTGATGTACCTTGCCCAAGCTCACACAGAGGTGCTTCACCAACAGTGTGGCCACTGATCCAAGGGAGGGGAAGGGAAGGGAGGGGCAGGGGAAGGGTGCTCACCGCAGCTGGAGGCATGAAGTGAGACAATGCTGGCCAGCGGTAGCTCCACGAAGGATGCCACAATGCTGGCATTGAGCATCCGGGCCTCCCCCAGGAGGCCTTGAGGTGTGTCTGGGAGCTTGAAGCCACGAATGTTTTTCTCTGGAAAGATCTTGAAGGAGTATTCTCCAGTGGTCTAATGGTGGGGAGAGAGGCAGAACAGGGGGCCATGGACACAGTCTGTGCCACAGCAGGCCAGCCAGGGTTATGCCAGGCCTCGGTCCTGCTGTGTCCCCACTCCTGCTGCGTCTTCTGCCTGGCCCCTTCCCTCACGTATGGGCATAGGTGATTTGTCCTTCAGCTCAGCTCGGGGGTTCACCTTTCCAGGAAACTTCCCTGATCCAGAGGTTGGGAGTTTGGGTTTTGTGTCCCGGGAGCTGCGCACAACTCACCCAGATCTGCATGTTGTGGTTGGCGTCGATGAGCCAGGACACGTAGGGGGGACCCTGCAGGATGAGGACGGCATCGAGATCCCCGGGTGCGCAGCTCAGTTCCACCTTCACCGTCACCGTCCGGGGCCTGCGGGGAGACAGACGCGGATGGAACACTGAAGCGGACAGGCCAGGCGGGGAGCGAGGCCTGGCGTCGGGTGGGCGGCGGCTGCACTCTTACCTGGCCAGGTGTGGGTTTATGGGATAGGGATGGGACTGGGGCCAGGCTTGTGCCCAAAGGGAAGGGGCCCATAGGGGGCGTAGCCTAGAGTAGGAGAAAGCGACTGTGCTCTCACAGGGCTGCGGCGGGGCTGGGGCTGGGACTGGGGTGGGGCTTTATAAGGGACCGGAGAGGGGGCGGGGGGGGTCAGGGGGGTGGTCTCTCGGGGTGGGGACTAGTGTCAGGGGCGGGGCGAGAGCCATACCCGGCCGAGTGGCCCGGCAGGACCCTCAGGATGTGCGCCTCCTTGTGGCCGGCCACGCCTTCCAAGTGGCAGCCCCGGACCAAGGCTGGAGTACGCGGCCGCCACTCGAGCGTGCGGCCCATGTCCTGGCTGGCTTCCAGCATGCAGAAGGACAGTGACCCCTGGGCTGCAGAGACACGCGCACCTCAGTCCCTTCCCTCAGCAGCCCTGCACCTAACAGAGCCCCGCCCTCACCCACAGCCAAAGATAGTGGTGGGGCAGGCAGGACGGTGCTGCAGAGGGGGAGAGGCGTCAGAGGACCTAGGTTCGAACTTCCCTTCCACCACTCACCTGCCAAGTGACCCTGTGCAAGTCCCCGGGCCTCCGTGTGTTAACATAAGGGATGAGCCCATGACACATGTTAGGCTGCAGCCCCGAAACCACCCAGCAAGACCCGAAATTATAGATTTATCTGTGTACATGTACATGTTTATTGTCACCTCCCTCATCACAGTATCAGCTCCAGGAAGGCAGGGCCTGAGTGTGTCCCCAAGTGCCTAGCATGATAGGGCTTTGGCACATAGTAGATGCACAATAGATCGTATGAAAATGCTGGGGTTTTAGGTCAGAACCTGGCATATTCCACATGCTTCAATCTGATATTTGGTGGAGGAGCCATCACTGTCCCAAGGCAGCACTGGCTTGTGGCATGTGAACTGTGGCACAGCGTGTCCCCTCCTGCACTCTTGGTGCCCAAGTTTGAGGTGTGGGCCAGAGGAGCTCAGATTCCTCCTGAGCAGTATCATGAGCCCAGAGAGGTTGCTGGGGAAACTGACCTTGGCCCAGTCGGAGGAGGATGCTCTGGGGGTCATTCAGCTCAGCAGCAGAGGTGATGGGGCCCCTCTCAGCTGCCCACTCAAGGATCTGGGTCTTGGGGAAGGATGGCAGCTCTGTGGTGTTGACCCCCGGGGGCTCTTGGAAGGTGACCAGGCTGGAATTCTGGGGAGACATGTGGAGGCTCAGCACGCTGTTCCTGGCCCTGTGCCCTCTCTATCCCATGTAGGAGGTCAGGAAGTAATTTGTGGAGTCAGCCCATTGGCTGAGAGAAAGAGGCCGGAGCTGAGAATGCTGGCTGGTGGATCTGCAGTCAGCCCGGAGCCCCCTAGCAGTCAGATCAGCCCCTTCTCCCTTGCATACCTGGGGGGCCAGATGAACACACCACCTTGTTCATCCACCTGTCCAAACATCACCCACCCCTCCAGAGCTGTTCTCATTCAACCCACATCTACGCCATCCTGCGGCTGTCTCTCCCTATACCCTGAGGCTCTGGATCTCCCTACACTGTGAGGGTCTACAGGGGGCAACGTCTACCTTGCCCATCCTTGCACAGTGCTTGACACGTAGTACGCACTGAGAGAGATTTGTCTGACTTTGTGCTGGGCCCTGGGCCCATCACAGGATCCTGACATGCCAGCGTCACCCTGACACCCAGCATGTGATGGGTGCTCCCCGCCTATGGGAAGACAGGGAGAAAGGGAAGAAAGAAGAAAGGGATGGATGAATGAATTAATGAATTAAAGACAGATATCAGTGGTCCCTGCCCTAGGGGATATTACCATTCAGAAACTAGACATGCATCAAGTCATTTGAAACAATAGAAGACAGAATTTTATTTAATAAGAAACAAAGGAGCCAGACAGATCTCCTGGTTGGACAGGGATGGGGAGTCTGGGTGGCTTCAGCATCTCACTGCCTACCCTGCCATTGCCTCAGAAGAAATGGGGGTTGGGGGTGAGGAGGAAAGCAGACAGGGAAGACTTCCTGGAAGAGTGACTCTGGAAAGCTGAAGGATTCAGAGGAAGCTGTTGGGGCCACTGACTGAGCTCTTAGTGTACAGTCTCCAAAGCCAAGGGCATTGAGCTGAATGAAACAGCAGCAGCAGAAGGGCAAAAGGGCTTCGGGTTGGATTTAAAAATATTTTTTATTATAATTTTTTAGAGACGAGGGTCTCACTATGTTGCCCAGGCTGGTCTCCAACTCCTGGCCTCAAGAGACCCTCCTGGCCAGGCACAGTGGCTCACGCCTGTAAACCAGCACTTTGGGAGGCCGAGGCGGGTGGATCCCCTGAGGTCAGGAGTTCGAGACCAGCCTAGCCAACACGGTATGAAACACTGTCTCTACTAAAAATACAAAAAATGAGGTGGGGGTGGTGGCAGGTGCCTGTAATCCCAGCTACTCGGGAGGCTGAGGCAGGAGAATTACTTGAACCCAGAAGGCGAAGGTTGCAGTGAGGCGAGATGGGGCCATTGCACTCCAGCCTGGGCAACAAGAGTGAAACTCCATCTCAAAAAAAAAAAAAAAAAAAAAAAAAGGAGACCCTCCTGCCTCGGCTTACCAAAGTGTTGGGATTACAGACATAAGCCAGGTCGCCTGGCCCAAGCTAGATATTGAGGACTGCCAGATGGCAACAGTAGACAAGACACCCTAGAATGGCCCATCTAGAAGGAAGTAGATACCTTCTCTGTAGGGATTCAACAAGGGGGCAAAGTGATGGGCATCTTGGGTGAGGAACCCAGCCCGCGGAATGGGAAAGGGCTGGGACACTGGCTTTACAGCTGGGTTGGGAAAGGGATCTGATCCTTGAGTCAGCCCCTGTAAAATGGGGATACAGCAGGGCACGACGTCTGTTGGTCGCCTGGCACTGGGTCGGCCACCGAGGCCGCGCCTTGGCCTCTTTGTCCCCTCTGGCCACCGGCCCCAGGGAGCCCGCTCGGGAAGCAGCGCGGCCCCAGGAGGAAGGCGGCGCGGCCGAGGCCAGAGCCGGCGGCTACTGCGACCTTCCGGCTGGCGGGCGCGTTTCATGTTCCTGCCTCACCCTGGGCTGCACGGACTCAGATCGGGAAGGGGGAGGATCCATGGTAAAGGCCACGCCCCCTCTGGGACCTCGATTCCCCTTCTGGGCGGCCGAGGGATGGGCTGCAAGGAGTCAAATCCTCTTGGCCCTGGTGGTTGGATTTGGCCCCCTCCCTCCTAGGACTTTGGCATGCTGGCTTGGTCATGTCTGACTGTCTCTGTGCTGTCCCTGTCACCAGTCCGGAAGCTTCTCCCCTGTCCCCCACGCCCAACTTCGCTCAAGCCTGCCTCCCTCCCGCAGTGGGCATGTTTCTTTCTATGCCTCTCTCCCCTTTGCTATCTTTGCTCTCCCCCGGGCTCTCCCCTTCCTACCCTCTGCTTTCTCTGTTGTAAACAACAGCTGCTCACATCTGGGGGCCACCTCCCAGACATTCCTCATGGAGGAGGCAGTGCTGGCAAGCCACCCTGCCTCCTCCAGCCCTGACCTCTGGCAGTGGGTCCCAGCTCCCTGACCTCCTCTCTCTGGTGGATATAGCTAACACTTTTAAAAGTTGAGGCTTTTGGTTGTTTGTTTTTAATTGTTTTTCCCAAATCCACAGCTGACCTGAAAACTTGAGTTTTTTAAAAATACTTTTTTCTCCAAAATAGGCCAAATCCATTTAGAGCAACTCTTGCAAACTCAACAAAGTGTGAAGAACCAACTAAATGTCTCTCCTAATCCCACTTCCCAGCCATAACCACTGTTAACACGTTAGGTTTTCTCCTGGCCCTTTTCCTCTGTCTTTAAATATTTTCAAATATATGTCGTGTAACTTTTTCAAAGACAATGAAAAGATTATCATATAAAATATTGAGTTCAGTTGTCCCACTGGACAGAGAGGCAAACTGAGCCTATGCAGAGGATCAGAGTTGGCCAGGGCTGCACATCAACCTGACTCCCACCTCTTGGTCTAGACTCTTTACTGTAGTCCTGGTGCCCTCTGGGTTCTCTCTGGTAGAGACCATTGGCTTCACCAGGCAGGACCCTGGTGAATAATGTCAAGATGAAAGGGAGAAGCAGGGCTGGGCCGCTGGGGTGGGAGACCCTGACCCACAGAGATGGACAGTAGGGACCTCCCATGGCCAGAGCCTCAGCCTGGGGTTGGAGGGAACACACTCACGTAGGCCAAGTGCAGTGGGATTCCCAGGGCCTGGAGATGCAGGAAGACACTGCTGTTTACACTGAGGACCAGAAGCACCTCTCGGGGCCAGGTGCCATTTTGCTTGGATGCCTGGAGAGTCAGCTCCAGCTGTGACGGGCCCTGGGGGACACAGAGGAGAGACACACACAGTCCAGTCAGATTTGTATAGGTTGTGCCACCCAGACAGGCAGTGATGATTTGGATGCTTCCACTCCACTCTCCCTGCCTGCTCTGTCCACCCTCACCTCCCAGTGCCCAGGGTAGTGCCTGTCCCTCTGGCCATCCTCAGGGAATTCACAATAAACAAATGAAGGAGGTAAGCCCGGCAAATCTGAAGAGAGAAAAAAAATTAGGCTGGGCACGGTGGCTCACGTCTGTAATCCCAATACTTTGGGAGGCTGAGGTGGGCGGATCACCTGAGGTCAGGAGTTGGAGACCAGCCTGACCAACATGGTGAAACCCCATCTGTACTAAAAATACAAAAATTAGCCAGGCGTGGTGGTGGGTGCCTATAATCTCAGCCACTGGGGAGGCTGAGACACAAGAATTGCTTGAACCCTGGGGGCAGAGGTGGCATTGAGCTGAGATGGCACCACTGCATTCTAGCCTGGGCAACAGAGTGAGACTCCATCTAAAAAAAAAAAAAAAAAAAAGGCCGGGCATGGTGGTTCACACCTGTAATCCCAGCACTCTGGGAGGCTGAGGCAGGTGGATCACCTGAGGTCAGGAGTTCGAGACTAGTCTGTCCAACATGGTGAAACCCCGTCTTTACTAAAAATACAAAAAATTAGCCAGGTGGGGTGGTGGTGGATGCCTGTAATTCCAACTACTTGGGAGGCTGAGGCAGGAGAATCTCTTGAACCCAGGAGGTAGAGGTTGCAGTGAGCTGAGATTGCGCTATTGCACTCCAGCCTGGGCAACAAGAATGACGCTCCGTCTCAAAAAAAAAAACAAAAAACAAACAAAAAAAAGGGATGAGCCTGAACTTCATCCATCAAGGATCAAATGAGAACCTGTTGTGTACTGGGCCTTAGGGAGTGTCCTGTGCATGGAGGCAGCGATCCCCTGCCCCATCGTCCCCACCACCTTTCCTGCAGTCCCTGAGTGACAGCTCTGCTTCCAGCCCACATGAGACAGTCACAATTGCTCTCCCAGTTTGCAATATTCCTGCTTGTCTTACCGTTTTAAAGTACTAAAATCCTGGGGGGTTGTTTTGGTATAATGCCATTATTTTGATATAAGAATGTGAAGTTGAAATCATTTATGTCTTGAGACGTACCCACTGCATTAAAATTTTTAATTGTTCAATGATGTATACATTTAGAATGTTTTTATAACAACAGCAATACCTACCTACCACGTAAATAGGGCCTATTAAATCCCAGCAGTGTTCTAAGTGCTTTACACATTAACTCATTTAATCCTTTCAACAACCTTAAGACGTAAATACCATTTTTTTTTTTTTTTTTTAGAGACAGAGTCTCCCTCTGTTGTCCAGACTGGAGTGCAGTGATGTGATCTCGGCTCACTGCAACCTCTGCCTCCCAGGTTCAAGCAATTCTCCTGCCTCAGCCTCCCGAGTAGCTGGAACTGCAGGTGCCCACCACGACGCATGGCTAATTTTTTGTATTTTTACTAGAGATGGAGTTTCACCATGTTGGCCAGGTTGGCTTTTTTTTTTTTTCTTTTTTTTTCTTTGAGGCGGAGTCTCGCTCTGTCGCCCAAGCTGGAGTGCAATGGGGCGATCTTGGCTCACTGCAACCTTCGCGTACCAGGTTCAATTCATTCTCCTGCCTCAGCCTCCCGAGTAGCTGGGACTATAGGCGCCCACTACCATGCCTGGCTAAGTTTTGTATTTTTAGTAGAGACGGGGTTTCACCATGTTGGTCAGGCTGGTCTCGAACTCTGACCTTGTGATCCACCTGCCTCGGCCTCCCAAAGTGCTGGGATTACAGGTGTGAACCACCCTGCCTGGCCTTTTTTTTTTTTTTTTCTTTCTTTTGAGACAGGGTCTTGCTCTGTCACCCAGGCTGGAACCCAGTGGCACAATCTCAGCTCACTACAACCTCTGCCTCCTGGGTTCAAGCAATTCTCCTGCCTCAGCCTCCTGAGTAGCTAGGACTACAGGCGTGTGCCACCACACCAGATTAATTTTTTATATTTTTAATAGAGATGGGGTTTCACTATGTTGGCCAGGCTGGCTTTTCTTTGTTTGTTTTTTGAGACAGGGTCTTACTCTCTTTTCCAGGCTAGAGTGCAGTGGTGCAATCATGGCTCACTGCAGCCTCAACCTCCTAGGCTCAAGCAATCCTCCCACCTCGGCTTCCCAAAGTGCTGGAATTACAGACATGAGCTACCATTCTTTTTTTTTTTTTTTTTTTTTTTTGAGACAGAGTCTTGCTCTGTTGCCCAGGCTGGATTGCAGTGGCACAACCTCGGCTCACTGCAACCTCTGCCTCCTGGGTCAAGCAATTCTCCTGCCTCAGCATCCTGAGTAGCTGGGACTACAGGCGATTGCCACCATGCCTGGCTAATTTTTGTATTTTTAGTAGAGATGGGGTTTCAGCATGTTGGCCAGACTGGTCTCAAACTCTTGACCTCAAATGATCTGCCCGCCTCGGCCTCCCAAAGTGCTGGAATTACAGGCATGAGCCACTGCACCCGGCCACTATTCTTATTTTCACTTACAGATGAGGGAACCAAGACCCTGAGAGGTGAAGTCATTTGCCTTTGATGACACAGGAAGTCAGCCAGGGGCTGGGATTCGTGCCCAGGTAGGCCTGTGCTCTCACATTTTTCTTTTCTTTTCACTTTTTTTTTTTTTCTGAGATGGAGTTTCACTCTTCCTGCCCAGGCTGGAGTGCGAGACCAGCCTCATCAACATGGTGAAACCCCAATGGTGCGATCCTAGCTCACTGTTTCTTTTTTTTAGGCTCGTCAAGTGAAGCAATGAGAGTGGAGAAGGAACAAAGCAATCTGTAACTAGTTGTGATCAATTACTTGTAAACACAATTGTTTTTTTCATTTTAGTGTGCCATTTAGTTTTTTTCTATTTATTATTATTTTTTGAGATGGAGTCTTGCTCTGTTGCCAGGCTGGAATGCAATGGCGCGATCTCGGCTCACTGCAACCTCCACCTCCTGGGTTCAAGTGATTCTCCTGCCTTAGCCTCCCAAGTAGCTGGGACTACAGGTGCATGCCACCATGCCCAGCTAATTTTTGTATTTTTAGTAAAGATGGGGTTTCGCCATGTTGGCCAGGATGGGCTCAAACTCCTGACCTCAGGTGATCCACCCGCCTTGGCCTCCCAAAGTGCTAGGATTATAGGCGTGAGCCACTGCACCCGGCCGCTCTCACATTTTTCCACACATTTTTGTGTAGCACATCCTTCCCTAGCACATTTTTCTAACCTTATTCCCAAGAAGAAAAAGAACACAGCAATCTACAAGCCAGTGTCTATTGAAAGAATGACCTCAAAGACTTTCTGAACTAGTGGCATGTGAACAGGTGAGTGCTGAGACTAAGACAGGTAGACCAGGCGTGGTGGCTTACGCCTGTAATCCCAGCACTTTGGGAGGCTGAGGTGAGCCGATCACCTGAGGTTGGGAGTTCAAGACCAACCTGACCAACGTGGAGAAACCCCGTCTCTACTAAAAATACTAAATTAGCCAGGTGTGGTGGCGCATGCCTGTAATCCCAGCTACTCGGGAGGCTGAGGCAGGAGAATCGCTTGAACCCCAGGAGGCGGAGGTTGTGGTGAGCCAAGATCGCGCCATTGAGCTCTAGCCTGGGCAGCAAGAGTGAAACTCCGCCTCAAAAAAAAAAAAAAAAAAAAAAAAGACAGGTAAATGCCTCAGAAGCCCTGCCACCAACTCAGGAGGACAAAGACAAATGTAATTTGCTGAAACACAGACTCCCAGTGCTCTCATACAAAAGCTGCCAGTCTAAAAGATGATCCAAAAGCTCTTTTCAAAGTTATGAAAAAGGGGAAGGCTATTTCAAGATGAAGACACCAGTGGAAAGTTTTGAGATTTAACTTTTAATCATCTTGCCATTTCCCCAACTGACGTCACAAAGCCAGAGACAGTGTTTCAGCCACTGGAAAAATCTGCCCAGAAATATTTCTGTTACTCAATAATGATACCATAATTACTCTTTGCTTTTAAGTTTCCTCTTTAAAACACAAAAAGAACAAATAATAATATTTCATTTTCAATGTGTCACAAATATTTTGTTTCCTTTTTTTAGGCTCCTCAAGTGAAGCAGTGAGTGTGGAGAAGGAACAAAGCAATCTGTAACTGGTTGTGATCAATTAGTTGTAAACACAATTTTTTTTTTCATTTTAGTGTGCCATTTAGTTTTTTTCTATTTATTATTGTTTTTTGAGATGGAGTCTTGCCCTGTTGCCAGGCTGGAGTGCAATGGCATGATCTCGGCTCACTGCCACCTCCGCCTCCTGGGTTCAAGCAATTGTCCTGCCTCAGCCTCCCAAGTAGCTGGGACTACAGGCGTGCGCCACCATGCCCAGCTAATTTTTGTATATATATATTTTTGAGATGGAGTCTTGCTCTGTCGCCTAGGCTAGAGTGCAGCGATCTCTGCTCACCGCAACCTCCACCTCCCGGGTTCAAGCGATTCTCCTGCCTCAGCCTCCCGAGCAGCTGGGACTACAGGTGTGCGCCACCATGCCCAACTAATTTTTGTAATTTTTTCTTTTTTTGAGATGGAGTCTTGCTCTGTTGCCCAGGCTAAAGTACAGCGATCTCTGCTCACCGCAACCTCCACCTCCTGGGTTCAAGCAATTCTCCTGCCTCAGACTCCTGAGTAACTGGGATTACAGGCACCTGCCACTGCGCCTGGCTAGTTTTTGTATTTTTAGTAGAGATGGGGTTTCACCATCTTGGCCAGGCTGGTCTCGAACTCCTGACCTCATGATCCCTACGCCTCAGCCTCCCAAAGTGCTGGGATTATAAGCGTGTGCCACCACGCCCAGCCTAATTTTTGTATTTTTAGTGGAGATGGGGTTTCACCTTTTTGGCCACAATGGTCTTAATCTCTTGACCTGTGATCTGCCTGCCTCAGCCTCCCAAAGTGCTGGGATTATAGGTGTGAGCCACTGCGCCCAGTTAGGTTGGTTATTTTTAAATAATTATTTTATGCTAATTTATGGGATAAGATATGTTTCAAATTTATGTTTGTATAAGTTCATGTTTTGATTAATGTTTTCTAGTGGGTTTATAACTTTTGGTTTTCAAAATATATTGTTTCATCAGTTTTGAATAAAATATATATATATATAATTTTTTTCTTTTAAGACAGGGTCTCCCTCTGTTGCCCAGGCTGGAGTACAGTGGCGTGATTGCTCACTGCAACTTCCGCCCCTCAGGCTCAAGTGATCCTCCCGCCTTAGCCTCCCAAGTAGCTGGGACTACAGGCATACACCAGTATGCCTGGCTAATTTTTATATTTTTTGTAGAGATGGGGTTTCACTATGTTGCCCAGGCTGGTGTTGAACTCCTAGACTCAAACAATCCACCCACCTCGGCCTCCCAAAGTGCTGGGATTACAGGCGTGAGCCACCATGCCTGGCAGTTTTTAAAAATATTACGCTTTCTAGGCTGGGCGTGGTGCCAGAGCGGGGCCTGCATTCCCTGGACCATGTCCTCCCTCTCAACTGCACCTCTCTCCCAGATTGCCCTACAGTCCATTGCTGTGCGGCCCCATCTGCTTGTCCCAACCTGGAGGAAAGAATTGCAAGGCCCACACGATGAAGAGATGGGCCCTCTGGATAGTCAGATCATGGCCAGGACACAGCACAGCCTGTGGTGCATGAGGACATCCATCCGCCATCCCATGGTGACACCCACAGGCCAAGCATGCTGCAGAAGCCAGAGTGCAGTCTGGTGGCCAAGCCCTGAGTGGGGATGAAGGAGCCCCATGGCCATCCAGTCCTACTGCTGCTCCGCCACTGTCCCTGTTCCTCTATGCCTCAGTTTCCTCATCTGTGAAATGGGGGTAGGACAGGGTTGGGAACCAGTACCAGGTTGGGCTATGGATAAAGGAAGTGAAAAAAAAGGGAAGTGCAGGTCACAGCCTGGTCATGCTGTCTGTGAGGGGTGACGAGGAGGCTGGAACTTCGGAATGTTTCTTGGGACACTCAGCTCTCATCCCAGAGCTCACGAACCAAAGCTACCACTCAGTTGTCACCAAGTCCTTCCCTGCAGGCTTGAGGGCAGGTAGGAGGTGGGGGCAAGTGAGTAGTTGGGAAACTCAGGGGGGCTGGAAAGCTGGGTGCTCAGGTTCTCTGAGCTGCAGGGCCAAGCTGAAAAACAGCTGGTTACCAGAAAAACCCAGTCAGGGTTTCTACAGCAAACATTTCCCTCCCCACGGCCCTGACTCACCGCCACGGCCACTCACACGCACACCGACTTCCCCCTTCTCTCCCGGCCGGGGGCCCCAGAGGCAAAAAACGATGGCGCCAGCCTTGCCCCCAACCCCAAGCTCCCAGCCTTCCTCATGGGACCCTGGGAATTCCGCAGTCTGGCCAGCCCCTCACCCCCAGCCCGGCCAGCCTGCGCCTACCCAGCCCCCTCCCTGAGTGGGTGGGCGGGAGACCGCGTTTCTATTTTTGTACCAATGTCCCACAGATGCCATTGTTGCCCAGCAGTTGGTGGCAGGAAGGGGGGATTTCGGTGAGGAGGCCCTGAGTGCTAGTAGCCACTTATAGAAAGTCGCTTCCAGCAATTCTTCTAGGAGTGGAGCCTCAGGGCTGCCTGCAGCCCCCACCCTCCCAGGGCCTGACTGGAGGCGGTCAGATTGGAGCCAGCCGTCCCTCTGTCCACCCCAGAAAACTCAGATGGTCCTACAGGCAGGGTGGCAGGGGAAAGGATCAAAGCCAGACCAACCTGAATTCAGATGGGGGCTCAGTCATTAGCCTGTGACCTTGGACAGTCACTATGCCTCTCTGGGCCTCAGTTTCCTGATTTGGAAAATGGTATTCCCACTTCATTGACTTATGAGGTTTCAGTGCAATTCTGCCTGCAAAGTAGGTTGTCCAGTGCCCAGCTAAACATGTGGGAGTAGTTTGGCTTTTTTTTTGAGACACAGTCTTGCTCTGTCACTCAGGCTGGAGTACAGTGGCACGATCTCGGCTCACTGCAATCTCCGCCTCCTGGGTTCAAGTAATTCTGCTGGTTCAGCCTCCTGAGTAGCTGGGACTACAGGCACCCACCACCATGCTCAGCTAATTTTTGTATTTTTAGTAGAGACGGGGTTTCGCCCATGTCGGCCAGGCTGGTCTCGAACTCCTGACCCAAATGATCCACCCACTTCGGCCTCCCAAAGTGCTGAGATTACAGGCGTGAGACACCACGCCTGGCCTGGTTGGCTTTTTAATCCCTCTGATTCTCCCCTTGCACACAGTCATCCAAGGAGAGCCATCCACAGTTTAGGGGCTGGGAAGCATGGGTCCAGTTAGAGGTGGGCTGCAGCTGGTGAGAACTACAAATCTCTCAGCCATGCCTCGCTGTGGCATCCTATCTCTGAGCCTCAGCCTCCCCATCTGTGCAGGGAGGAGTTGAGCTCAGTGATGTTCTAGAATTGTGTGGCCCCTAGATCCCAGGCTGCCTTCTGGGGGTCCCAGCATTTTACATCTAGGAGTCCTGGTCTCCAGCCAGATGGCCACAGAGTGGGTTTTCAGAATGCCCTGGAGAGATATGCTTCTTCCTCAGCTGAGGGGGCCCCTGGTACCTCCAGCCTTTCTGGTGGTCAGCCCACGTGTCCTCACCTCTCCAACTCATTTGCCTGTCTGAGAGGCTGGCACTGGGCCCAGCCTGGGGCTTCTGTGTTCTCAAAGGACAGAAAAGGCATAACTCTGTCCTCAAGAGCTTGGCAGAGAACAAACCAACACCTCCGAACGACCAGACATAAACAGCAAGGAACATCATCAGCCCACTTGGGAATAGCCAATCACCAAATGCTTATAAGAATGTACAGTTTTTCCTTCCTTTCTTTTATTCTCTCTCCCTCCCGCCCTTATCCATCCATCCTCTCATCCATGCATGAATGCATCCATCCATCCATCCATCCATCCATCCATCCATCCATCCAACAGATATTGATTCCTGGGCTGACTTCGAGCTTAACACCAAAGATTCAGCAGTAAGAGGGCAGGCACAATCCCTGCTCAGCCTGTCTGACCCTCCCCAACCCCCAATCCTGCCCCTTCAGCAAGCCTGCCTCTAATATTTGCAAGGCCTGAGACAAGAATACAAATGGCAGCCTCTGGCCCCAGTGCTTTCTCCTTCTCATCACTGTGGTTCTGACAGCCAGCAAGGGTGCTCATGTGTCCACATGTGGACAGCTCAGCCCGGATACCCAAACTCCACCATGCCTGCCTCCCCAAGTAGCCAACTCAACCATCCTTCAGGTCTGGGGGAGCTCACATAGCCATGCAGTGCTCCCCTGGAGGATGGAACAGGAAAGATCCCTGCAGCCCTGAGAGGAGGCTCAGAGCCATTTGGGATTTTGGGGTCCTGGGTACCCAGAGCATCATCTAGAAGGGAGGGGTGCAGGTTTCAGGGGGGTACATCCCTTTGGCCCCACAGAGTCCCCACCCTGGGAGAGGGCTGCCATTGGCAGAGGGCCAGAGGGAGACTGCTTCCCCCAAGCCCAGGCAGGGGTCCCCTTTGCCCAAGTCTGAGGGCTGTACTGCCTTCCATGGCCTCCCACTGCCTCCCAGGACAGTCTGGGGGAGCTAAGGTCCCTCCCGGCTCTCTCTCTCTGCCTGAGTGGTGTTGCCTGCCCCTCTGGTCAAGAGTGAGTCAGTGCTGGGGCCTGACAGGCTGTGTCTGTTCAGGGGTGGGTGGGGTCTCAGCTGCCCCAAGTTTGCCCAGGAGTGGGTGAATCAGTGCTGACCCAGCTCTGCCCTGGCCTGGCAGCCTGTGCATTTGTTAGGAGGATAGCAGATCGGCCCAGTCAGCCTGACGGGAATTGCTGAGACACCAGGCTGGTTTCCTGTCTCCGAGGGTCAGGATGTGACCCTGGGCCCCCTCCCGGAATCCAGGCTCCGGCCTGCCCTTCAGGGACCCAGCGAGATCCAGCCCCTGCCCAGCGGGGCTGTCTGCAGACCTGCCCAGCACACGCACTGAGCGGCACTTCCCCAAGGCTCTCGGCTGCCACCGCCCATCTACCACCCACCCACAGGAAATCTGAGGATTCTGAGGGATGGACGGGAAAGCCACTTCTCTGTGCCAGAGATCGAAGAAGCCGGCCATAGGTCAGGAGGGATCCGGCTGGCTGCTAAAAGCCACCACCCCCACTACCACGTCCAGCCCCATGCCGCTAGGCCTTTGCTGTGCACTGGCTTCTGCCTGGAATGCCCTCTACCCTGCTCTTGGGCTAGACACCAGGGGCCTTTTCCCTAACGCCCCTCCCTCCTCTACCTTCAGTGCTCATCACCCCATCACCTGCGGCCCCCTGAAGCCCCATTTGCTGATCCCACCACTCATACCAGGGCTGCTGATGCCACCTCTGCCTCCCTGGCTCTACCTTCTGTCTGCATCATCAACACAGGCTGGGCACAGAGTGGCACCTGGTGAGGGCTGCGCAATGGGGACTATGAGCTCTAGACCCCACTCTTAGGGGATGCCTGGGGAGGAAGGTGCCTCCCAGGGAAACCACAGGGTCCTCAGTGGTCACAGCAGTAGGGGCTGGCAGCATCATGGGCTCAACCCTCAGAGCAGGGAGACAAGAAGCAGCAGGAGGAGGAAGGCCCAGCTCCATGAGGCTGGACCTCAGCTTGCCCTGCTGAAAATGAATTCACAGCCCTGCCCCATTAATCTTTTTTTTGTTGTTGTTTTGTTTTTGAGACAGGGTCTTGCTCTGTCGCTCAGGCTGGAGTGCAGTGGTGCGAACTCGGCTCACTGCAATCTCCACCTCCCGGGTTCAAACGATTCTCTTGCCTCAGCCTCTCTAATAGCTGGGATTACAGGCACCTGCCACCACGCCTGGCTAATTTTTGTATTTTTAGTAGAGATGCGGTTTCGCCATGTTGGCCAGGCTAGTCTCGAACTCCTGACCTCAAGTGATCTGCCTGCCTCAGCCTCGCAAAGTGCTGGGATTACAGGTGTGAGCCACTGCGCCTGACCTGCCCCATTGATCTTGTAGCAATAACCATTGAGGTTCAAATTATTCAACTGATACGAAGACATTCTGTAAACGGTAACAACCCTGGCAAAATGGGGATGTTCACAGAGGAGAAATGGAACCCAGAGAGAAATAATAATAACAATAACCGTAGCCACCATACGCTGAGCCGTCACTCCAGGCAGGTCCTGCGCTTGGTGTTTTGCTTGCACCGTCCTGCTGGATTCTTACAACACACCTGTGAGGTAGGTGCTGCTAATGGGTCCAGGTTTCCCGTGGGAAAATCAAAGCTCGGAGGTGGCCCAAGGCGATGTGGCTCTCAGAGGCGGAGCCACAGTTCAGCTGGAGGGCTGCCTGGCTCCAGAACCTGTGTTCTCAACCCCTGCATCAAGGTCATACAGCGGCGCACACATTTGTGCACGCATGCGTGCATTCACTCACACGTTCAAGAGTTACTTGGGGCCAGACGCAGTGGCTCATGCCTGTAATCCCAGCACTTTGGGAGGCCGAGGTGGGCGGATTATTTGAGGTCAGGAGTTCAAAACTAGCCTCTCCAACATGGTGAAACCCTGTCTCTACTAAAAATACAAAAATTAGCTGGGCATGGTGGCAGACGCCTGTAATCCCAGCTACAGGAGTCTGAGGCAAAAAACAAACAAACAAAAACAACAAAAAACAAACAAACAGAGTGATTTGGTGTAAGCCAGGCCCCTGGGCCAGGTTCTGCTACTCTGTGTTCTCAGGTGAGCTCCTGAGTCCGAGAAAGGTGTGTCTACCAGCAAGTGGGGAGAAGGACCACCCTCTGCACACCAGATGCTATGCGAGGTGCTGGCCAGGGACAGATCCAGGACTGAACCCTGGGTTTCCTGGACCCCAGATGTCTCTACCACCTCCTCAAATGAACATCCCTCAAAGCCCTGGAGCCTGCAGCCTGGCTCCTTGAATTAAAAGTTGGAAGCTCCCTGGAGCGAGTTCTCTAGAAGAGGCAGAGGCTAACAGGGAGATTTTGTTGTCATGAACTCAAGGATCCTTGGAATATGGCATGAGTTACAGTGGCCCCCTGCCATGCCCCTAAAATCCCTCCAAGAACTGTTATTGCCCACGGGATAAAGATCAAACTTCTTAATATGGCGACAGGCCTTTGCCATCTCCCCTGTCCTGCTGGGGAACCTCTAGCTCCTGCCACCTGATGACCCCAGAGCCTGTTCCCTCTGCCTCCGCATTCACTCTATTCTGTGCTCTTCCACACCACCTCCTTCCTTGGTGAGCTCCTGGACATCCATGATGTTTCTTCCTCCAGGCCCAAGTCTCCTTAGCTTCCAAGATCAGATGAGGTCGGATGTGTTCAGGATGGTGTGGCCGTAACAAGCCATGCCTAATCCCGTAGCAGCTGGAGTGCCCTGGCCCTGTGCCCCGTGAGAATGCACCAGTCCCCTGGATCCTGGCTGGCTATCTACACACCTATCTCCCATAGACCTAGACACCTGCCTAGGGGCCCTCCTCTCACCCTGGCCCAGTATTGAGCAATTAGGGTTGGGGGATCCCAGTCACCCAGAGGAGGCACAGGGACCTGAACATTAAAACAAACAATGCGAACTAACAGAGGCAGTCGTATTTTGAATATCATTACCAAATTTGAAAAAAAAAAATGACAATGCCTATGGAAACCACACAAAGTGTGTTTGGCACTATCTATGATTTGGAAATTATCAAAGCCCACAGTCCTCGTAGAGGGCAGGGCGGTGGGGAGCAGGGTCCCCCGATATTGGTGGTCTGAGCACTTTCTTATCACTGCACAAACGCAAGGCAACTTAACAGTTTTGGGGGCAGATTGGCCATAAGTTTACCCGGAGCTGACACGGCGAAGTCAGTATCGGGACCAAAGGCCACATCAACCAGGTGTAATCTCCAGTCCAACAGGCCAGAAGCCACCTGAACACTGAGATCCACGTGGGGAACCAAGTGGCAGGCTGGCTCTGGCATCCCCAGGGATCTGGTGTGAACTCTGGCCCTGGGCACGTCACTCCATCGCTCTCAGCCAGCCTCAGTTTCCTTCTCCAAGAAGTGGGGATAATAACAGACCCTGGCAGATGAGCCTTGGGAGGCTTAATACATGTGAGATGCTTAATTCCTGGCATAGAGTCGGCCCTAGCACAGTCTCTAGCACATAGCGCTTAACAAAGGTGTTGTTATTATTCAGGACAGACGTATCAGACAAACTGATGGTGGGCTGGGAGTGGGGGTCTCCTGGGGAGAATCGTCTCCAGGCCGGCAGCAGCCTTTGGATCTCTGAGGGTCACAGATATTCAGCAGGGGACATTCCAGGGAGAAAGATCTGGGCTCAACTGAAAAGCACTTCTCTTTTTCTTTTCTTTTTTTTTTTTTTTTTTTGAGACAGGGTCTCACTCTGTCACCCAGGCTGGAGTGCAGTGGTGCAATGTTGGCTCACTGCAACCTCCACCTCCTGGGTTCAAGCGATTCTCCTGCCTCAGCCTCCCAAGTACAGCTGGGATTACAGGCATGCGCCACTATGCCTAGCTAATTTTTGTATTTTTATTTTATTTTTATTTTTTTATTTTTTATTTTTTTGAGACAGAGTCTCACTCTGTCACCAGGCCAGAGTGCAGTGGCACAATCTCAAGCTCACTGCAACCTCCAACTCACTGGTTCAAGCAATTCTCCTGCCTCAGCCTCCCAAGTAGCTGGGATTACAGGCGCTCACCACCACGCCCAACTAATTTTTGTATTTTTAGTAGAGATGGGGTTTCACCATGTTGGCCAGAATGGTCTCGATCTCCTGACCTCGTGATCTACCCGCCTCGGCCTCCTAAAGTGCTGGAATTACAGGCGTGAGCCACTGTGGCTGGCCCAAGAAGCACTTTTCAAAGTCCAAGCTCCCTAGAGAGGAGCTGCATTCTTCTGAGATTCTGTGAGGTCTCCATCATTGGAGGTGCATAAGCAACACTCACCTGGTCCCCCCCACCCATCTGGCTCTTCTCTACTCAGCTCTTCCCACCTGAGTCTTCTGGTGGCACCCAAAAGACTGCCCTGATCCAGACCCTGCCCCTAGAAATGCCACCTCTTATGGGCCCTGTGAGATGCCCACATCACTCTCTTGGCAGGGGGCCTAACGAGGACTCAGCCACTGCCCCAGGGACAGCCACAAGGAAGGCACCCCTCACCCCATCTGCCTTGGAGCTTCCTCTGAGCCCCCACCCGACCCTGCCATGGGACACTCACCGTTGGGAACTCCAGGAAGAGGACATGGACTTCAAGGATGGCATTGGGGGCCTGAGCCACGCAGCCCTTCGAGACCTGGCTAGTGGTATATGTCACCTCGCCCCTCTCGGGGCCCACAGGCTGAAGGTCACAATGGACTGTTTCTGCAAGACCTGTTGGAGAAACATCCGGAAAGAGGCCAGGTGAGAATAAGGTGATGACAATGACTCCTACTTTCCAAACGTCTCCTAGGGACTTGACATGAGCTAACGGCTTTCCTGCATCATCACAGCCACCTTATGAGGTGGATATCATTATATTCGTTCCATGGATTAAAAAAAACCAAGGCTAGGAGAGGAAACGTCTCCTGCCCAAGGTCACAGCGCTACTACGTATAGGGTCGATGAATAGAAGGACACCCAGCTAAATTTAAATTTCAGATAAACAATGAGTGCATTTTTTTAAGTATTAGTATATTGCAAATATTGCATGGAACGTACTTATACTAAATTTTCATTGTTTATCTGAAATTCGGATTTCACTGGGCCCCATGTATATATGTGTGTGTGTATATATACATACACACACATATACATAGATCTACATATATACATACATATATACATATATAGATATACATATATACACCCACACATCCACATACATATATATATATATATATATTTTTTTTTTTTTTTTTTTTTTTTTTTTTTTTTGAGATGGAGTTTTGCTCTTCTTGCCCAGGCTGGAGTGCAATGGTGTGATCTTGGCTCACCGCAACCTCCGCCTCCTGGGTTCAAATGATTCTCCTGCCTCAGCCTCCCAAGTAGCTGGGATTATAGGCATGCACCACCACACCCAGCTAATTTTGTATTTTTAGTAGCGATGGGGTTTCTCCATGTTGCTCAGGTTGGTCTCGAACTCCTGGCCTCAGGTGATCTGCCCACTTCGGCCTCCCAAAGTGCTGGGATTACAGGCGTGAGCCACCGTGCCCGGCCAGCCTCCTATATTTTTATTTTTTATTTATTTTTAAAAATTATTTTTTATTATTTATTTTATTTTATTTTTTTGAGACGGAGTTTTGCTCTTGTTGCCCAGGCTGGAGTGCAACAGTGTGATCTCGACTTACTGCAACCTCTGCCTCCTGGGTTCAAGTGATTCTCCTGCCTCAGCCTCCCGAGCAGCTAGGATTACAGGCATGCACCACCATGCCTGGCTAATTTTTTGTATTTTTAGTAAAGATGGGGCTTCTCCATGTTGGTCAGGCTCGTCTTGAACTCCCAACCTCAGGTGATCCGCCTGCCTTGGCCTCCCAAAGTGCTAGGATTACAGGCATGAGCCACTGCGCCTGGCCTATTTTTTATTTTTTTGAGACAGACTCTGCTCTGTTGCTCAGGCTGGAGTGCAGTGGCAAAATCATAGCTCACTGCAGCCTCAGCCTCAACCTCCCAGGCTCAAGTGATCCTCCCACCTCGGCCTCCTGAGTAGCTGGAACTATAGGCATGCACCACCACATCCAGCTAATTTTTGCATTTTTATAGAGATGAGGTTTCACCATGTTGCTCAAGCTGGTATTGAACTCCTGGACTCAAGAGATCCTCCCACCTCGGCCTCCCAAAGTGTTGGGATTACAGGCATGAGCCACCACACCCGGCTGATTTTCATTTGATGTATCTGGCAACCCTAACTTCATGGCAGGGCCTAGGTGTGAACCCAAGTCTCCCTCCAGGTAAGGCAGGAGCTGAGCTCAGGAGACAAAGCTTCCCCTCTCTTGCCTCAAGGTGGTGGGAGGAATGGTCTGAAGGGGTTGAGAGTTCCCTAGCCCCAAGGGACAGGGCGAGCCGAGAAGGCGGCCCAGGTTTGGAGGCTGCCAGAGCAGACCGCAGAGCCCGGAAACACAGGTCCTGAGGGAAAGGAATGGAATTTCACCCTGACCCAGCAGGGTCGGAAAAGGAAATGAGGCTCCTACACCTCGTCCTGAGGAATGTGCCGGGGGAAGGGGGCTCCGGAGGAGGGAAGGAGGACAGAAGGGGAGACTGTTTGGAAGTTTGTGTCTCCATCTTGTCGCGCTCACTTCCTGTTTTCTTGGAGATCAAAGATGGGCGCGGAGAGACTGGCTTCATGTCCAGCCAAGGCCGGCTCAGAGGAGGGGGCAGGGAGGCTTCTTCTGAACCCTGGGCTGTCTGGAGCCTCACCGGCCTCCTTCCTCACCTTCCCACAGCACGTTGGGCTCTGGGCCCCAGAAGTCAGCAAAGGAAGTGAGATGGTCACCCCTTGCCATGGCAACGCCATTCCCAGCTCTGTCTTGGGAAGGAGAAGATCTGGATGAGGACTTCTGGCTGCCACGGGGGCCCAGGCCTTATATGTCGTCTCTCTGACCCTATCCTACATGTCCCAGGGACTCTGGAGTGCCTGGACATAGTGGCATTTTGGTTAAAAGCAAGCTCCCTGGAGCCAGGCTGACCTGGTTTGCCTCTCAGGCCCAATGCTTACCAGCTATGTGGCTCTGGTGAATGATTTCACCTCTTGGGGCTTCAATACCTGGTCTATAAAATGACAACAGAGCCCACATGATCCACAGAGGTGGCTGGGAGGACTCCATGAGACTGGGCACATGGCAATTCTTTCTTAAATTTCTATTTGTTTATTTTTCAGACAAGGTTGCCCTCTGTCTCCTGGGCTGGAGTGCAGTGGTGTGATAACAGCTCACTGCAGCCTTGAGCTGCTGGGTTCAAGCGATCCTCCTGCCTCAGCCTCCCAAGTAGTTGGGACTACAGTTGTGCGCCACCACGCCTGGCTAATTTTTTAAATTTTCAGTAGAGACTGGGTCTCACTATGTTGCTCAGGCTGGTCTCAAACTCCTGAGCTCAAGCAGTCCTCCCGCCTCAGCCTCCCAAAGTGCTAGGATTACAGGTGTGAGCCACCATGAGTGAGCCAGCATGCCTGGCCGGCAGCTTTCTCTTAATTACAATTATTTGACTGACTTCAGTCACTGTAGAATTGACTGTTCTAAGGGGTGGGGTGAAGTGGCGGGATGGGGTGGCCTCCAGGTGACGGTCCTCTGGGATGGAGAGGTCACTGGGATCTCCCTCACCCCAACAAAATCAAGGGCTGGTGCCATCTCCTGTCTCCAGTCCCTCTGACCCACCAGCCCCCATGTTCTCCCCACCCTCTCCTTTCCTCATCGGTGAGCGCAGGTTCCTTGGCTGTTACCTAGCTTAAGCCCCTCCTACTCAGATGGGGAGACTGAGGTCTGGAGGGACGGGACAGGTCAAAGTCTCACAGCACATGGTTGACCAGGCCGGGCCTCGGACCCGCGTCTCCCAACATGACCCAGTGTCTGGCCTGCAGATTATCGCAGCGCCTCCCTCCTTCCCTTTGGGACTTTCCCTGCCCCCTCCCCAGACTTCCAGGAACCCCAGTTCCTCCCGGATTGCTGGGGCCGCCTGGGGCCGCCTCCTCCATGCCGTCAGCCAGCGGGAGAGGCCACAAGCCTGGCCATTATGTAATGATCAGATAACAGGCCTGGCGGGGAGATCAGATAAGAGGTCCATTTATTTTGGGGCCTTTTCGAATCCTGGCCGCCCCCACCCCGCAGACGAGAATGGGGAGACAGGAGGGAGTGTGACGCCTGGGCCTGTCTCCCGGAGCCTGAGGCGGGCCCAGACCAAGTTGAAAACAATCCCCTGGCACCAAGGGAAACGCCAGGGCCTCCCGGGACTGGGTCAGAGGAGGAGCCGCTGGGGGCCTGGGTGACTGGAACCCCAAGTGAGAGACCCAGAAGCCACCTCCCACCACTGTCCCCTCTCCACCCTCGCCACCCATGTGCACACAGCACCTCCCAGATTTCCAGAGGGCTACCTTCAGCACCTTGGAGGATGATCAAGAAAAACAGCTCTGGAGCCAGATGGCCTGGATCAAATCCCAGCTCTGCCTCTTAAAATGCTGGTCACCTTGAGCAGAAGCCTAACCTCTCTGAGCCTCAGTTTCCCCATTTGCAGACCACCAATAATCACTGCAGATGCTCCCATCATGCTTACTGGGAGCCTAGGCAGCTTTACACGAGTGAACTCATTTGATCCTCACAGCAGCCTTGTGAGGTGGGCGGCGCTATTACACCCATGCACACTCCAGGAAACTGAAGACCAGGGCGGTTAAAGAAACTGAAGACCAGCTGCCCGAGGTGACCCAGCTACTAAGTGTCACGGCCTGGATTTAAACCCAGACAGTCTGGCTCCAGCAAGCAGCAGGCATTCACAGGCTGAGTGTGTCAGTTTGATGGGGTAACCCCTGTTGAGTGCCTGGTACTAAGTAGGTGCCCCAGACACAGAAGCTGTGAATATTATTTCATCATACTAGGACAGATACTTTTCTTCCCGCTGCCACCCCCCCTTTTCTTTTCTGAGATAGAGTCTCACTCTGTCACCCAGGCCAGAGTACAGTGTCTCGATCTCGGCTCACTATAACCTCCCCGTCCCAGGTTCAAGCGATTCTCATGCCTCAGCCTCCTGAGTAACTACAAGTGGACCACCACACTCAGCTAATTTTTGTATTTTTTGTAGAGACGGGGTTTCGCCGTATTGCGCAGGCTGGTCTCAAACTCCTGGGCTCAAGCAATCCACCCATCTCAGCCTCCCAAGGAAGATACGTTTCAACAAGGGTCCTTCTTGCTGCAATGCCTGCCCCGTCTTGTTCAGTACCCCCGGGCCACTCTTTACCCTTTTCAGGCCCAATTACAGCCTCACAGGTTTCCCAGCATCCAGCCCAGCCACTGCCCCCAGCCACCAGGAGGTCTCAGCATGCCTTGGCCCCGGGCTCCCCCCTGGTTCTACGATGCCTGCAGGGTCAAGTTCCTGCACTGCAGCCTACAGTAGAGGTGAAAAGCACAGCGATTTGACAGATGCCAAAGGTTCAGGTCCTGATTCTTCCACCTGCCAGCTGCCTTTCCATCCTCAGTGTTCTCATCTGTAACATGGGGATGAGGGTCATCATAACAGCTTCCCATGGAGTCGGCAAGCAGGCCAGTAAATTACACCTGCACAGCGCTAGGCCGGCTCCTGCTAAGTGGGGGTTGCTCAGGAACTGGTGACTACTATCACAATTATTTATGCCCAGTCAGTGGGGATATGTGGGCTCTTCCCCTAAACACACCTCGCTCCTGCCTCTGCCATGCCCTTTCCCAGACCAACACTCATCCTTTGTTTGACCACCTGGCCTTTTTTTTTTAATTTTGGAGAGTCGGGGTCTTGCTCTGTTTCCCAGGCTGGAGTGCAGTGGTGCAATCATAGCTCACTGCAACCTCCACCTCCTGGCCTCAAGCAATCCTCTGCCTCAGCCTCCCGAGCAGCTACAGGTATGAGTCATTATGCCCAACTAAATTTTAAAAATATTTGTGGAGAAAGAGTCTTGCTATGTTGCCCAGGCTGGTCTTGAATGCCTGGCCGCAAGTGATCCTCCCACCTTAGCCTCCCAAAACGTTGGGATTACAGGCATGAGCCACCATGCCCAGCCCCTAGCAAACTTCTATTCATCCTTCAAAACCCTGTCCTGAAAATCTCACTGAAGCCAGTCCCTCCTTTCTTAGGTGCATCCGTCCTTGGGTGTCCTTGGAGAACCAGACCATACATGCCCAGGTGTGCTGTTTTGATTTGTCAGTGTGTCTGCACTCCCAGCAGACAGTGAGTTTTTCCAGGACAAGGAGAGTCCACAGCATTCCATGTCCCAATCAGTTAGTCCAGGGCTCAGAGCAAACATCCACTTCCACTGGATACAGTGAGTTCTAGATTTCTCTTCAAAGAATCAGTATGTCAGTATGTTCAGTTCTTTGTCCTCCATTTTAAAGTTTAACTTCCTCATGGTTTCAGTAAACAACCTTTTCCACCAGTTTTAATCAGTAGTTCACATCTGTTCCCCTGGTCACCTGCTCCATCCTGACTCATCCTGGTCATGTGCTTTGACCTCACAAACCCCTGGTCACCTGCTTTGACCTAAGTCACCTTTAGTTACCTGTTCCTAACCATCCTTCCCGCCAAACTACTCACCCCGCCACTCTGGCTCATACCCCTGCTCTCTCTAAAATAGCTAACTGGAATTAGCTTAGACTGTGCGGTCCAACACTAGCCCGTAGGGGAACGACGTAGCAGTAGGGGCTACCTGCGTCAGGAGTAAGAACCCCTTCCCCTCCCTTGTTCAGATGTGCTCTCGCCATTACTCCATTCTTGAATCGCACCCTTCTGTAGAAGTAAAAATTGCCTTGCTGAGAAGATTAAATTTATGTTCAAGTGCTATTTCTTTGCGGCACTGAGGAACAAGCATTTTGTTTCTAACACCACAAACATCCATTTGTGGAACTGGCTGGTCAGGGCTGCCTCTGACCTGCTGGGTGACCCACATCAAGTCCCCCCACCATTCTGGGACTCTGTTTCCCTATGGCTAGTGGGTGGGGAAGAGCGGGGGTGGATAGGACATATTCTAAGTTCTACTAGGGGTCTGACAGTCTGAGATTTCACCTAAGGATGAAGGCAGGAGGAAGACAGAGCAGGGCATAGATGGGGCTGCTGAAGGTAAAGGCAGGGTCCCAGGGGTTGTACCCCGGATGGGAGGGCCGTTATGGGGACCAGAGAAAAGGCTGAGTGCCTGCGGGGAGAAGATCAGGCAAGAGGAAGATCCCCATCCTCTCCACTGTGGCAGCACACTGCAGTGCTTAGGCCCAGGGCTTGAGCCCCAGTGGCTCATTTCAGGGCAGTGTTACTTGGGTAAATTTCTTCACCTGACTGAGTTATACGAGTACCTCAGTCTCCCCATCTGTCAAATGGGGGCAGAAAGAGTATCTCCTTTGTAGGGCTTTTGCAAGCGTTAAGTCTGACAGTACACATACCACGCTTAGAGCAGCGTCTAGCATACTGTAAGTGCTGAATAAATGTCAGTTGTTATATTATCTCTTTATCCCACCCCCACTCCTGCCACAGGGGTTGAAGCCAGCTGAACCCTGGCTGAGGGTCCCTTCAGCCTCCAAGGCTGGTGCCCCAAAGCCTGGGCTGGAACTAGGAAGCAGGGTCCCAGAGCCAAGGGTAAACAGTTCTTTAGGTCTCCAGCATTCAGGTCACAAAAGTTGTGGGGAAAAGAAGCTGAATTTGGAAGCAGACGGCCTGGAGTTGAAATCTGGACCTGTCATTTGTCCCAAGCCTCAATTTTCTCATCTATAAACTGGGGATAGAGGCAAGGAGGAGCTGGCATTATGCCTGACATGCTGGGGACAGAGGAGAGGTGGCCGCCTCACTCTTGCCCAGATCCACCTCCAGCCCTGGGGCAAAAGAATGGGTCTGTCGCCCGAGGGCCCAGCACCAACACATCCGTGACCACAAGCAAGTCCCTCTGTCCCTCTGGGTCACGTCTGTCTGGCTGGGGTGAGGGAGAATGCTAATGGTCACGTCCCCCGTGTCTCGGGGAGCCCACCCTCTCCTGGTTCACACGGCTCCTGCTCCAGGCTCTTTTTCCTCCTAGCAAATGGGAACGCAGCCTCTAAGAGACAGGTGTTTGTGGTCTCGCTCTTGCGCCACTGACCCTTCTCCAGCAAGTCCCAGACTCCAACACAGACAGCCAGCAGCATGGGGACTTTAAGTCCTCCAGCAAAGGATCCTCCACACTCAGGAACACTCTTCAATCCCAGCCACCCAGCACAGGCCACGAGCCGCTGCAGCCTTGCTGCCGGGACGCAATCCACATGAAATAATCCAAAATACAGGAAAAGGTGCACGTACCAAAACTGTGCATTGTGGTAGTATTTATAACTAGAACAAAGGGGAAACCACCTAAATATTTAACAATAAGCAAACGGTGACAAGTTGATGGGACAGAATATTCCAGAAGTGCAAGAGGATGGTCATGGAGTCCACAGGACAACATGGAGACCTGGTTCGAAAGAAATAGACAAAAGACTCCCAAAATGTGGACCCATCTGGATTAAAAGTAGCTTAAAAAGTTAGAAAAAAAAACTAGTAAGCCATCTACCACCATACTAACGGTACCTGTATCAATAAAGGAGTTCCGAGGTGATTTTTTCCCTTTTCTCTATTTTTTTTGAGGGGCAAGCTGAGGCAGCTATATGGTTAATTTTAATTGCTTTAAAAAAATCTCTACATGCTTGTTCTTTTTTTTTCTTTTTTGATACAAAGTGTTGCTCTGTCACCTAGGCTGGAGTGCGGTGGCTTGATCTCGGCTCATCACAACCTCCACCTCCCAGGGTCAAGCGATTCTCCTGCCTCAGCCTCCCAAGTAGCTGGGATTACAGGCGCCCACCACTACGCCTGGCTAATTTTTGTATTTTTAGTAGAGACAAGGTTTTGCCATGTTGGTCAGGCTGGTCATGAACTCCTGACCTCAGGTGATCCACCCGCCTCAGCCTCCCTCCCAAAGTGCTGGGATTAGAGGCGTGAGCCACTGCACCCGGCCTGCTTGTCCCTAAAACAAAAGAAAACAAAAAAACCCAACATGACAGGAAAGTGTGTCTGAGAAAGTCAAAGTCCCAGCCAGGCATGGTGGCTCACACCTGTAATCCCAGCACTTTGGGAGGCTGAGGCAGGCGTATCACGAGGTCAAGAGTTCGAGGCCAGCCTGGCCAACATGGTGAAACCCCGTCTCTACTAAAAATACAAAAATTAGGCGGGTGTGGGGCCGGCGCCTGTAGTCCCAGCTACTCGAGAGGATGAGGCAGGAGAACTGCTTGAACCCGGGAGACGGAGGTTGCAGCGAGCCTAGATTGTGCCATTGCACTGCAGCCTGGGTGACAAGAGCAAGACTGTCTCAAAAAAATTTAAAAAAGAAAGTGAAAGTCCCACAGAGAAAACCCCAGACCAGAGAACAGTAATAGTGGGTTAAATAGAAAACTCTATTCCAGAATTTTCTCTGTGCATATTGTACATTATTACTATTTTATTGTTGCCAAAATGGAATTATTGTTGTTTGGGCACCTAACAGTGTGTCCCTGACATCCGTCCATGGCAGTGTTCATATGACTCTGCCTTCTTGGTGCCTGCTGCATGACATTCCGTCGTGTGGTAATTTATTAACAGTCTTTGCTCATGGACACTTAGATGATTTCCAGTTATCGGGTTTTTGTTACAGGTACCCACGGACCACGCATCTTTACAGAGTTGGACGAATAACTTTAGAAGGCTGACTACTGAAGGCTGATTTGTGAGGGTATCAAGTCACATGCAAGGTACAGTTTTAGGAGATTCTTACAAGTGGTGCCCCCAAATTCTAGACCCATTTCTAGGAGGTCAGGGTCACTCCGACCCCTACCCCCAGCTGGCTTCCAGGCCCTGGCCCCAGGCTCCCCTCTGCCTTCCATGGGCCTCAGCTTCCCAGACCATAAATGAGTTGGGTTGATGGTCTGTTGTACCTTTGAGCCTGTGACTCCTGGTGCACTGGGACCAGCTCCTACCTGCTCACAGGAACAGACGGATACGTTTCCAGGAGTTTTTCCAACTGGCTGTTACATAGCTATTACTATATATTTTTAAAAGGTCATGAATGTCCAAACTCATTTCTTTCTAATCGTTTTACACCCCTGACTGTCATCTCTGCTCTCGGTGTGATCTGCGCCTGCAGAGACTCTGGAGAACCAACCGCCAGGTGCTACCGGGCACTGATTCCCAGCTCCAAACTTGGTGAGTTGGTGGCTTGAAGTCAGCCGGGTGGGAGTACTTACGCTGTGAAAATCCACAAACGCTACAAATTGAGCTCCCCACCCCGTTGTTAATTATTCAGCAGCATATCACTGCCTTTGATCCTTTAAAACCAGGCCCTAAATGTCTGCATGGACCTTTCTCTAACGACCAAGAGGAAGAGAGTGTTACTGCAGCGACAAATACGAGAGAGGGAGATCTTGGAGCTCAGGTAGGGGCTCCGTCTTAGCCATGTGAACTTGGCAGGTTAGAGCCTCCCTTTTCTCTTCTGTAAAATGGGGATGATGATGGCAGCCATCTTGCAGGGTCGTTGTGAGCCGCATTAAGAGGGTTCGCCCTATCACACCTTACTAGGAGCAAACATTTAGGGAGCCGCAGGCCGGGAGTCAAATCCCTGCTAAGTCACTTAATATGTCTGAGACTCAGTTTCCTGTCAATCAGGTGGTGGGCAGAGCTTTAGAGACCCAGAATCAGGGACTCTAAAATGCCATCAGGTGGGGAGGTGGGGAGAAGTTGGCTGCCCCACCGCTGTTTTCCTTCCCCTTCCTCCCCACACTCTCAGCTCATTTCTGCCCCTCTTCCCCCAAATCTGTCAGGAAGCCCCTGGATGCACAGGTGGGTCAAAGGATGTCCACAGGACCGGCCAGCGGCTTGAGGTGGCCGAGGGATAGGGAGTGGGACATGGGGCTGGGGGTCCCTTGCTCCTCACCGCCCCTCCTCTGGTCAGTTTCAGAAAGCAGCAGAGGCCATGACCCCTTGGAAGAGCCCCCAGGCCAAGGAGCCCCACAGAACCCCTAACCTGGCCTGCACCCACTCCTGCACCCTTTCTGGGGATCAGGGAGGTAGGAGGGAGGCAGGGCAGGGCCCTGCAGCCTTGGCCTGTTCAAAGGGTTTGAGGAGCTGCCCAAAGGCCCTGGGGAAGGTGAGCTGGAGGAACTTAAAGCTAAAAATAAAACAACACAGAAGTGGCCAGTCTGCCAGAGCCCTCTCTGCAATGATCCCTCACCACCCACCTCCTCAGCAGCTCTGAGAGGGAAGTCTGTTCTCTTCCCCACTTCGCTCAGAGGCCCGAAGGCAGTCCCCCAGGATCACACCACAAGGAAGTGCCTATGTGAGATTTGAACCCAGAGACGGTGCTCAGAGCCCAGGCTGTGGGCCCTCCTTCCCATCCATTCCTCATGGGGAAACTCAAGGCCCAGAGAGGCCAGGAAACTCTCCCGTCGCTGCACAGCATTCTGGGACCTAGGCTTCCCGGGGAGTAATGGAACGCAGCTGGGTGAGCAGACGCCAGAGACCAGGGTTAAAGTGAAAGAGTCAGCCCAGTTTGCCCGAGGCTTTCTTTCAACACTGAAAGTCCTGCATAACCATTTAGTTCCAGCAAACTGGGAGGGTTGGTGACCCTCCAGAGCCCCAAGGATGGCTCTGCTGGGCGTGAGCTCAGGATACAGGAAGGAGGCCGGGAATACTTGGGGCCTGGTCCGTGCACCGGAGGCCGAGTCTCCCCACCCTGGGTCCCTGGACACCTACTTGTGGGGCTGAGGCTGCAGCTGGCCAGCAGCAGGGCAACAGCCAGAGGGAGCGTGCCGCGGTCCATGCTGTCCACGTGGGGGCCTGTGCGCTGGGCCTTATCCTGTGTCCAGTGGCAGGGCTGCGGGCGGGCACCGGGGCCGGCGTGGGCTCGCACGGGGACCCGAGGGGAGCAGGCGGCCGGAGCGACGGCGTCCCTGCTCCAGCCTTCTGGGGTGGCGGCCGAGGGGTCAGGAGAAGTGGACACAGGGACGCGGGGCTGGGCTGGAGTTGCTGTCCGAAGGATGGGCGGGGAGGGGGTGCTGGGCTCCAATGGATGGCAGTGACAGCAGCAGTCCTGGCCCCAGGGCGCAGATGAAGGCTGTGGTATGACCGGCAGCAGGGAGCTCCTGGCTCATCCAGCCCGGCCGGCCCAGGGAGGCAGGAAATGCGCTTCCTTAGAGAAGGGGCTGGGCCAGGCCGCCTGCCAACCGGGTAGAGGAAGTGCCACGGGCTTTGTCACTGGGTGGGGGGCCCTGGGATGGGGGGAGGCAGTGGGGTGGGAGGGCCCAGGCTCTAGGCTTGTCTCCCCAAGCACCCCACCCTCCCATCCCACCCTCTCCAAGGCTGGTGGGTGGGACGCATCAGGGAGCCCCACAGATGAAAACAATCACCCTAACAGCCCACCGAGGGGAACTTTCAGGGGGCCGGTCTTGGCTAAAGTAGTTCCTGTAGAATTTGTGACCCACCTGAGCTCACTGATCCCATTTTGCAGATGAGGAAACAGAAATCCGATGTGTTGAGATCACTGGTTCAAGAAGATGGTAGCGCTGGGATCCTGCCCACCTCCACCACTTCACGTCTTGTCGGGCATCAAACCCGGCCTACTAAGTGCAGTTGACATGGGGCTGCCTAACAGGCAGGAAAACTGAAGCTCAGGCTAGGGAGGGAAGTCCCAAAGTGGCACAGCAAGGCGGCTAGGGCTGGCGTCTCTGGGCTCAGAGGAGCTGCCCAGGGCCACACACTTCACGTCTGACCCCTTCATGGGTGGAAAATCCTTCACCGACAAAACACAGCTCCAGGCCGAGTGTAGTGGCTCAAGCCTATAATCCCAGCACTTTGAGAGGCCGAGGCAGACGGATCACTTGAGGTCAGGAGTTCGAGACCAGCCTGACCAACATGGTGAAAACCCATCTCTACTAAAAATACAAAAGTTAGCTGGGCATGATGACGTGCGCCTGTAGTCCCAGCTACTTGGGAGGCTGAGGCTAGAGAATCACTTGAACCTAGGAGGCGGAGGTTGCAGTGAGCTGAGATCAGACCACTGCACTCCTGGCCTAGGTGACAGAGTGAGGCTCGGTCTCAAAAAAAAGAAAAGAAAAAAAAAAAGAAGACAGCTCCAAATTATGGGGACTTTAATGGCACTTCTGAAGTCACGTGGCCCTGGGTTCAAATCCGATTCTGCTTGCTCCTAGCCATGAGACCTTGGACAAGGCCCCTCAATTCTCAGCACCCCCTGTTTGCAAAGTGGGGCACGATGCCTTCCTGACCAAGCCATTATGAGATTTCTGAGGGTCAGGACACTACAGCACTGAGCCCTGGGACATACAGGAGATGCTTCCCCATCAGTGCTCCCTGAGCTGGGTGACAGTCCCCAAACTGTCCCATGTTCATTCTGCAAACAGTAAGCGCACCTACTATGTACCCACCGTGGGACTACTCACAGGTAGCACCCAGGGCCAGGCCCATGAAAGCTCAGAGAAGGAATCCTGGGCCACCTGGAGGGCCTGGTATTTAGGCCTGCCCTTTGAAAGACTGGGTGAGTTGGGATTGGGGAGAAGAAGGGGTGAGGAAAGCATGCCAGGCAGGGGTGCCAGACTAAGCAAAGGCACAGAAGCAGGAAACAGTCGGACCACCGTGAGACCAGCAGGGGTGTGGTGGGGACAGGAAGCTGGAGAGGCAGAGTCTGGCCCTGCATTGGGAGGGCCTCAAATGCCAGGACTTTGTCCTTAGGGCCACTGGGAGTCATGGAGAGTTCTTGAGCAGAAGGACGCTGGCAGAGCTAGGCTTTGAGAGGCCAAATCTTTGTGTGTGCTGGCAGGACCCACGGTGAGATGGAGCCAGAAGGTTCTTCTCCCTGGATCCACCTGCCCTGGGTCACAGGTGGAGAAATTGAGGCCCAGGGAGGGAGGAGAAGGCTGAGGCCCTGGGTGCCTCTGGAGGGAGGATGTCTGTCCAGGGTCTGAGGCCTTGCCTCTCCGTGCTTATTGGCCGGCCCGGGTGACAAGAGTAGGCCGTGTGTTTGTCTCTGCAGGAGCTGTCACAGCGGCTGGGAGGGTCGGTGTGGCTCTTTGGGTGGGGATTAGGGATAGTTTTGCTTGCCCAGCCTTGTGGCTGCCTGGCCAGTTTGCAGCCAAGCGTGGCTTTGAGGTCAAGGGAGAGTGTCCTCTCCCAGAGGGCCACCCTGAGAAGGGCATCTCCTCTGCCTTTTCCTGTAACCTCGGAGACAAGGCCATGGGCACTGCGAGGCAAAGGGTGGCTCGGTGGGGGTTCAGGGGTGGCTCTGAGGTTTCCACAGGCCCCAGACCGAGATCTGTGCCCCAGGGACAGTTAATCCAGCCCTAGGAGCTGAGCGCTCTCTCTGCACCAGGGCCCGCCCTAGGCGTTCACCTTATCAGCTCTGAATCCTCACAGCCACCCCAGGAGGTGGGTACCGTTATACCTCCACTTTACAGAGGAGGAACCCCAGCTGGAGGGTGGTGACCCCAGGGCTGCCTGGGTCCAAGCTCACCTCCTTCCCTGCCACCATCCCCTGAGCTGAGTTTGGAGTGAGGGACAGATGTGGCAGGGGCTGCAGGTATCACAGGGTGTTGGGGGCATCTGGGGCAGTGACAGGGACCCCACAGGAGGCTCTTCCCAAAACTCCCTCCCTCCCCTTCCCTCCACGCTGCACAGTCTGTCCCCATCCACGTTGTAAACAAGACCCAATGGATTCTCTAGAAAGTAGGAGAGACTCCAGATGGACTCCAGGAAGAACTGGGGCCCCGACCCCAGACACCTCATGGAGGAAGGAAGAGATTGGGACCACCGCGGGTGGGGGGTGAAGCGGAAGTCACCTCTGGCTCCCACAGCATCCTGACCTTCCCTGTCACACCTAAGCCTGTGTGCAGCCATCTGCATGTATCTCTCTACTTGATTAGAAGCCCCATGAAGGCAGAGACTTTGACACCCTTTGCACTGCTGTGTCCCCAGCACAGAGCCCAGGGCCTTTCAGCTCTTGAGATGGATTTGCTGAAAGCATGAGGGACCCTAGAAGTCAAGGCAGGGGTGGGGGTCATGGAGGCCCAGAGAAGTGGGCCTTGTCATTGGTTCCCAGGAGAAAAGGCCAGTCCTGGACTGGGTCTCCTGCCCGAGGAAGCCTGGTGGCCACATGGCCTCCCTGCTGGGCACAGGCCTTGGGGTAGCTGTCTTCTACATCCCCCAGCTGCACTCTCCCTCTTGTGGGACACATCCACTTCCCCACCCCTGCAGAGGTCAGAGGAGGCAGGAGGAGGAGGGTCCGTCTTCCAGCCCCTTCCCTGCAGGGTCACTGCATACTGGTGGCCTCCCTCCACTGAAGGCCACGGTCCTGTTGGGGACCCCCTCCACCCAGCTCTGTCCAGCTGTGGACTCAGCTCCTCCCCTGGCCTCTTCAGGCTGAGGGTGGTCACAGCCCACGCCGCTGCCAGCCCTGGGGTTCTGCACCGTCCCTTGGGGCTTCCCTACACCCCGACCACACCTGTGTAAACAGACCCTTCACCAAACTCTCCTCTAATGATCCTACTGGAACGTGCCATCTGTTTCCTGCCGGGGCTTTGACTGATACGGATGTGTTCAGGTGCCGTCTGTCCACACGCCCGAGAGACGCGTGGCTGATGGCCAGGCCCCTGTGCCTGGACCCCACAGAGGGCAGATGCACACTTTCTGCTCTTTCTTCCTCCTGGCTGGCCAGGAAGGCCAGGGCTGCAGGAAAAGACAGAGCACGTCCACCCTGGCCACTGGCCACTGAAGGAATTTCAGGCGGCCCCCAGGGACCCACCAGGCGGCTGACTGTCTCCAGCACTGGCCTGGAGCCAGGGGCCATTGATAACAGCAGGGCCAGACCCACAGGGCGGAGCAGGGTGCCCAGGCTCTGCCCTACACTGGCCAGGTGGCATCAGGCAGGATCTTTGTTTGTTTGAGACAGAGTCTCACTCTGTCACCCAGGCTGGAGTGCAGTGGCATGATCTTGGCTCACTGCAACTTCCGCTTCCTGGGTTCAAGCAATTCTCCTGCCTCAGCCTCCCGAGTAGCTGGGAACATGCACCATCACACCCGGCTAATTTTTGTACTTTTAGTAGAGACGGGATTTCACCATGTTGCCCAGGCTGGTCTTGAACTCCTGACCTCAAGTGATCCACCCGCCTTACCCTCCCAAAGTGCTGGGATTACAGGCGTGAGCCACCGCACCCAGCCAGATCTTTCCACTTTCTGAGCCTCAGTTTCTTCATCTGCACAAGGGGAGGGCAGCCTGCTGGTCTGGAGGAGTTCAAAGGGCAAGACAAGAATTGGAATTGCACCACCATCCATGAGGTTGCCTGGCCCTGTGCCAAGTGCCACTTTGCAGCCACTTCAGTGGCTGAGGCTGTCATGTCAGCATTTTACGATGGAAGAAACTGAGGCTCAGGTTTGCAAGGCCACAGGGCTGGGAAGAGGCAGAGGATAATTGAAATCCAGGCCTTTTTCCCTTGGCTTCCAGAACATTCTGTCCTGGCTTTCCTCCCACCTCCCTGGTCACCTTATCTGTCTCCTCCCTGGTTCCTCCTTGTTCCCCCAGGCTTGGTTGCTGGCCCCTTCCTTCTTTGTTTACCCTCACTCCCAAGCCAGGTTTTCGCAAACCTTTGCGACCCTGGTGTCACGTCCCAACACAGACCCTGGGACTCAGACTCAAATAATGGAAACGCATTTTGTGGTCCTGTAGATAGATTTGCGGCTGTGATGCCCTCCAGTAACCCCCAACCTGTTGCATTTTCTTTCACTACTCGTCACAAGCTCATCTGTTGGTTTTGTTACCCACCAACGAGTCTCGGCCATAAAATGTCATGCCCTAGACTGTTGCTACTCAAAGTGTGGTCTTGTTTCTTCTGGAAGCTTCTTATAAATGCAGATTTGAGCCAGGCTTAGTGGTAAAAGCCTGCAGTCCCGGCTACTCAGGAGGCTGAGGCAGGAGGATTGCTTGAGCCCAGGAGTTCAAGGCTGCAGTAAGCTGTGATCACGTCACTGTGTTCCAGCCTGGGTGACAGAGCAAGACCTTGTCTCTAAAAAATAAAAAATGAAGGACCGGGTGTGGTGGCTCACGCCTGTAATCCCAGCACTTTGGGAGGCCAAGGTGGGTGGATCACATGAGGTCAGGAGTTTGAGACCAGACTGGCCAACATGGCAAAACCCCGTCTCAACTAAAAGTACAAAAATTAGCCAGGTGTGGTGGTGGGTGCCTATAATCCCAGCTACTTGGGAAGCTGAGACAGGAGAATCTCTTGAACCCAGGAGGTGGAGGTTGCAGTGAGCTGAGATTGCACCACTGTACTCCATCCTGGGTGACACAGCGAGACTCTGTCTCAAATAAATAATAAAAATGAAAAATGAAAACATTTTAATAAAAAGAAATGCAAGGGCTGGGCACAGTGGCTCACGCCTGTAATCCAGCACTTTGGGAGGCCGAGGCAGGTGGATCACCTGAGGTCAGGAGTTCGAGACCAGCCTGGGCAACATGGTGAAACCCTGTCTCTACTGAAAATACAAAAATTAGGTGTGGGGTCGCGCGCCTGTAATCCCAGCTACTCATGAGGCTGAGGCAGGAGAATTGCTTGAACCCGGGAGGCGGAGGTTGATCTCAGCAAGCTGAGGTCACACCACTGTATTCCAGCCTGGGCAACAGAGGAAAACTCCGTTTCAAAAAAAAAAAAAAACAAAAAGAAATCAAACTCTTAGGTCCTGTCCCAGACCTGCTGGATCCGAACCTGCGTTTTCACAAGATCCCCAAGGGAATCGTGTGCACGTCAACGTTTGAGAAGGCCTGTTCCAGGCAACCTTGTCCAGACAACAGCTTTAAATACCATCTAGATATCAAGGGCTCCCGACTGTATGTCTCCAGCCAGAACTCCCCCTGGCTCCAGGGCCCTGGATGTCGTATCTCAGACTCCACACGTTGAAAACTGGGCTCTGTTCTTTCTCTGCAAACTGCTCCTGCCTCAGTCTTTCCATCTCAGACCTTGACCTCCTCCTACTACACAAGCCTTGGGGTTGACCTTGGGTCTTTCTCTCATGCCTTCATCCAAGCCACAGCAAATCTGGCAGGCCCTCCCTCAGATTCCCAGGGACTGTGGAATATGGCTGCTTCTCACCACCCACAGCCACCTCCCTCTTGGAATGTCACAGTCCCCAGTCCCTGCACTGAGCCCACCTTGCTTCCAACTTGCCCCCAGCCTTTTCTCCGCTATCACGGGAGCTTCAGTCCAATTCCGTCCTGGCTCTGCTCAGCACCCTCCACTGGCCATCGTCTCCCTCAGAGTCAAAGCCAAAGCCCCTCAGGCCAATGAGTTTCTCCCTGCCCCCTCTTCAGCCTCCCCTTCTGCTCACCTCCACCCTACTCCACCCCAGCTCCTTGCTCTTTCTCAAATGTGCCAAGCACACGCCCACCCCAGGGCCTTTGCACCTGCTGTTACTGCTCGCTGAAACATTCTTCCCCTAGGTCGCCACAGGGCTCGCTCCCTCATCCCTGATCAAATGTCACACGGCCAGCGAGGTCTTCCTTGAGCAGCGCATTTAAAACAGCCCTCTCCTCCCACTAGCAATGGGCCCACATGGCACCATCTGACACTAGATATTGTTTTTTTGTTTGTTTGTGTTTGTTTGGAGACGGAGTCTTGCTCTGTTGTCCAGGCTGGAGTGCAGTGGCATGATCTCGGCTCACTGCAACCTCTGCCTCCCAGAGGATTCTCCTGCCTCAGCCTCCTGAGTAGCTGGGATTACAGGTGCTCGCCGCCACACCTTGCTAATTTTTGTATTTTTAGTAGAGACGGGGTTCCGCCATGTTGGACAGGCTGGTCTCGAACTCTTGAGCTCAGGTGATGCACCATCCTCGGCCTCCCAAAGTGCTGGGATTACAGGCGTGAGCCACAGTACCCGGCTGACACACTAGATATTGTTGATTGATTTGTCTTCCTTTCCAGAACAGAAGTTCTATGAGGACCGGGGTTCTGCCTTGTTTGCTGCTGAATCCCCATCACTAGGAGTAGTGCCTGGCCTGGCAGGTGCTGAAGAAGCTTGTGAATCAATGAGTGGGTTTGGCCACTGGGTTATACGGCTCAAGGTCTCACGGGCGATGATTTGAGTCCCCAGGGTATGGGTGTTGGGGGCATTCTGAGCGCAGGGACAGGGTCTCTGAAGAGGGGGAATGACTCCCCAAGAGTAGGGTTTGGTCACGTCCCGCCAGACCCTACTCTGTTCTAGAAGAGCAGAGTCCCTTAAAGTCACCCTCTCTTTCCCCAAGGAAGGGGCCCTGGGAGCTGGAGCCTCCAAATCCTGGGTGAAATTGGCCTTCCTGATGAAACACACCCCCTAGAGCTAAAGAACCCATAAACCCCCCTAGGAGACAGAGGATTCCACTGGGCCAGGATTCTAGAACCTCTGAGTGGTAAGGGCTCTGAGCTCATAGAAAGAGAAACTGAGGCCCAAGAGGGAAAGGGACTCACCCAGCACTCCCAGTGTTGGGTTTACAGGCGTGAGCCACTGAGCCTGGCTTATTATTATTTCAGTGTATATTCCCACCATGGCAACCCATGCAGGAGCCCACGCACTAGAACCCCTGGGCACAGGGAGAAGGTCTCACCCCCTGCCCCTGCTGCTGTGCGACCTGGGGCCAACCACACAGCCTCTCTGGGCCCAACCACACAGCCTCTCTGGGCCCACTTCCCTAGTGAGGGAGCCCTGTGCGCACAGGCTGCACGTGTCCAACAGGGCTCCTGGCCCCCACTCCTCTAAAGCCCCCCCTCGCGGAGTCGCCAGGCCTTCCTGTTTACTCGAGGCCCCTAGAGCGGCTGGGAGGCGACAGCCTTGGCCTCCTCTGCTCCCCACTTCCTTCCTCTCCCACTTCAGCGCCTCCGGCCCAGGCCCTCAGGGCCCTCGAGGCCAAGACCTGGAGGCACAGTCTTTGCGGGGGGTGGGGGGAGAGCAGGGGTCATCTGAGGCCACTACCAAGTGAGTCCTGCCCGGGAGCACCCAGGTTATAGAGGCTCTAATCCCACTGGCTGGTCAGAATGTTCCAGCACCTTGGGACAAGCCACTGCCTGGAGTGTCCCTAGAGATAAGAAGCGTGTGACAGCATTGACGTTATCCAACCCAACACCACGCCCAACTCTCAGTCCACCAGTGGGGGTGAGCACTCACTGACCCTGGAGGGGTCCCCTCCTCCTCCACACTCCTCCCTGAGCTCCTGCCTCCACCGGACCCCCTCTGGCCCTCCCTCCGCCAAGCAGGATCTCCCTAAGCTGCTCACGGTGTCAGCCGTAGACCGGCAGCCTGGGCGTCACCACCTAACCTGGACCTGCTGAATGAGAATCAGCTTTTTCACAAGGCCCCCACCCCGGGATATTCGTGCGTGCACCAAAGCTGGAAGTGCTGCAGATCTAACCTTCCTGTCTGGTTTTAAAACCCGTCACGAGTGTGGCCCAAAGGCTTAACCTGAATCTACGAAGACTTTACAATTAACTTCCAGTTTACAGAAATGTTGAAGGATAAAGGTGCAAGTTAAACAACACCATAAGGAGGGACAGGTGAATGTAGGAGGAGGAATTCTCCACAGAACAGCTGGTTCCTTCACAGAAAGAGGGGGAGAGTGGTCCTAGATTAAAAGAGATCTTGGCTGAGCTCAATGACTCATGCCTGTAATCCCAGCACTTCGGGAGGCCGAGGCAGGCAGATCACCTGACGCCAGGAGTTCGAGAGCAGCCTGGGCAACATGATGAAACCCCGTCTGTACTGAAAATACGAAAATTAGGCATGGTGGTGCGCGTCTGTAGTCCCAGCTACTTGGGATGCTGAGGCACAAGAATCACTTGAGCCTGGTAGGTGGAAGTTGCAGTGAGCTGAAATTGCACCACCGCACTCCAGCCTGGGTGACAGAGCGAGACTGTCGCAACAAAAATATAAATAAATAAATAAATAAGATCTGATGAGCATCACAACCAAATGCGATGTGCAGTCCTGGATTGCATGCAAGTTTCAACAAATGAGCTATAAGACACATTTTGCAGACACTGGGGAAAATTGCACACGGGCTATTAGCTATTATGAGAGTGTGTGTGAGAGTGGCAAGAGTCTGAATTTAGTGTTATTGAAACTCTGAATTGTGGTTATTTAGGAAAATGTTCTTATTTTTGGTCATACTTTATTTATTTTATTTTTATTTATTTTTTGAGACAGGGTCTCACTCTGTTGCCCAGGCTGGATTGCAGTGGAGTGCCCAGACTTTGGTCATACTTTAGGGGTAAATTTTTCTCATATTTGTAATTTACTTAAAATACTTCGGCAAGGCTAGGCATGGTGGCTCACGCCTGTAATCCCAGCACTTTGGGAGGCTGAGGCAGGTGAGGTCAGGAGTTTGAGACCAGCCTGGCCAACATGGTGAATCCCCGTCTCTACTAAAAATACAAAAATTAGCTGGGTGTGGTGGTGCGTGCCTATAATGCCAACTACTTGGGAGGCTGAGGCACGAGAGTCGCTTGAACCCAGGAGGCAGAGGTTGCAGTAAGCCGAGATCACGCCACTGCACTCCAGCCTGGGCAACAGAGTGAGACTTGGTCTCAAATAAATAAATAAATAAAAATACAATACTTTGGCAAAAGTTAAACAAGGAAGCAAGTATGGGAAAATGTTAACAATTGCTAAATGTTGATGGGTATACGGGTGTTCAGTATACATTTTCTTCCAATTTTTGTTAAAAAAAAAACAAACAAAAAACAAAAACTGGCTAGATGTGGTGGCTCACACCTGTAATCCCAGCACTTTGGAAGGCAGAGGCGGGAGGGCCACTTGAGGCCAGGTGTTCAATACCAGCATGGGCAATATACTGAGACCCCTGTCTACAATAAAAAATAAAAATTAACCCAGGCGTGGTGGTTCATACCTGTAATTTCAGCACTTTGAGACGCTGAGGTGGGCAGATCACTTGAGCTCAAGAGTCTGAGAAACCCCATTTCAAAATAAAATAAATTTTAAAAATTAGCTGGGTGTGGTGGTGCACACCTGTAGTCCCAGCTACTTGGGAGGCTGAGGCAAGAGGATCACTTGAGCCCAGGAGTTTGAGGCTGCAGTAAGCTATGATTGTGCCACTGTATTCTAGCCTGGACAACAGAGTAAGACCCTGTCTCTAAACAAACAAACAAACAAACAAACAAAAAACACACAAAAATACACCTCTTGGTCAGGTGCAGTGGCTCATGCCTGTAATCCCAGCACTTTGGGAGGCTGAGGCAAGCAGATCACTTGAGGTCAGGAGTTCGAGATCAGCCTGGCCAACATGGTGAAACCCTGCTTAGCTGGGCATGGTGGTTCACACTTATAATCCCAGCTACTTGGGAGGCTGAGGTGGGAGGATTGTTCGAACCCAGGAGGCAGAAGTTGCAGTGAGCCGAGATTGCACCACTGCACTACAGCCTGGGTGACAGAGTAAGACTCTGTTGCAAAAAAACCAACCAACCAAAAAACACCTCTTTCTTAGCCTCTCATTGCCCTTATGAGAAACCCTGTGAGTCTGGTTCGTACACTGCTAGCCTTGTCTCTTGCTACCGCCACCCCGCTAGCCTGCGTTACAGCCCCCCTCTGCGGTCTCAGCTCTCCCAACACCCACAGGTCCTTTCCACCTCTGTGGCTCTGCAGAGCTGTTCCCTCTGTCCTTTCTTGCCCTCTGTCTTGTGGCGAACTCCCAGGTGTCTTCAGGGCCCTGCCCCAGAACTCTGGTCAAGGAACCTCCCACCACTAGGTCTCCTCTGAGCTTGGTGCACTCAGCTGCCCAGAACTGGTCTTGGTTGAGTGGGTCTGACGGGATGTTGCGAACAGAGGCCTCTCCTCGTGCTGGGAGCCATATCGCAGCAGGCCAGGGGCCTCTAAGCCTCTGTCTCGCTGGCACGGCGGGTGCTCCAGCAATGTCTACAGAACAAGCAAACATGCATGAAAGAAATTCCCAAAGGAAGGTTTACGGTGGCAAGGACGGGGTGGTGGTTCCCAGGGCTTTAAAACTTTTTGCGTTTCCAAGTTTTCAGCAAAGAGGATATCTGCATCTAGACAGATGAGAGAGGGAGAGAGATGATAGGTAGGTATTGTTTACGTGGATAAAGTGATTCTGTGGTGAATCGTTTGACAATTTGAATCAGCTTAGGTTTCACAAACTGGGACTCACCCGGATGAATGAAGCTGTGATCAAAATAAAGATAAGGTAGATGAGAAAGAACTAGGACCCCCCCACCAAACCGCCTCCTTATCTTTATTACTTTGTCTTCATCCTGAGACAGAATGGATGTGTGAGACAGTGAGTGTGTGTGCGTGTAAGAGTGAATGTGAGTGGTTTGTGTGCACGTGTGTGGTGTGTGCACTGCATGACTGTGAGTGTGCAGATGTGTGTGAATGTGAGTGGTTTGTGTGTACAAGTGTGTGAATGTGTGCATGTGTAAATGTGTGTGAATGAGTGTGTGTGCAAGTGTGTTTGTGTGAGTGGGAGTGCAAGTGTCTGGGTCAGTGTGAGTGCGTGTGGGTGACTGTGTAAATGTGTGTATGGATGAGTGGTTTGTGTGCACATGCGTGTGTGTAAAAGTGTGTGTGCATGCGTGTGTGGGAGTGCAAGTGTGTGGATCAGTGTGTATGTGTGAGTGCATGTGTGCGCGCGCTGGCGTGTGTGAGTGTGTGTGTGTGAATCTGGTTTGACAGATGCAGGACCCAGGACCTGGAGCCTGCGGTGTCCCTGCGTGCCCCATCAGTTTTCTGCCGATGCGGAAAACCGAGGACCAGCTGCAGAGGCCTCCACACAGCCCCTACCCTCCACAACTTCCCTGGGACAGAATGGCTCCCCCTACATGCCTTGTCTTCTGCTAGCTCCGCTGAACTCCTGTTTATTTCTTTCATGTTCTTCTTTCAATAGATTCACCTTTTATAACTTAAAATCGTTTATTTTAAAGGAAACTTTAAATAACCAATGGAAATGAAAAACCAGCCCCACTTGCCATGAACAGCCCCAACTGTTCGGATTTCATTCGGGCAGGCGGGGTCCACAAGAGGCTCTCTTGGCTTAAAGGGAGCCCAGCTTGGGCCAGATCAGGTGTTAAGGACACGTGAGCACCAAATTGAGCCTTTCTCAGTGATGAGGTCAAAAAATGAAAGCGCGCAGGAAGGGTTCTCCCCAGGGGATTCTGGGGTGTCCCCAAGTCATCCGGGGCCCCGCACGCTTCGGGCCATGCTGTTCTGGTCTCCAGCCCTCATGGCCGTGGCAATGGACAGCGTCCACTCCTCACTCAGTGTGTTCTCATCCTGACCTTGAGGTGGGGGTGAGGGGGACATTGAGTCTGTTTTAGAATTGGAAACGGCTCACAGAGGGTGGGCTGTGTCCAGGGCCACACAGGGGGAGGTCCTTCAGGTCTCACCCCTGACCATGACTCCCCCAATTCAATTTCTTTTTTTTTTTTTTTTTTTTTGAGACGGAGTCTTGCTCTGTCACCCAGGCTGGAGTGCAGTGGCGCAATCTTGGCTCATTGCAAGCTCCACCTCCCGGGTTCACGCCATTCTCCTGCCTCAGCCTCATGAGTAGCTGGGAATACAGGCACATGCCACCATGCCCGGCTAATTTTTGTATTTTTAGTAAATAAGGGGTTTTGCCATGTTGGCCAGGCTGCTCTCGAACTCCTGACCTCAGGGGATCCTCCTGCCTCAGCTTCCCAAAGTGCTGGGATTACAGGCATGAGCCACCTCATTGGGCCTCCCCCATTCAATTTCAGTGACATGACTGACTCCCCACCCACCCATGCCATTGAGATGCCCTTTTCAGACCCTCAGAGCCTCTCGCGTCAAGGAAGCCAATTCACTACCCACTGGGCCAGCTGGCGTGGGCCGCCCCAACTGCCCAGGAAGCCCCACTCAGACCATGACCTTGCTGCCTGTGCAGTCCAGGCCCCGGCAAGGGCCAGGCATGGAACATATGCTCAGAGCGATGGGGGTCAGGGCCAAGGCCACAGAGCAAGATGCAGAGGAGCCCAGGCTGGGACCGGTTCTGCCTGAACATGAGCCCCTCGGAGCAGGGGCCCCGCCACTCAGCGCCGGGTCCTCAGGCCAGGCATGCCCTGTGCGAGGAAGGGCCCCGGGCCTCCCACCAGAGCTAGAGGAGGGGTGGCTGGCAAAGGGAGGCTGAGGAGGAACGGAGGGTTGAGGGGCTGGGGACTTGCGGCCAGGTAGGCACAAGCACATGAATCAACTCCAACTGGAAGCAGAGAAAAAGCAGTAAAACCAAATGTCCTTAGAAATTCCTTTAGTGCTCAGCTGTCCATGAAAACAGGATAAGCGGCTTCCTCCGTCTGTGCTCAGCAGGGCAGGGTGGAGGCGCTGCGCTCAGGCCAGGAGGACCTCGAATCAGGACGGGGTGGGGCGGGGCTCTGAGCTGGGGAAGCGGCTCCAGCGTTGCTACTTTAGGGCGTCCAGGTGGGTGCAGACCTGGGAGAAGACACTGTCCACGGAGCCCTCAGCGTTGACCTGTGGGGAGATGGGCCGTGAGGGCTGAGTCACCAGGTGGAGTGGGGTGGGCCTCACCATGGCAGGCCCCAGAGACCAGGCCTGCCTCCCCGAGCCCAACCTAATTGACAGCAGCCCCTCATTGAACCAGTGGGGAAACCAAGGCCCAGAGAGAGGGGCTGGCCTGAGGCCACACAGTGAGCTGAGGCGGAGCCACATAGGAACCCGTTCTTCCCGGAGCTGCCCCTGGGCCCGCGGGGCCCACCTTGCGCACAATGCCACGTTTCTCATAGAAGGCGATGACAGGTTCTGTGGCCTTGTAATAGGTCTCCAGCCGCTTTTTGATGGTCTCCTCATTGTCGTCCACACGCCCGCTGGTCTCTCCACGTTTCAAGAGCCGCTGGGTCATGGTCTCAGGGCCTGCGTCCACATACAGCAGCAGTGTGGGCTGTCCAATCTGCAGGCGGGCACCATGTCACAGGGACCCCATTCCTGCCCCCTAGGGCCATCTCCTCCCCATCTTCCCATCTATGAAGCCCCAGTAGATACCCCCTCAGACCTTCAATCCCTTCCCCAAGGCAGCCTGAAAGACCTTCCTAAAACCAATCTTTCCTGCCACTCCCCTGCTCAAACCTACACCATGGCTCCCCAGTGCCCTCAGGAGAAAGTCCACACTACTTGCCAGACTGAGAGAGCCTGACTCTCTCTGCTCTAGGCTCTCATCAACCTCCTTCCATGCCAGACCTGTGCTCATGCTGTTCCCTCTGCTAGGAGCCCTCTCCCCCGAGCCTGATCCTAACTCGCCTTCACCTCAATACCAAGCATCAGGTTTCAGTGCGAAGCTCACTTCCTCAGGGCAGTCTCTCTGATGCCACCCCCCGCCCCCCAGTACTCCCCGCCTCCTGGAACAGGCTCTTCCAGCGCCTTTATCTTTCCTTAAGCAGGTCTCCCAAGGGCCCCTGAGGGCAGGGAGGCACTTGTCTCACAATTCTGGGGTCCTTTGACAAAGGAACAAGGGATGAGGGAAGGGGTGAGGGGCTGCTGAGTCCTGGGGGGTTCTGAGCAATGTCCGTGTCATTGGAACAGCATGTCATCCATGTCATCCATGGGACGCCTTGGAAAGGCAAGAGGAATAAGGTTCTGCAGCCCCTGCCTCGCTCAATCCAGCTACCACAGCTGCCTGGTTGGGAGGGCAGAGCCACCCCAGAGTCACCCATGACTGCCACAGCTTTAGGAATGGGATTGGGACCTTCAAACCCTGTCTCCTGCTTCCAACTGCCTGGGCCAGCCCCCAAGGGTTTCTGCGCAGCTTTGGCCCTGGACCCCTGTCAAGGCCTTGGGGCACTGCCTCTCAGGTCAGGCTGTTTCGTGCCTCTGTCCAGCTGTGTAACCAAGAGGCTTGTCCAAGGCCACACAGCTGGACAGAGGCGAGAAGCAGCCTGACCTCCGGCGTCAGACTGACCTGGACCCAGGCTCACCCCTGCCTCTGTTCAGCTGTGTGACCTGGGGCAAGCCCTTTGTCCTCGCCTGCGATACCCATCCTAGCGCTCATCCCTAGCTCCTCCGTAGTTAAGGATTCAGGGTGACAGCGTCAGCTGCCTTCAGGGAGATGACTCCGTACCACCCAGCGGCTGCTTCTACCTTACAGATTACCATGGGGGCAAAGGCTGGGCCTGGATGCAGCAGTCTGACCTCAACTTCAAGGTCACCCACCCCCCATCATCATCCATCAGCTGCTGAGCTCCTCCAGGGCACAGACTCACAGTCTCTGGTTCATCTGGGTCTCCAGGACCAAGCACAGTAGGCTCTTTACACACACCCAGCAGAGGTGGTAAATCTGGGAGAGCCAGCTCAGCCTCTGGGCTTGAGATTCTGGCTGTGGGGCCTCAGTCTCCCTGTCAGGACAATGGACATCTAGCCCGGGGAGTCCACAACGGGCACTGCCAGTCTCCAGAAAAGCTTTGGGTGTGAGCCGGCCACACTTCCAGGCTGACCCTCCCTCCTTCGGTGAAGCCCTGGCGCCCCCTGGTGTCCAGAGCCAAGAAGACCAGCTGCCCGGACACCTGGAGGCCACAGCAGGGATGGGACCAGGGCTGAGCCTGCGGCCCTCAGCGGCACCTACAACAGCCCTGGAAGGGTGGGGACTTTTTTTTTTTTTTTTTTTGAGACGGAGTCTCATTCTGTTGTTCAGGCTTGAGTGCAATGGCGTGATCTTGGCTCACTGCAACCTCCGTCCAGCCAGGTTCAAATGATTCTCGTGTCTCAGCCTCCTGAGTAGCTGGGATTACAGGCGCCCGCCACCATGCCTGGCTAATTTTTGTATTTTTAGTACATGAGTTTTCACCATGTTGGCCAGGCTGGTTTTGACCCTGACCTCAAGTGATCTGCCCTCTTTGGCCTCCCAAAGTGCTAGGATCTCAGGCGTGAGCCACTGCACCCGGCCGACTTTCATTAACTCTATTTTCTAGATGTGGCCCTGAGGGTCACAGGTGGTACCACACAGCTGGTATGTGTGAGCCAGGCCAGGACATCTTTCAGAACTGTGGCACCTAACACAGGGTCAGGGGTCTGAGGTCTGAAGGAATCCAGCTAACCCCCATTTCAGATAGGGAAGGTGAGGGGCAGAGTGGGGTAGACACTTTCCTGAGGTCTTGCAGCCACTCATGCAGCCACTCAGAGGTCAGAAAATATGGCCTCCTATCCCCAGATGAGGCTGGAAGCTACGGAAGCCCAGAAGGCCCTACGGAGACGGGGCATGGGAATGGGGCATGGGAATGGGGCATGGGGATGGGAGTCTTATCCTGCCCCAGCCCACCAGGATGCTGGTTAGGCTCCCCCTAGCCCTTGCCGACCTCTCCCTCCTAGGCCCTTGCAGTCCCGTTTATTTCTCCCATACAGCCTTGTGACACCGAGGTAAAAGTGTATGTGTGTGCACAGGGCCATGTGTGCGAGCACGTGTGCATTCCTGCATATGTGTGCTGCGTCCGTGACATGCATGTGCAGGAGTGCAGTATCCACTGCCGTGTGTGTGCATGTGTGCACATGCCCCTGGCCTTGTGTGTATGAACTTGTGGGGCTTGTGCATGTGTATGTGCAAGCGTCCACGTGTGTGCGTGTGTGGGGTGCCCCATCCTGGGGAAGGTGTATCTGCAGGATGCTCGTGCTAGGAAGCTCAGGGCCATCATTTTCCAGGCCTGCTCTTTCCAGCCAGGCTCCTCATGACCCCTGGAAGGAGACTGATGTCCCTTTATGGCATTTGCAGCCTCCAGCCAGGCTGGAACCTCCCTTGTTGTCCTGCCCACATATTCTGTTCTCCCCACACTGGCCTTGCCTTTCCAGCCCTGCCAGTGCTGTTCCCTGCCCCTCTGTGTGTTTATAGGGAGCCAAGGCCCACACTGGAAGGGCACATCCTCTCCAGTCCCCACACTGTCCCTTAAGGCAGCTGTGACCTGGTCCTCCCACTCCCTGCATTTTGCAGATGGGAAAACTGAGGTTCAGGAGGCAGAATGACTGGCCCAAGATCTCAAGCCGTTGAGCTGGAATCTGAGCCCAGGTTTGGCAACTGCCCCTCCTGGCGCTTCCCCTTCTACACATTTTCTTCTACACTTCCAGAAAGTCTTCCTGGTTTTCCTCCTCACCCACACTCCATGAATCAGCCTCTGCTCAGAACTCTGACCTGCATCACAGCCCCCGCAGGCCCGCCCATGGGGATGGGAGTCTTATCCTGCCCCAGCCCACCAGGATCCCCACTTGGGTCAGTGCCTTACCCGTCGCTCAAACTCTTCTCCTTGCTGCACCTCCCGCGGGTAGCCATCAATCAGGAAGCCTTTGGAAGTATTGACTTTGGCCACCATGGCATCCCGGAGCATGTCCAACACTGTCTCCTGGGGCACAGCAAAGGAGGAAGGGGCCATGAGCCTCTCCTCCCCATCCCTTCTCCCAGCCTCTGCTCACGCTGCTCCTGCCACCTGAAATGCCCTCTCCCCAACACAAATGTCCCAAACAAGCCTCCCCCTCCAGGAAGCTTCCTCGGAATTGTGGAGACCTGGACTGAGTGAATGAATGAATGAATGATGCATTCACTCAACAGTATTCACTGAGACCCTCCTTCCAGCCAGGTGCTGTCCTGGGTCCCGAGGACACGGCCATGGACCAATTAGGCCTTCCCTGCCCTGGGGAGCTCAGGGGCTGGTGAGGGGACAGACACATTCCACAGATGATTTCTCCATTTCTAAGCATGGCACAGGTTGTACGGGCAGAGAAGTGGGGCTTCTGGAGTAGAAAATTGGGGGGGGAGGTCTTAGGCCAAATCTGGGGAGTTAGGGAAGTCTGAAAGCTGAAGAGGAAAGAATATTCCAGGCTGGAAGGAGTATGGCTAGTCTGAGGGGACAGAGGCCAGGGTGGCTGAAGGATGGAGGGAAGGGAGAGAGTTGGGGGCAGGGCAGAGTCCTGCAAGGTCTTGGGAGCTTCTGGAAGGAACTTTCTGTCCAGGGCAATGGGGAACCACAGAAGGGTTTGGAGCCGGGGGCGGTTACGGTCAGCTTTGCCTGTGTGCCGTGGGCTTTGCTGCTGGTGGGACACCCACTCAGGGCTACTGTCATCCCCTGCCTCTCACCCCACCAGGGCCCACTCACCAGTGGAACCAGCTGCCCCTTCTCCATGATTTCCGACAGCTTCTTGCCCCTGGCCGAGCCTGAGCTGACCTCGGACCGCAGGAGGTCCCCGGTGGAGAGGTGGGTGTAGCCATACTTCTGCACGATCTTCTCACACTGGGTGCCCTTCCCTGAGCCAGGCCCACCTGCAAACGCCCACCCATTCATAAACCCCGAGACACAGGGTCCCAGGAGGAACAGGGGCTGCCAGGGTCTCCCAGAGAGGGAGGGGCAGAGCCCAGGGTGCAGCCCCAGGCCCGGGCTCCCTCCAGTGCCAGTGAAGACCCTTGCTGCACCACCCGCCTGCCCGCAACTCACCCACCACAAAGATGATCTTGGTTTTCTTCAGCTTCTCTGCGGGAGAGAAAAGGGGAGCAGGGCTCAGTCACTCGCTGGACCCACAGCCAGAGGCACCTCTGGAGTCCCAGGCCTGTGCTGGGCCCCAGGCGGAGGGACAGACACCGCTGGCGCTCCTGTCAGGGAGGCAGACAAGTCACAGCCCAGAGTCAGCAGGGATGTGAGTGAGCTCGGAGCCTGGGAGAGGTCAGGGAAGAGAGGGTGCTCCAGGCAGCCAGACGGGCAGAGGCAAAAGCCTAAAGGCTAAGTACTCTCCACACAGCCAGCGGGCTGGGCCGCCAGCCCTCATGGCGCCTCCCTGTGGGTGCCTGGACCCCGGGGCCGGTCACCTCTGGCTCTCAGATCGTCTTCTCTGCGGGGGTCACTCGAGGAGCAGCAGCCCATGGTCCCGTCCTGCCGTGTCTCCTGTGCACCCTGCCCTTCCCCTCTCAGGCCCTGGGCCGGCCCATCACCCGCCTCCCCCGGCAGTGGGGGCTTAGCAACCACAACATATGTTGCCATGGAGACAGTTGCCGGGGTGGAGGGCTGTGGTGGGCATGTGGAACTCTTGCCCAGAGAGGGCGGTGAGCTTGGCTCCAACCTCTGTCTCGTCCCGCCTGCTGTTAGATCCCAGCAAGGCCACAGCCCCACTGGGCAGAGGGAAACTGAGCTCGAGAGAGGGAAGGCCTGCTCAAGGGATGTCAGAACCAAAACCAGAACCCAAGCTCCCCACTGGGCTTTCAGGCTCCCCCGCTTCCCAGGGAAATAGAGGACCAGGCTGTATCCCACCTTGCTGTGTGACTTAGGAAAGGCCTGCCCCTCTCTGGTTCTCTGCCCCTTCCCCAGGGAGGAGGTGGGCTGGGCGGCTCCCAGGGGCCCTCCCAGCCATAAGGCTGGAGCCCTACAGGAGCTGTCAAGAAGGGCTCCTCCTGTGGGCCCCTATCCCGGGGGTGCAGTGGCCGCAGCCCTATGGCTGTTGATATTTGGAGCTCAGGCAGAGCAGCAGCAGCAGCAGCAGCAGGCCCGCTGGGTGTCTTTAAGAGCTGCCCAGGCCAAGGCACAGTGCCAGGAACTGGACGGATGGTGCTGCCAGCAGCTGAGGGCGGGCCCGTTCTGGACTCTCTGCCTGCCCGTGTCTCCCTCTAAGTCCCAGCCCATAGGAACTAGGAGGGTCCAAGACTTCCTCAAGGCCCACCCTCACTGGATGATAGGGAAACTGAGTCCCGGAGAGGTACGGGGAATTGCCTTGTCCTCATTAGACCTGGTGTTTTGTGTATCTGTGGCCTCTCCATGGGGCAGGGTCTCAGCTCTATAAACCCAGCATAGGGGGTGTGCGCTGGGGCCCTCAGGAGCCTTGGGGAGGCCTCGTCACGTCTAAAATTAATCTTGGAGCTGGCACATCCCGTGAGAGGCCAGAGGAGGATACTGGAGGCTCCCAGCCAGGCCCCCTCCGGCAGCCCCAGAGCCTCCTCCAACCCCTCCCAGAATGTCTCCCTGAGAGCGCACCCCCTTAATAGTCAGGCACACTGAGGCCCAGGCAATGGGCAAAAGGAGAGGAGGCTCATACCTTCCATCCTGCCGAGGTCCCGGGAGCCGTGTCAGTGCTCTGTAAGACAAGGGCACAGGTTGGGGAGGGATTTTCCTCCTCACCCTGACTCACCTTCCACTAAGCCACACCCAAGGCAACTGGTGTGTGCCAGGCCCGACATGCAGTCTGAGGGCAGAGGGGGCTGCTGGGGGCAGGGAAGGCCCAGGACCCCTTCCCTGAGAAAGCCACCTTGGGAAAGTGACCTTGGAAAAGTCACCTTTCCTCTCTGGCCTCCATGGCCTCACCTGTCACAGAAGGGCAGTAGCCCCCTCCCATCCACCTGGGTTCCCGCTGGAGGGGCTGGGACAGTGAGGATGGCACCGAGGGACATAAACAGCGGCCACACAACTGCAGAGCTGCTCCCCTCGAAACTCCCAGAAAACAGGGCGCAGGGCCAGCGTCTGCCCAGACACCTTGACAACGCTCCCCAGGGCCAGAGGGAAGCTGCCAGGAGGTGGGAGGTGGCCAGGAACTATGTGTGTCTGGGATGAGGTTTGGATGGGGATCCTCTAAGGGACAGAGGCCTGGGGTGAAGGAATCTACAGGAGCCGCTCGCATGAACACAGCCCTTTACAGTTGTCAAAGTGAGGCGGTCCCAGGCTCTTCACCTCTACAGGCCCAACAACCAGCCCCACGCATGTCCCCTGCACCCCCACCCTTTGAGGACCTGGCTTTACTGCCCCCACCTTGCCCTCAGCCTGCCCATGAGCCCAATCACACCTGCGACCCCACCCTGTGCTGCCACAGCCCCCAGGACCTCCCCTACCTCGCCCCCCTATCTCAGAACTGCCCTCTGGACACCTTTGGCCTCCACTTCTTCACTCCCAGCCACCAGCCCTCCCCAAGGCCACTCGCAACCACCACAGCCACACTCCCCTCCAGCCTTGACCTCCAGCCAGCGACCCCACCCGCACCGGGACCTCCACCCAAGGCACCCACACCACCCTCTCTACTTGGCTTCAGGCTCCAAGGACCCCCATCCCTGTGCAGGCAGCCCAGGCCTTTCTCTCCAGCCCCAGACATCCATGCCCCCGAGACAGGCCCCAGAAGCCCCACAGGCTTCTCAGGCTCTGAACAGCCCTCCCCAAGTCCCAGCTCCAGGCCCCTATGGCCAAGCCACAGGCTGAGTCAGTGTGAAGGCTCCTCTCTCCTCTCCACAGCCCTGCACACCCACTGCCCAACCCTCCCCTCCCCAGGCTCTCTCCGTCTGTCTCCTCACCACTATGTCCTGTGCTAAGTAAGGGGCCTGGGCCACTGCCCCCGCCTCCACATGGGCCTTGAAGCCTCCACACCCTGCCACGCAATTTGCAGGATTTTCTCTGGCAAGTATCAGACCACATCACACACCCGCTTACAACCTTGCATGTGTGGCCCTCTCGGCTCCCAGACAAAGCCTGGGCCCCTTGACATAGTGGATAGGTCCCGGTGAGCTGACCTCTGCTGCCCTCTGCAACCCTATCAGCTGCCACTGGCAGATGTTGTACCCAATGCCTGGATGCCTTTCCCCACCTTGCTATTGTGTGGGACTCAGCTCAGGTGCCACCTCCTTCAGGAAGCCTTCCTGGACTCTGCCCTCCACTCCCACACTGGCAGGTGCCTCCTGGAAACCTGCCCTGCACTGCACAACCACGCTGTACTGGGCCCCTCTTCTGTGCTGCGGGCCTGGGATCCCATTGACTGGGCCTGGCATGGGCTGAGCACAGGGCTGGGGAGCCTCGTTCCATCCTCACTGCCATCTTGGGAGGAAACTGAGGCATGGGGAGGAGGACAGACTGGTTCGAGGGCCAGCTAGGGTCCAACTCGGCCCTGAGTTTCTGCTACGCTGGGCCTGGCACCCAGTAGCAGCTGAAGTGGCTTTGCTGATGCCCCTGCTGCCCCAGGCAGGAGTGGCAGCCACTTTTCCTGCTGAGTGTGCTTCAGCGGGGGTAGGAGCTGCCAAGTGCCCCTCAGCAGCTGCCCATGGGAGGGGGAGCGTCCTGGGCCAGGGACAACCACAGTGAAGCCCTGAGAAGTGGCCTCGACCCCGCCCTGCCCCGCCCCCCTCCTGGTAATCTAAGCCCCCTCCGCCCTGATGGCACCTGCCACTTCCTTGATCCAAAATAACTTGGGTCGTGAGGAGGCCTCACAGAGGACAGGGGTCTAGGATGGAGTTGGGTTACGGGCTAAGCACCCAGGCCTTATAAGGCCCCTGGGTCAAGGCCCCAGCGACTCCTAATATGACTGGATGGTCTGCTAAGGGGCCTGTGGGGCCGAAGCCCAGAGGGACGGTGACTTAACCCCAATCACAAGACAAGGCCAAGGCAAGCCCAGGTCTCCCAGCTTCTGACCCAACGTAGTCGGTTCCCAGTGGGTGGCAACTGACTAGGGTTCGAATCCCAGCTCCATCACTCAGCTGTGTGACCTTGGGCAGTTGGTGTCCCCTCTCTGGGCCTGTCCTGCTGCTGCTGAGGAGTACCAGGCGGCCACTGAGCAGTGCTGTGGGAAGGCCCCAAGCGCTGGCCCTGGTCAGGAGGCTAGGGCAAGCTCTGAGCATCCAGGGGGTGTTCTCCAATGCACCCAGCACTAGAAGTGGAGTGACACGATAGCCCTACGGAGCACAGAGGCTGCCCCTGTCCAGGTCCTCTGGGGCAGGGAGCCAGGCCACAGCTCTCCCTCTCTGGGCCCAAGCTGGGACATGCCAAGGGCAGTGACCTGGAGCCCCGGGAGTGCCAGCCAGAACAAAGGGGTGACTATCTCGGAGGCTGGAAGGGGCTGCAACACACACAAACACACACGCACACACACGCACGGATCCACAAAGGCACAGGCAGCGAGGCACAGATCCCCAGCGCCCGGGGAACACAGCCACGCAAACACACACGGATCACAACCACGGATACACAGCCGCACAGCCCCCAGGGAGCCCCGCACCAGCACGCCCCCGCCCTCCCCCGGTGCCGCTGCCCCTCCCCGCAGAGGCGCCCCCCCAGACACGCGCGGGCACGCACTGACCTGGGGAGGGGTGCGGGTGGGCGCCGGGGCCAGTGCGTGCCCTGCCCGTCCTCGCGGCGGCCGGCAAAGGCGACTATTTATAAGGCTGTCAGCGCGCGGCATGCCGGGAGCCGGCGTTCCCGAAGGCAGGGAGGGCGGGAAGGAGGGAGGGAGAGCGGACCAGGGACCGGGAAGCGGGGCGGGACCGAGCCCGAGCCCGGGTGCGCGGCGACACCGCACCCGGCACCGTGTGCCCCGCACCGTGGACCCCCAGGTGGCTGTGCCCACACACGCGAACTACACTTTACAGTTTGCCAAGAGTTTTCCATTGCGATACCCCGACTGTGCTCAAGGTACACTCCAGGGTACAAGGCCAGGCTTTCCCTATGATAGCTGGAGAAACTGAGGCTCAGAGAAGAGCGGCTCTTTCCGCAAAATCCCACAGCGCATTGGTGCCAGAGAGAGGCCAGACCAGGGAGCGAGAGGGCTGAGGCATCGACTCAGGGGCTTTGCTGGCCACAGTCCCCAAGCCCGCCCTCAGAGCCTGCCCAGAGGCCCTGGCCGAGACCCACCTGGGACTCCTCTTCCCCTGTTGGGAGGGACCCTTCGAGCTCCTCTGGGACTGGAACCCGCCAGGACCCCAAAGACCACCCAGTAAGGTAGAAGATTATAGAAAACCAGCCCTGCTCCCCTGGAGTTGCCCGGGACATTCAGAAGGCTGTGGATAGCCAGAGAGGGGATTTGCGGTCTTGATAAGAAGAATAGCTCCCATAATGAGCACTCACTGTGCTAAGCAGCAGACTCCAGCCGCATCTGTGAATCCTTAGACACAGCAGAGAACGGGAGGCGAGCATGTCAAATACCTTGCGGGAGGTTCCCTGGTAGAAAGCCACGTGTTTATCCAGCGTTTTGCAGGGAGACTGGCACATAGTAGTAGGTGCTCAGTGATGTAGCCGGGCAGGGATGGGAGCCCAGGCAGCAGCCCCAGATGGTGAGGTGGGTTGAACTTGGAATTTGTATTATAGGCCCTAGGGAGCCATAGGAGGTATTTGAGCAAGAGAGTGAGACTACCAGGAGATTGAGACCACCTTCAGTGGTGGTGCCTCAGCAACCACAGCAGCCAGGAGACCAGGAGGCCTGGGTCTCTGCTACCTGTGATGTCAGATAAGTCCTTACTTCTTGGGACCTTAGTTTCCCCATCTGTGGGGGGGCAGGTGCAGTGGGGTCAGAGGTGTTGCATTAGAAGCTGTTTGAAAGGCCCTCTCAAGGGTGTGTGCATTGGCACCTTTGGGGAAAGCAATTGACAAAGTAAATCAAAATTTCAAATGGACCGGGCATAATGGTCACTCCTGTTAACCCCACCACTTCAGGAGGACGAGGTGGGAGGATCACTTGAGCTCACTTGAGCCCAGGAATTCTAACACCAGCCTGGGAAACATAACGAGATCCCGTCTCTAAAAATAAAACACACACACACACACACACACACACACACACACAGTCTTCAAATGCGCCCTTCTACTTTAAGAAATTTGTTTCAAGGAAACATGTGGGCACAAATTTGCATAGGAAAGTTTTAAAGTGCCAGCAGGGACTCACTGGGATGATGGCACAGCCACGGTGGGTGAGGAGTTAGCAACTTTCCCATAGGGTCTGAGTGAGAAAGGAAGTCCAAGTTGTTTGTGGTTAATGGGACAAGAGGCTTCAGACACCCATAGCATTGGTAAGAAATAGGCAAAAAGGCTGGGCGCGGTGGCTCACACCTGTAATCCCAGCATTTTGGGAGCCTGAGGCGGGTAGATCACCTGAGGTCAGGAGTTCGAGACCAGCCTGGTCAACATGGTGAAACCCCGTCTCTACTAAAAATAAAAATTAGCTGGACATGGTGGTGCGCCCCTGTAATCCCACCTACTTGGGAGGCTGAGGCAGAAGAATAGCTTGAACCCAGGAGGCAGAGGTTGCGGTGAGCCGAGATCACGCCATTGCACTCCAGACTGGGCAACAAGGCAAGAAGAGCGAAACTCTGTCTCAAAAAAAAAAAAAAAAAAAAAAAAAAAGAAATAGGCAAAAAGCCCCACTGCACTCTTCTGATCCCACCTGCATAAAAATGACTGGAGGCTGGGAGCAGTGGCTCACGCCTGTAATCCCAGTACTTTGGGAGGCCGATACAGGAGGATCAGTTGAGGCCAGGAGTTCAAGACCAGCCTGGGCAACATAGTGAGACACTGTCTGTATTTTCTTTTCTTTTTTTTTTTTTTGAGATGGAGTCTCACTCTGTCGCCCAGACTGGAGTGCAATGGTGTGATCTCGGGTCACTGCAACCTCCGCCTCCTGGGTTCAAGCGATTCTCCTGCCTCAGCCTCCTGAGTAGCTAGGATTACAGCCATGCACCACCACACCCGGCTAACTTTTTGTATCTTTAGTAGAGACGGGGTTTCACCATGTTGGCCAGGCTGGTCTCAAACTCCTGACCTCGTGATCCACCCGCCTCGGCCTCCCAAAGTGCTGGGATTACAGGTGTGAGCCACCATGCCCGGCCCCTATTTTTTTTTAAATAAAAGTAGTAAATTTAAAAAAGACTCTAAACATGCAAATGTGTGTGTGTGTGTAAAATATATTCTCAGACTTTTTTTTTTTTTTGCACCGTAACTCTACAAAGTTAAAATTACATTGTCTTACAATCAAACTGACAACATCTTAGAGTGGGTGAAATGAAACAGGACAGAGAAGGCAGGTGTGTGCCTATGACCGCCTGGCTGGAGATGACACTTCCACTTCCTACTTAAAGGCTTCCCCAGGCTTTTCTTTTTCTTTTTTCTTTTTTTTTTTTTTTTTTTTGAGATGGAGTTTCGCTTTTGTGGCCAAGACTGGAGCGTAATGGCGTGATCTCCATTCGCCGCAACCTCTGCCTCCCGGGTTCAAGCAATTCTCCTGCCTCAGCCTTCCTGAGTAGCTGGGATTACAGGCATGCGCCACTACGCTCGGCTAATTTTGTATTTTTAGTAGAGACGGGGTTCCTCCACGTTGGTCAGGCTGGTCTCGAACTCCCAACCTCAGATGATCTGCTGGCCTTGGCCTCCAAAAGTGCTGGGATTACAGGCGTGAGCCACCGTGCCTAGCCGGCATTTTATTATTATTATTATTATTTTATTTTATTTATTTATTTTTTGAGACGGATACTTGCTCTGTTGCCCAGGCTGGAGTGCAGTGCCACAATCTTGGCTCACTGCAACCTCTGCCTTCTGGGCTCAAGCGATTCTCAAGACCCCCCAGTAGCTGGGACTACAGGCACGTGCCACTACGCCCGGCTAATTTTTGTATTTTTAATAGAGACAGGGTTTCACCATATTGGCCAGGTTGGTCTCGAACTCCTGACCTCAAGTGATCTGCCTGCCTCGGCCTCCCAAAGTGCTGGGATTACAGGCGTGAGCCACTGTGCCCAGCCCCCCACGCTTTTTTTTTTTTTTTTTTTTTTTTAAAGAGACAGGGTCTCACTTTGTTGCCCAGGCTGGAGCGCTATGTCAAAATTATAGCTCACCGCAGCCTAAAATTCCTGGGCTCCAGCAATCCTCCTGCCTTGGCCTCCCAAAGTGCTGAGATTACAGGTGCGCGCCACAGTGCCCAGCCACCCAAGCATTTTTGCTTTTCCATACAACAAGCGTCTATTACTTTATATATATTAAAAAATAACTTTAACATGGATAAATCTTGGGGACATTATGTAAGTGAAATAAGCCCATCACAAAAAGGCAAATACTGTATGATTCCTTTACATTGAAGTATCTAAAGGAGTCAAACTCATAGAAAAAAAAGTAGAATGGTGGTTGCCAGGAGCTGGGAGAGAATGAGGAAGGAAGAATTGCTGTTTAATGGGTACAGAGTCTCAGATCTGCAAAATGACAAAGTTTTGGAGCTCTGTTATCCAAAACAGAGTGTGAAAATTGTTAAGATGATTAATTTTATGTTACACGTTTTTTACCACAATTTTTAAAATAAAATAAATAAATTTTTAAAATTAAAAAATCAATTTTAAGTATCCGTTTTATTTGCATGTGAACTATGGATTTTCTACCAATTCTGGAATATTAACGTTTCAGAATTTTATTTCCCAGGTATAACCTAAGGAAAGAAAAAAAAGAAAGGGAGAGAAAAACTGGAATAGTGAAAGAAAAAAGAATTGCATGAAGCCTGGGCGCCGTGGCTCACATCTGTAATCCCAGCACTTTGGGAGGCTGAGGCAGGAGGATCACTTGAGCCCAGGAGTTTGAGACCAGCCTGGGCAACATAGCAAGACCCTGTCTCTACAAAAAAAAAAAAAAAAGTTTTAATTATCCAAGTATGGTGGTGCCTGCCTATAGTCCCAGCTACTTGGGAGGCTGAGGTGGGAGGATTGCTCAAGTCCAGGAGATCAAGGCTACAGTAAACCGTGATCACACCAGTGTACTCCAGCCTGAGCCACAGAGCATGACCTTGTCTCAGAAAAAGAAAAAATTGCATGGAGGAAAGATCTGGAAGATTATACCCTAATAGGACTCGGCAATACCCTCCCTTTCTATCTTATATCATTTGTATTATTTGTTTTATGATAAAAAAAATCTAAAAACAGAAACATATAAAAATGAAACTAATTAAAAAATTTTTTAAAAATATTTTGTAGCTTGTGACATTTAGGAACAAAATTAAAATGAAAATATTTTGGTTAAAGAAAAAATTCCAGCCAGGCGCAGTGGCTCATGCTTGTAATCCCAGCACTTTGGGAGGCCGAGGCGGGCAGCTCACTTGAGGTCAGGAGTGTGAGATCACCCTGGCCCACCTCTACTAAAAATATAAAAATTAGCTGGGTGTGGTGGTGCACGCCTGTAATCCTAGTTGCTTGAACCAGGGGGCAGAGGTTACAGTAAGCTGAGATCATGCCACTGCACTCCAGTCTGGGTGACAGAGCAAGACACCGTCTAAAAAGGAAAGGAAGGGAAGAAAAGAAGGGAAGGGAAGGGAAGGGAAAAAAATTCCAAGGCTTGAAAACAAGCTGGCATGGCGGTTGCAGGAGATGTGCCAGGGCCTCCTCACTCTGAAGTTCACATGTGGACCCACCAGTCAGCACGTAGTGGGATTGGGGATTGCCCCAGGGAGCCTGGCTGGTGGGGCTGAGCTCAGTGGGAACCACTGAGCATCCGCAGGAAACAAATGGATGCAGGAAACAGCTGGACGGGAAGCCCAGAGAGGAGCGGCTGCCACTCATAGGTTTGCAGCTGGTGGGAGGCGCCCCCTCCCAAGGAGGGGTGGGGGTAAGGCCCTCTGCACAGAGATGAGGAAGCACCAGCCTCACTAAGGCACCCGGGAGAGGGGTGCAGGTGCAGATGGAGGTGCAGGAAGGCCTCAAACGCCAGACAAGTCTGTAAGTTTGGAGCTGGCCAGTGAATGGGGAGCCAGTGAAGGTTTCAGGGCAGAGGGCTGTGATGAGAGGGGCTTCAGGAAGCTCACTTTAGCAATGAGTGGGCCAGTCTCCACTGGGTCCCACTGAGGGGGTGAGAGATTGAGGAGTTGGGGACTAGGCCCACCAGAGTCCCACCTCCTGATGCTCCACTGAACATCCCCCTGGGGAACCGACCCCCTCCTGATGCACCTCTTACTGACCTCCCCCTCCCCAGTGGACAGACAGAAGAGCCACAGCATTCTGGGAGAAATTCTACCTCGAAACCTCTGCTGGGGCTGGGTGTGGTGGCTCACGCCTGTAATCCCAGCACTTTGGGAGGCCAAGGTGGGTGGATCACTTGAGGCCAGGAGTTCAAGACCAACCTGGGCAACATGCTGAAACCCTGTCTCTACTAAAAATACAAAAATTAGCCAGACATGGTGGCAAGTGCCTGTAGTCCCAGCTACTCGGGAGGCTGAGGCACGAGAATCACTTGAACCCTTGAGGTCAGGAGTGGGAGATCACCCTGGCTCACACTCCTGAGGGGAGGCAGGGGTTGCAATGAGCCGAGATTGCACCACTGCACTCCAGCCTGGGTGACAGAGTGAGACTCCATCTCAAAAAAACAAAACAAAACAAACAAACAAAAAAACCACAAGGAAGGCCAGATGCGGTGGCTCACACCTTCACACCTGAAATCCCAGCACTTTGTGAGGCCAAGGTGGGTGGATCATGAGGTCAGGAGTTCGAGACCAGCCTGACCAACATGGTGAAACCCTGTCTCTACTAAAAATACAAAAATTAGCTGGGCATGGTGGTATGCGCCTGTAATCCCGACTACTCAGGAGGCTGAGGCAGGAGAATCGCTTGAACCCATGAGGGAGAGGTTGCAGTGAGCCTAGACTGCACCACTGCACTGCAGCCTGGGTGACAGAGTGAGACTCTGTCTCAAAAAAAAAAAAAAACCTCTGCCTGGACCCAGGTTCCCAGAAGCCTTTGCATGGGGTTGGATGGGTGCCATATTCCCATATCCCCATGCCCACGCACGGCTTTCTGCTCCCCATGTAGACTTTACACGGAGTCCCAATCTTTCCAGCCCCCCAGCCCCACTGCCACCATTACTGTGTCTGGCGGCCCCTGGGCCCTGCGCCATGCCACCTGTCAGCCTCCTGCCCATCCTGCTGTGGTCCCATTTGACTTCTCTACGCAAGAAAGATCAAGGCTCTTGCCCCCCTCAGACTGACATTTATGGCCTTGCCTTGTGCCATCTGGCCCCGGGCAGTCTCATCTCTCACTGCTCCCTCCTGCTGTAGCCTCACTGCCTACTGGGTGAAGCTGGGGATCCCACCATGAGGCTTCTCTGTGGGCCACTCCTCCCACCAGACACTCTCACCCTCATCAACTGTGCCTAATACAGTGCATGGCATGCGGCTGCTTATTGGCTACGTGAATTGAGAGGCAGATGCAAGGTGCCATTCATGCCTCTCAGCCCCGGTCACCACCATCCTGGCTGGCCCAGTGCCCAGAAGGGTTCTCTTTCCTGTCCCCAGCAGCTCGGGGACCCTGGGAGATCCCAGCAGGCTGCCTGCCCATGTCTTACACAGTCACTCTTTGTTAGGCCTCGCCTCCGAGGGCATCTTATCTGCCCAAACAGTTTGTAATCTCTGGAGTCACAGACCCCGTGCCTCCTGCCAACCTGGAGTACACAGCCCTTTTGCAGAGAGGCTGGTGGCAACCACCGCTCACCACACTCCTGCCAGCGTTGCAGCCCCGCCAGGCTCCCTCCTGCTGGGTTTGGCAGGAAATCTCAGCTCCCAGCCATCAGGTCCCCAGACGCTTAAGGAGCTGAGAGACCTCTGGCTCTGTGGCCTGGGATGTCTTTCCCCTCACCCCTTCTGCATTCACTGCTCAAACTCTTTTCCCAGCTTCTGTGGGAATTCTTCCTAGTGTACCACGGGGCTCCTCCCCTCCTGGAACCTGAGCTCCTTGAGGGCAGTGTCTGGTCCCCTTTTGCCCTTGAAGGAATTGGGGCTCTCAGAGGCGAAGTGACTTGCCCGTGGTCACACAGGCAGGGTGAGGTGGGGACAGGAAAAGCCAGACGGGCCTGGCTCCGCACGCCCCCACCATCCCCAGAGCCCCCAGGTCTCCACTCAAGATGCAAAAATACACACCTCACTGGCCACTGGCTGCTGAAGAAGCTGAGGATCGCTTTACTGGGAGCCCCCAACCGGAAGACGTGGTCCTGAGGCCGCATGCAGCGCTGGACCAGAAGGCTGTGCTCGACCCAGGTGACACAGGACACGAAGCCGGAGCGTAGGTGTGTTTATTCCTGTACAAATCATTACAAAACCAAGTCTGGGGCAGTCACCGCCCCCACCCATCACCCCAGTGTGCAATGGCTAGCTGCTGGCCTCCTCCATCTGGTCCCTCCAGCCTCACAGCCTCCTCCTGAAGCCCTTTCCTTCCAGGCTCCAGAAGAGCAGGAGACAAACACACCCCACTGAGGCCCAGCTTTAATAAAGTGCCTGATACAGAGCCAGGGGACAGAACCCAGGTGATACAGCTCCCGACAGCCATCCCAGGACGACAGAGGGTCGAGGGAGACCCTCGGAAGCCCCCAGTGACTCCAGACAAAGGGGCAGCCCCAAAGGCGCCTCCAACAGTTGGAAAACCTCCCTGCTAGAGGGCAGAAAAGGAGGCCTGGCCCTTTAAGAGCCAAGCTAATGGCAGCTGGCTGAGGGGCTAAGAAAACAGCTTAAGGTTTTGTCCCGTTTCCTTCAGAGTCCCCCAACCCTGAAGGAGTTTGCGCAAAAATACCCTAAAGTTTTCCAGGAGGTGGGGAGGTCACCCCAGACCCCCCAAAGAGCTGAGCCTTCCAGCAAGGGATAGTGGCTGGGAGGGTCCAGACGGGGAGGACAGACCCGAGGGCACTTGTAGGGGAGGTGGAAAGGGTCTCAGACTCCGCACTGGAAACTGGTGTGGGCAGAAGGGTGCCCAGAGAGGGGGAAGGGTTTGTCCAAGGTCTCAGGGCAGAGCCAAGACCTGGATGCCGGCCTCCCACCTCTGGGACCTCCCCACCGCCCCCACAACCTCCACAACCCCACAAATTCTCTGGCCGGGCCTCCAGACAGCTTCTACCCCCACACAATCTCTCTTTCTGGTGCTGGAAATTGAGGGGGCAACACCAAGTTCCCAGCTCCTTGGGACAGGACCCCATTATCCCAGGAGAGTGGGGAGTGATTGGGGGGTCCATTCCTGGGGCTCTGAACCAAGGCCTCATGGGAAAGGACATGTCCTTAGCCTCAGATTGACTCAGAAATACCCCCTCTACCCTGATTGACTGTGCGCAGACCCTGACTGCACAAGAAAGACACCCCTGATTAACCGCATAGACTCCCAAATCCCTGATTCGCCAACAGATTCCCCAGGCCCTGATTGGCTGGAGGATACATCCTCCTCAAGGCCCTGATTGGCTGGGAGACACTCCAGCAAGCCTTGATTGGCCAGAAGATGGTCCCTGGCCTAGCGGCTGGGCGGAGGCTGCTTCTCCTCTGACCCTCCTGAGGTCCCACAGGCTGGGTGGCCTAGGTCCAGGAGGGGTGGGAGAAGGTGATGCCATACAGCTGGGCCCACGATGAGAAGACCCTTTTCTCGGTGATGAAGCGGTGGTGGTTGCCCTTGCGACTGTGCTCATTCTGGATGTAGGTGACACATTCGTCCGGCCCCTTGGGCTCGTAGTAGTGGTAGGGCATGCGCTGGAGGCGGGGCCGCTGGCTGGGACAGAGCAGACGGGCGTCATCAGGGCAAGGTGAGCGCTGGCAGGGTCCTTGCCCTTTCAGCCCCTCGCTTACCATAGGACCTCAATAGGAGAAATCCCCATGCCTCCTGGGGCCTCGGTTTCCCCATCCATAAAATGGGTGCAGGGTAGACTAGGTGTGTAACCACCAATTTTTTTTTTTTTTTTAAATGCAGTGGCACTTTTTCCTTTCCCTAAGAAGGCGGCAGTGTGGAGCAGTGGTGAGGGCTGTGAGCACTGGAGCCTGGCCCCTCTTCCTACTGTTTGGAGGACCTTTGGCTACTCATAAAACATACTCCTCAGTTTTTCTCATTTAATTAATGGGAAGAATAACAGTTCTTATCCCGTAAGGTTGCTGTGAGGAGTAAGTGAGAGACTACATGTGGCCATGCTTGGTACCTGGTCAGTATTCAGTAAAGTATAGCTGTCCCCTAGTGGGCTTTTCATATGATGCTACTACTAATAGTTATTATTAATAAATAAACTCTGGCGGAGCTTGGAGTGGAGGCCCCTGAGGAAGGAGAAGAAGCCTAGATCTCTGAAGAACAGTTTGAAAACAATGAAGCAGAGGCCCTCAAAGGCACCTTCAGCCAAGGTTTCCAGCCCCTAGAGCTCCATCCTGCGGCCAGTGCCTGGGTGTTGTCCTGGGAGGGCGCTGGCAAGGAGGGCTCACCTGCAGTAGTTGGGGGGGACCATGCCATAGACATGCACGTGGTCACACAACTCCACCGCGATCACCATGGTAAACCAGCCTGTGCTCAACCACGAATGAGACTTCTCCCTGGGGATGGAGAGGGGTCACGATGAGGGCACATGCAGGGAGAGATGGGAGCAGGTGACCCAGGGTCACCCACGTGGAGTTCCCTGGAACTCCTCCCATCCACTCATCAGGGCCCCACTCCCACTTTGGTTACCCCAAGTCCAGCCTCGCTGATGGGAGCATGGCATGTGGCAGAGGGCTGTCCAGGCAGAGGTGAGGGGTGTGGAGGGAGCTCCTTTGAGGGGAAGAATGGGAACAGGGCATGCTAGAAATGAACTGTCTCCTGGGGAGCTGGGTCACAGTTGGGCAGGCTGAGTGACTATGATTGCAGAGCATGCTAAAAACAGTTGTGCCCATGCTAGAAGCAAACTCCTAAGGGGAGACTAATCAGATAAGTTCATGCTGGAGTGACTGCAGTTCAGAGCAAGGCCTGAAGGAGTAGCCCAGAACCAAGAGCTGTGCTCACACTACAGTGGCCACCAGCCATGTGTGATTGAGATGGGCTGTACGTGTAAATACACACTGCATTTCTTAGGTAGTATGGAAAAAAGAAGGGAGGCCAGGCGTGGTGGTTCATACCTGTAATCCCAGGACTTCAAGACCAGCCTGGGGAACATAGTGAGACCTCATCTCTACAAAAAATTAAAACTTAGCCAGGTGCAGTGGCTCATGCCTGTAATCCTGGCACTTTGGGAGGCTGAGGTGGGCGGATCACCTGAGGTCAGGAATTGGAGACCAGCCTGGCCAACGTGGCGAAACCCTGTCTCTACTAAAAATACAAAAATTAGCCAGGCATGGTGGCACGTGCCTGTAGTCCCAGCTACATGGGAGACTGAGGCAGGAGAATTGCTTGAACCCAGGAGGTGGAAGTTGCAGTGAGCCGAGATCGCACCACTACACTCTAGCCTGGGCAACAGAGTGAGACTCCTTCTCCAAAAAAAAAAAAAAAAAAAATAGGCCGGGCGCAGTGGCTCATGCCTGTAATCCCAGCACTTTGGGAGGCCAAGGCGGGCAGATCACGAAGTCAAGAGATTGAGACCAGCCTGGCCAACATGGTGAAACCCCCTCTCTACTAAAAATACAAAAATTAGCTGGCGTGGTGGCACGTGCCTGTGATTCCAGCTGCTCGGGAGGCTGAGGCAGGAGAATCGCTTGAACTTGGGAGGCGGAGGTTGCAGTGAGCTGAGATTGTGCCACTGCACTCCAGCCTGGGTGACAGGGCAAGACTCCATCTCAAAACAAACAAACAAACAAACAAACAAACAAACAAACACTGAATACTTTCTCCCTAAGACTAGGACCAAGGCAAGGAAGTCCACTCTCACCATTTCCAATACAATTGAACATTGTACTGAAAATCCTAGCCAGTGCAATAAAGCAAAAAGAAGAAATAGGCATACAGATTAGAAAGGAAGAAATAAAATTGTCCTTATTTGCATGTCACATGATTATCTGCATGGAAAATCCCAAAGAGTCTACAAAAATCTCCTAGAACAGGCTGGGCACGGTGGCTCACGCCTGTAATCCCGGCACTTTGGGAGGCCAAGGCAGGTGGATCGCCTGAGGTCAGGAGTTTGAGACCAGCCTGGCCAACACGGTGAAACCCTGTCTCTACCAAAAATACATAAATTAGCTGGGTGTGTGGCGCAAGCCTGTGGTCCCAGCTACTTGGGAGGCTGAGGCAGCAGAATCACTTGAACCCAGGAGGTGGAGGTGCAGTGAGCCAAGATCACACCACTGCACTCCAGCCTGGGCAACAGAGCAAGACTCCCTCTCAAAAAAAAAAAAAAAAAATCTCCTAGAACCAATAAGTAAGTTTAGCAAGGTTACAGGATACAGGATCAACACACAAAAATCAATTTCTCTTTTTTTTCTTTTTTTTTTTTTTCTTGAGATGGAGTCTCGCCTTGTGGCCTAGGCTGGAGTGCAATGGCAGGATGTCAGCTCACTGAAACCTCCACCTCCCCGGTTCAAGCAATTCTCTTGCCTCAGCCTCCCAAGTAGCCGGGATTATAGGTGCGCACCACCACGCCCAGCTAATTTTTTGTATCTTTACTAGAGACGGGGTTTCACCATGCTGGCCAGGCTGGTCTCAAACTCCTGACCTCGTGATCCGTCCACTTCGGCCTCCCAAAGTACTGGGATTACAGGCATAAGCTACCGCTCCCAGCCACAGAAATCAATTTCTATATGCCATTTCTATATATTAGCAATTAACAATTGGGAACAAAAGAAGTTAATGCCATTTATAATAGCTCCAAAATTTTTTAAATATTTAGGTATAAATCTAACAAAATATGTACAGGAGCTATATGTTGAACATATTGGGTTAAAAATATATTAAAGTTGCTTTTACTACTTTTTTTCTTAAGGAGATGTAAGATGTAATCTCATTCTGTCACCCAGGCTGGAGTGCAGTGGCACCATCCTGGCTCACTGCAGCCTCAACCTCCCGGGCTCAAGTCATCCTCCTGCCTCAGCCTCCTGAGTAGCTAGGACTACAGGTACAAGCCACCGCACACAGCTATTCACTAATTTTAAAGTGCGATTACTATGAAAATAAATGACATATGTGGCTCACATAGATTTCTATTGGGCAGCACTGGCCTAGCTTTCCTAGGGAGATTAGTCACAGCAGGGCATGCTGGGAGTGATGCATCGCTGGAGCAGAGCATGCCAGGAGCAACTGTGTGCTTAAGGCAAGACATGCTGGGAACAGTCAAGACTTTACATTGGGTACACTATGGGGAGCTTCTCTCAGAAAGATGCTAGGACTGACTGTGCAACCTCAGAGCAGAGCATGCTGGGTGGGAGCCCTTGTGCCCTCACAGCAAGGTATGCCAGGAGAAAGCCCTCTTGGACAAACCAGGCCATGCAGAGCATGCTGGAAAGGACCCATGTGAACAGCTGGACATGAAGAGAACTCTCCTAGGAGGCCCAACCAGAGGACGGCGGGACTTGACTACCCCTCAGAGCAGTGCATGCTGGGAGCAACAGGCCCTCTGGATGGGGCATGCTGAGAAGGAGCACAGTGCTGGCCAGAGGGGGCAGGCAGGAGGCTGGTACCTGTCCTTGCCCGTCTCACCCCGGAAGAGGTCGTCAAATTGCCGCATGCGGCCGGGAGAGACGGCATATGCTTCCATGTTGGGGAACACCAGGCCCGCTCGCTGGATCACACGCACGAGGCTGCCCTGGGGCTTCTGCATCTTGCTCGGGGGCCCCCAGAAGATGAACACGGTTTCAGGGGTCCGGTTGACAAACTCCTGGGGCCTCCTCAGCACGCGGAACACACTGGAATGGGCCACGACGCGGTAGGTGGTCTTGTTGCCCACATCAGCTGAGTAGCCAGTGGTGGGTGCATCATTCATGCGGATTGTACACTCAGCCCGCTCGATCTCAGGGCCCAGCTTGGTGCCCAGCAGGTGGCTGGAGCTGCTGACAATCACACACTGGTGGCACCGAGAGGGCAGTGTCTGGTGGATAAGGAAAGTCAACATTATCACGGCCACTCTGTGCTGGCCCTGTGCTCCATACATCCAGGCCTCCAGGACCCAGGAATTGTTATGCCCATTTTAAAGACAGGGAAACTGAGCCCATTCATTCCACATTCAGCACACATTGATAGCAAGCTGGTTAATGGCCAAGTCCTGGGGCAGAGCAAGGAGCAAAACAGACCAGGCTTCTGCCTTCAAGAAACAGGTGGGGAGACAGATAAGAATGCACATAATACATGCCAGGAAAAAAAAAGAAAATAGTGGCAAATGGCTAAGCATTGTAGCTCATGCCTGTAATCCCAGCACTTTGGGAGGCCGAGGCAGGCGGATCACCTGAGGTCAGAAGTTCGAGACCAGCCTGGCCAATATGGTGAAATCCCATCTCTACCAAAAAATACAAAAATTAGCCAGGCGTGGTGGCGCGTGCCTGTAATCACAGCTACTCGGGAGACTAAGGCACAAGAATTGCTCGAACCTGGAGGCAGAGGTTGCAGTGAACCTAGATCGTGCCACTGCATTCAAGCCTAGATGACAGAGCAAGACTCTGTCGAAATAAAGAAAGGTAAGAAGAAAGAAAGAAAAGAAACAAGGAAAGGAAAGAAGAAGGAAAAGAAAAAGGAAAGGAAAGGGGAAAAAGGAAAGGAAAGGAGAGGAGAGGGAGAAGGGGAGGGGGAGGGGGAGGGGAAGAAGACAGGGGGAGGGGACAGAGAGGGGGGAGAGGGAGGGGAGGGGAAGGGAGGGGAAACAGGGGCAAGTGACCAAAGAGCGACTGCAGCCAGGGCACTTTAGGAGTGGTGGCCTGGAAGTCCAGGTGCGATGGCTCACGCCTGTAATCCCAGCACTTTGGGAGGCTGAGGTGGGCGGATCACCTGAGCTCAGGAGTTCGAGACCAGCCTGACCAACATGGAGAAACCCCATCTCTATGAAAAATACAAAATTAGCAAGGTGTGGTGGCGCATGCCTGTAATCCCAGTTACTCGGGAGGCTGAGGCAGGAGAATCGCTTGAACCCCGGAGGCAGATGTTGCGGTGACCCGAGATCGAGCCATTGCACTCCAGCCTGGGCAACAAAAGCGAAACTCCATCTCAAAAAACAAAACAAAACAAAAAAAAGAATCTAGTGAGAGGAATCTAACATAACTGACTCCATCCTGTTTCTGACCTCACAGTCTAACCACCCTTGCTCATTCCTGTCCATAGGCTAAGCTAACTATGAGAGGAATTTACTTTATAGTTTAACTCTGAAGCAAAGATGATAACAGCCGCTTCCCAAAACTGAACTCCACCTTGTTTGGGGACTAAAACTGACTTTGTAAAGTTAATAAAAGGCCACAAGGTAACAACTGAGACAGAGGCCTGGACTCTGCTAGGATACAGGTGTAGTAAAATCATTTGTTTTACTTATTTTCCTTTTCCTTTGTCCTTCTCTTCGTAGATGCATGATTGCCTGCATATAGTCAGTTCGATAGAAGGTGGTCACTAAGAATTGATTGTCTCACCCCCCGCACACCTTTCTGTCAAGCTGTAGGCATAAACCATAACCAGTCATTATCTCTTAGCTTGCTTTTCTGCTAAGATGTAGCTATAGTTGAATTATAACCAGTCATTGTTTCTTAGGTTGCTTTTTAAAATATAGATAACATCATCGTTGTTTTTAACATAGATAACATCATTATTGTAAAACCTGAGTGTCTGAGATATTTTTCAGACCTTGCAATCTGGTAGATCAATGGATGCCAACCAGACCAGTGACCCATGGCCCCCACCCAGGAACTGACTCGGCAGGTGAAGACAGTTTCAACACCCCTATGATTTCATCCCCAACCATTCTCTAGTCCCCCTGCCTGCCAAACTATCCTTTAAAAACCCTGGCTTCCAAATTCTGGGGGAGGCAGATTTGAGAACTATCCCACGCCTCCTCATTTGGCTGGCCCTGCGATTGTTAAACCCTTTCTCTGCTGCAACACCCGCAGTCTCAGTGTATTGGCTTTTCCTGGGCAGCAGGCAAGAAGCTGTCCGGCTGTAACAGAGACGTCTCTCTGAGCTGAGATGTGAAGGATGAAGAAGGACCACCTAGGGAAACATATTCAAGGCAGGAGAAACAGCCAGCACAAAGGCTCCAATGTGGAAATAAAGGTGGTACACTGAAAACCAAAAGAAGGCCATTCAGTTGGGGCAGAGTCAACAAGTGGGAGAACAGCAGGTCACAAAGTCTATGTGACCACAGATTCCCAGCTCTCCAAAGAAGACATCTTCCAAAAAGCACCCATGACATTTCCACAGCACCCAGAAACAAGAACCACCTTGTTATTAAGGAAGGTGTGAAAGCCACTCTGGGCTTGTTTTTCCATGGCTGAAATGAATGGGTTGGAACCACATACTCTCTGGGGTCTATTTTTTGCCCACGGAATTCCCATTCACCCTTTAAGGCTAAGCTCAAATACCACCCTCCCCAAGGCAGCCTTCCCTGAGCCCTTACTCCAAGATCCAGCAACACATCCCACGTACCTCGACTGGCACTCCCACTTTTCTGAGTGCTAGTTTTTTTGGCTTCCCCTGTGATGCTGGAAGCACTGCAAGCCAGGCTCTGTCTCTCCTTTCCACATCACCCACACTCAAGCTGTCCCATTTTTATTCCGCTTTCAAGGGTTCTTAGGGTAGAGAAAGACTCACTTAGGTGTTAACCTGTCTCCAGACACCTGCTAATGTGCCCTTTCCTAGTGAGGGTGTGTCCAGAGCCCGGGCTCTACACTCTGCATGCGAAGGCCCTGAAGAAAATATAGGAGGGTCAGTGAGGAAGGAGAAAGAGGTACTACAGGGTGAACCTCAGAAATACAATCTGAATTTCATGGCTACCCAAGGCCAACAGAAGTCCCCAGGAATGACTTTGGCCTCTCTGTGCAGCTGCATCTTAGCAGCGGGTAGGAAAATACCATCTTCTTCCTTCCCTCACTGTGTGGCCTTAGACATGTGACTTCACCTCTCGGAGCCTTGGTTACTCCATCTCACCAAGGAAGATAATAATGCTGCCCTCACAGGGCTTGTCTGAGGATTACTGGTGATCAAAGGGCCTGGCACACACACGCACTTGATAAAAGGCAGCCGGTATTATTACTGCTTTTGTGTTGTCAAATGTCCCAGTGCTCTGCTCCCAAGCCTGTGTGGGCTCCCCAGCAGAGACAGAGAGCAGTGAAAACAGAAACACATTTTCAAAAGGATTCTGATTCAGGAGATGGTAGGATATTAGCAATAAGGGTGGGGACTTGGAGAGAACTGAGGCCCAGACAGGGGCAGCGCACTTATCCAAGGTCACACAGCAAGCAGCAAGATGAAATCACCGGAGGCAGGGCCTTGACTCTCAGGGTCCACCTTTCCTTTAGGAAAGAACAGGTGGAGGGAGTGGTGATGCTGGGCAGTAGGGAGGAGCTCCCCAAAGCAGCTGCGCTACCTTGTTGCCGAGAATGGGGACATAGCCGTCAGTGATGCTCCACTTCTTGAGGTTGACAGGTCGGCGGCTACGGCCCCGCAGGGAGCCGTAATGGAAGACCTCATTGGCACTGTTGGAGCTGTAGAGGATGAGGATGGTGATGAGGGCAAAGAGGATCACGAACACTGCTGACCGCTGCTCCTGGAGAGAGGAGAGGTCAGTGAGGGCCCAGCTGCCGGGCAGGCTCAGCGCCCCCACCTCCTTGCCACCTACCATGCCTGGTTAACTCCTGCTTTTTGTTGCAGACCAGGTCAGGCACTACTTCCTCCAGGAAGGCCTCCTTCAGCCACCTCAGTCCCCCCATCACAACACTGATCATACTGCATTCAAACTCCCATCCCTCCAATTAGACCGTGAGCTCTGGGACTAGGTCAGCCTTGCTCCCCACTGTATCCTAGATCCCAGGGCAGGGCCTGGAACATGGAAGGTTCTCCGGGAGGGTTTGCTGGACTGGATTGAATATGTCAGGATTCCCTATAGCTGCTGCTAAGAGGATGTCTAGAGACAGGTGGGACATCTGAGTGAGAGGGTCTAGGTCTTCCCCCAACAGTAACTCTCCAATGTATTGCCTCTAGCTCCAAATTTATCCTTTTTGTCTGCTCTGTGGAAATGGATCTGGGCCCTTTAAATATTTTCCCTTGTCAGTTAGCTGCATATTAAACTTTGTGAGTAGAGGGTGCTGGACAGACACTGCAGGAGGAAAAGCATTTGCTTCTTGGTTCTGGTAGGCTTGCTAGGGAGGCTCCTTCAGTGCACACGGCCTCTCCAGTAAGGGCATCTTACCCACTGCCCAGAGGCCAGCAGTGCCAGCAAGTCAGGCTTATTGCTTCTGGCTCCCGCTGTGATCACAGCTTCTCCGAAGTCCAGCTCCTACAGTACACTCAACCACCTGCAGCACCTGGAGGCTGGCGGCTTCCCCTCCCCAGGCCAGTTCTGTACTGGAGCCATCCAGTGGGCCATAGCTGGGCCTTCTTCAGCAAGGCCCAGATCTCAGCCTTTATGGGGGCAGGGGTGCTCCTTATATTAATATCTGCTATTCCTGTATTCCTCAGAATTCCAATCCCTTGTTACTCTAGTGTCCTATTATAGTCAATAATTTTTTGCATTAAACTTTTCCGTTTAATCACTGTGTAGTTTCTTTTTCCTGATTAAACTCAAATTAATACAACCACCCCATCCCACTTCCAAACCTCAGGCTCCACCAAGGCTGCAGTGGATCCTAGGGAAGGGGCATGCAGGGCCAGTCATGTAGTAAGTGCTTAGGAAAGAATGAATGAATGAAAGAATGATGGGGAATCCTGACATTCTCAGGGTCATGCTCGGGCTGTATCACCTTTGACTCTGATCAGTGCACCCTTGCCCCATTTCCCGCTCACCTCCACCTGCCCACCCCTCTCTCCTGCACAGCACTCCACAGTCACCTCGGCTAGTCCTTGACCATCACAGACAGACCGTCAGGCCTGGGAAGGCAGAGCTGACCCTGGGCCCGGGAACAGGCAGGAGCTTGCCCTAAGCCACTCAGAAGATCAGTGGCCAAACCAGGGCTTAAATCTGGGCCTCCCAGGCATGGGCAGCTTCTTGCGGGGAAGAAGAGACTCGTGGTGGCTGGGGTCTGAGACAGGTCCAAAGGAACCCGTTCCATGGAGGGAAGTGAGAGGCTCAATGGGGTTAAGAAATGAAGGCAGACTTACTTTGTTGCTACTCATTTCTCTCCGGCGTCTGCTGAGGGGTAGGTGTCGGCGTCCTGCAGGTGGCCCTGGGGGCAGGGATGTGGGTTCACACCTGCAAGCCACCAGAAAGGGTTATTATGGCTTCGGTCCTTTGGGTCCAGCAAGCCAAAGGCTACACCTTCTCTGCCCCGCACTAGTTCTTCTATGCACCCAGAACTTTAAGGCTCAGGACTGTATCCCTTTTGCAGACGGAGACACTGAGGGCCAGAAAGGCCAGGAATCTGCCTGAGGTCACACAGCCTGGTGGCGGCAGAGCCCTGCCCATTCTCCTCCCTAAGCAGGGGCCTTCCCACACCAAGGCAGCTGGCAGGGCCAAAGCTGGCTCCCCTGCTGGAGGACCTGACCTCCACGCAGTAGGAGCCCCATTCACACCCTGCTCTAAACCCTGCCTTGGGTCCCTGTGGTGTCAGAATAAAACAACACCGCTTGTAGGCCCCCGAACTCCTCTGCTCTGGCTCTCTCTCAGGTTGGCCTGGAACGCCCTCCCTCCTATGGCCTCCTGACTCCCACTCATCCTCCAAGCCTGGCATGGACCAGGAACTCCCCTACGTCCTCCCATCCCCCCAGGCTAAGAGCTGCCTGCGGGATACAGCCCACCCAGGTCCTCACTCAGTTTCCCTGTGCCTCCACAGCCACGGAGATTCAGGAATATCGCTGAATGAATTAGTGCATTAACAAGCAGGATCTCTCGGGGGCTAAGGGCACAGACTCAAGTCTGAGAGGCTCGGTTCTAGTCCAGGCTCGACAGTCTCTGCCAGGGCTGACTCCTCATCTGTCAAATGGCTGTAATCACAGTCTCAGGGGGTGGCTGGGGGGGCCTTTGGAAGACCTGGCAGTGAGGAGGCCGGCCCAGCTCTGCTCCGCACACCCCAATCTCTTCCTCTCCCACAACCAAAACCCAGCTCCTTTCCAGGGTTCCCCACCTGTGAAAGGGAAAATGTACTGTGTCCAGCCTACCTCCAGCAGACAGGCCGGGGGCAGGGCGGGCAGGAGTGCAGAGGGAAGAAACTGGGGCTTAGGGGGCCCTCCTCAGCTCCGTCCCCTGCTCCAGGGGCCTCTCAGTTCCTGTATTCTCTGAGCCCTTTGACCTAGCCGCTGTTTACTCCTACACGGCCACCAGGAATAGCCAGAGAACCTCGGGCCAGAGGAGGCTTGGCACACACACCTCGCTCCTGATTGGTTAGATCATGGCCCCGCCCCCTCTCCAACCCCGCCCCCTCCCCGTGGGAGCGCCCCTCATCCGGAGCTCGGCTTCGGGTTTCTCCAGCGGCTGCCCCTCACTGCCAGTCAGGGAGGCCCAGACTCCTATCTAGTCCAGGCCCTGCGGTACAGAGCAGAAAACGGGGCCTCATCAGAAGCAGGGAGCGGCTTGTTCTTGCCCTCACAGACCGTTAGAGCAAAAGACAGGAGTCCAGAATCCTGGGGTGGCCCCATCTGCCCTGAGACCTTGGCATTCAAGGCGCCCAGGGGTCCAGCCGCCTATATCTTACTACGCGTGGCCACCCTTTCCTGCGGATGCCCCCTGCCCGCCGCCCACTTTCCCACCTTTGCCCGAGCTGTGCCCTCAGCCAGGACCACCGTCCCCCTGGTCCGCCCCGTCACAATCCTGCTCTGAGAAGGCCATGGTCAGTACAGCATGTCAGCTGCCAGTGCGAATCCCGGTTTCACCACTTACTGGCTGGGGGGCCTCGAGCAAGCCATGTGACCTCTCTGAGCCTCAGTTTCCTCATCTGTGAAATGGGAACAATAAGAGTCGGTAACTCAAGGGGTTGTTGGAAGGATTCAAGCAGATGTGGCAAGGGACACGCGGGGCTTGAAAGTGCTCCCACATTGGCCGGGCGCGGTGGCTCACGTCTGTAATCCCAGCCCTTTGGGAGGCCGAGGTGGGCAGATCACTAGGTGAAGAGATCCAGACCAGCCTGGCCAATATGGTGAAACCCCGTCTCTACTAAAAATACAAAAATTAGCTGGGCGTGGTGGCGTGCGCCTGTTGTCCCAGCTACTCCGGAGGCTGAGGCAGGAGAATCGCTTGAACCCGGGAGGCGGAGGTTGCAGTGAACCGAGATGGTGCCACTGCACTCCAGCCTGGCGACAGAGCGAGACTCCGTCTCAAAAACAAAAACAAAAATAAATAAATAAAATAAAATAAAAGAAAGAAAGAAAGAAAAGAAAGTGCTCCCACAATGCCAACAGCTGTTAGTCTTGTGGTTAATCACTGTTCAAGGCCCGCCTCTCCAGTGTGTCAGTGAAACACTCCTCCCCTGACCCCAGTGCAGCGACTTTCCCGGAATATCAAGGAATGTGTGGGAATGCGTTCTAAGCATCACCCACGCACTGAATCCAGGCAATGCATGGTAGGAGCTCTTGTTGCCCATTTTACAGATAAGGAGACTGAGGTTCAGAGAGGCAAAGCGCCTTGCGGGGCCGCCCAGAGCCGGCTCCAGAGCCTTGTTTACAGGGAGCTGCCCAGGGCTGAGCCTGACTTCGTCTCCCTGGAGGATCCCTCTCGGCTGGAACGGGTCAGAGGCCATGGAGTGTGTGCCCAGGACGTGGCTCGGCACAGGCACCAGGGCGGGGGTCTAGGGGTGCCGGCCTGTTGGGGAGCGGCTTGCTCACGCTGGGGAGGCGGCAGCCCCGAGCGCTGGGCCAGGAGCATGGACTCAGCCCAAGGCTGGACGTGCAGGCGAGCTGAGCGGGAGCCGAGGGTGGGGGCCACACCCTGCCCTCTGTTTGGGGGCTTTCCTTCTTCCAGCCCCGGGAGTCCTCCCGCAGATCGGGACGCCCCCACGAACCCGCGTGGGAGGAGGGCTCCAGGGAGAAGGGGGAGGGGGGCTCCTAAATCCAAGACGATGCGGGACGCTGAGCCCGTGCGTCCACCTGGTGGGGGGCTCACCCAGCGCGCGCCTCGCCTCATCCCCCTCCCCAACTCCTGCACTCCGGGGGTCCGGAGCCCTAACCCCAGCTGGGAAGAAAAGAGAGGCAGGACCGCTGACGGGGTAGTCGGCGGCAAGAGGCCCAGCGGACCCCGCGACAGACCCTGGGCGCGAGGACCGGAACCTCGGGGCGCGGCTACCAAGGGGGAAGGGGTCTAGGGGTGCCGCCGGGGGACCCGCATCCATCCCCATCCCCGGCGATTAGCAATCTCCTCTCCCGGCGCCCTCCGCCCCAGCCCCCGCCTCCGCCCCCGCCCCCGCGGCCTGCTCCCGCGCGGCGCCTGCTCACCTCCGGCGGGGAGCGCCCGGCCCCCCGCGGCCCCCGAGCCCCCTCACATGGCGCCGGGAGCCGAGCGCCGGGGTCCGCGCTCCTCAGGCCGCCCAGGCCTCGCCGCACCCGCGGCCCGCCGGGTCCTAGCGCCGCCGTCACGGCCCGGCCCAGGCCTGGGAGGTGGGCGGAGCCTCGGGGCCGCGGGTGGCTCCGCCCACGGGCGGCGCGGGCGGGGAAGGGAAAGGGGAGGCGGACCCGGGTGCCGCCGCCTGGTGAGCGCCTCGGTCACCCCACTGGGCAGCCCGGGGTGACCACCAAAATACAACAGCCTTTCGGCTCCCTGCAGTGTGGATCGGGCCCACTTCTAGCTCTCTTTATTGCCACCATGACCCCGGATGGGGAAACTGAGTTCCGGAGCACGCTGTGCTTGCACTCAGTGGAGTTTCTACCTGGGCTCCCCACAGAGGGCCTCCAGCTCCCTGCCTTGCACCCTGTAGTCACCTGGGCAAACTTAGGGTTCACCCTCAGATTCAAGTTAACCTCTGCCATTCGCCAGCTGCGCAGCCTTAGCGCATAACTTCCCTTCTCCCTGCCTCTGGAAAATAGGGAGAAGAATAACTTCACAGAGCTGGGAAAACTTAAGATGTTCCTTCTTGTAATTACCAGGGCATCCATGACATCACTCTACGTGATAGGGAAAAATAACTTAAGTAGCCATTGCTAGGGGACTGCTTAAGTTAAGGCACAGCCTGCCGAAGTGCACGAGGAGGCTGTTAAAATGAAGGATGCGGGCCAGGCGCGGTGGTTCGCTCACGCCTGTAATCTCAACACTTTGGGAGGTCGAGGCAGGTGCATCACCTGAGGTCAGGAGTTTGAGACCAGCCAGGCCAACATGGAGAAACCCCGTCTCTACTAAAGATACAAAATTAGCCTGGCGTGGTGGCACATGCCTGTAATCCCAGCTACTCGGGAGGCTGAGGCAGGAGAATCGCTTGAACCTGGGAGGCAGAGGTTGCGGTGAGCCGAGATCACGCCATTGCACTCCAGCCTGGGCAACAAGAGCGAAACTCCGTCTCAAAAAAAAAAAAAAAAAAAAAAAAAAGAAGGATGCAGGTCAGTATGTCTTGGCAGGAAAGGATGGCCAGGATATTTATAGGATATTTACGTGAAGAAAGCAAGTTAAAGAACTGCCAGCCAGGCCCAGTGGCTGTAATCCCAGCACTTTGGGAGGCTGAGGTGGGTGGATCACCAGAGGTCAGGAGTTAGAGACCAGCCTGGTCCACATGGTGAAACCCCCTCCCCCAACCCCCCACCCCACCCCGCCTCCAGTCTCTACTAAAAATACACAAATTAGCGAGGCGTTGTGGCGGGCACATGTAATCCCAGCTACTTGGGAGGCTGAGGCAGGAGAATCACTTGAACCCAGGAGGCAGAGATTGCAGTGAGCCGAGATCATGCCATTGCACTCCAGCCTCCAGCCTGGGCAACAAGGGCTAAACTCCCTATCAAAAAAAAAAAAAAAAAAAAAAAAAAAAACTGTCTTGGAAACAAAGTTGTAAACATTTGCATTCCACAGCTGAGTACACATGCCCTGGAGAAATTCTTGCAGATGTGCCCAAGGAGGTTCATAGCAGCATCGCTATGGGGAAAAACCCCAAATATCCATCAACAAGAGAATGGAATTGTTTTATACAATGGAAGGTTCACACTGTGGAATAATATGTAACAGGGTAAAATCAATGATCTACAATTACATGGATGAATCTTAGAGACACAAGGAGTGAAAAAGAGGTATTGGAAGATAAGTAAAAACTACACAATAGGGGCCGGGCGCGGTGGCTCATGCCTGTAATCCCAGCACTTTGGGAGGGGAGGCAGGCGGATCACTTGAGGTCAGGAGTTCGAGACCAGCCTGGCTAACATGGTGAAACCCCGTCTCTACTAAAAATACAAATAAATTAGCCAGGCGTGGTGGCACATGCTTACTTGGAACACGCTACTTAATCCCAGCTACTTGGAAAGCTAAGGCAGGAGAATCGCTTGAACCTGAGAGGCGGGAGGCAGAGGTTGCAGTGAGCCCAGATCGTGCCACTGCACTCCAGCCTGGGCGACAGAGAGAGACTCCGTCTCAAAAAAATAAAATAAAATAAAATAAAATAAAAATAGACCGGGTGCGGTGGCTCAGCCCTGTAATCCCAGCACTTTGGGAGGCCAAGGCAGGCGGATCACCTGAGGTCAGGAGTTTGAGACAAGCCAGACCAACATGGTGAAGCCCAGTCTCTACTAAAAAAATACAAAATTAGCCAGGTGTGGTGGTGCATGCCTGTAGTCCTAGCTACCCTGGAGGTTGAGGCAGGAGAATCGCTGGACCCTAGGATGTGGAGGTTGCAGTGACCGAGATCGTGCCGCTGCACTCCAGCCTGGTGACAGTGCGAGACTCCATCTCAAAAATAAATAAATAAAAATAAAAGCAAAAGTCAAGAACAATGGGGGAGGAATCAAAGAGGTATGCAAGTTACAGTAACTGGTCTTTAAGTGGGGACTGAGTTCAAGAGGTTCATGATATTTTTATGCTTTATCACTTTCAAATATGACACCATATCACAATATTTTAAAAGATGCAAAAAAATAAATAAGGAAATGCCTTTTGCCTATCACGGTGATTAGTGTTTTTGGTTTTTTGTTTTTTATTGAGATAAAGTCTCGCTCTGTCACCCAGGCTGGAGTGCAACGGTTCAATCTCGGCTCACTGCAAGCTCCGCCTCCTGGGTTCAAGTGATTCTCCTGCCTCAGCCTGCCGAGTAGCTGGGACTACAGGCGCGGGCCACCACGCCCAGCTAATTTTTTTGTATTTTTAGTAGAGATGGGGTTTTGCCATGCTGGCCAGGCTGGTCTCGAACTCTCGACCTAGGTGATCCGCCTGCCTCAGCCTTCCAAAGTGCTGGGATTACAGGTGTGAGGCACTGTGCCTGGCCAGTGTTTAGTGTTAATAGTGGTTATTTCTGGAATGATGGGATCTGGGGCTGCTTTTTTTCTTTTGGTTTAACTGTATTTTTCCAAAAATTTTAAGATAATGGTCACATTATTATTATTATTATTATTATTATTATTATTATTATTTTGAGACAGACTTTCACTGTGTTGCCCAGGCTGGAGTGCAATGGCGCGATCTCGGCTCACTGCAACCTCTGCCTCCTGGGTTCAAGTGATTCTCCTGCTTCAGCCTCCTGAGTAGCTGGGACTACAGGCGTGTGCTACCACGCTCGGCTAATTTTGTATTTTTAGTAGAAACGAGGTTTCACCATGTTGGTCAGGCTGGTCTCAAACTCCTGACCTCAAATGATCCACCCCCCCTTGGCCTCCCAAAGTGCTAGGATTACAGGCATGAGTCACCGCACCCAGCCCACACAATTTTTATATATATTTAAATATTTTTATATATTTAAAAATGTATTTTTTTAATTTCTAAAAACAAACTGCAATATATAGCATAATTTTTTGCTTGCTTTTTTTTTTTTTTTTTTTTTTTTGGAGATGGAGTCTTACTCTGTTGCCCAGGCTGGAGTGCAGTGGCACGATCTCGGCTCACTGCAAGCTCTGCCTCCCGGGTTCACGCCATTCTTCCGCCTCAGCCTCCCGAGTAGCTGGGACTACAGGTGCCTGCCACCATGCCCGGCTAATTTTTTGCATTTTTAGTAGAGATGGGGTTTCACTGTGTTAGCCAGGATGGTCTCCATCTCCTGACCTTGTGATCCGCCCGCCTCGGCCTCCTAAAGTGCTGGGATTACAGGCATCAGCCACCGCACCCGGCCTTTGCTTGCCTTTTAAAAATACATAACTATGCATAATATTTGTAAATGCACACATAAAGTGTCTGGAAGGACCCACAAGGACTACCAGCAGTTGATTCCCTGTTAAAGTGAAGGTGGGGCAGGACGGTTGGGTGCTACCTTCACTTTTCCCTTTATAAACTTCTAGGTTGTTTGCACTGTACTTATATGGGAAGTTAATACCAGTTTGTTTCCAATTAAAACAAAAGTCAGCAGTAGTCCCCCAGGGTCCAGCCTTTAGGCCATAAAGGCACTGCCCACCAGGCAGGGAGGGGGTGGCCCGCAAGGGTGGATTGGAGGCTTCCTGTCCCTGGTGCCCACCTCCATCCGCTTCCTGAGCCTCAGACCAAGCTCCACCCATGGCCCTCCTAGGTCGCCGACCCCGCCCTACAAGTGACAGGATGGAAAACCATGGAGTGGGGGCAGGGCGGTCAGACAGGCAGGAGGCCTGATGAACTTGACTTCTGAGGACTCAGAGCCTCTAGCCCAAGGCCACCCAGGGCGCTGGGGGCTGCACCAGGAGGGAAACATCCTGTCCCCAGCCCTTCTCACTAACCCAGGCCAGTGACCCGAATCAAACACCCAGAAGTGAGAGGGTGCTTTGGCCCTGCTCCTGGACAGCATCTGGGCCTGGAGCTGCCTGTCCCGCCTGCCATGTCTCTGGGCCCAGGCTCACTCCAGCAGGATTTGCTTCAGGGCTGGCTTCCCTTCTTGGGCCCCAAGAACGACAGCAACCATCTCAATAACAGTAATAACAAGGATGAGAAACAGAGCAGCTTACTCTCTGCCAGGCACTTTGCAAACACACCTCATTGAATCCTTATGGTGGCCTATGAGTTGGGTACTGCGGTTAACCCACTTTCCAGAGGAAGAAACTGAGGCTCAGAGAACACGCAGGTGGCAGGGTTGTTTCCACTAGGCCTGTCTGTTTAATAACCACAGACATATTCTACACGGAAGCCTTGGGTCTGTGAGAGCCAGGCCAGGCCACACCAGGACGTTCCTGCATGGTGGCTGTGGCCAGTCCTCGTGGGCCTCCCCCCCCCAGCCCTTCCCCCACAGTCTGGGAGAGCTGGCCTCTGCTTTGACCCTTCCTGCCTCCTACACGGGTAGGAGAGGCCCGTGTATCCCCTGCTTCCTGACCCTTAGCAAACTTCTTTGAGCCGTTAGGATTTTTCCCTTCCATGGTATTCTGGAAAGAGCTCTAAGAGACCCCTCACCTGCCGCAGCTCCCAATTCAAAGAAACCAAGATCAAGGGTCGGAGGGAGAATAGAACTTGCCCAAGACTCCGCAGCGGGTCGTGGGCAGAGCCAGGCTGCAAGCCAGGCCTGGGGACTCCGGCCTCTCTCCCTCTAGGCTTTTGTCTGGGGGAGGGGCTTCTGGAGAGGAGAGGCCTGTGAGAGTGGCGGGCAGGTGGGGGCCTGCACACAGGGGCTGCTCCATAGCCCAAGACCTGGGCTCCCGGCCAGAGGGTCTGGAACGAGGAAGTACTGCCTCTTCCCCCACAGAGGCTGGAGAGGGCAGACGGGCCTAGATGAGCCTAGACGCTGGGTCCCACCAGTCCCCCAAAGCCAGATGTTCCTGTTCTCACCTGGGTGTGTGAGATTTTTTGTTTCATTTTGTTCCTTACAAGGTGAAGCTGTGTGAACCGTGAGCGTGAGCTCTGGGCCAGGCTCCATGGCCCTTCTAAGGAAAAGGCCCCTTAGGACACCTCTGGGCTGTGAGGCTTCCCCGGCTTCCCCTCTGGGCTTGGAGGAAGTAGGGTAGGTCCTCAGCCACTCTGCTGAGGGGCAAAGGAACCAGGGTATGAACAGGAAAACAGAGGCCCAAAGAGTGGCTGCAGATTCAGGTGATCCCTGGGGCTGTGGGGAGGCTCCTGCCCTGGGCTCACCTCAAGGAAGCTGCAGGAACTGCTGTGGCAAAAGCAGAGAGTCTTCAGTTTCCTGATCAAGACAGCCTTCAGTAGACCCCGAACCAGCCACCAGACCTGTCAAGGATCATCTCCATCTGCCTGGAGGAAGTGACTGACGCATCACTCCTGCCAGGTCACCACCCCCAGAAAGACACACCATTTGGGCCAACCCAGCAGTAAATACCCCACCCGAGGGTAGGGCCAGGTTAGAGGAGCCTCTGTGTCCTGGGCCCAAGGGCTGGGTCAGCCTTTTCCCAGGGGATAGAGAAGGAAGAGGAGGCAGCCTCCCAGGAGAGAGTGGAGTTCAAATCCCATCAGAACCAGTGGACACTGGGCCTTGGACACCCAGGATGAGGCAGGGAGTAGGGAGACAACCAATGGGGCAGGGGCTTCCTGCCATCTGTCACCACCAAGGAAGGGCAGGGCCAGCCCAGGGCAGATGAACCCCACGAAAAATGCTGGCTCCACATGTCAAGTGCCTGCTATGTCCTAAGCCATGGGGATAGTCCACTGTCTGAATCTGTGAGGTGGGGACAATTTTAACCTTTTACAAATGACAAAACAGGCCCAGAGAGGGGTACTAATCTGCCAAGACCACTACAGCAGAAAGTGGGGCCAGAAAGAAGTCAGGCCTTGACTCCAGGGCCCTCCCTCTGAGCCCGGAAACCCCCTCCACCTCCGCCTACCAGACTCCATCCCGCCCTTACCTCTGCCTGACACCTGTTGAGAGCTCCTCGCTCCGTGCTGTGGCTCCGCTGCCAGCCTGCTCCTTGCTTCGCCAGCTCAGGGCTCTCCTCCCCCCTCCCATTCCTGCAGAAACTTCTGGGTCCACCTGGCACTGGGCAGGAGGAAGCCGGGCACAAAAGCGGTGCTGTGAACCAAGTGCCAGGTCTCAGCCCCCTCTGTGAAAGCCAAGGGCGGGAGGGAGAGTATGCCGGGTCACCCAGAGCCCCCGGGACTACTGGCTACATAATTTCTGGGATCCAGTGCAAAATGAAAATGCAAGTCCTCTTGCAAAAAAAAAACAAAAAACAAAACAAACAAACAAAAAACCCTAAGAATTTAAAGTTGGCAACAGCAGAGCATTAGCATAGGGCCCTGATCCCTGGAGCTGGCAGCTAGAACCCCAGGGCTGCATCCCAGCTGACAGCCCGAGGCCCTGGCCCAGTCCTCTGAGTCTTCCCGTCCCCAGATGAAGTAGTGATGCCTGGAAGGGGTGATGCTTGTGGGCTCTCTCCAGCCCAGGGGTGCAGGGCTCAGGTCCTCGGGCTCAGCTCTCAGACCTGGTATTGCACACTGGCCCAGCCGCTCCACAGTTGTCCGGCTTCAGCTGAGTGGCCTCAGCTCATCTGTAAAACCAGCTAGCACCAGTCCTCCTCTGAGGATGGCAAGGTTCCGCTGGTGGGACTTTTTTTCTCACTTTACAGATGACGAAAGTAAGGCCTGAGCCAGACTAGACTCCCTCACAGCAGCCACCCAGGGCTGCCCTCTGCCTTCCTGTTTTGCAGGGAGACCAAACCCACTTTCTTTCTTTCTTTTTTTTTTTTTTTGAGATGGAGTCTCACTCTGTCGCCCAGGCTGGAGTGCAGTGGCATGATCTCAGCTCACAGCAACCTCCGCCTCCCGGGTTCAAGCAATTCTCCTGCCTCAGCCTACTGAGTAGCTGGGACTACAGGCACCCACCGCCACATCCTACTAATTTTTTGTATTTTTAGTAGAGATGGGATTTCACCCTGTTGGCCACACTGGTGTCAGACTTCTGACCCCAAGTGATCTGCCCACCTCGGCCTCCCAAAGTGCTGGGATTATAGGAGTGAGCCACCGCGCCTGGCCCACTTTTTTTTTTTTTTTGTAGAGACTGGTTTTGTCACGTTGCTCAGACTGGTCTCAAATTCCTGGTCTCAAGCAACACTCCCGCCTTAGCCCCCACTGTGCCAGGCCCAACCCCAGATTTAATGGCTAATTTAACTTGCCATTTGACCCAGGACCAGGGAAGCAATATGGGTGGAGAAATTTCCCTCCCACTCAGAGTCGCTTCCTCCTGGCCCTGGCTCTCCTCTCACTGGGTACAGAACGGGGTTCCCAAAGAAGCCTCCGACTTAGGGTCAGTTTCCTGGGCCAGAGCAGTGAAGGGACCAGCCCCCCAGAGGAGCCCTGACCTGCTGGGGAAGGGGCTGGGCTGGGGCCACCAGCAGGAGGTTGTTGGGGAAGAAATTGAAGCCCAGCCAATGTGGGCCCAGGTAGGGGCCTCAGGGATTCCAGTCAACAGCTTCTGGGACAGCCGGGCGCGGTGGATCACGGCTGTAATCCCAGCACTTTGGGAGGCCGAGGCGGGTGGATCGCCTGAGGTCAGGAGTTCGAGAGCAGCCTGGCCAACATGATGAAACCCCGTCTCTACTAAAAATACAAAAAATTAGCTGGGCGTGGTGGCACGCGCCTGTAATACCAGCTACTTGGGAAGCCAAGGCAGGACAATTGCTTGAACCCGGGAGGCGGAGGTTGCAGTGAGCCGAGATGGCACCACTGCACTCCCAGCCTGGACAATAAGAGCAAAACTCCGTCTCAAAAAAAAAAAAAGCTTCTGGGACTGTGACAGGGAAAGAAACCCTCATCTCCACCCCTAAACACATCAGACACATGACCACGCTAGAGACAGCATCCAGAAAACACACGTTTACCCGTACGTTCCTGATACGGCCCCGGCAGTCACAACTCCAAGGCCCCTTCACCAATGAACCCCAGGCTCTCGGCTGCCCCAACCAGGGCGGCCAGCCTGAGAAGTGTGGCACCAAAAGGTGGTAGGAGCGGCTGGGGAGGGAGGACCAGGACTGGCACAAGGTCATGATGCTGGTGAGTTGGGGGCCATCAGCCCCAGGGACAAAGGCCACTTGACAGACCTGGAGGTGGGGTGAGCCCCCAAATGCCGTGAATTACTCAGGGAGTGGAGGGGGGAGACACGGCTCCCCCCTCCACTCCCCTTCAAGTCATGAGGCCTGAGATGGCTCCAAGTGTCGCCAGAATGGGGCGGGAAGGAACCTTAGGTCCACCCAGCACGTGGCAGGAGGCAGGATCCATAAATTAAATGTTTTTGTGGAGTGTGATGGCTTGGGATGGGACATCCCGGAGGCCTCGCAACGGCATGGCGACTGGCAGGACGACGGAAGCTACTCAGTCCTCCAGGACGGATGGGCGAACACGATGGGCCTCTTCTTGGCCCAGCGGGAGAAGACCGCCTTCTCAGTGATGAAGCGGTGGGCGCTTCGGGGCGCCTGCTCGTGTGCCAGGTACATCTGACACTCATCTAGCCGGCCCTTCTCAAAGTAGTGGTAAGGCACTGAGGGGTGGCTCTTCTCCCTGCGGGGTGGGGAACAGGGCTGGGGTGGGACAGAACCCACTCGCCTCCGGCCACACCCTGCCGCCTACCTTGACCACCCCTCGCCAGGCCCATGGGCTCGTGAAGACCCACGCCTGATCCCTGGGGAGGCCAAGACACATAGGGGAGTAGCAGATCCCGAGAGCCAGGGTTCGAGTCCTGGCTCTGCCTCTTGCAAGCTGGATGACTCTGGGCCAGAGATGGACGCTGTGAGCCTCAAGAGCCCGTGTGTAAAACGCAGATGGTCACATCCGCCTTCCAGAACAAGTGCGTAGATCAAGAGATGGAGACTGCAGGCACCCTGCTAGTGGTCCTGGGCTCCTGGTGAGGGAGGAGCCCCTCATTCCCATGTCACAGAGCCACCAGCCCTGCACGCCCACCTCCCCATCAGCATCACGGGGGCCAGCCGTATGGCCAGGGCCATGGCTGGGGCACAGGGACACCTGTCACCTCGGTGACCTGTTGTGAACTCGTTAGTTTCCATAATATTGAAATATAATAATATAGGCTGGTGCGGTGCTCACACCTGTAATCCCTGATCCCTGGGGAGGCCAAGGCGGGAGGATCACCTGAGGTCAGGAGTTCCAGACCAGCCTGGCCAACATGATGAAACCCCGTCTCTACTAAAACTACAAAAAATTAGCTGGGCGTGGTGGCACGTGCCTGTAATCCCAGCGACTAGGGAGGCTGAGGCAGGAGAATCGCTTGAACCCGGGAGGTGGAGGTTGCAGTGAGCCAAGATCGCGCCACTGCACTCCAGCCTGGGCAACAAGAGCAAAACTCCATCTCAAAAAAAAAAAAAGAAATATAATAATATAACAATGGTACAAAATCATACCATAAACATATCTGAACTTGATATCATGCTGGTATTATAATATCAAATATTATATAATATCAAAAATCACATATAATATCAAAAATTAAAACTTATATAAAACATATCACTGATATATATATATATATATATTTAGGCCCTATATATATAGGCCCTGACTGTGGTAAGCACTTTTGTAGATTATTCCCTCCCTAAATGTTTCAACAACCTTCCAAGTAAGATGTGGTTCTTTTCTCTATTTTCCACATAAGGAAACAGAGGGTCTGCGGGGTGGCATGACTGGCCCGTGAACAGCCTGTGACCACAACAGCCACACTGGGGTTGGTAAGGCAGCCTGTTTGACACTGAGCTCTTTCCCAAGGCCCAGAGCGCAAGGGGTATCTGTGCTATGGTCACCCACCATGAAGCCCACACTCCCTCTGCCCCCACAGCTCCCAAATCCTCTGGTTTAAGGCCTAGGAGGGCTCACAGTCCTCCCCGCGTCCCCGCGTGCCCGGCCTGGCCGGTCTGACCTGCAGTAGCTGTCGCTGACCATCCCATAGACCACGATCTCCTCACACAGCTCCAGCGCGAGGATCATGGTGAACCAGCCGGTGCTGAGGAAGGAGCCCGACTGCCTCCTGGGGGTGGCGGGGGGACAGGGGGACGCTGTCAACAAGAGGCCATGTGGTAGCTCCAGGCCCCAGCAGCACTTGGTACTTTGCCAGCCCGGGGCTATGCACCTCAACCTCTTGCGGGGGGCTCTGGGGGAGGCTGGGGAGGGGACAGAGCCAGCCCAAGGCCAGCAGTGGGTGACAGGCAGAGCGGCACACAAACCCAGGCCTGATCACCTCCTCAGCACCCAGCGGGGCTCGGGCCCAGCTACGCTTTGCAGGGTTTGAGCAAACCCCTGGATGATGGGTGTGGGGGCTCTGGCCACGTCCTCTCCTCATCTAAGGGACCAGGCCTGGGGAGACAGCATGAGGCAGCAGGGCACCGTGGTTTGAAGTCAGGTGGGGGTTCTCTAGAGTCCAAGGATCTTCCACTTGAACCCTGGCTCTGCTATGGGCATCACATTTGCTCGTGAACCTCTCTGAGCCTCATGACCAGTCTGTGAAGTGGAGATAATTTTAGGGGGTTATAGGGAGGGAACACTGTCAGCCCAGCCCCTGCCCGCATGCCCCCATGCCCCACTCAGAGCAAGGGGCTAGGTGGTGGCCCCAGCCTCAGCTCCCTGGAGGCAGCAGCCCTGGGTACTCTTGCAGCCAAGGGCCACCCCTCTCAACCTCTACAGAGCGGGTATGAACTGGTTCATTCATTCAAACTGAGCCCCACCCAGGCCCTGTGCTGGCCCAGAACCTACCTCATCTGGTGCTAACATTCCACGGAAGCACCAGATGGGAAGGGAAGGAGAAAAATAGATAAACAAGTAGCTAGGAGACAAATCTCTAAGCAAGATGATGGCAGAGGGTGACACCTGCTGCCAAGACAAGGAAACAAAGGAATGGATAAAGAATGCCAGGGCGGGAGGCACTCCTTCTGATGGGGTGGTCAGGGCGGGCTTCCCTGAGGAGGTGACCTGAGTAACAAGAGGAGCCTGTCATGGGAAGATCTGGGAGAAGAACATTCCAGGGAGAGGGAACAGCAGGTGCAAAGTCCTGCAGGTAGAAATAGGCATGGATGTCTGAGCCCCAGACGGCCAGTATGGGTAGAACAGGGAGACTGAAGGAGACACAAAGTCACAGAGGCAGGCAGAGGCAGGATCACGCAGGGCAGGCAGGCCAGGAGTGGTGGGGGCGGGAAGCCTAAGTCAAGGTGGCAGCCATGGGCCATTGTACGTGGCAGATGATGATACGAGAGGAATCAGAGGCACAGCCCAATTTTCTGGGGGATACACCAGAGGCTGACTGTTCTATCTCCTGAGCACAGAGGCCAGTGGAGAGCAGGTGTGTGGAGGAGGGGCTGGCAAGAGTCATGAGTGTGCTTTTGGATATGACATAAAATGAAACCTTGAATGCGGAGTGCTTCACCCAATGCCTGGTGAGCAAAGAGGGCTGTTATTGCTCTGTTTTGTTTTGCTTTTTGAGACAGAGTCTCGCTCTGTCACCCAGGCTGGAGTGCAGTGGTGCGATCTTGGCTCACTGCAACCTCTGCCTCCAGGTTCAAACGATTCTCCTGCCTCAGCTACTCTCCTGAGTAGCTAGAATTACAGGCATGCGCCACCACACCCGGCTAATTTTTGTATTTTTAGTACAGATGGGGTTTCACCATGTTGGCCAGGGTGGTCTTGATCTCTTGACCTCGTGATCCTTCCACCTTGGCCTCCCAAAGTGCTCGGATTACAGGCGTGAGCCACCGGGCCTAGCCCTAATTTTTGTATTTTTGGTAGAGCCCAAGGTTTCACCATGTCAGCCAGGCTGGCCTCAAACTCCTGACCTCAAGTGATCCTCCCGCCTTGGCCTCCCAAAATGCTGGGATTACAGGCGTGAGCCACCGCACCCGGCCTCTAACTTTTATTATCCAGAAGGGATATCAGAGACCAAGTTAGACAGACCATTCCCTCCAGAGAGAAGTGCTCCCTCATGCCCCTACACACTGGCTAGTGCTTCCCATCAGGTGCTCAAAAGGCCTGACAGCCCTCAACACCATCTGGGATTCTAGATCTGTGTGACAGTTTCCTGAGTGACATCCCCTCTGCCTCCTGCCCCCCATTAGAGGGCAGGACCATGTCTGCCTCCATGAGTGCTGACCTCCCGGGCCTGACAGAGCAGCCCCTGATGGACAAGAGACTCCCAGAGAAGGAAGGCCCCAGCTGCCAGAGAGACCCCAGCAGGCAGGCCCCAGGCTCACCGGTTCTTGCCCGTCTCGTCCTGGAAGATCTGGTCGCAGTAGGCCATCATGCGCTCCGTGAAGGTGTACACCTGCAGGCCGGGGTACATCCTGGTGAGCTGCAGCAGCGTGCGGTAGGTGCGGCCGCCGAGCACCCGGTCCATGTGCCTGCCCTGGCCCCACACCATGTAGAGCGTGTCTCGGGCCTTCTGGAAGTAGTGTGAATAGTTGCGCAGCAGCAGCGGCACGCTTGTGTGTGAGACGACACGCAGGGTGCTGCGCTGGCCCACATCCGCCTCAAAGCCCACGGTGGGCGCCTGGTTCATGCGGAACACGCACTCGGCACTGTCGATCTCAGCACCCAGGCCTGAGCCCAGCATTTGGCCGGAGCTGGACACCACGGCACAGCTGCGGCAGGGCTCGCGGACCAGCGGCTGCAGGGCAGGCAGGGAGAAAGAGACAGAGAGGCATGAACACGCAGCTTACACCCCCTGCAGCTCCCCCTGGAATATCCACCAATCTTGCTTGATCAGGTATCGGCTTGAAGGACTGTTATGAACCCATTTTGCAGGCTGGGCAGCAGGGATGACTTTCCCGAGATCACAGTGATACCCAGTGTCAGAGCTAAGGTTCTGCACTCAGCCCCCACTTCCTCATCAGCCATATTTGTGGTCCTTATTCCTGTTGCTGCCTCTGAGGCCCTGTCTCTACGTAATGAGTCCTTATGAGGTTTGCTTGAGCAAATAGTTATAAAACACTTAGAACAGTGGCTGGCGCAGACTGGAGGTCATATAAGTATTTGTCAAGTAAACATGAACCTCAGCTCTTCAGAATCATTCTTAGGCCACTCCCTCCCCTGCACATGCCTCACCCACACTGTGCCCAGTTTCTAAGTAAGAGCAGGGTCATCAGCGCCCAGGACAGCTGTGGGACTCCCTGGTCCTGAGCCTGAATCCTGGCTCTGCCCTCTCCTAGCTATGTGGCCTGAAGCCAAGTCACCGGCCTCTGTGCGCCTCAAGTCTCTCATCTATAAAATGGGGAAGAAAACAACATCTGGGCCGGGAGCGGTGGCTCACGCCTGTAATCCCAGCACTTTGGGAGGCCAAGGTGGGTGAATCACCTGAGGTCAGGAGTTCGAGACCAGCCTGGTCAACATGGCAAAACCCCATCTCTACTAAAAACACAAAAATTAGCTGGGCGTGGTAGCACACGCCTGTAATCCCAGCTACTCAGGAGACTGAGGCAGAAGAATCCCTTGAACCTGGGAGGCGGAGGTTGCAGTGAGCCGAGATTGCGCCACTGTACTCCAGCCTGTTGACAGAGTGAGCTCTTGTCTAAAATAAATAAACAAATAAAAATATAAATACAAAAAAAAGAAAAAGAAAAAGAAAACAACATCTGGCCGGGCACGGTGGCTCACACCTGTAATCCCAGCACTCTGGGAGGCCAAGGTGGGTGGATCACTTGAGATCAGGAGTTCAAGACCTGCCTAGCCAATATGGTGAAACCCCATCTCTAAAAATTAACCAGGTGTGGTGGCATGAGCCTGTAGTCCCAGGGCAGGGCTAGGGCAGGCACATGGACGGGGTGCTCGGCGGCCACACCTACTGCACACTGCTGCAGCTCACCAGGATGTACCCCGGCCTGCAGGTGTACACCTTCACCGAGCGCATGATGGCCTACTGTGACCAGATCTTCCAGGACGAGACAGGCAAGAACCGGTGGCGGGAGGCTGAAGCATGAGAATCACTTGAATCCGGCAGGTGGAGGTTGCAGTGAGCTGAGATCGCACTACTGCACTCCAGCCTGGGTGACAAAGCTAGACTCTCTCTCTCTCAAACAAACAAACAAAAAAAAACATTTCTTGGGCGGGCGTGGTGGCTCATGCCTGTAATCCCAGCACTTTGAAAGGCCAAGGCAGGCAGATCACCTGAGGTTGGGAGTTCGAGACCAGCCTGACCAACATGGAGAAACCCCATCCCTACTAAAAATACAAAATTAGCCAGGTGTGGTGGTACATGCCTATAATCCCAGCTACTCGGGAGGGTGAGGCAGGAGAATCGCTTGAACCTGGGAGGCAGAGGTTGCGTGAGCTGAGATCATGCCATTGCACTCCAGCCTGGGCAACAAGAGCAAAACTCCATCTCAAAAAAAAAAAAAAAAATCTCTTTTTAGAATCTAGGGCTCAGAGCCGAGATCGCGCCACTGCACTCTAGCCTGGGAGAAACAGAAAGACTCCGTCTCAAAAAAAAAAAAAAAAAAAAAAAAAAAAAGAACCTAGGGCTCAGAGAGGTGATGTGATTGGCCAGGATCACATGGCTGGTGAGTAGAGGGGCCAAGCTCAAGGTCCGGTTTGGGACAAGCCCAGCTCTCACTACCCACCCCGGATGCATTGCCTGGCCCACTCACCTTCCCATCTGGCACACTGCTATATCCACTGAAGTGCAGGGGTCCCGGCACAGTGGGCCTGGAGCCTGTGGGGAAGTGGTGGTCCAGGCAGGTGGCCAGGCAGAGGGGCAGGCCGGCCCAGCAGCACAGGAGGATGTAGACGGCAGAGAAGACCACGGAGCACAGGATGATGAGCACGAGCCGACCCTGAGGGAGACAGTGGCCATGGGGGGGTGTATGTGGGGAGGGGCTCCCAGAAGCCCCTTCAGCGCTGCACCTGGCCTCCTGGGTCTAGAGAAGCTCCTGGGTCTAGAGCAGCTCCTAGAACAGCAGCAGAATCCAGTCTCCATCCACTGGGCCTTACCTGGGGATGCCAAGCTCTGGGCACATAAGGCCCCGGAGATAACACTGTTATCATCCCCACATTCTAGATAAGGAAAGCAGTTTGGAGTGAAGTGTGTAGTACAAGGCCATACAGCAAAGAAGCAGCACAGTGGGGCCTTAAATACTGGCTGGAAAGCCCATATTCCTAACTGGAGGCTAGGGTGTACTGTGCGACCTATGGCTCTCCATCCCTCTGGGCCTGTTTCCTCCTCTACAAACTGGGGACTGATAATGCCCACCGTGTGAACTTACGGGAGGGGGGCAGTGAAAGCCTTCTGTATACTGTAAAGTGCTGTGCACATGACAACGGGAAAGTGGTGCCTCAGAAGGGCCACCAGCCCCTTCAGCCTAGGACCAGGGCTGCCTAGTGTGGCCCCGCCTCCTCCCCACCCCCAGCTGACTCAGTGGCTGTCCCCTGGTGATCCGGATCTGGGTCAGCAGGCCAGGTGGCACAAGGAGATTGGAGCAAAGGTCACTCAAGAAATGGTTTTAATAATTGAAAAGCTGGTGCCTGGAGGCTACCGCCTCCAGAAACCATGTGCCAAAGGCCATTGGAACCAGGAAGCTCTTCTAGCCATCTGGCCTAGACCCAGCCTGGGGCTGGTCCTGCTGGCAGACTTAGTGAATGCCCCTACCACCACCAAGCCTCCCAGGAGGGGAAGGGCTTGGTGGCAGCAGAACTGTGGGCTAGTCACTGGGTAGTGGGCCACCCTGGTCACCACGTGTGTCTCTCTGGGCTCCAGGTTTCTAGACTCGAGGCACAAGTCCCTAGGCCACCCTTCAGAAGCCACCAAGCAGTTGGCTGGTGCTCTCCAAAAATCAGAAGTGGGAAAGTGGCCCCCACCCCCTACCCCATCACCCCACCTGCCCCGGCGCATCCTGCCTGAGGCCCACCATTTTCTGCCCGCAAGCTACGTCAGCTTCTAAAAATAAGTCTTTTCTGTGTGGCCAGCTGTGCAGGGGAGGGAGTTCTGCCTGGCACCTGCTCCCCTGCCCATGAGGAACCAGAGACCTTGACTCAGGCAGTCGAGATGAACTGCCCCCCACATCCAGCTCTCTCTCTCACAGCCCGGGGCTTCTGCAGTAAAGACAAGAGCGGCTGAACTGAACTTCACAACCCCAGTTCCACGTAGGCTTTGCCTGGTGAGCTCGTAGCGTTACCTCCGTTTTACAGGGATAGCAAGGTACTGACACTGCAGAGTGGATGCCACCTGCCTGGGGCCACACGGTCTGCAAGAACAGGGTTGGACTTTGAGGCCATTCTGCCCTTCTCTGCTCAGCAGTAGGGAGGTCAGAAGTGGCAGTGGGTCCTGGGGTGGAGAGGCTGCTGAGCTGCTCCGCCAGTCGGGGCCTCTGCGTTCCCTGGAAGTCCTCCTTCTTCCCACTTACCGGAGCCTTCATGCTGTCGCTGTCCCTCAGTAGTCTAGGGGCTGCTGTCTCCAGGGCTGGGGCTGGGAAGGGGTGGGAGCCGGGCACCTGCCAAGACCCAGAAACTCAGAGCCGGGAGGGGTAAGGCAGGTGGGGTTCTAAGCTATAGGGAAAACTGAGGCAGGAGAGGGTACAGGCCGGGGTGAAAGCACATGGCACCCGGGAATCCAACCCCTTGACGTCTCCAAACACCGGAAGGCAATGTCCCCATCCTAAAGGAGCAGGAATCAGCGACGTTTGCGAGACCTCCTGCCAACCCAATTCCCAGTGCGCAGATGGGGAGGAAGAGGCAGCGAGGAGGCGCCCCCAGCTCAAGGTCACCCATCAGGTCTGGGGCAGAGAGAGCCAGAAGCCCGGAATTCCACCCCATCCATCCTACCTCTCTACCCGGGGGACGAATGGAGAGGCCGGGCGAGGGCAGGACGTAGGTTTTTCACCGCCCTTCCAGATTCCACTGCCGCATCTCCCGGCCGAATGCTAACCGGGCGTGCAGGCTGGGGTTCGCAGGAGGCTCGCGATCCGCCGCTCGGAGCTCCATGGCCCCCGGGCCGGGCCGACTGGGCTGGAAGCTGATCCGCGCGGCCAGAGGCAGGGGGCGGGGCCGGGGCCGGGGCCGGCGAGGAGGGGCGGAGACTCGCGCGCCGGGGGCGGGGCCTGCGCGCCGCAGGCGGATCCTACGAGCGCGGCCTGCGCGACCTGGGGAGGGCTCTGCGCGGCCGGGACGGGGCGGGACGTGAATGGCTGGCGGCGAGGCCTCCAGCTAGGGGCGGGGCCTCAGGGCCGGGGGCGGGGCTTCAGAGCCGGGGCGGAGTCTGAGTACCAGCATCTCCCTTTTCGGTCCTGCCGAATTTCCAGCAGGCTCCTGCCTGGGCGAGGCTGTCGGGCCGCAGGGGAAAGAGACCTAGAGGGTGTCGGGGGCCACCAGGCAGTGGCGGCCTGGCTGTCCGGACTTGAGTGTCTCCATTTCTGAAATGGTGGTTGGGGAGGGAAATTAAGCAGGGCTTCGGGTCAGGCAGCCCACGTTTCAACTGGTAGGATTGCTGCATTTATCAAGTAAGATACAGAACGCCCAGTGACATTGGAAATTCAGATAAACAACGAATACATGAGTTATTTTCAATATGATTATTTTATTATGATTATGTCAGTGTGACAGTCACCTGAGTCTGTTTTTCTCCTCTGAGACACACGTGTAGAGGCAGCTCCTGTCACAGCCAGGATTCGAACCCAGGAAGTTTCACTCCAGACCCGGGGCTGTGACCACCTACTCTTACCTCTCGAAGGCTCCCTCGCTGGAATGTCCTCCAAATCCAAGTCAAGTCAGCTCAGGCCCCAGGCAGATGCTGCAGTGTGTCCTATTGGGGTCCCTTGGGATCTCAGAGGCAACTGCCTTCAAGCGCCAGGCTGGTGGCAGAAAGCACTGGGACAGTAGCAGGGGTGGGCCTATGGGGAAGTGAGAGGGCACACTTCCTGTCTAGGATTTTTTTTTTTTTTCTTTTGAGACAGAGTCTCTCTCTGTTGCCTAGGCTGGAGTGCAGTGGTGCCATCCTGGCTCACTGCAACCTCCGCCTCCTGGGTTCAAGCGATTTTCAGCTAACTTTTGTATTTTTAGTAGAGACAGGGTTTCACCATGTTGGCCAGGCTGGTATCGAACTCCTAACCTCAAGTGACCTGCCTGCCTCGGCCTCCCAAAGTGCTAGGATTACAGGCGTGAGCCACCACGCCCAGCCCTTGTTTATGATTTTTTGTGCAAAATGTTGAATTGGCCAGAAAGATCATTTCACCATCCCAACCACACCCACCTCCTCTGCAGGGAGCTAGCCTGGGAACCAGCTTGGGCTCCTGCCCTGGTCTCCATTTCAAACTCCTTTTTCCTTTTTCTCAGAGGCTCAGGCCTGGGCAGGATGCCAGGGTATCTGTCCCCAGCTCAGCAACCTTCCCAGTCTACCCTGCTCCAGGTTCAAAGCCAAATCACCCCTGGGCCTGGTGCTCTAGGCCTCAGTGCCTCCCCTATCCAGGGGCTGGGAGGAGGGCTGCTGTAGTGGCCCTGCCCCCTAGGGGCCTCCTTTGAGCACAAACTCTCCTGTCACTGCCACTCCAGCCTGGACACACATGGGGAGTAGTGGTTCACGCTCAGTCACCATGGCCCCTCACTCACACAAGGCAGTGGGTCCCCAAAGCCAGAGCCCTTTCCTCTCAGTCCTCGTTCTTCAAGTTTCTTTCCTCATAGGCCCAACCCTGAGGGCACAATGGTGAGAAGTTCCCTATGGATTCACTCACTGCCCACAATGGCTGGTGAGGTGATGATTCCTTCCCCGGAGAGGCAACTCCATCCTTGCTAGGGCCACATGGAGACAGGGACATGCCCAAATGGCCCGTGCTCCCAGGGTAGATGAGGATCATAAGTCCACAGTAGAACTGTGACCAGGAAGTCCCACAGCCCCAGATAAAGATCTTCACTTTGCTTTTGGCAAAAACCTACTCTGCTTACCACAACCTACACGATCCTACACAGTGTGAACTCCTTCAGTCACCCTCCACCTGCCCTGGCCACCCTCCGACCGCCAATCATTACTGAAGCCATTCCTACTGCAGGGCCTCTGCCCTCACTGTGTCCTCTGCTGGACTGCGCTAGTCATATGGTGGCTTCTCTTACCATTCAGCTCAAGCATCACCTCCTCTGAAAAGCCCTTGCCAGCCACCCTACCCAACGCTGCACCCCAATCCCTCTTGCCTCACCCCGACTCAGTTTTTCATAATATTTGTCACACTCTGAAATTGCCCTGTGTATTAACTGGTTGCCTTATTTATGGTCCACCTGCCCCACAGACTCTAAGCTCCATGTGGGCAAAGTCAGACCAGCCATGTGCTCAGGACACCTCCAGCACCTGCACAGTGCCCGGCACACACTAGGTGCTAGGTCACGTCTATCAATGCATGAGTTAGGAGAGCCTGGGTCCCATGAGTTCTTGGACAAATCACTTTCCTTTCCAGCCTGAGGTCCCGGCTAGGCTCACGGCCAGAGACCCAAAGGTGGAGAGAGTCTGAGTCATCCTTATGTGTGAGAGCAGGACTCTGTGGCGCTGACTCAGCCCTGTGGGATCCAGATGGGTGGAAATGTGGAGTCAGACTCCAGTTCCTGCTGCAATTCCCTGCCACCTCCGAGTTTCCCTGGCCCATCACCTCCTGAGTGATGGGCGTGACAACACTCTATGTCACAACTTCCTGCTAAAGTAAGGACAAGAAATTTCCACTCAGCTCATGCCAGCACAGAGAGGTTGAGAAATCAGGCAAGGTCACCCAGACGACTAGGAGTGATATCAATATTTAAAGTACATATATTCTGGTGAGGTGCAGTGGCTCATGCCTGTGGGCCCAACACTTTGGGAAGATCAAATCAGGCGGATTGCTGGAGCCCAGGAGTTCAAGATCAGCCTGGGCAATATGATGAGACCCTGTCTCTGCAAAATAAAATAAAATAAAATAAAATAAAATAAAATAAAATAAAAGTAGCCAGGTGTGATGGCACATGCTTGTAGTCCCCGCTACTTGGGAGGCTGAGGTGGGAGGATCACTTGAGCCCAGGAGGTTGAGGCTGCAAGGAGCTGTAATCCATGTCACTGCACTCACGCCTAGGTGACAGAGGGAGGCCCTGTCTCAAAAAAAACCAAAAACCAAATATTCCAGGAACCCTGCATCCAGAGCTCTCTCCTTCCTCCCCCTTCCCCCTCAGCCATCTTTCTTTTTTTGTTGTTGTTTTGTTTTGTTTGAGACAGTCTTGCTGTGTTGCCCAGGCTGGAGTGCAGTGGTGCCATCTCGGCTCACTGCAACCTCTGCCTCCTGGACTCAAGAAATTCGCCTGCCTCAGCCTCCCAAGTAGCTGGGACTACAGGCACCCGCCACCACAGCTGGCTAACTTTTCTATTTTTAGTAGAGACGAGGTTTCACCATGTTGGCCCGGCTGGTTTCAAACTCCTGACCTCAAGTGATCCACCCACCTTGGCCTCCCAAAGTGCTGGGATTACAGGCGTAAGCCAACGTGCCCGGCCCCTCAGCCATCTTTCTTTGGTGGGATCTGATAGGTCAGTGGAGTGGCAGTGTGCATTGCAGCTGAATGGCTTCCCCGAGGTCCTGCACTGTCCAATCCTGGGGGTCCACTCTTGGCCCACATGGCCCCCTCCCACTCTGAAATGTTTTCCTTCTCTCACCCCAGGCCCTTGCTGTGCTCTTAGCCTGGGACCCTCCTAGGGACGTGTCAGACTCTTCTCTGGTCTCAGAGTAGAAGTTAAAGCTCTTCCCCCAACACTATCCATCAAATGATCGGGTAGGGGTCCCTTCCCCCAGACTGTGAGTTCCACGAGTTCCATGAAGGCAGAATCTGTGCCACTTGCTTCATCCCCAGGTCCCCATTACCAGCAGAGGGCCTGTCACATGGCAGGTGCTCAACAAATATTTAATGAGTTAATGAGGTCTGTTTCCATTCCTTCATTTTACAGATTAGACCAGCGAGGCACAGAGAGGTTTAGCACCTTGCTCCAGTCACACAGCCAGGCCCCGGAGCAGTTCTGGAGGAAAGGCCCGCTTGGGCTTGGGCATGGTCGGATTGAACTGGGGTCAGAGGCCAGGCTGGAGTTTCCTGGAGGAAGGAGAAGGAGTGATCAGGGGCATGCAGGCTCCTGGTGATGTCTGTGAAGCCAAGACCTTGGTCGGACCACGGACCCTTGCCCCCATTTAACTGATGAGAAAAGTGACTTTCAGAGGAGGGCAGAGCTCACCTGAGATCAGTAGTAGACCCCGTTCAGAATGCCTCCCAGAGCTCCAGGCAGCCCCCAGGACCCCTGCTTCTCCCACCTGCATCCCTAGAGTATCAGGCCAGGAGCAGGGGGCCGGGAGGCCTGGGTACTCAGGGCCGACCTTGCCACTTACCCGTGCTTACGCCCCTTAAAGTCTCTGGGCCTCAGTTTCCCCATCTGGATGACAAGAGGGCTGCAGCCTTCAGCCTCCCCCCTTGCCCAGATCATGAGGACCAAGCTGCAGGAGCTGGTGGTTAAGAATACAGGCTCCGGAATCCAAAAGCCATGGTTGAGTCCTGGTTCCAGCATTTATTGCTGAATGATCTTGATCAGTCCCTTCACCCCCTGAGCCTCCATTTCATGGTCTGTAAAAAGAGAATAATAGCATTTTTTGAGGATTAAATGAGCTAAAGTAGGGGAGTCCTTGGCACGATGCTGGGCACGGCACCACCGTCAAACGGGACTGCGCGGTTACGGTATTAGTTAGGGGATGCTGCCCTCTGGCGACCATCAGGAGGAAGCGCAGGCGAGATGCCCGGGCCCGGGGGAACCGGCGTTCCTGGCGTGAGCCCATCGTCCAGATCCGGAGAGTGGGGCCGGGCGCCCGTCACTCCGTGTGCGCCTCCACCCACTGGCAGAGGCGACGGGCGTAGCGAGCCGGGCTGACAGTGGAGAAGGTCCGGCCTGGGTAGCGCAGTGTCTTCCACAGGTGCTCCAGCCGCTTGCGGAGCCCGTAGACTGTGGCGAGATCCACGACGCCCAGGAAATAGCGCTGCTCGGGCCCGTCCAGGATGTGTAGGGCGTTGGGGGCGTCGGGCAGCAGCCGGCGGTTTTGGGCTCTCGACTCTTCCGGGCTCTGTGCCCCTTGCACAGACCTGGGGGCCGACAGGAGGGTGAAGCTGCCAGCTCCTCCAGGAAGCCCCAGCCAGTCGGCTCTGCAAGCCTGGCCAGGCTGCCCACCCCTCCACCAGCTCATTCCCACACCTCCTGTGTGCCCAGGTTTGTGAAGTCAGGTAGACTGAGAAAAGTGAAAGTGTTGGGCTAGAGGTGCACTGTTCAGTAGACATTGGCCACAGGTGGCCACTGAGCCTTGAATGTGGCTATTCCTAGTTGAGATGTGCTATACGTGTACAATACATACTCAATTTCAAAGACAGGATGAAAAAAAGGATGTAAGGCTGGGCGCAGTGGCTCACGCCTGTAATCCCAGCACTTTGGGAGGCCGAGGCGGGTGGATCACCTGAGGTCAGAAGTCGGAGACCATGACATGGCGAAACCCCATCTCTACTAAAATGAAAAAATTAACTAGCCAGGTGTGGTGGCGGACGCCTGTAATCCCAGCTGCTCAGGAGGCTGAGGCAGGAGAATCGCTTGAACCCGGGAGGCGGAGGGTTGCAGTGAGCCAATATCTTGCCATTGTACTCCAGCCTGGGCAACAGAGCGAGACTCTGTCTCAAAAAAAAAAAAAAAAAGAAAAAAGAAAAAGAAAAAAGAAAAGAAAAGAAAGAAAAGAAAAAAAGGATGTAAAATATCTTACTCATTTTTACGTTGATTCAATGAAATGAACATTTTGGATGTATTGAGTAAATGAATTATAGTATTTCACCTGTTTTTACTTTTTAAAATGAGGCTACTAGAAAATTTTAAATTACATGTATGGCTTGAATTATATTTCTACTGGGTAGCACTGGTCTATAGCTTTTGCGTCACACAGACCCTGGAATCTGCACCTTGGTGCCACATGACTTCAGGTAAGTCTATTTCCTAAATTTCTCTTTGGAGTCATCCAACCCCAGAAGTCTCAGGGTTGTGAAGCAGAAGTTTTGTGAACAAAATCCAGCAACCCCAGTTTGCAGATGGTGTGTCTATGGTTTTGCCTCAAAATGTCTTCCATACCAGAAGGTACCTTTGGCAGGGCGCCCAGTCCCAGCAGAAGCAGGTTCAATTCCCTAACTTTGTCCTCAGGCGTCATTGAAGGGCTTTAATCCTGTCCTGTCTGGGTCTCGGGGTAAATAGACCAATGAGAAAAAAGCCCTGCCCGGCGCTGGCCAATCAGAGCTCAGTGGTCTGAGAGTCTGAACAGAATGCTGGTACCCTGTGGGCTACCTGGATGATGGGGAGATGTGGGATGGGGGCGTTCTCAGTAGGGGCTGGGAACTGGGTTGGGGTGGGGCTGGGACAGCCAACATGAAAATATTTCAATGTCACAACAATTCCATGCAAACCAGGACTCACTGACTGAATGACAGCGGTGGCCTAAGTACCAGCTAGGGGGAGAGGGCAAGGGAAAAGCTGACCTCACTTGGATGGGCAGGTGTGGGAGGCTCCGTGCCCCATGGCAGGCTTGCCACCATCCGGTCAGGACGTGTCCAGCCCAGCCAAAGGCCAGTGACTCCAAATTCTACCCAAGTCTCACCCATACCAAGTTCTTCCTCTGAGGGGTAGGAACGAGGCAGGGGACAGGAGGGGTGGCGGCTGGACCTCCTCTTTCACTCCCCTTGTCCACCCACTGGATCAATGGAGTGCCTGTCTTAGCTCCTATGTAATTCTGTTCGACCACAGGGGTGGGCCTGAGGGAACTGAAATGGAAGTAGCTGGCCAAGTACTAACATGAGTCCTCAGAAGTCATTCTGCAACCTTGTGTCTGCTTCCCGAGCCTCAGTTCTCACATTTCTCAAATGGGGATGAGTCTACCCTCCCAGGGAGGCTCCCAGTCAGCATGAAGGAATGACAGTTACCACTACTGAGATGAAGACAGGAAGACGGTGCCAATGATGATGACGTCAGCGTCCTGGAAGTGGAATGACCAGCTAAAAAGGGCAAGGACCCTTTCTAAAGCAAAAATTAGGCTGGGCGCGGTGGCTCACGCCTGTAATCCCAACACTTTGGGAGGCAGAGACAGACAAATCTCTTGGTCAGGAGTTCAAGACCAGCCTGGTCAACATGGCGAAACCCCATCTCCACTAAAAATACGAAAATTGGCCGGATGCTGGGCCTCCCAGCACTTTGGGAGGCCGAGGCGGGTGGATCACTTGAGGTCAGGAGTTCAAGACCAGCGTGGCCAACTTGATGAAACCCCGTCTCTAATAAAAATACAAAAATTAGCCGGGCATGCTGGTGTGTGCCTGTAATCCCAGCTACTCAGGAGGCTGAGGCAGGAAGAACTGCTTGAACCCGAGAGGCGGAGGTTGTAGTGAGCCAAGATCGCGCCACTGTACTCCAGCCTGGGCTACAGAGTAAGACTCCATCTCAAAAAAAAAAAAAAAAATTAGCCAGGCATGGTGGGGATGCCTGTAATCCCAGCTACTCAGGAGGATGAGGCAGGAGAATCGCTTGAATCGGGGAGGCAGAGGTTGCAGTGAGCCGAGAGGGCACCACTGCATTCCAGCCTGGGTGACAGGGCGAAACTCCATCTCAAAAAAAAAAAAAAAAAGCAAAAATGTTAAAAATTAAATAGGTCTTTTTCTCTGCTCTGAAACCTTCAGTGGTTCCACAGCCCCACTGGAAAATGGGCAGATTCTTCAAATAGTCACCAAAGCTCTTCTCCAACTGGACTTCATCTGTTCTGTCCCCTGCTGCAGTCCACCTGTGCCCCTCCTGCCCTACCAGCCAGGCTTCTCCAGCCCTCCCCTCTACACACACACACACGCACACATGCACACCCACACACATGCACGCACACACACGCATGCATGCACTCACACATATGCACACACGCGCGCACACGCACACACACACACAAACTCTGCACTTTCCAGCCTTCATGTCTTTGGCTGCACTGCTCCCGGTGCACTCCCATGCCCCCATGTCTGTCTTTCCCTTACTCTCACCACCTCAATCTCGCTGTTGCCCCTGTGGGAGGCTCACCTGGCCGTGCGGAAGATGAGGCTGCTGCCCGGGCCCCTCTCATCCTCGTGGAGACGTTGGAAGGCTATCAGGAGGCTGTAATCCAGCACGTTGAGCTCCCGGAGGAAGGTGGTATCCAGTTCCATCTGGCGGAGGAACCAGCTCCGCTGGGGCCCTGCCGGAGCATCAGTGCCCCCACCTGAGCGCTCATCATGTGCCAGCCACGGTGCTCCACACACTCTGCCCCGTGACAGCATGTGGCATTACTGTCCCCATCTCACAAATAAAGAAACTCATCTGTAATTTGCCTTGGTCACTTAGCTAGGAAGTCATGGAGCCTGAATTTGAACTCTGCTCTGCCTGATTCCAGAATCTCTTTTATTTTTATTTTATTTTTTGAGACAGAGTCTTGCTCTGTCGCACAGGCTGGAGTGCAGTGGCGCCATCTCGGCTCACTGCAACCTCTGCCGCCTGGGTTCAAGCGATTCTCCTGCCTCAGCCTCCTGAGTAGCTGGGATTATAGGCGGGTACCACCACGCCTGGCTAATTTGTGTGTTTTTCGTAGAGACAGAGTTTCAGCATCTTGGCCAGGCTGGTCTTGAACTCCTGACCTCGTAATCCACCTGTCTCGGCCTCCCAAAGTGCTGGAATTACAGGCGTGAGCCACGGCGCCCGGCCGAATCTGGGCTCTTAATAACTCAGGCAGAGGGCAGCAGGGACACCCTTCTAAACTTCACCCTGAATGAAGGAGGAACAGGCAGTGGCCACCCCCGTGGCTCACCCAGGTTGATGGTCTTGCCCTGAAAGTTGAGGTCCTTCAGCACCAGAACAAGGGGGCTGCCCTCAGGGGCGGGATCCACCCAGCGGCTCACCTCGCAGCCTTTGATGTCATACCTGGGTGGGGGGACAGAATTCAGCTTTACATAGATTTGAGACACAGAGAGAATCTCACAAGAGCTTCCAGTGACTACTTATGTGCACTGAACTATTACAGAGATCATCCCCAGTCCTCAGCACAACCCTGGCCTGTCTTTTTCTCTTTCTTTCTTTCTTTCTCTCTTTTCTTTCTTTCTCTCTCTCTTTTCTTTCTTTCTCTCTCTTCTCTCTTTCTTTCCCTTCCTTCCTCCCCTTCTTTCTTCCCTTTTTTTTTTTTTTTGGAGATGGAGTCTCACCTGTTTCTTTCTTTTTTTAGAGAAGGTCTTACTCTGTCACCCAGGCTGGAGTGCAGTGAAACAAACACGGCTCACTGAAGCCTTGACCTCCTGGGCTCAGGCAATCCTCCCACCTTAACCTCCCAAGTAGCTGGGACTACAGGCACGTGCCATCACACCCAGCTAACTTTTTCATTTTTTGTAGAGGCAGGGTCTCACTCTATTGCCCAGGGTGGTCTCCAACTCCTGGGCTCAAGTAATCCTCCTGCCTTGGCCTCCAAAAGTGCTGTGATTACAAGCGTGACGCACCATGCCCGGCCCTATAGCTGAACCCCGGCCTATTATTGTTTCTGAGTTAAAGATAAGAGCAGAGCAGGCATTCACACTCAGGCCACTGGTGGCCCAGCCCAGGCTTGAGCCCTGCCTGTGCCTGCCTCTGGACACCTTGTCACCCCTGAGGGTGTCCCAGACACAGGGATCCAACCCCAGGCGGTGGCAACAGGACGGCTTGGGGGCAGCCAATGGCCGGGGGGCGGGGAACCTGTGGGTAGAGTCAGCGCTGGAGGGCACAGGGGGTTACGTGCAGTCAGAGGCTGGGTCTGAGTCCCTGCTCCCCACATGTTAGCTGTGTGGCCTTCTCCTTCCTCGGTTTCTCATCTAGGAAGGAGGATAAGAGCTGCCCCTCAGCGTCCTTCTGGGAATTAAAAAGCATGCGAAGGGCCCAACACGGCGCCTAACGCACACTGAGTGCTCCAGAGATGCTGGGTGTGGGCGTCACTGTCTCTGACCCACCAGATCTTGGGAACGCCCCTTCTCCTTCCTGGGCCTCGGTTTCACCGTCTGGCTAGTGAGTGTGGGTGCTTCGGGCCGCGAGTTTCGGCTGGGATGGGGGCCCAAACCTGCTTAGGCCACTCACCTCTCGGAGATGCGGCCGGCGGGGTAGAAGACGCTCTGCATGACGATGAAGTACGTCTGGGGGCCGGGACAGGGAGTGAGGGAGGCCGGCTGTCGCCCTCCAGCCGCCCGCTCCGCCCAGCCACCTCGCCTCGGCTTCACCCACCTTCTTTCCCCGGTCCACCCGCAGACTGTGCACTCCTGGAAGGGGAGAGGGCGCCGGATGAGGATCCCCAAACTCCACAACCCGGGGTGCATCCGGCGCCAATCCCAGCGCCAGGCCACGCCTCCTTCTCAAGATCCGCGGCACCTGGACCCTTCCTTGGCTGGTCCGGATCCCGACCCGATCCCACCCCTAAACACAGCCCCAGTGGTGCCCCGCCCCCACGTATGGCCCCACCCCCATGCCCTACAACCCCAAATCCGCCCATTTGGGCCCCGCCCACATACCCCGCCCTCCCCAGGTATATGATGACCTAGGACCCGCCCCCACCGAGCCCCGCCCCCAGCCAAGTACCCAGCAACCGCGCCAGCAGCGAGTGCGGGTGCCGCTGCAGGTGCTGCACGTAGCGGGGCAGGTGGGCGAGCAGAGCCTGCACCTCTCGGCGCCCCTGGGTCTTCAGGAAGAAGCGCTGGTCGTGGCTGGGGGGCAAGAGAAAGAGGTCACTGCCCAGGCCTGGCTGGAGCGGCTCCCACCCGGCCCCCTTCCCCGACCTGTGCACGTGGATCTCGCTCCCAGGTCTCGGCACCGCCTCTCTCGCCTTCGGCCCTCGCCCTCCTCTCCTCCCCGATCTGTCCACCATCCGGCCCTGACCCTCCCAGATTAGGGCCGCTCTGTTTCTCTCTTCAGGGGGCCTTCCCCGCCACTGGGAATTCTGCCCTCCCAGCCAGGGGTACCACTCCCACCCCTGCCCCACCCCTGCCGCAAGCTCACGACAGGAAGAAGCTGGCCTTGCTCTTGGAGGTGCTGAGGAACTGCAGGTAGGGGCCGCCGGGGCCCAGGGCAGCCTGATAGTCCTCCTCCGCCAGGCCCAGGGAGCGGCGCAGCCAGGCAAAGGCGGGGCCGGCCAGCGTGCCCAGCTCGAAGCCCTGCAGGGGAGGAAGAGCCTCCTCTGGAGTGTCTGCGTGGGCCCGGGTGTGTGCAGTTGGTCCTGGGACAGGAGGGTCAGGGTGACCACACCCTTCCTGCAAGGCTCAAGTCTCAGGGACAAGCCTTCACTCCCACTGCACAGATGGGAAAACTGCAGAGGAGAGAGCAAGACCAGCACACGTCCCTCCCACACGGGAGTCTGGGCCTCCTACCTCGTGAACCTGGGTTAGGACCTCCGAGAAATCGTCCCGGGAGGGCGGCCCCTGCAGGGAGAGGTAGAGGAGCTCAGGGCAACCCTCAGTCCCCTGCTGCCTGCCCCAGGATCTCCAGATGTCCTGCACCTGGCCCGTCCCCCACCTCCTCCAATTGGATTCCTTCAGCAAACCGGGACCGGAGTTTCTGAGAGTGCCTGAGTTGGGCAGATGCATTGCTCACCTCCCAGGGATGCCAGGGGGACAAGAGTGACCCACGGCAAGGCCTGAGTGTATCTCATCCACTCTGGATCACCAGCACCAGGCCATGAGTTCAAGCCAGGCACGTTCCCAGACTCACAGGCTGGCCAAGTGAAGCCAGATTCTGTCCAGTACAAGGGGGTGGCCCTGAAGCCAAGGGACCTGCCTGATGCAACCTGGGAGGGGCAAAATCAGAGAAGCCTTCCTGGGGGTGGAGACCTCTAAGCTGAAATCTAAAGGGTAGTGGAGAGGAGGAGCAGGGTGCTCGCACCAGTAGAAACAGCACTGGTGGCTGCCGGCAAGGGAAGGAGGGCCCAAGTGGCTGAAGCCAGTGAGGGAGGGATGGAGTGTGAACAAGGCTGGATGCAGCTGGATCTGGAGGTCATGCTGAGTATTGGGGAGCCATGGAAGCTTTTCAGCAGGTGATGAGGTCAGTTTGTGATTTAGAGAACTCCCTCGAGTCTCTACACTTTCCCTGGATCTCCAGGTCCCTGTGCCCGGATGTGGTCTGTGGAATGTGGTCCCACTGCGCACACATGCACACACACGAACACCACACACATGCTCACCCAGGCCCGCCCAGCTGCTGAGCTTGCAGTTGGGCCACCTTTCTGCTGAGCCAGCCCTGCCTCAGCCTGAGCTCCAGAGAGGATGGGCTAGGCCAGCAGGGTGGGGGTGGGGGTCCCTTTTCAACCATATACCCTGGCAGGGCTGGGAGGGCCTCAGAAACCAAGGAGTATAATCTCCCCCCATTATACAGATGGGGACACTGAGGCCCAGAGAGAGGCAGAGACCCACCTAGAGTCACACAGCAACCACCTGAGTCAGGGGGTTCCTCACACCCCCAACGCACCCCAGACGTTCCAGCTCCCACACCACAATGTTCCTCCCTCTCTGCCTTCCTCCCCTTGATATCCCTCTCTGATCCCCACACCTGCAGTTTCAGCCAGACAGGGCATCAGCCAAGTCTTGCCATTGCTGGTGTGGAGATTCGTGGGACAGATGGGCCACTCACCGTGGGTGGGTGGTCCATGGAGACCTGGGTGGCAGCCCACAGCCCTGCCTGCATCATGCACGTCATCCCATGCAGTTCATGCCCCGGGCTGATCTCAAACAGGCCCAGGCGAGACTGCTTGTCTCGGAGGCGCCAGAGAAGCCCCCGCCGGCTGGAGGTGACTGCTCTGCATCCAGCCTCAGGGGAGGGGGCCAGGACCTGGTGGGAGGAGGCACAGGACACAGCCTGTGGCAGCGTCACAGAGGAAAAAGATCAGGGTTCAAGTCCCACTTCCACTACTTGTGAGACTTCCCCTCATCTCTCTCTGCCTCAATTTCTTCAGCTGTAAAATAGAGATGATGCTGGTACCCAGAGGGGCCACACAGTGCCTGGCACGCAGTCAGCACCCGAATAGAGCAATGGTTATGATTATCAGTAGATAGGGCGTGCACTCTGCAGTCAAACCTGGCCTTAGATGGACCGTCTCTCACCAACCTTGTGACCTTAGGTAAGTCACCTAACCTTTCTGTGCCTCATTTTTTCATCTGCAACGTGAAAACTAGAACAGCTTCTTCGTGGTAGGTATGAACTCTTGTTACTTTTGAGTTTGAGCTCCTTGCACGGGAGCCCTTGATAGTAGGAGCTGTGATGCCGGTGATTCAGTCACATCTATTCCATTCGCCTATGCTGAGCGCCTCCAGGCCAGCACGGAGGGGCCAGCACGATGCTTTTCATAGCCGCTGACCCACCAGTAGTGGGCATCCACCGCGTGCCCCGCACTGGATGAGAGCTTGACCTCCTAACAGCTCCCTGAAGGAGGAGCTTTAGCATCCTCTCCATTTTCCCAATGAGAAAGCTGAGGAAGTGTTGAGGGATATCCGCCAGGCCGCCCCTCGGGATACCTGGCGCCCCGTGTGGGGCGTGTCCTGGTCTTCGCCGGCTGCAGGGCCCCTCCCAGGCTTGGATGGGGGCGTGTCCGCGCCGCTCGCCGAGGGGAGGCCCGGCCCCTGCCCACCAACCCTTCCCTCTCCTGTCCTCTCTCGGGTCCGCACCTACCTCGCGGGGCCCCGGGCTCGGCGCAGCCATCGCCCCCGCAGCAGCTTCCCGGGCTTTGGCCGCATTCCCCGCCGCCCCGCTGCAGGAATCAGGCCCCGCCCCTACCTCGCGGCCGACCAATAGCATGGCGCCGACTGCGGCTGCATCCAATCCACGCGGGAGGCGCTGGCGATCGCCTGCGGGTCCCGCCCCCACGGCTGCAGCATCCTTCAGACCTCGGTCCGGCTGGGGCGGGGCCGCCGGACATTGGCTGGGGTCCCTCGAAGGGAGCACCCCCATTTTCCGCCCTCGGCGTGGGGACTCGGGTCGCTAGGGCCGCCTGGGGAGGCGAGTAACCTAAATCCTGTGCCACCCACCCATTCCGGCGTGAAATCCCCATTGCCCGTCTTTTGGGTGAAAAAACTGAGAGATCTAGAGAAAGAAGTCACTACCTCTAGGTCACACAGCAAAGTCGGGGACATCCATTCATTGAACACATAGATATTGAACACCCACTGTGGGCCAGCAGTGCTAGGCCCTGGGGATTTAGTGGTGAGCGAGAGGGAGGGGCTCAGCTGCCCGCGTGATCTTTAAAAGCATAACTTGGATGATGTCACTCTCGTGCTTAAAGCCTCCAGTGGCTCCCATGGCAATGGAACAAAACCCAAACCCCTCACCCTGACCCCAGGCCCATCTCAAACCACTCACCCTACACTTAACCACTGAGCCGCCCGGCCCCTCCTGTTCCTTAGCCGCCAAACTCTCCCATTCAAGCCTCTGCATTTTGCTATTCCCTCTGCTTGAAACTCTTGACCCCAGACTGCTACTCGCCTCGTTCTTTCGTCACCTTGCCAGACTCCAACAGAGCGCTCCCCTCCCCCCACTCCTGATCACATCACCTTTATTTTCTTTACCACCCTAACACTGTCAGAGACTGTCTTGTTTATTGTTTATCACGTCTCCCCCTGGAGTGGGAATGCCATGAAAGCGGGGCCATGTCATTCCTGCCTCCTGGCTGAGTGCCTGGCACAAGCCTGTGCCGGATGAGTGTCTATGGGACCAAGCGAGTAGGACGTGCAAAGGGCCTTGGTGAGTCCAGGAAGTGAAAGGCCAGAGTGGCTGGAGTGAAGAGGGGAAAGCAGGCTGAGAGGCAGGGCCCTGTGGGGACCCAGAGAGGTACTGTGAGTATGGGTGTGTGTGTGAGGCACCAAGGTTCGAGGGTTTTGTTTGTTTGTTTTAAGACAGAATCTCCCTCTGTGGCCCACGCTGGAGTGCAATGGCGCAATCTCGGCTCACTGCAACCTCTGCCTCTGGGTTCAAGTGATTCTCATGCCTCAGCCTCCCAAGTAGCTGGGATTATAGGCAGGCGTCACCATGCCCAGCTAATTTTTTTTTTCTTTTTTTCTGAGACAGAGTCTTGCTCTGTCGCCCAGGCTGGAGTGCAGTAGCGCGGTCTTAGCTAACTGCAACCTCCGCCTCCTAGGTTCAAGAGATTCCTCTGCCTCAGCCTCCTGAGTAGCTGGGGCTACAGCCGCGTGCTACCATGCTGGGCTTTTTTTTTTTTTTTTTTTTTTTTTTGAGACAGTCTCTCTCTGTCGCCAGGCTGGAGTGCAGTGGCATGATCCCAGCTCAGTTCAACCTCTGACTCCCCGGTTCAAGTAATTCTCCTGCCTCAGCTTCCCGAGTAGCTAGGATTACAGGCATTCGCCACCACATCCAGCTAATTTTTGTATTTTTAGTAGAGCGGGGGTTTCACCATGTTGGCCAGGATGGTCTTGATCTCCTGACCTTGTGATCCGCCCACCTCAGCCTCCCAAAGTGCTGGGATTACAGGCATGAGCCACCGCGCCCAGCCATTTTTGTATTTTTTTTTTTTTTCGAGACGGAGTCTCGCTCTGTCGCCCAGGCTGGAGTGCAGTGGCACCATCTCAGCTCACTGCAAGCTCCACCTCCCGGGTTCATGCCATTCTCCTGACTCAGCCTCCCAAGTAGCTGGGACTACAGGCGCCTGCCACCACGCCCGGCTAATTTTTTGTATTTTTTTTTAGTAGAGACGGAGTTTCACCGTGTTAGCCAGGATGGTCTCGAGCTCCTGACCTTGTGATCCGCCTGCCTCAGCCTCCCAAAGTGCTGGGATTACAGGCGTGAGCCACCGCGCCCGGCCCCATTTTTGTATTTTTAGTAGAGACGGGGTTTCACCAAGTTGGCCAGGCTGGTCTCCAACTCCTGACCTCAAGTGATCTGCCCACCTTGGCCTCCCAAAGTGCTGGGATTACAGGCGTGAGCCACCGTGCCTGGTCAAGGTGTGCATTTTTGAAGGGCACTGGTTGTTATGCATAGTTGGACTGGTGGGGCCAGAGTGGGCAGGAGAAGCAGTGAGGAAGCCATCTGTGACTTAGGGCAGAGGATGGTGGCTTTGCATCAGGAAGGTGGCTAGAGGCCAGGAGAAAAGGGGAGGGAGAACTGATAAAGCTCAGGGTCCTGTGGATGGGGGGATAAGGAAGAAAGCCAGGTTAGGGACATGGTACACCAGTCACTAGAGGGGGAAGGGCATGAGGGGAACAGCCAGATTTGGGAGAAGTCTGAGAATTCAGCTCATGAGAGGATGCATTTGAGTTTCCCACCATGGCATCCGATGAGGATGTCAGGTGGGCAGCTGGGCCATGTGCAGTGCATCGGGCCAGAGGTGAGCCTGGCAAGGGTGAGACGGCTTGTGACACAACCCTGAGGAGCCCAGCATCACATGGCAGAAGACGGCATGAGTGAGACATCAAATAGCAGAATGATCATCACAGCCGGGCTTGGTGGCTCATGCCTGTAATTCCAGCACTTTGGGAGGCTGAGGCAGGCAGATCACCTGAGGTCAGGAGTTTGAGACCAGCCTGGCCAACATGGCAAAACCCCATCTCTACTAAAAATACAAAAAATTAGCTGGGCGTGGTGGCAGGTGCCTGTAATCCCAGCTACTCGGGAGACTGAAGCAGGAGGATCACTTGAACCCAGGAGGCAGAGGTTGCAGTGAGCCAAGATCGCACCACCGCACTCCAGCCTGGGCAACAGAGCGAAACTCTGCCACAAACAAACAAACAGAATGGTCATCACAGACATCAAGAAAGCGGCTGACAGTGGATCAGGGGATGTCACAGGCCAAATGCAGCTGAGAGTCAAGCAAACATCCTTTGGATTTAAAGAGTGGACATCAACTGGGCACGGTGGCTCATGCCTGTAATCCCAGCACTTTGGGGGGCCGAGGCAGGCAGATAGCCTGAGGTCGAGAGTTCAAGACCAGCCTGACCAACATGGAGAAACCCCGTCTCTACTAAAAATACAAAATTAGCTGGGTGTGGTGGCACATGCCTGTAATCCCAGCTACTTGGGAGGCTGAGGCAGGAGAATCACTTGAACTCAGGAGGTGGAGGTTGCAGTGAGCTGAGATCACACCATTGCACTCCAGCCTGGGCAACAAGAGCAAAACTTTGTCACAAAGAAAAATTAAAAAAAAAAAAAATAAAGAGTGGACACCGCTGGTGGCCTCAGTGGCTGCAGCCTGCCTGGAGAGATGGGGACAGATGCTGAGTGCGGCAGGAGGTGAAGAAATGCAGGAGACAGATGCGGACCCCCTTTGGGGAAGCTTGGTGGTGAAATGGACAGAGGGAGATACTTAGTGGGAACTACTGGATTGACGGAGGGCCTGTAAGTGGGATCCCAGAGCACACTCAGGGAACAATGAGAGGATCCCATGGAGATCTTTCTCACAACAGGGGGCGCCAACTGTGACCTCAGGCTCCCACTACAGTAGTTGGGGGTTTAGGATCCAAAGCCCAAGTGGGCAGTTCTGCCTGGACTGGAGGACAGAGCATGGAGCAGGTGGGGAGAGGGCAGGTGTCTGCAGTTGGCCTTTTTCCTCTGTGATGAGGAAGATACCTCCACCAACTGGAAGAAAAGTGAGGGAACCGGGTTTGAGGAATGGGGGTTTACACTAGGTGCCGTGGAAAATGGGAGAGCCAGCTGCCCAGGCACGGTGGGACTGCTGGAAGGCTAGGGGCTGGGCCAGTCCAGCCAACCTGAACACAGAGCAGCCTTCACTGCTCAGGGCCACGTTAAGTTGGGCTGTGGGGTTTTTAGGGGAGTGGCCCAAGGGTCCCTAAAGTAATAAATCCAACCCGGCCAAGCTGGCACAGGGGAGGCATGGCAGAGGGGTGCCAGGGCCTCCAATGACTCCCAGCTGTGAGCTCCATTGGGTAGGAAGCACATCTGTCCCAGTCCCTGCTTTATCCCCAGCGCACAGGGTCAGGGCAGAAGGCCCCCGAGTCACCCCTACTGTACAGGATCTCCTGACCCAAGACCGCTCCCAGCCCGCTCCAGCCCCGACCCTGGGTAAACACGGCACAGAGACAAACACACCATCAGTGTTTATTGGTCAGCTGTCCCAAACGGGCCAGCCCTGGGGCTTTGGGGCTGGGCCTCCGTGAGGAGAGGTCAGTCGGTCAGCGGCCCGGGGTGGCTGCCCTGAGCCCCAGGGCTGGTCCTGGGGTCTGTCAGTCCTTCCCCAGGCTTTCCAGGTCCAGAAGGCTTTGTGGGGTCTGGGGCTGTGTCAGGGTAAGGAAAGCTGCCTTGGTGGAGGAAGAGAAGTCAGAGAGGTCACACATGTGGCCTTAGAACCTGCTAAGTCCAACGTCAGCATGTGACAGGAGGGGAAGTGAGGCAAGACGGCAGAACCCAGGGGAAAAGGTGGCAGGGAGTCTGAGAGTGAGGTTGGGAGGACCAGCATCTTTTAGGCCCTGAGCAAGAAGGAGGTGACCGGAGTCTTCCAGGTATCCCTCCCTCCTAGCTTCTGGAAGTGGGAGTCGGGGAGGGGGCTCCAGTCAGTCAGGTGTAAGCTCCATGCCATGGGGACTCTGCAGGACAGGCAGGCTTGAGGAGCCACTGTGCCTGGACAGGTTCTGCAGGCTCCCCCACTTGGTCCCTGTGCTGGAGGGGAAGCAGAGAAGGGGCTGGCAGCCTCATCCCTGCGGGACCTTCACTGAGCCTTCTTGGTCACTCTCTTGGTCTTCAGCATCACATAGGAGATGAACAGTCCTGGGATACACAGACCAGAAAGGCCACATAAGATCTAAGCTCAGGGCTGCTGGGAGGCCAGGGCATGACACAGCAGAGCCACCCACACACAGGGCTGTGAACCTACCCAACCATCCTCCAGGGAACCTGCTTATCTCCCTAGTCATTCGTCAAGGCATATGTCTACTCACATTCACTCAACAAACACCAACTGAGTGCCTGCCTCAAGCAAGATGCTGCATTTAGTGTTTCAGATTCCAAGGGGAACAAGATCCACCCATCTATCGATCACCCGGTCAACCACTTGTCTGTCCACCTACATACCTACCCACCTCCTCCTACACCTCACCCACCCACCCATCCATCCACCCATCATCCAGGCACCCGGCTGTTGACTGACTCATCCAAATGACTTTCTGAGCACAGCCTCAGTGCCACAGCCTGTTCTAGATGTGCAGTAATGATGGAGACACAGTCCCCATCCCTAGGAAGCCATGAGAGAGAGAGGTGCAGGAATTAGAAGCCAGGGTGACAAGAGGGTGACTGAGGTGTGAGCAGAGTGATGATGGGGTTGGGGCAGGAAAGAGGTAGACAGGTCATTGGAGTCCAAAAAGCCTGGGGCACCAGGAAACCCAGAGGTTACTGACTGGCAGCCTCGAAGGATGAACAGGAAAACCCCACGGGTGAGTTCGGGGCAAGCAGCTTCCAGCACCGCCAAAGTGTGGAAGCATGTTCAGAGGTGGGGTCTTCCCGAAACCCTGCCCAGGGTCAAGGGGAGGAGGTGATGACTTACCCACAAACAGGAGCAGCAGGAGGCCTGCAGCCAGTGGGATGGCGACAGCATAGGCTCGGGGCAGGAAATACTTGTGGATGACATGCTGACTGTCGATGAATGGCTGGCATCGAGGGAAGAGCTCTGGTGTGTCTTGCTTGCCTTGCCGAGCCCCCAAGCCCAAACGTCCCACCTCCTCCATCTAAGGGGCTGACCCATTCAGAGGACTGGGACTGCATTTGCTTTTCTTTAAGATTACGGCATTTGGGTGTCGTGGTTTGTTTCTTTCCTTAATTTCTTATTGGTATTTACCGGGCACTTGCTTTGGTGCCTGCTATAGGTTGGTGGTGGGGACAAGAGAACAGGGCACAAGAGACCTGCCCTAAGGCACCTCACAGCCTAGCAAATGGTACTTGAGGAATCCTCGACTGACTCCCAACCTGGGCCTCCAGGGCTTCTTCACTAATATTTTTTCTCTAAAGGATACCAAGTTCTGCACTTCCAGACACACTGCACTTCTTAAGCAATAACCAACAAGTTTTCCCACAAGAAAAAAATATCCTAAAGGCCTTCACAAATATCACTGGCGTTTGCCATGCCTAAGAGTCAGCAGGCTAACCCAGAAGGAACAGAACTCCCCCAAAAGTCAAAGCAAGCCGGAAACAGAGTTATAAGTGTAGCGGCTAAGGATGCAATCTTGGGCCAGATCCTTCTCCCCTAGCCTCAGCTATCTCATCTATAAAATGCGGTACCACTGGCATCTTCCTCATAGAGTTGTTCTGGAGAGTTCAAGAGATGAGGCAGGCAATGAAGCCAGCGCCGTGCCTAGAGCCTATATAGTAGTTGCTCTGGCGGTGCCAGGGCTCGGGGAAGGTGAGCAGCGGACGGGGAGAATGACATACCAAGAGAATCACCCAGGCGGTGTAGTAGGTGAAGATGATCAGGCTAACGGCGACGAGGCCGAGTCCCACCACCTGGTCTGTCCCCGTGGCCTGGAGAAAAGGGAGGTCTCAGCTGACGAAGTGACCCTCTATTTCGGCGCACTAATGGAAGCGGGGCGTCGCGGCCCGATCACGGTCTAAGCTTCCCATTCAACAGATGGTAGAGGGCTGACTAGGGATCAGTTTCTAGGCTGGGAGAGAATGCTAGGCCTCCGCGTTGTCGTCCGTACAATAGTGGGGGCGGGAGAGCAATCCCCGTTCCAAGTGCCCATGCCCCAGCTCCTGAGCAGACCCGGGACCCCACCCCCAGACGCCCCTATCTCCGGCACACGGTGCCAATCTCACCATTTCCCCGCGCGCTCAGCCACCCGAGCCGCAAGCCACATCCGGTTCCGGGTCCACGCTCTTCCGGCTTTGGACTGCGGAGCACGCCGGGAGTCGTAGTCCCCAGGCCTGCTCGGGCCCACCTCGTCGGAGACGAGCAGGAACCGCCTCCTCTTCTTTGCATATCGGCGAAGTGTAGTTCTCAAGAGCATTGTGGGGCCGGTTGCTGCCCGAATCTCTCTAGGGAATGGGACCGAGTTGGGGACCCAGACTCCCTGGCCTTCATGGCCACAGTCCTGTCGCCGCCCCACCAAAAGCCAATCTCTAAGTATCCCAGAGTCCCGGGGCCAGAGTGGGATGGGAGTGCGGGATCGGAAGTTCCATTTTTCAGATGGGAAAAGTGAGGCTCAGAGAAAGGTAGATCCCATTCCGAGTCAGTGGTGAAGCCGACACGGAAACCGGGTGCCCTACTTAGTCTGTAGGTGGGAGAGGTGCAGAGAACGTTCACTTTCCAGCCTAGGGTGGGCGGGGGAGGGTCTGTCCCTAGCCCGCATGGATGGGGAGGATTTGGTGGAGAGGAGGCGCCCTCCTCACCATCGCCCGGCCTCCCGGGCCACCCTTCGGATGTCCCCTCCCTTCCTTCACCGACTGTCTCTCGCAGCAGCCCAGACACGTTTCGGACCGGGACCCACGCACAGGCCCCTCCCCGGTCTTGGAAGGCCCTTCCTCTGAGAACAAAGAGATGTTGGGCCAGATCATCTTCCACGCTTCTTCAGCTCCGAGATAGGAACGCGGTCCCCCACCACTCACAGGCCGGCTGCTCCTCACCCATCCGGTCTCACTGGGACGCCACGTTCCTCAGGGAAGCCAGTCGGGAACGTTTTTTTTGTTTGTTTGTTTGTTTTTGAGACGGAGTTCTATGTTATCCAGGCTGGTGTCGAACTCCTGGGCTCAAGCGATCCTCCCAACTCGGCCTCCAAAAGTTTACAGGCGTGAGCCACGGTGCCCAGCCTCCTGTGCCTTTTAATTCACTGATGCAATTGTTGATCCAGCCCTGTCAGCCCCGAGGGTAGGGTCTGAGGTTGCTGCTGTATCCCTGGCACTCAGTGGAGGCTTGGCCCAAAGAAAGAGGTTTTTTTGTTTTTTTTTTTTTTTCCCAAGACGGGAGTCTCACTCTGTCACCCAGGCTGGAGTGCAGTGGCATGATCTCAGCTCACTGCAACCTCTGCCTCCTGGGTTCAAGCGATTCTTCTGCCTCAGCCTACCGAGTAGCTGGGATTACAGGCACGTGTCAACACGCCCAGCTAATTTTTGTATTTTTAGTAGAGATGGGTTTTCACCATGTTGGCTAGGTTGGTCTCAAACTCCTGACCTCAGGTGATCCACCCACCTCAGCCTCCGAAAGTGCCTGGATTACAGGCGTAAGCCACTGCGCTCGGCCCAAAGTAAGAGCTTTGAACCTGTCAGCTTTAAGATTGAGTGATTGTTTAGATACTGGAGTACAGCATCTGGACTCCAGGCCTCCCTGAGGGGTTATGTGGAGGCCTTTGGCCTGCTGTCCCCACCTGGGGAGTTTGGGGAGAGATGTGCTTTGAGCCTGGCATGGTTCGCTCCCTCTGGCATTTATCTCCTTGGTTGGTTGGAAGCCCATCTCCAACTATGGAGTCTGCCCTCCCAAAGCTGACAAGAGCAACTTTTTTTTTTTTTTTTTTTTTTGAGACGGAGTCTCGCTCTGTCACTCAGGCTGGAGTGCAATGGCGCGATTTTGGCTCATTGCAACCTCCACCTCCTGGGTTCAAGCGATTCTCCTACCTCAGCCTCCTGAGTAGCTGCGATTACAGGCACTCACCACCACGCCCAGCTAATTTTTCTATTTTTAGTAGAGATAGGGTTTCTCCATGTTGGTCAGGGTGACTTCAGGTGATCTGCCTCCTGCCTCAGCCTCCCAAAGTGCTGGGATTATAGGCGTGAGCCACTGTGCCCGGCCAAGAGCAACTTTTTTAAACCTACAGTCCAATTCTTTTCCCTTATCTCTCAGGAGACTTTGGGCTCACCTAGGAGCCCACTTTTACCTCCTTCCTCAGTTGTGCATATAACAGAGGAAGGGGCAGAATCGGCCTTCAGGGTTTAAAGGGGCCATGAGTCGGGGTCAGCCCTGAGGAGGAGTGGGGTGAATGCTATCCCAGGATAGAGATGGAGCCCTGGTGGCCTGATTCCTCCTGGCCTGGCCAGTACCACTGAAGCTTCCCAACACCTCCAAGCTTATTAAAGAACCAGAGTGACTTGCCTGTCCCAGAGAGACTTGGGATGGTCAGAAACGGGGGTGAGGGGCCCGGGGCAAGCCAAGCCTGTAAATGATGGCAGCCTGGGGCTTTAGTTTGGGAACACACTCACACCTCCTACAGGTCAGGCTGCACACTCGTGTTATTTGATAACCCCATCTGCAGGTGAGGAAACTGAGGCGCAGTTATTTGTCCTCAGGCATGCTCCTTAGAGGCCACTTGATTGCAGAGAAGGTCTACAGAGCAGTGGTTAGAACTTGGCCCTGAGGACAGAGCTTTTGCTCCGTATGAGGCTGGCAGGTAACGATCTTCTCAGTTTTCTCCCCAGGAATCTGGAACGATGAAGGTGATGATTGTGCCTGTGGCCAAGACCGGGAGAACCCTGGATCCCTACACCTTCCCCACCCCTGGAATGTCACTATACATATCTGACTTCTTCTGATGTTGCCTTTGACCCTAAAGTCAATATGATAAAGTAACAAGGTAAAAACAAAACAGCAAAAGAAACAAAAACCGAAACATTTAATTTTTTCTCCCCAAACCAAGACGCTGACACTAGCCTGAGTTCCCCTAACAATGTTATTTTCTACAACAGAAGCTGGGACAGAGGAACAAACACAGCCCACTCAAGCAGTGGTGGCAACATTCTGTTAGAAAGGAGGGGAGTCAAAGAAAAAAACACCCCTCCGCCCATCTCCTTATCACCTCCCTAAAGACAGAGGAGAACATGGACACCCTCCATCCTGATAGACATGCCATGTGGTCAGTTTGTGCGGTAAACAGGAAAAAAAAAAAACCTAAAGATATTGTAGACCTTTATTTTCTTTAAATCTCCTAATAAAAACATTAAACTTTCAAGAAGATTCCAAACTGACATTGCATAGACCAACTCCTTTCCAAAAATATCTCTGATATACTCTCCAACTCTCTCAATATATAGAATTTGAAGTCCAGGAGCTGTGGGCACCTGGTGGGAATTCACTGAGCTCAAGGGGACAAGAGGGCTGAGGACAGGGCTCCCACATGGGGACAAGGCCAGGCTTTCTGGCCTCTGGTTCCAGCCAGCATCAATTTGGTTGTGGCCAAATTCTCAGTCCAATCACCCTGGCCCAGGGCCTGGCGTGGGAGGATGTGGCAGGCTCTGTCTCCTTCTGGGGTTCCTGGTCTGGAGGAGTCTCCCCAACAGCGCCAAAGCTGGCTGTTTTCCACCCAAAGCCCCAGAACTTTGAATGAGAGGCAAATCTACCCTGAATGCACCTCCCTCCTAGGCTGGGTGAGGTCACGCAGACACAGAAGGGCAGGACAGAACTCCCCATCTTCTGGGGGCCAATTCGTCTGGACACTGTGCGGTCAGCTTCCTTTTTAAAGTGCCAGTATCGGTGGGGCAGGAAGGGACTCTCAGGGCTGAGCAGAGCCTTCTCCAGCGCGAGCGAACACTCTGTCCCGCCTCGGCAGGCACCTTCTAACATTCATTTTCTAAGGGTTAGGTGAGTAAAACAACAACAAATGCTGGAAATGCTCTGTTCCCAATGCCAGGGAGTTCCAAGACCAAGAAGCCCAACTCTCACCAGCGGGGGCAGATGGGGAGCTAGGGAAGGAACCCTCCCAGCCTGGGGAGGGCACCTGCACCCCTCCCAGAGAGAGAAGCCCCCATCCCGGCCCCCCAGCTGGGCCCCAGCGCTGCTGGAACCAGCCGGCAGGTGGGGCAGAAAAGCAGCACCTCCCCTCACCAGGGCGAGGAGGCAATATTGAACCGTGAACTCAAGAAGAAAGACGGAAAGAAAAAATGAAAAAAGCTACAGGGCTAAGTAAACACCAGCCTGCTGGGTTTATACAAAATGAGTGAAATTTAAAAGGGGCAGGAGAGTTTGTCCAGGGACTGGCTGGCAGCCAGAACCCACCTTCAAGCAAGTTACAAGGACTTGGGGGAAAGTGCTGAGAGCAGAGGCTTTAGTAGGGGGCAGGGCCAGACTGCTCCCCACTGGGAAAGCACACCCCTTAAAGGAGCCCTTCCCCCTTGCCCAGAACGGGGGATGCTTCCAGAGGAAGGCTGAGGCTTTTCTGGTAAGGAAGCCAGCTCCGGACCAGTCCAGCCACAGCCCACCTGCCTCTCTGGCATCCGCCCCAGTCTGGGCAGCTGACCCTGAGGGCAGAGAAGGACTTTGCTTGCTCCAACCTTCCTGCAGGAAAACCAGCTGCTCAGGACCCAGCCCTGGGCAGAGGGCACGGTCGGTGCTCAGACCTTTCTCAGCACGGGTCTCAGACCTGAGCTGGAGCTAACTGGAGGAAGAGGCAGCACCCGTTCCCGCCGGGCTGCTGGACCCTGGGCCTCTGACTGCACAGCAGGCAGTGACCAGGAGTCCTTGGGAAGGAGCTCAGGGAAGGGGAGGTGAGGGGCCAGTGGGACTGTGCTGGGGGTGAGCATGTGCAAAGTGCAGGCTGCAAGGCAGCGGGAGGACATTTGCCGGGGGGAGGCAGGGGTCTCGATCTGGAGTGTGGGTGGGGTCTGAGGTCATGGCTCCCAGGAAGAGGCCGCCAGCAGGTCCCCCAGGACACAAGGAAGGGACAGCTGAAGCACTAAGCAGTCAGACAGTCACAGGTGGCAGGATTCCGGAGGTGGTCTGGCCCCCCCACCACCAGGGCAAGGGAACAACGGAGCAAGGCCCTGCTGCTAAGACGTGACCAAAGCCAGTGCTCCTGGAGTGAGTGGGGACACAGGTAGAGAGGCCCCCTCAGCCACAGGCATCTCTACATTTAGGAGCCGCTGCATGTCCTCAGCCAGAGGGCTGGGTCAGTCTCCAGCAGCGCCGGTCCTTGCCAGCTCCTTCTTGCCCACAAGCTGCACGGGCCCGCCTGGCCTGCCTGGCCTGCCCTCTAGTGGTTCAGAGGAGAATATTCACAGTGGTGCCTGGGCCTTGGTGGGCCAGGAGGGTCCCAGCATGGATGGGAGGGGCAATGGAATGATGCTACGGGGAGTGTGGACTGGAGTGCATGGAGGAGGCATGGATGAGATGTGGCGCAGAGGTGATCTGAAGGGGAAAGTTCCTCATGGAATGATACAGGTCTGGACTCCAGAGAAAGCAGGACTCTTCTCCAGCCCGGACACCTGCTCCTCAATGGCTTTCAATCACAACTGGCTCGTAGACCCCAGAAGAGACCCTGCAGGTGAGAGACAGGTCAGCATGTCCCCCTCGATACCCCATTTCCTGAGCGCTCCACTGGACCAGGCCTCTGGAGGTGTTTCACAAGCAGGTACTGTTAACCAGCCCTGTGTTGCAAAGGGGCTAAAACCGTGCCCCAGCGATGGTAAGTCCCTTGCCCACAGTGACACAGATAGTAAGCATCAGAGTCTGTGGGGCCTGCAGAGCCCTTCCGGGCACATCTGGCTGTGCCACCCCATCCTCACGGTCACCTCGGCAGGGAGTCACTGCATCCTGCCCCACTTGACAGGTGAAGAAACTGAGGCTCAGAGGGATGTGAGGGTGACCAAGAGGGCAGTGGGAAGTCAGGAAACCTGGTCAGCTCCTTTCCCTGCCGAGCCCAGGCCCAGCCCTGGAGTCGGGGACTCTCGGGGCTCAGCATGTAGCTCTGCTGTGATCTCGCTCCCAACCAGATTGGTTTCTTTCCCCAAGATGCTTCCTCATTTTCAGAGGGGGCCAGGGAGGGGTGTGTTTACAAACCCATAAGGAAGCCAGCCCCTCAGTTTCCTTCTTGCTCACCGCCCCCTCACCCCCACCCGAGAGCAGCCCAGGAGGCTACTGGGAGGTGATAGCTGCCATTCCAGGCCGTGGCCAGCAGGAGTCAGCAGAGCAGCTTGAGAGGGTAGCCTCTGCGCAGCGGCCTGGCCACGCCTCTTCCCTGGGGATGTGGATGTTAGGCGGGCTCCCCACCTGCCCTCAGCAGCCCGCCTGTGGGAAGCTCATTCGCTCACTCGCTCATTCATTTGGTTAGCCAAAGCACATGGAGAGCCAGGCACATAGTCAACATGCTCCAAATGAATGTCTGTGACGCAGCACTCTATAAACTGTCGTTCCCGCAACTTTGGTCCCATCTACCCCTGCCATCTGTGGATGCTGTGTAGGCAGCAGCCTGCATTGAACCAGGCCTTCACTTAGGGCCTAGTGCCTAGCTGGTGCTAGGGAAAGATTTGTTCAGTAAACCCATGAGGCATCACCACCACCATTCTTCCCGAGTCCCTGGAGCTGGGAGGAAGTAGAAGGGAGGGTTCTAAATAAATGCGTGTGAGGCCCCTGCCATGTGCTGAGCCCTGCACCAGGCATTGCTGGAGGTGACCTTGTGAACTGTGGGAAACCACCGAACCTGTCCGTGCCCTCACTGCCCCAGGCTCCCAGGTGAGGTGGTGGTGTCCACACAGCCTGACAGATGGGGAAAGGGAGGTTCAGAGACATGACAGGCCCAGGGTCACACTGTGGCGACAAGATTTGGCGTTCAAGGCCAGGTGAGTGGACTGTGGGGACTCTGCTCTCACCCCCAAGCCCCAGCCGCCCCGACGACCCCTCCCTAAGCCTGCCCTACCTGGTGGCAAGCTGGATGCCGCTCAGCGTGGCAGAGCCATCGCGGCTCACGAACAGCCGGAGGTTGCTGTCTGTGGGGACACAGGAGAGGATGGAGGCTGAGCGCGGCAGGGCCAGCCCTTGGAGCAGGTGGCCTCGCCCCCACCAGCCCAGCACGGCTCACCCTCGGTGTTGCTGCCATCTGTGAAATCCTGGCTCTGCACGATCTTCTCCACGATGGCATCCGCATCGATCCGCGTGTCGTCCACCCAGGTCGGGTGGCTCTCCACCGAGTCCTTCTTCCGCCTGGGTCAGGTCGTGGGGGGACAAGTCACAACGGTCAGGGCAGTAACAGGTACAAGCACAGAACGACGACAATAATGCCAGTCAGCCGCAGCGGCGCTCAGAATGTCCCTGTGCGCTCCGTGCTGTACTTCACTGAAACCTCACATGCACAATAGGGTGCAGCTGCCATCATGAGCCGATTTTATAGACGAGGATGCCAGGCAATGAGCAGGTAAGTCAGCTTCCTAAGGCCACCTAGCAGATCGTGCTCTTGTCTGATCCACAAAACCGCAAGAGCAGCCATGAACAGAACCTGCTGCACGCCGGGCATGGCTGCACCCTTCAGGGCCATCAGCTAGTGGAATCGTCACCACCCAACCCTCTGAGGTGGGGACCTTACGGTCCCTGTGTTATAGGTAAAGAAGCGGAGGTTCAAGGCACCACCGGGAGAGGTCTGTTCTCCAGGGGGCACCAAGCAGTAGGCCTCACCTGAAAGAGCGATCGGACAGATGCAGGGGCCGGGGTGGCCGCGGCGGCTTCTCCGGGGGCCGGTGCTCCCGCTCACTGCCCTCAGGGCCCTCCACGGTCATGCCAAGGCCCCCAGAGGCGCTGCTGCTGGTGGACGTGTTGCGGCGGTGCGTCAGGTCTGAGAGGCTGGAGGAGCGCGAGTGCTCTGTGCTGTAGCCTGTCAGGGGCGACGCAGGGGAGCATCACAATGGGGGATCCCGAGGAAGGAGGAGGCCACGGGGGCAGGGCCAGGCAGCCACTCACCGGAGATCTTGGACTGCTGGCTGGCATAGCTGGAGTTGCGGGAGTGGCCAGAGTGGAACACCTCCTCAGGGCTGGACAGGTTCTGGTCGGGTTCCTCTGGCAGCCCTGGAAGGCAGGAAGGGGCAGGGGGTGAGGTGACAGGGGTCACCCAGTGCTGCTCACTGTCGCCCTTCACAACGTGCCCTCACAGAGCCTCCCATGGCAGGGCGCCATTTAACAGACTGAAAAACAGGTTCAGAGGAGCAGCAACCAGCCTGAGCCATAGGTCACCCTCCGAACCCAGGTCCCTTCATTCCACAGAGGGCACACTTGGGTGGGGTGCCCACCACAGGTCAGCGAGGAAGAAGAACGCTGAACAAAAACTGCCTCCACTACCCACAACCGCAGTGAGAGGTGCACAGCAGGGAGCAGTGCTTACTGGGGGTCTGGCCCAGTCTGGGGACAGGGGAGGCTTCTCCAAGGAGACGGCCTTAATGGCAGACCTCCAGGACACATTGCTGGAGGGAGCCAGCTAAGGCCTCAAGAGGGCAAGGGCTTTCCAGGCACAGAGAACAGCATCGGCAGAGGCCCCGAGGCTGGAAGGGGCCTGGGTCAGCGGAGTTGGAGTGGAAGGGACATGGTGAGGGCGAGCGGTCTGGCCCAAAGGGACAGGCCCACAGTCCTGTCCCAAGTCACCCATAAGCCCAACTTCAAAACAGACTTTCCTGGCACTCCCCAGCAGGAGGCAAAAGGGACTAGGTGGGACCTACCCAGGGCTCTGAGTATCCACCTGCCTTCCCGCCCAACACACCCCAGGCTGGCCTGTGACACCCCAGGCTGGCCTGTGTGCCCATCCATAACTATGTGGCTTTTCAAGTCCCCAACAGGTTCTCTGCATATGGGGGGAGGCCAGCTCCAGAGGCAAGTGGGCACTCAAGTCTCACCCTGCCTGGGGGAGGGGCCTCTTCTACTTCACACGAAGGCACCACCTGCGCTGGGGTGGCCTAGTCCCCAGACACATCTCTCTTCTGGGGAACCCCATCCAGGGGCTGGAGAGAGTAATTGTGCTGGGAAGCCCCCAGCTTTCTGTTCTGGGCCTCAGCTAGCTGGGTCTGCAGTGGAAAAGGGAGTGGAGGGAAGCTGGGCCCTTGAGGTCAGAGGGTCTCTCACTGCTCTCAGTTCCCAGAGGCAGAATCACTCGGCAAGCATCTGCTGGGCCACATGAGGCCTGTGCTCTAACTGATTCTGTGGGACAAATCAGGGTTGTCACGTGACACCTTGTTCACTAATCAGCCTGGAGGCAGTCCAAGGCTCATACCTCTGGGGGCCCTGCTTAGGGTTGAGGGGGCCCAGCAAACACTTGGGGGCAGGCCAGAGCCTCCTGTCCTGGCAACACCCCCTCCTCCTAATTGCCACACCATCTCCTCTGGGGGTTGGGGCTCGTTCACATTTTTCATAACATTAGTACCAGTGATAATTTAATAAAAACAGAGTGCCCAGCCGGGCGCGGTGGCTCACGCCTGTAATCCCAGCACTTTGGGAAGCCAAGGCAGACAGATCACGAGGTCAGGAGACTGAGACCATCCTGGCAACCATCCTGGCTGATATGGTGAAATCCAGTCTCTACTAAAAATACAAAAAAAAAAAAAAAAAAAAGGTATATCTGGGCATGGTGGCGCTCGCCTGTAGTCCCAGCTACTCGGGAGGCTGAGGCAGGAGAAATGCTTGAACCTGGGAGGCAGAGGTTGCAGTGAGGTGAGATTGCGCCACTGCACTCCAGCCTAGCGACAGAGCAAGACTCTGTCTAAAAAAACATAAACAAAAAACAGAGTGCCCACTAAGTGCTTACCATGTGCTGGGCAGGTGCCCACATGTGGACAGTTAATCCCCAAAGTGACCTGGGATGTAATTGCTATTACCAATCCCATTTTCCAAAGAACACTGAGACAGAGAGACGCAAACTGGCCAGTCAAAGTCATAGAGTATGTGGGAGAGCAAGAGCTCCCAGCACGTCCCTCTGCCAGGTATACTGTGCCTCACCCCCTGAATGCAGCTCAGATACTACATCCTCAGGGAAGCCTTCCCTGGCCCCAGATGGATCCCACCTTCTGGGCCTGTCTTCCCCAGCTTTTATCCTGTTTGCAGGTAGACATGCATTTATCTATGGCTTGATTGAGGCCTGTTTCTTCTGCTAGACTGCAGGGCCTTGAGGATGGGGAGGCCACATCAGTCTCAGTCCAAGGCACAGCTGTGATCTCAGGGCCCAGCACCACAGCCAGCACGCACAAGGTGATCAGGTCTCATCAGCCCAGCAGGAGCATGCAAACACCCTCCCACCATCACTCTCCCCTCAGTCAGCGTCTCCCTGGGGACCTGGGCATGACATGGAGGTAAACCCCTCGGGCCGCTAGCAGGGGAGGGGCGGACAGATGAGGAACTGTACCTGAGCTGAGAATAGTGGGCCGAGCCTTGGGGGGCCGGGACCCAGTCAGGGAGTTGGTGCTGCTGCCCCCACTGCTGGTCCCACCACCCTTACACGTCAGCTGCAGGGAGGAATCCTGGCCTGGGATGGAGATGGACTTGGCAGTCGATGGTGGCCTTGGGAAGACAGACAGGTGTGACTAGGGTGCCCTGCTTCAGGACCAGATGAAAACAGAGGACACCCAGAGTCCCTGTTCCTCCACCCCTAGTGCCCGGGACTGGGCTCCCATCCGCTCCCTAGGCCTGTGCCAGCACTCACGTCTTGAAGCAGGGATCTCCAGAGAGCAGGAACATACCAATGGTGACCTGTGGCGAGGGGAGCAATCAGCTATGCCCTGACCACCCACAGCCTGCCCAGGCGCAGGGCCCCCTGCAGCCTTTCGGCTCTGGCCTCAGAAGGGCTTGGATTCCAATCCTGTCTCTCTGCCCCCTCCTGGCTTGGGGGCTCTGGCAAAGCCACTAACCTCTCTGAGCCCAGTTTCCCTGTGTGGAGGACAGAGATGGAACCAAGGCCTGCCTGGCAGACCAGAGGGGAGGGCATAGCAAGGTGAGGCCTGGGCTCAGCCCTGCGCCTGGCAGAGTGAGCGGACTGCCATCAGCTACAGGCCTAGACAATGAGCTTCTCCATGGTGAAGCCACACACTCACCCCGGCCCTGTGTAAGGACCACAGAGCTCAACCCAGCAGGCAGGAGAGGGAAGAGGGCTCATGGGGCCTGGCACAGCAGGTGGTGGGCAGGGTTTGGTGAAAGTCTGATGAAAAAGCATGAAGCCATTGCAAACTAACAACAGCCCAAATGTGGCAAGATTTGGGCCCTAAAATCTAGGCTGAGATGGAGTGACAGGCAGAGATGAGCAAGTGGAAAAGAGGAGCACAGATCCTGACGTCACCACTTATGAAAGGGTGACCACTCCGTTGAGGCTTTCGGCCGGGTGCCGTGGCTCACGCCTGTAATCCCAGCACTTTGGGAGGCCAAGGCGGGCAGATCACGAGGTCAGGGGCTCGAGACCATCCTGGCTAACACGGTGAAACCCCATCTCTACTAAAAATACAAAAATTAGCCGGGCGTGGTGGCGGGCACCTGTAGTCCCAGCTACTCGGGAGGCTGAGGCAAGAGAATGGCATGAACCTGGGAGGTGGAGCTTGCAGTGAGCTGAGATTGTGCCACTGCACTCCAGCCTGGGTGACAGCGAGACTCTGTCTCAAAAAAAAAAAAAAAAAAAAAGAAAGGGTGACCACTAGGTTGAGGCTTTCTATGGCTTATTCACTCGGCCATGAAAGCATCCTAGCTAGCCCAAGGCTGTTGATGAGGGAACCAAGACTCAGAGAGGGGAAGTGACTCCCAAGACCTTGCAGACAGGATGTGGGGGAGCTTCCCTTGAACCCAAGGCTACCTGGCCCCCAGGCTCCCTTGATCTGGCCTGAGGTGCACAGGGCTACTGTGCCTGTGCTTTTCAGCCTGACTGAGGCTGAAAGGCTCCAGCTCCCAAGACAATCAGCCTGGACCCTTTCTGGCATCTCCGGTTCCCTCTGCAAAGGGTCTAGGAGGCCCCAGAGCCCCTGCTCACCACCTCCTGCCCAGCTCTGCTCCAGATACCATAGGCTCTCCCTGGGTCCCCTTGCAGAGGCGCTGTTAGGACAGCCTGTTTTCCCGGCCAGGTGAAAGGTGTGGAAACAGAGGAAGAGAGGTGTGCTGGTGACGGACACCCAGACATTTCTGTTCCCAAAAGGCCAACGAGGCAGCTGCCTGGGGGTGGGGCTGCCCTGTCCACTGGAAACCTGCCCCCGGGGCCCTCAGCAGCCATCATTTTCACTGATAATCCACTGGGGGCCAGGCTACCACGTGTCACTTGGGGAAGAGTTAGGAGCTGGGCCAAGAAGTCAACTGGCTGGTGGTCAGGTGCCAGCTCTGTCTGTGACTTCAGGCAAATGACTTAACGTCTGTGCCTTAACTCCCTCCCATTTGAAGCTGGGACTAATCAAAGATACCACAGCTCGTGGGGCTGCTGTCAGGGGACCACAAGAGAAGAGAGGGCATGCAATCAGCATGACGTGAACCCACTGCAGGTGCTTGCCAAACCCTGGAGACTGTCAGGGCCCCCTCTCTGAACTTGATGGGGAAACTGAGGCCAACAGCGGAGCCAGGCCTCCCTCTGATAGTGGTTTCCTGATTCCAGGGCTCGCCCCTTCCCGATGTCTACCTATTCAGGTAAGGCCTGTATTTTTAACAACCCTCCTCCAGAGGATTCTGATGAGCAGCCTGGTTTGTCCCCATCCCGTGGTCAGGGTGGCAGAGGTGGCAGGATCCCTGGTACCTTAAGGATGGAGTTGTCCTGGCGAGTGTTCTTCGTGTCATATCCCTCGAGCAGGCAGCAGCGCACCGTGGAGCCCGAGCCCGCAAACTCGGCCAGGTTCAAGTCAGCGAAGCCCAGCTAGGAGGTGAGAGGAGCGTGTGGGAGGGCTGAGGGAGTGTGGGCTCCTGGCTGGCGGAAGCCCAGAAGGGTAACTTGGCAAAAGTTGGAGAGGGAGACAGATAAAGCCCCTGGGCCAGCCCCACAGCCTCGACTGACTGTTGCATAACTGGGACCCAAGGACAGAGGCCCCGGGTCGGCAGCACCAACATGGCAAAGCCAGGAACTCACATCCCTGAGCTGCACAAAGCACCCTTTGTGCCACGTCCCGGCGTGCACCGGGGCCAGTGCGCCTGACATGAAAGGACATTGTTGTCCGTGACACAGATGCATTGTTCCCTGGGAAACAAGGCCGTGCTGTCGGGAGCTGCCGGGTCAGCAGGCAGGGGAGGAGGGAAGGCCTGTGGGAAGTGGGTGCTGGGGAAAGTGATGGGACACCCCCACAGGGGTTGGGAGGGGAGGGGCACTGCAGGATGAGCAGGAGCCCCAGGGAAGGCGCCCTGGTAGAGGACAGAGTGAGGGGCTGCTGGGCAGAGTTCAGGGTCTGAACAGGCCCTTGGGACCTCTGGACAGAGGATCGAGGGATGGGGAGGGAAGTGGGAGTAAGTGCGAAGAGGGCATGCGCTAAGAAGGCCCTGTGGATGGAGGCCAAGTCTGCTAGACCTGGAGGGGAAAGTGAGATTGAGACGAGGTGGTGCCAGACTTGGGGACTTGGAAGACATCTCCGGTTCCCTCTGCAAAGGGTCTAGGAGGCCCCAGAGCCTCTGCTTACCACCTCCTGCCCAGCTCTGCTCCAGATACAACAGGCTCAGAAGAGATAGATAATGAAATGTTTGAACCAATGTTTGAACCCAACCGAACCAATCAGGGATGAGTGTCAAGTAACTGCTGCCTGCAAGTCTCTACTGCAGTGTTCAGGGCACACACTCCAGAATCAGGGAATTGGATTCAGATCCTAGCCCCGCCATGGACTCAGAGTGATCCCCATTTTATAGATGAGAAAACTAAGTTCACAGAGGCCGGGCGCGGTGGCACGCCTGTAATCCCAGCACTTTGGGAGGCCAAGGCAGGCGGATCACGAGGTCAGGAGATCGAGACCATCCTGGCGAACACGGTGAAACCCCGTCTCTACTAAAAATACAAAAAAAATTAGCCGGGCGAGGTGGCGGGCACCTGTAGTCCCAGCTACTCAGGAGGCTGAGGCAGGAGAATGGCGTGAACCCGGGAGGCGGAGCTTGTAGTGAGCCGAGATCGCGCCACTGCACTCCAGCCTGGGCGACAGCGAGACTCCATCTCAAAAAAAAAAAAAAAAAGAAAAGAAAAGAAAACTAAGTTCAGGGAGGGGAAGAAGCTTGCCCAGGGCCAAACAGCTAACCCAACAGAGACAGGACTGAAACTAGGCCTGATCAGCACCACGTCCAGCCACTTCTCAGGGCCTCAGTTTCCTCCTCTGTATAATGGGAGTAAAGCCTGCAGTGGGAGTTCAATTACAGAACAGAAGGGAAGGGGCCTGGCAGTGCCTGCCATGTGCTGGGTGCCTGGTAAATGTTTGCCAGTGGAGGTGAGATGCTCCCAGGTGTTTGCTGGTAATTCCTTTCCTGGCTGCACAGCTGTCCTCACCCGTGTGAATCAGAGAAATTTCCACTGTGACAGCACCCTCCACAGCCTGGTTCTAGCCATACTGTCCTCTGCTTCTGGAGAGGGACGTCAGCGCCCCGGGCCAGGGCAGAGTGCACTGCCCAGCCGGCTGAGTTCCTGAGCTCTGGTCAGTGGGAAGGGCCACGCCCTGTATAGCGCCTCCCTCGGGTGAGAGGTGAGGCGAAGGCATTTCCCCTCCCGGCTGATGAAGCCCACCCTCCTGCCACTGGGCTAAGCCTCAGGAGCTGAGGAGGGGAGGCCAAGAGTCCACCATGGAGAAGAGGGATGGAAGGCAGAGCAGGCTTATTCAAAGCCAGAGCTGTCTTCTCCCTCTTTGCCCAGTAGAAAAGCTCTTAATACTATGTAGGGCTGAACTGTCTGTGGGTACAGTGAAACCCTGGTAACAATGCACATGTCCAGCAGCAGGGCTGGCTGAGTCAACCATCGCCAGCCATGCCACGGGACACTGCTGCCATTAGAAAGCACATGGAAATTTGTGATAACACAAAAAGATGCCCAGAATGGATTAAGTAAAAAACCAAGCTGCAAATCTGTTTATTTATTTATTTATCTGGAGGCAGAGTCTCGCTCTGTCACCCAGGCTGGAGTGCAGTGGCGCAATCTCGGCTCTCTGTAACCTCCACCCTCCCGGGTGCAAGCAATTCTTGTGCCCCAGCCTCCCGAGTAGCTGGGATTACAGGCATGCACCACCACACCTGGTTAATTTTTTTTGTATCTGTAGTAGAGACGGGGTTTTGTCGTATTGCCAAAGCTGGTCTTGAACTCCTGAGCTCAGGCAATTCGCTTGCCTCAGTCTCCCAAAGTGCCAGGATTATAGGCGTGAGCCACCATGCCCAGCCGTACTCGGGAGGCTGAGGGAGGAGAATTGTTTGAACCTAGGAGGAGAAGGTTGCAGTGAGCGAAGATTGTGCCATTGCACTCCAGCCTGGGCAACAGAGCAAGACTCTGTCTCCAGAGGAAAAAAAAAATCATATTGTTTGCATGCACTTCAGTACACACAGAGGGTGCTCATTTTGCATTTCTTTAAACCACACGCATACATTTTATTTGCTGCTCTCTTTGTATGGTATATTTCCTTTTTTTCTTCTTACAAGGTCTGGAAAGGTCTTAATCTATCCAATAATGGGGTCCCAGAAAGAGGCCTGGAGAGAGGAAAGGGGACAGAAACTGGCCCTTTTGCTCTGTGGACTTCTGTACCATTTATATTGCAACAACCATATGCTGCCTTTATATTGAGTGCAAAGACCATCAATAAAGATATTTCTAAAAAATAACACATCTCAGGTAGGGCTGAGTGCCTCTTGCTTGTGGCAGAAAAGGGGCTGGAGGCTTCCCTTGTGCCTGTCCCATGCCACCCCCCATTCCATCCCACTGCCCCTTCACACAGCCCCTCTTACCTTGGAATAAGCCTTCCCGCCTTTCAGCTCCTGCACAGGGAGGGAGACACAAGCAGCAAGTTGACTGCAGAATCCCAGGGACCTCATGCATCTCCCACAATCCCCCCAGATCTGAGGGGAGGAGGGCAACGGGCAGAGCAACTCACCCCATTTTCAGCTGGGGGTGCGGACTCATGAGGGGAGGGGCCTATAGCCCAGCCCAGCAGCCCCACATGCGCCCTTGGCCTCACCTTGCGCACAGACACACGGAAGACACAGGGGTCCAGCAGGCCGGTGGCCGGGTTAGCACTCATCTTACACACGAAGGTGAACCTCTTTCGCCACCGCACACAGTTCTCCTGTACCTCCTCCCTGTGGGCCAGAGGCGACAGGTGAGCACAGGCACACACATCCGCGCCAGGGGACTCCATGTGGTACCAGGGACATGGCACTCCCCATTGGGACTGAGGCGGTGGGAAGCTCCACTTTCACTCTGTGTCACAAAATAGCTGTGTTTTCACCACAAGAATGTACTCGTGTAGTTGTTGTAAAAACAACAGTGAAAACGTAATAAAAATGAGACAAACACAAGGCAGGGGTGAGGTGAGCTAGGGCAGCTGTCCCTCCCCAGGAAGCCTGGCAACCTGCAGAGCCTCCCTCTGTACCCAGTGCTGCTCCCGCCACCTTGCTCTGAGACCTTGGGCAGTTCCCTGCACTGCCATTACCTCCTCCAAAGCCAGGCTCTGCCAACCGCCTCATGACCCTCACAATAGTCTTAGGCTGGACTACTCAGCCCATTTCAAAGATGAAGAGACCGAGGCTAGGCAAGCTGCCCCACACCTCCCAGCCAGTAGATAGCTGAGCTGGGCCTGAAGCCTGGTTCCTCCTGACTCCAGAGCTGCCTTCTTCATCACTAATAACAACAATGACAATAGTAACAACAGCTGATACCCACACAGTGATTCCCATGTGCCAGGCACTGTTCAAAGAACTTCACAAGAGCCAGCAGGCCCTGGAGCCTGCTCCAAGTGCCAGAGAAAGGTGGTCATGCCAAACCTTTCCAACCTCTGTATGGAGCAGCCACATCATCAGCTCAATCCCCAGTCAAAGAAACTGGGGGCCCGGAGGCTAAGACCCTCACCTGAGGCCCACCACAGGTAAGAGCAGAATGGGGATTAACCCAAGCAGTTGGACTCTGGGTGCGGAGACAGCGACCTGGGGGCTTCAGCTTCACCAACACTAAGCAGAGGGCTCTGGTCTTCTAGCCCCCCGGTTCCTCCTGAGTTGGAGAGCATGACCATGCTGAAAAATTCAGCACCCCTCTACTGGAGAGATGCTTTGTGCCCTGGGAGTGAGTGGGAGCCAGTGGCAGCAGCTCATCCAAGCCCCTCCCAACTGCTGCGGGGGCCTTGGCAGGATCTGGGGGTGGCAGCGGCACGTGGCAGAACCGAGCTCTGCATCCCCGAGCAGCTCCCCATCTCCATACAGCCTGCCTGGCAGAGCCCGTGCTCAGGAAGGGGTGGCCAGGGAAGGGAGGAGACAGTGTGAGAGACGTTATCTCCAGCTCATCCCACCTAAGCACAACCGCCAAGGGGACAGCTAAGGAAGTGACCCGAGGAGAGTGGGTTAACTGCCAGATCGAGGCCTCAGGGCAGAGGGTCGGAGAGGGCCGCAGCCAAGCCTCCCCTGAGCATCGCCAGGTTTGCTTTGCATGGCAGTCTTGCAAGGTGGGCTCTATGCCACCCCTTCTACTGCTGAGGGCACTGAAGCTCCAAAAGAAGGCCACCCTACCCGCCACTCGAGCTCATATCCCCAGTGATTGGCAAAGCAGGATTTAAACCCAGGACTGTATGACTTCAGAGTCAGGGCTCTCAGTCGCCACTTTGGCTCAGGAGCCCGGGAAAGCCTGGCGAGGAGAACCTGTGGTGTTGTGGGGCCTGTAGTACCCTGCTCTGCCCCAAGGCACCGCCCAGGTCTCTGAGTGCCAAGCAGGTGCTGGGATGAGCCACTGCAGACTGTATTTACCCAGTGATGACTCATTGTCACCAGGAGAGGGCGGGGGAACAGATGAATCAGGGAAGGTGACATTCAAGCTCAGGATAGAATGAGCCTGGGGAGTAGCCAGGTGGAGGAGACAGTTCCAAAGAGAGGAAACAGCATGAATGAGGGAGTCCCGTTTCCTTAGCCAATGAAAGCCCCTAAGCCTCACTTTCTATGAGGAGCCCCCTCCAGGCTCCACAAGGCTTTGAGGATGTGACCAAGGCTTACCCTGTGCTCCTGCCAAGGCGGTGACAAGGGTCAAGAGGGCAGGCAGACCTGGGCCACACCCTGCACACTCACTGGGGCACACCGCCCCTGTCGTGGCTGCTGTTGTGGGAGCACTGAGTGAAATGAATCCTGCAAAGTGCCTGGCCCGGTGAAGGCTCTGTGATGTCACCAGAATGCACCTAGCTTGTTAGGAGGGTGAGCTCCAACAACCCTCTGCAACCAAGACTGGGGACAAGCAGAAAGGTCAGGGCTGAAGACGGGAGGAAGGGACAGATCTAATCCCTATAGGCAGGTGCCACAGGAGTGGGGGCCCTAGGCTGGGGGCATCACTTGAGCCTAGTCATGCTGGCTCCACTTATTCATTCATTCATCATCAAACAACTGAGCACCAGTGTGTGCCAGGCCCTGTTCTAGGCACTCGAACCACAGCAGTAACCAGCTTACATTCTGGTGGGAGGAGAAAGAAGAAGACCAAATAAATAAGAAAAATACCTAGTAGTGGAAAGGAAGAACTAAAACTATATTAACAGATGACTTGATCTTTTATACAGAAAACACTTAAGGAATCCACTAAAAAACTATTTTGTTTTATTTATTTATTTTTTTGAGATGGAGTTTCGCTCTCGTTGCCCAGGCTGGAGTGCAAGGGCATAAACTCAGCTCACTGCAACCTCTGCCTCCCGGGTTCAAGCAATTCTCCTGCCTCAGCCTCCTGAGTAGCTGGGATTACAGGTGCCCACCACCAAGCTCGACTAATTTTTCTATTTTTGGTAGAGACGGGGTTTCACTGTGTTGGCCGGGCTGGTCTTGAACTCCTGACCTCAGGTGATCTGCCCCCCTTGGCCTCCCAAAGTGCTGGGATTACAGGCGTGAGCCACCACACCCGGCCATTATTATTATTATTATTATTTGAGACAGAGTCTCACTCTATGGCCCAGGCTGGAGTGCAGTGGCACGATCTCGGCTCACTGCAACCTCCACCTGCTGGGTTCAAGTGATTCTCGTGCCTCAGACTCCTAAGTAGCTGGGATTACAGGCATGTACCACAACACCTGGCTAATTTTTGTGTTTTTAGTAAAGATGAGGTTTTGCCATTTTGGCCAGGCTGGTCTCGAACTCCTGGCCTCAAGTGATCCATCTGCCATGGCATCCCAAAGTGCTGGATTACAGGCATGGGCCACAATGCCTGGCCTCATACATGATTACAGGTGTGGTGGCTCATGTATGTAATCCTAGCACTTTGGGAGGCCGAGGCGGGCATGGATCACTTGAGGTCAGGTAGCTATAGTTCCAGCTACTCAGGAGGTTTAGATGGGAGAATCTCTTCAACCCAGGAGGCAGAAGTTGCAGTGAGCCAAGATCAAACCACTGTACTCCAGCCTGGGCAACAGAGTGAGACCTTGTCTCAAAACAAACAAAGAACAAAAATAAAAAATAAAAATGCATGAGTTCAGAAAAGTTGCAGGATACAAGATCAATATACAAAAATCAATTCTTTCTATATATTGGCAAACACAGTGAAAAGAAGAAAGCAATTCCACGTACAATAGCATCAAAAAGAAAAAAATACATAGGAATAAATTTAATAAAGTACAAAATACATACTCCGGAAACTACAAAACATTGCTGAAAGACATTAAATATCTAAATAAATGGAAAGACATCCCATGTTCATGGATCGGAAGACATGTTGTTAAGATGATACTCCCAAATAGTTCTAAAATTCATCACAATCCCTATCAAAGCCCCACGCTGGCTTCTTGGCAGAACTTTGACAAGCTGATCCTAAACTTTACATGGAAATCCAAGGGACCAGAATAGTCAACATAATCTTTAAAAAGTAAAACATCATTTAAAAATTCACGCTTTTGATTTCAAAATATCTACAAAGTTATAATAATCAAGAAAAGGTGGTCCTAGCATTAGGACAGACACAAATGGAATACAACTGAGATTATCCAGTTTACAAAGGTTTAGAAATAAACCTTAGAGACCAGCCTGGCCAACATGGCAAAACCCCATCTCTACTAAAAATACAAAAATTAGCTAGGCATGATGGCATGTGCCTGTGATCCCAGCTACTTGGGAGGCTGAGGCACAAGACTCACTTGAACCCAGGAGGCGGAGGTTGCAGTGAGCCAAGACGGCACTACTGCAACTCCAGCCTGGGCGACAGAGGGAGACTGTTTCAGAAAAAAGAAACCAACCTTCACTTTTATGGTCAATTGATTTTTGACAACAGTGCCAAAATAATTCAGTGGGAAAAAGAATAGTCTTTTCAACAAATGTTTCTGGGACACTGGATATCAACATGCAGGAGAATGAAGTGCGTGTGTGAGGGGGGTGGTGCACAGGGCTATCTCATGCTATATACAAAAATTAACTGAAAATGGATCAAAGATCTAAGTGTAAGAGCTAAACTATAAAATGTTGGAAAAAAGCATATGGGTAAATCTTCATGACCTTGGATTAGGCAACTATTTCCTGGATATAATACCAGAAGTACATGTGATAAAAGAAAAATATAGATATATTGAATGTCATCAAAATTAAAAACTTTTAGTGGGGCACAGTGGCTCACACCTGTAATCCCAGCACTTTCGGAGGCCAAGGTGGGAGGATCACTTGAGGCCAGAAGTTTGAGACCAACCTGGGCAACACAACAAGACCCCATCTCTACAGAAAATTTTAAAATTAGCCAGGAGTGGTGGTGCATGCCTGTAGTCCCAGCTACTTGGGAGGCTGAGGCAAGAGGATGACCTGAGCCTAGGAGTTTGAGGTTACAGTGAGCTGTGATTACACCACTGCACCCCAGCCTGGGTGACACAGTGAAACCCTATCTTAAAAAAAAAAGAAAAAACAAAACAAACAAACAAAAAACCTTTTGCACTCCAAAGGACATCATCAAAAAAGTGAAAAGACAAACCACAAAATAAGAAAAAATACTTGCAAATCAGATATATGAGGGACTGGTATCCAGAATATATAAAGAGCACCCACAACTCAATAAAAAGACAAAAATCCAATTAAAAATGGGCAAAGGATCCAAATAGACATTTCTCCAAAGAACATACACAAGTGGTCAACAAGCACACAGGAAGATGCTCAACATCATTAGCTATTAGGGAAATGAAAATCAAAACTAAAATGAGATACTACTTCACACCCACTAGGATGGCTAGAATCAAAGGCGAAGATGTGGAGAAAGTGGAACCCTCATACACTGCTGGTAGGAATGTAAAATGGTGCAGCCCCTTTGGAAAACAGTATGGCAATTCCCCAAAAGGTGAAACACAGAGTTATGATATGACCCAGCAATTTCACCCCTAGGTATATATCCCAGAGAAATGAAATGTGTCCACACAAAAACTTGTACACAAATGTACATCACAGAATTATTCATAACCAAAAAGTGAAAGCAACCCAAATGTCCATCAACTGGTAAATGGACAAATAAAATGTGTTCTATGCATACAATGGTGTATCATTCAGCAATAAAGAGAAATGATACACTTCTAACTGGGGAATAACCTTGAAAACATGAAGCTAAATCAAAGCAGCCAGCCAGAAAGAACTATAGAGTTGATTATCTCATTTATATGAAATGTCCAGAATAGGCAAATCCATAGTGACAGGAACTAGATTGGTGGCTGCCAGGGATGGAGGATGATATGGTCTGGCTCTGTGTCCTCACCCAAATCTCATCTCAAATTGTGATCCCCACATGTCAAGGGAAGGGCCTGGGGGGAGGTGATTGGATCATGGGGGTGGTTTCCCCGATGCTGTTAACATGAGTGAGTGAGTTCTCATGAGATCTGATGGTTTTATAAGGGGCTCTTTCCCCTTTGCTGCTGCTTCTGTCTCCTGCTGCCATGTGAAGAAGGTCCTCGCTTCCCCTTCGCCTTCTGCCATGATTTTAAGTTTCCTGAGGCCTCGGCACCCATGTGGGACTGTGAGTCAATTAAACTTCTTTCCTTTGTAAATTACCCAGTCTTCGGTATTTCTTTATGGCAGTGTGAGAACAGACTAATACAGGGGACTTGAGGGGAAAAGGAGTAACTGCTAATGGGTTTGGGATTTCTTTCTGGGGTGATGAAAATGTTCTAAAATTTGTTGTGATGATGGTTGTGCAACTGTGAATATACTAAAAACCACTTAACTGTACACTTTAAATGGGTGTATTGTGTGGTATGTGAATTATATCTCAATAAAGCTGTTAAATACATGGTAGGTCAGATAAATAGAAAAATGGAGAACACCACAGGGAAGGTGTGTGGGGAGTGCAGGTAGCGATGAGGTGTGGCTGCTTCAGGTGGGGGGTTAGGGATGGCCCTTAGGGCAGTGACATCTGAGCACGGCTTGGACTGAAGTGGGGACTGAGCAAAGACAGGGGAAGAGCCCTCCAGGTGAGGGAGCAGCAAGTGCAGAGGCCCTGAGGCAGAAACACACTTGGCAGGTAGAAAACTAGTGCAGAGGACAGTGGCTGAAGAGGAGCTGGGGGGAGATCAGAGGGGATGAGATGGGTGAAGGAGCAGGGGCAGGTCCTGCTAGACCTCAAGGGTGTGAGAAGACTGCATCTGATTCTGACAGCGGCTCTGTCTTGCCCCCGTGGACTGTGGCTTAGGCAGAGGCTGAGAACAGCCACAGAGGAGGAGAATGGAAGGGCAAAGAGAGCAGAGACACTTCCCAGGCAGCCAGAGGAGGCCCAAGCTTGAAAGGGGGAAGGCTGGGGAGTGGCCATGGCTCCCCACACTTCACCTAGGGTTGGAAGCAGCTGCTGGAGGCCTGGGGAGGCAGCTCGGTGCTCTGGGCATGTTGAAACACCCAGTGGAATTGGGATTAGTGTCTGGGAACAAAAGCTCACAGTGAATTGTGGGCTTTCTCCCTTTCCTTTTGAGAGTTTGCTGTGGGAACGCCAGCCAGGAAGCCTAAGGCCCATTTGCAGTTCCAGGGCCAAGCCAGAAAAAGCCACCTGGAACCCTCCTAGCTCAGGTAACAGGCACATTCCCCCCTCCACAGGAAGAGCTCACAGGGTCAGCACTGGGCCTCCCTCCTGTTTCTACAGGGCTCTGAACAATCACCTATTGGAAGCCACCACTCCCACGGGAAGAGGCAAGCAGCCTCGCCCTGGCCCACGGCCAGAGGTCACAGCAAGGGTAAAAAAAAAACCACAGCAGCAGCGGCCACCTCCTGAGGGCCTACTGTGTGCGGCCCAGAACTCTTCAACACTGAAAGGTGACTGCTACCACAGCCCACTTTACAGATGGGGAAAGTGAGGCTCAGAAATGCTGCGTAACTCATCTGAAGTCACAGCAGAGCTAGTCTCGACCCCAGCCCCATCTGCGTCCAGACCCTGTGTCACAGCTGGGACACAGCTATGCAGCTGCCTCAGGGCCCACACTGCCTCCCCCTCAGCCCCGGGGCCCCTCTGGTGGGAAGCAGCTGGGCACCCCCAGGCAGGTGGCATGCATGGGGCATGATCCCATGCATGGGGCAGGGATCATGGTGGGAGATGAACACAGGCTCAGGCAGGGTGGGGTAAGGGATGCTTGTGATGGGAGGTGGGAATGAGGATGCCAGGCAGGCAGCCATGAGCCCCAGGTTGGGAGCTGGCCAGGTCAGGACTGAGGACATCTCAGAGCCTTGATCCATTCAGAAACCTTTTATGAAGCCCCCACCAGGTGCCAGGCACTGCTGAAGGCTCTGGGAACACAAGCAATAAACAGAGAAGACAGAAATCCCTGCCTTCAAGGGGCTTATACTCTGGCAGTGGGTGGAAGACAGACAAAACCAGGCAAATGCATACCAGCTAGCCTGGGGTGCAACAGAGAAAAAGGAACCAAGGAAGGAGGCAGACAGTGCCCCAACAATGGGGGCACCAGAGAATGAGGGCCAGAGAAGGTCTTCATGGGAAGGTGACATCTAAGCAAAGACTGAAGCGAGTGGCCACAGATATCTGGGGGAAGAGCAATCCGGGCACGAGGAACAGCAAGTGCAAAGGCCCCGGGGTGGGAATGTCTGTCGCGTTTGAGGAGGAGCTGGGGGCCAGTGTAGCTGGGGCGGAGGATGCCGGGGCAGGCATGGGCCAGGGAGACTGGAGAGGCAGCCTTGGTCCTAAGCTTACAGAGGAGCTGTATGGAGGGGCAGTCCCCACGGTGTCCACGTGTATGCGACTGGTCACAGCAGCAGAAGTTGGGCAAAAGTGGGAAGTAATGAGGACTGCTCCGATGGCACCCAGCAGGCAACGCCAGAAGAGAAGGAGGGGAGGGAGGGCAAGCTGTGCTCCCCAGCAGGGTGGGATGGCCCCATCAGACCTGCAGGAAGGGAACATGCAGAAGGGGATCTACATGACCCCATTTTTATTTAATTTTTTAAAGTGACATATGTAAATGCCCACAAGCACACAGAAAACAGGAGATGCCCACATCAAATTGCAAATGAAGGCCACCTCTGGCCACTGGAGTGTCTGGAGATTGGGGTGAGTAGGGAAGAAAAGAAAGGATGAAGATGGGCATGGTGCCCCTTTTTTCCTTTGTCTTGAACAGAAAGTATCCATTGTGAGCATTTCTTAAAGCACACCTGACCAAAGGAAACCCAATCCCCGGCAGTCCTGGGGACTGCATTGTGGCCCAGGGTGGAAATGCAACTCTGCAGAACGACCCCACCCCAGCACTATGAGACCCTGGAGGGAGGGCCCAGGGTCCTCAGAGCTGAGTGCCACCAGGGCCGGCTGTGACCTCCATGGCCTGTGAGTGCTAAGAGGGCAGGCCTGGGCTGCTGGGTGCTGTGCATGCCAGTACCCAACACATGTCTCCAGTGACCAGAGGCACAACCAGCTGCCTGTCTCAGAAAGAGGAAAGTGTAAAAAAACTAAAATGAGCACCTATGAAGAAAAATTATAAATAAGATGTTTATTAAGAAAACAGGCCAGGCATGGTGACTCATGCCTGTAATCCCAGCACTCTGGGAGGCTAAGACAGGAGACTCACTTGAGGACAGGGGTTGGAGACCAGCCTGGGCAACATAACAAGACCCCACCTTGATTAAAAAAGAAAAAAGAAATAGGACCACGGACCCTCCTTACTGCCCACCACCACCTACTTACCCTAATGTGGCCCAGGTCTGGGCTACAGAACTGAAATTTTAAAATGATAGAAGCAAGGTCCGGAGAAGGAGATTGTTTTAACCCAGAATCCTGGACTTCAGGCTCCCTGGCCAAGCAGCTTATTCACACTGGTATGAAGGGATAATGGCCAGAAGGCAGGCAGGGAGCTCAGAGCAGGTCTGACCAAAGGTGGGGTGGAAGGGTTATCAGAGACTCTTTCTTCGTTTCTGTCCAAGAGTTGTTTCCATAATTGAAATTTAAATTGAAAATGAGAAAAGGGTATGGGTTAGGAAGGCTGCTTATAAGCAAAAGGGATCTGAACCCTCAGCCACCTGGTTCAAGGCCTGGGTCCTCCCAAGTTACCAAGTGGAGTCACCCCATGCAGTACATGGGACCTGCTGGCAGGGCTGGCCGCCCGCCTGGGAAGAGACAGTGATGAACGGCCCTCCCGGGCCTGGGGTTGCAGGGCGTGCTTCCCCCGCTCCCCGCTGCCAGGAACAGGTAATTACAGAGACTGGGTTTCATTTTTAGCTTTAAGATATACAATTAGACATGTAAATCTCAGCAAGGCGGGACAAGCCCTGCACCCACCACAGCCACTGTGGCCATCCCAGCAGTGGAATTTGGCTATTTCTGGGCTGTCTGGAAACAGCAGAACACCCCACCAGGCTGGTGTCCTTGGCCCAGCAGAACTCTCCAGGAGCTCTCCCAGCCCTGGGAAGGCTGCCCAGTGACCTGACCACCCTCTGACCCATCCCAGGAAGCACGCCAGGTGGTGTGGGGAGACACACAGACCTGTATCCCAAATCGGACCGGGACCTCCACAATGCATCCACGAGGACTGACTGTGGTGCCGGCTCGGGGTGCGGGACACAATGCGAGCAACCTCCTGGAGGAGTCCCTGGTTGAGAGGGGGAGACGGCCATTACACAGGAATGACTGCAGTCACCGCCAGTCTCCCAGGAAGGAGAAGGAGCTACAAGGGCGGTGAACAGAGCAGGCTGGGGGCAGGAGGCCGAGAAGCCTCCCTGGATAGTGACATCAGAGCCGGGACCTCAGGCAGTCAGCTGGGTGAAGACCTGGGGGGAAGGAGGTCCCAGGCAGTGGGAACAGCACAGGGAAGACCCAGAAGGAGGGAGGTGGCTCCCAGGAAGAGCCTCCCTGGAAAGCCGGGGGGTGGATGAGGCTGGTGACGAGGAGAGGCCACCAAGTGACTCGGGGAGCCCCATCTTGGTGAGCCTCAACTTCCTCATCTGTAAAAGGACGACTTACCCATCACATGGGGCTGTTGGGGTGACTCTGTGGTCCCACAGCACCTCTCTCCACTGCTCAACAGAGGGAGGATGCAGAGAATTCTGCCTCTGTGGTCCCGAGGTCAGTTCGCTGCCACATCCCCAGCACCTGGCCCCAGCCTGATCCAGCATTACTGCCCAGTAGGTGCAACAAGAAGATCCCAGAGCCTTGACAACCCCAGGTCTCCATCACCAGGGTGACGTGGGGCCAGGTGCCGTAGGGCTGTGGGAGCCACCTCCTGGCCTCAGGCTGCCAGGCTCACAGGATTCCTACAGACAGGGGTCAAATGGGCCCATCAGGGGCTCTCCTCAGAGTTGGAGCAAAAGTGCATGCCTGGCTGGCAACCCTCACAGGAGCAGAAAGTCAGGAAAAAGGAATCCGGGTATCACTGGGGCAGTCCAACCTCTGTGACAGGGCTCCAGCCTGACCCACGTCCACTCTCAACACTTCGCCTTCCCAGTTCCAGTACTCAGAGACACACATCTCACCTCCACTGGGTGCCCAGCACGAAGCCCTGCGGGGGCAGGTGCTCAAACTCACAAGCAAAGAGAGGGGTGAGGTCCAGCAGGACAGGGGTTCTCAGATAAAAATATCCCTGGCAGCCAGGCGCGGTGGCTCACACCTGTAATCCCAGCACTTTGGGAGGCTGAGGCGGGTGGATCACCTGAGGTCAGGAGTTCGGGACCAGCCTGGACAACACGGTGAAACATGAAACCCCACCTCTACTAAAAATACAAAAATTAGCCAGATGTGGTGGCGGGCACCTGTAATCCCAGCTACTTGTGAGGCTGAGGCAGGAGAATCTCTTGAACCCGGGAGGCGGAGGTTGCAGTGAGCCAAGATCGCGCCATCGCACTCCAGCCTGGGTGACAGAGCAAGACTGTCTCAAAAAAAAAAAAAAAAAAAAAAAAAAAAAAAAAAAAAAACCAAAAACCAAAAAACATTCCACTGGCTCATGACAAACGAAGATTCCCAGTGAGCCCTTCCAGAACCACAGACTCCGCAGGACAGGGTTTCTTTTTGTGAGGGGCTGTCCTGCGCACTGTGGGATGTTCAGCAGCACCCTGCCAGTAGCACAGCCCCAGGTGTGACAACCGAAAATGTCTCCAGAGATCGCCAAATCAACCCTGGTTGAGAGCCACTGCTGCAGGTCTTAAAAGGGCATTTTAAACGAGCTCCCAGGTGATTCTGATGCAGGGAGCTGGGCACCCAGCTAAGAGACAGTAGCGCTCTGACAGGCGTGTGGAACTCCAGGTTCCAGCTGTGCTCCTGGGTTCCTGACAGTGCTGGTCCCCCAGAACAGGGCCCCATCACTTAAGTCCATCACTTAAGTCCCTTGCCTGCCATCCGTCTGCCCCTCCCTCAGCCACGCTCACTCCCACCCTGCCTGCTCTCCCAGCCCTTGGCCTGGTTCCTGGAGGAGTGAGCGGCAAAGTGATGCAATCAGAGTTCCCGGCTGATGAAACCCAGCCCAGGCCAGAGAGCGAGAGTCTAATAAGGAAACAATTTAAATCGACAACATCTGCCTTGTGCTTCCCCGAAGAGAAGAGAATACAGCCGCCTGGGAGGAGCCTGCCCTGGGGACCAGCCAAGGCGTCCGTCCAGGGGCTGAAGAGCCAGCGTGGCAGCACAGCAGCGTCTGGCTCCTGCCAGGGGTTCAGGGGGAGCAGCTCACAGTCCTAGCATGGCCAGGACCTCCTCCTGCAAGGAGGCAGCAAGAAGTTTCTGGAAGCCAAGCCACTCTGGCCAACACTGGAGCACTCAGAGCAGCCACCTGGCAGCCCCAAAACGCTCTTTGTTCCCCTGCCAAAGACACCCCTATTAGCAGTGGCCTGGGATTGGCGGGTGGGCCGGGAGGGAGGCTGGCATCATAAGTGACCCAAAGAAGCACAGAGTGGACAGCCCACTGGGGCTTCAGAAACTCCAAGATGGAAAAGGGGCAGGGCATGGGCACAGGGTGGAGGGAAGCCAGGTCATCCAGGCTTGCTGGGAAAGCGTCAGGGTTAGGTGAAAGGATCCCAGAGTCAGACACATCTAGGTCTGAATCCTGCTGCTCACCGGTCAAGCAGCAACCTTGAGACTGATCTTCAAGGGAAACCCCACACAAGCTGGGCATGGTGGTGCGTACCTGTAATCTCAGCTACTCAAGAGACTGGGACTGGAGGACTGCTTGAGCCCGGGAGTTCAAGACCAGCCTGGGCAACATAGCAAAACCCCATCTCCGAAAAAAAAAAAAAAAAGCCCATGCAGGCAGGTGTGGGCATCCCTATTTTACAAGCACAGGCAAGTGGCTGCCCTGCTCTGTCCTCTGTACCCAGAGTCAGGTTGTGCAGATGCCTTGAGCTACTGCCCAGGCAAACGCCCTGTTAACGCCATTCTCCAGATGCAAATGATCACTCTCTCTTGCTCTTACAGCCCAAGAGGCGAGCAGGCCATTGAAGGGACCCAAAGTAAACTACTGGCTTTAACCAAGAATCTCATGCACCTGGGCAAAGATGCCCCTGGCACCCAGCATGGCCCAGCCTGGCTGTTTCCCAGGCACCCTCCTGTGTGCCAAGTAATTCTCAAGCATCATCTTCCTGCTTCTACTTCACAGATCAGGAAACAGACACTTGGGGAGTCCAGGCAGTCGCTGCAGGTCACATGGGAGGTAACGGGTGGTCTGTACTCCCAGGCCCCCCTTCAGGAACCCACCCCCACTTCCTGATCTTGCAGAACCCCTGGGAAATCTGCCAAGGCAGTACAGCCATTCTCCAGAGATTGTGGCATGGGCATCTGTCACGCTAGCGACCCTGGACCCCATGCTGTGTGGGCTGACCCTTCACCTTGAGTCTCAATCCCAGGGAAGAGGCTTTGAGACCAGGTTTATGCCAAGGGAGGGATGGTCACTGGGTCAAAGTGTGGGGCCAATGGGGTGTGGCTCTGAGCCAAATCCGTCAAGACCTGCTGGTGTTGGGGACCATGTTAGGAAGTCCCAAGTTAGGAGGGAGAAGTGGGAAAAGGCCCCCCAGCAGGCAAGCTCTGCAGAACTTCCAAAGATGAGCGCTCCATCTCCTGAACACTTGCTGCATGTCAGGCACCGAGCCAAGCACTCTCCCTGACCCCAAGAATCCACACCCAGCCCTAGGAGATGGGTGCTGTCAGCCCATTACCCCATCGCAGCCAAGGAAATTGAGGCCCCAGAGCAGGGAAGTCACCTGCCCAAGGTCTACTGGCCGGGAGAGGGCTGTGACCTAAAGCCAGGGCTGTCTGACCCCAGAGCTGCAAGCTGGGCTCCCATGCCAGGGTTGGACCCAAGACCCCAGCAGTTCAAAGCAAGAAGACACAATGGGTGTCACACTGGGCTGTGGTAGCAGCTTCCCCTCCCCAGGATCCATGCCCACAGCAAACACAGAGCTTCGGGGCTGGCTCTGCTCGGGGGACTTCCCTTCCTGCACCCACCAGTCTCCCAGCAGGCCTGCCCACAAGGCATTGGGAAGCAGAGACTGGGGCTCAAAGCCAGGCTCTGGTACCCACCGGACACTTGACTTTTCTGGGCCTCAGTCGCAGTTCTGTCCCTGTCTCACAGAGTTGCTACAGGACCTGGCACAGTGGACACCCATGCTGAATGGGGGCAGGGACTAGACCTCCAGAAGTAACTACTGACAGGCACCTGGAGTTCCCCTCTGAGGCAGATGGTCCAGCAGGAAAAGCTGGTCACACAGTCCCCTACCTTCTTCTCCACCCCAGGACCATAGATCAGGATATTTCCCCAGGTCTTTTTTTTTTTTTTTTTTTTTTTGAGGTAAGGGGTCTCACTATGTTTCCTGGGCTCAAATGATCCTCCTGCCTCAGCCTCCTAAGTAGCTGGGATTACAGGTGTGAGCCACCACGCCTGGCTTCCTTAGATCTTAAACCTGGCTGGGACACCCTGGTTGGGACATCCAGGGAGGGGGACCAGCAGGTGGCCTAGGCATGCCTGAGCCACTCCTGGCTGACTCATGCCTGGGTGGTGGTTGATTCACCCAAGGAGGAAGGGGAGAGAGAGGAGGAACGGATTCCCATCCCCAGGGCCTGGCCCCTCGAATGACTAGACTCAAGTCATGGGGCTGCCTCTGTCCTCTCTATCCTTACCCTCCATCCCAGCCCATCCCAAGGGCACCCCCTACACACTGCAAGTTTCCTCTTCTAGGCCTGGGTCTTAGGTTCCTGTCTCCCAGAGTGTGGAGGTCCTGGAGGAAGGGCCTCTGTTTTGCTCACTGCTGCTTCCCCTGTCGCAAGGATGGTGCTGGGCACACGGTAGGTCAGTAACTAACTAATGACTAAATGAGCGCCCTTCATACCCCTGCTCCCGTAAGGGCTCCCCTAAGCCTTCTTGTGCCACCTTCATGGAAGGGTAGGGCCATATTCTCTGCAGAGTGTAAGGGGCCAGGGGTCACTGCCATTGCTGGCTCTGCCACCCAGCTGTTCCTACTGATCCATACAGTATGCCCTAAGGTTCCCTGGACTTCTGAGGTGACCAGGAGATAATTGTGAATCGCTCCGCCAAAGTCACTTTTCCTCCCAGCCCTGCACAGACTCAGACCTGTTTTCCTAGCTGTCTTCATCAGTTCCCCAAGATTCCAACCACCATGGGCTAAGCATCAGGCTGGAGTGTGAGGCCCTGACTCACTGGTCTCCACCTCCTCCCCAGACATGTGATTCCCTGAAGACTCACAGACCAATCCTGGACCAATCTTTGCCTCTGTCATTCACGGACTCCACACATATGTACTGAGCACTTACTACACGTCAGGCCTGTGCTAGACACGGGGGACACATCCCAAGAGCCTGGCCTTGGTCTTGCCTGTATCCAAGATGGGTGTGGCCAACATAAAAAACCCTTAGGGGCTGCTACACCCCAAGGTCAGGCCTTCTCCTGGGATTTGGGGAGAGCACAGTCAAATGCCCGTCGGCAAAGACAGGGTTCAGGGCAGAGCAGGCGGAGTGGCAATTCTCCCCCACCCCACTGTGCTCAGCACTCCTCTGAGAGACGAATGTGCCTAACAGTCTCTCCTGGCTCTGGGCCCAGGCAGGGACGGTTGTCTTGGCCAAGGCAATGGCCTGGTTCTAATCACAAATGTTTGCTGGATAGGTGAACCACAGGAAGAGAGAAGAGAAACAATTACAGGGACAGAGGGAGGAATATGGACCTTTCCTTTCTGCTCTCACCCCTAGGGCCCTTACAATAACTGCCCTGGATGAATACCAATGCTGCCAGCCTTTACTGAGCCCGTACTCCATGCCAGAGACTACGATGGGCACATAATAGGCATTAACCCATTTCACCCAAGCATCAAGGAGGACCTCATTATCCCATTTCACAGATGAGGAAAGCAAAGCTCGGGGAGATCTAGTTCTCTGGCAGCCTCAGGAGCCTGCCCTCCCCATGAACAGCCAAGCCCCACAGCCCAGCAGGCCCTGCTGGAGTTTGCAAGAGGCAGAAGGAAAATCTCCAGCCAGAGAAGAGTTACATCTCTGTTTGCAGCTGCCAGGATGAGTTACTGCCTCATAAACAAGACTGATGCTTATCAGGTCAGAACGGTTCAGGCTGCCTTACCAGAAAGACCAAGGAAAACACCCAGGGATCTCCTCCAGGCTTCCGGGCACCCAAAAAGGTGCCTCATTTTTGTCTAGAGGACTCAGGCATCCACCCAGCACCACCCAAAAGTGTGGGGCATCTCGAGTCTTGTTTCTGGCACAGAGACGTGCAGAACTCACAGATACTCAGAGAGAACATACCCATGAAACCAGCCCCCAAGCAGCAGAATATTACAGGCCCCCAGAAGGTCCTTCCAGACATGACTCCCCTCAGCAAAGACAGCACTGCCCTGACTTGCATCAGAAAGGTTTTTGAACTCTGTATAAATGGCATCATACACTTTTTTTTTTTTGAGACAGAATCTTGCGCTGTCGCCTACGCTGGAGTGCAGTGGCGCGATCTCCGCACGCTGCAGCCTCTGCCTCCCGAGTTCAAGTGATTCTCCTGCCTCCTCAGCCTCCTGAGTAGCTGGGATTACAGGCATGCGCCACCATGCCCGGCTAATTTTTTTGTATTTTTAGTAGAGACGGGGTTTCACCTTGTTGGTCAGGCTGGTCTTGAACTCTTGACCTCAAATGATCCTCCTGCCTCGGCCTCCCAAAGTGCTGGGATTACAGGAGTGAGCCACTGCGCCTGGCCGCATCATACACTCTTTTGTCTCCGGCTTTCTTTGCTCAACGTTGTTTGTCAGACTGCTTCCTGCTGTGAGTGGCAGCAGCTTGTTCATCCTCAGCACTGCACAGTATGCCTCGGGTTTTGTTTTGAGTAATTCCCTGATGACAGAGGTTGAAACCTGCCCTTCTCAGCTGACAGTCACCTGCCCTTCTGCAACCTGCAGTCCCAAGCAATCAACCCCATGGCTGCCCTTGGTGGTTCTAAACTACAAATGTGACTCGGATTCACAGCTTCTGTGGCTCCCACCCCTCCAGGTACAGTCCAAACCCCTCCCCTTGACTCCTCCTGACTTCAAGCTCCCTCCCAGGCCAGCCAGCCCCTCTTTCCCGCTCAGCACGCTCGCCCTTGCCGTGCCTCTGCCGCAGGCTGCTCTTCTCCCACCCGCCACCTGCTAATCCTACTCATGCCCCAGAACCGAGCCCAGCATCACCTCCTTAGGGCCTGTGGCCATAGCACTGATTGGATTTGCGCACCTCCCCTCACTGGAGGGCCCTGCAGGGGTGGGGGCCACATCTCCAGGGCCCAGCCTGAGCCCCACACCAGAAGGAGCCCAAGAATTTGTCTGGGGGGAGCCTAGGGGGAGCAGGGAGCCACAGGTATGCTGCCCCACACCTGCAGAGTCTGCTCAGAGAGGAAGTGGTGAGAGGTAAGAGTGTTTAGCACCCAGACTTCCGCCCTCCCTGAGCACCAGCCGGCCACCTCCTCTCTGGGCAGGGTTAGTCTGTTTTTAGTTGCCAGGTGCCTGGCCCTGTGCTGGGTAGGGAGCCCTCCTGAGCAGCCCTGTTTGATGGAGGAGGAAGCTGAGGCTGAGAGGACAAGGCCTTTAGCCACAGTCACAGGGAAATCAAGCAACTGCCAAGGTCCAATTGCCGTGCTTGGAGTCAGGCCCCAGCCCCCTCCTCCTTTCCATTCTGCTTGCTATGAGCATCCCTGCCCCATGCAGAGGAGCCCACCCCACCCAAACCATTGATGCCCCCAGCTGCCTCTCAATTGCAGCCTCTGAGCCCGTGGAGGCACCCAGCTGTCCCGTATGCAAGTGAGGGCTGCTCCTGACACAGACTGACACCTCGGGCCTGAAGAGGGAATGCGGGGCGGGGGGGCGGGTCCAGCAGCTGGCAGCAGCCACAGTGAGGTCCCACACCAGCACTCACACTGGTTCAGAGCCAGGGGAGAAAAGCCCCGGCACCAGGACAGTGCCAACCCACAGCAGGAAGCCCCAAGACCAAGATGCAATGATGCAAGGACTACTCCTGCCCACGAAGGGCCCACAGTCTGCGGAATGAGCTAGAGATGTGGACAGAGACTGCAGTGCCTTGAGATGAGGGCCCACAGAGTGTACAAGGCCAAAAGAGGCCAGGGAGGCTTCCTGGAGGAGGTGACTCTTAGGCTGAGAAGAAATTCAGCGAGCAGAGAAGTGGGGGAAGGGAACTTGAGGAAGAGGCAACTACAGGGAACAAAGGCACAGAAACCAGAAGGGCGAGGAGCAGTGGAAGCCGACGAGGCCAGCCTGATGCCGGGAGTGGCGGGGCCTCCCATGTACTGAGCGGCCGCTGTCTCTCTCACCCACACTCCAGCCCACCAGCAGCCTGACAGCCAGTGCCCTCTGCCTCCGTGGAGGCTGTCTTCTGCCTGCCAGAGCAGGTCCCAGAGCCGGCTGTGCAGAGGGCCTCTTCCCTCACCAAAAGCCCCTCAGCCCAGCCTGGGTCCACCAAGCAGGGACGCTCCAACTCACCCTGGCTCACAGCCAAGCATCTCCCTGTGGGGCAAGTTCAAGCCAACAAGGGACAAGAAAACACGCAGACCCCACTGGGGACCCTGAGCTCAGACACCCGGTGTGCTCCTCACTCACCCCCACCCTGCCCCGAGTGCAAAGTGTCCTCTCCCAGCAGCACCTCATCAGTCCTGGCCCACACAGGAGTGCCAGCGGCCATGCAGGGGCACTGACCCTGCCATAACTCTGCCTGGACACAGGAGGACAGACTGTAAGCACATGCAGCGTGTGCACTGTATGCCAGGAGCCGCGCTGGGCGTCTGACAGACATTATCTCACCATGTCCTCTGAGAGCACCAGGAGGCAGGCACCGGCAGCCCTGCTTCACAGGGGCGGTCACTGAGGCTTGGAGGCCAAGTCCCTTGCCCAAGGTCACACAGGCAGCAAGTAGCAGAAGCAGGATGGAAATGTCTCCTGCAGGCCTGGAGGCAGGGAGGCAACAAGGCAGAACAAGCAGGCAGAAAGGCCTCTGTCAGAGCTCTTCCTCCCAGCCACCCAAATCAGCTGGCTGGCAGGACAGAGGACCGGGCAGGGTGGGGGTGCGGGCAGCTTCAGGCCTGCATGTGAGAGCTCTTCCAAGCCCTGGGTGCCAAAAGAGGCTCAGGGCAAAGACCCAGGGTTTGCCACCACAGCCCTATGCAGACACAGAAGCCAGCCATAGGTTGGCAGCTTTGGGCCTTACTGAGCCACGGACAGCAGTCTGACCTCATAGTGGGTGGCTGACAGGTCCCAGGGCATATCTGGAGTCCCCATAATCCAAAGCACTTGCCAGGGAGGTGGATAATACAGAGCAACACCCCCTCCCCACCCTACATTAGTTCTGGGTCTCTTTCTAAGCAAATCTGGTGTCTCTCCCCTGCTTAAACCTTCCTGGGGCTCCCTGGTAAGATGAGGATACATCTAAACTGGTTGTGCTTAAGATATTACTGCCTGTCCCCAGCAGCAAGCGAGTGACTGCAGGGTCACTGCATAGCAGTCACCAGATGCCAGACACAGAGTCAGTCGGCTCCTGACCCCTTAGCAGACATGCCAGCAGCCATCCCAAGGTGCAAGTAGGGCCTCCCAAATGCAAGTCAGGACTCCCAGGTACTGAACAAGCAGGGTTCAAAGGGACTCAGGGCCCCCCTGCCACCCCTGGACAAGCAGGGCCCTCAGGCACATAATGTGGTTGCTGCTAAGAGCCTCTGGCCAGAGCAGCTCCCAGGACGGAGCTTGAAGCAAGGAACAGGCCTCAGGAAATAGCCTGGCTCCACGAAGCCAGATCATCTCGGGTCAGGGCTGCTGCCAGGCTGGCAGGTAGGCAGCAGGGGCTGCCAGGGTGGCACCTGCCAACAGTGCAGCCAGCTGGCAGCAAAGGCTAGGTCCAAGGAGCAGACACCAAGGCCAGGCACAGTCACGGCAGCTTCAGGCTTCCCCGCAGCCACCAGCAGTATAGTCTGACCTCGCGGAACCAGCAGATGGCCTGGTACCACAGCCTCGCTGCCCGGGCTGGCCTCTGAGGCCACCCAGCCCTGCCCACTTCTGCCAGCAGGGCTTCTCTCCACAGGCCACTCTGCCTCCTTGTGCCCCCGACCTGCACCTGGAAGGCCTTCTACGGCACCCAGGGGACCAGGCTGGCCTAAGGCAGCACACATCAGACATCCAAGGCATGCTGCGGGGTCAGGGGAACTCAAGTGGGCAGCCCACGTCAAGAGGCAGCTGTAAAGCCCCTTGAGCCAAACGCCGCCACACAGCACTGCTGCCAGATCTTCCAACTTAAAACAAATGGGAAATCTGATTTTCATGCAATCACAAATGACTGGCGCACTGCAGGGGTCGACAAACCCTGGCTACATTTGGCCACTGTGCCCCCATCCATCTCCCGGCACTTACTAAGTACTAGGCATGATGCCAGCCCTGCGGTTGAGGAAGCCCACTTGCCCACTCTGCCTGCCAGCCCTCTCTCCAATCTGCCTGCTCCTCTGCCTGCTACCGCCAGGCCAGCAGTACCTGCCAGCCAACTCCCATTGTCCTTCCCTGGGTGCAGGTCAGGCCCCTGAACCTTCTCCACCTGGCAACCAGGCCACGTGGCTCCACTGCCCCTGGGTAGGTACTCCTGAGGCCAGGAACACACCAGCTCGGCCACCCATTACCCTAACTTACTCCATCCCCTCCTCCACCCTCCCCATACCCCAGCTCCTCGCCTGACCCTGGGAACAAGTGCCTGTTGGCCAGGGGCTTCTATGCCAAAGGCTTATCCCGATCTCTTTCCTGTCCAATTCCCCTCTGCCTTCAAGGCTCCCAGGAAGGGTCACTTCTTCCAGGAAGCTCTCCCTAACTCAGTGATGTGCCACATGAGGACAAGGACCATGCCCAGCCTGAGTTAAGTGCTCAATCCACATCTGTCAAATAAATGGACAGACACCTGGACGGAAATGCCTCCCCAGCTGCCTGCCGGGATCCAGTGGGATGCAGAAGGATATGCCCTAGATCTGCCTTGCTCTGAAGCTTTCACGATGCCCACCAAGCTCACTGCCCCCACCTAGCTGGCAGCTCCATGGAAACAGGGCTGTCTAATCATGATCACCTCCAGAAGCCCAAGACAAAGCGTGTGTTCAGGGAAAGTGGAACAGGCACACGTGCCCACCAGCCTCCTCTCCCTCTCCAGTGTGCTCAGCCTCCAGAGCTCCTGCTCTGTGAAGGAAAGTGGGTGCCCTGCCAATCTAAGAATCCCATCGAACCTCCACGGCCCCTGCTCCACTCAGCTCCAAGGGACAGAATTCTGTGTCCATCTCCATCCTGCCCTCCTGGAGCTCCACACTGTGCCTGTGAGCAGGCCTCCCCCGGAGGTGGATTCAACCAGCATTCCACAGCCTTTTCCTAGAAGGGCGGGTGAGGGACCAGGGGGGTGGAGGCTCTGGCCACAAGTGTGTGGAGTGTGAGGAAAGACCCGGCCAGGCTGGCCTCCCCAGGGACTGGGCCTGGCGTGGGGCCCCCAGCGCGGCACTGACCTGGCCAAGGCCTTCTTCATACTAAAAGAACCCCACCTGTGCCTCCGGGGCCACCATCCCAGCCGTGCCATGGAAGGCAGGCAGCATCTTTGTGGTGGGCGGCCACGCGCCCACCAAAGACTGCCCAAATCAAAAGCCCACTGAGGATTCAAGCCTACCAAAGAAGAAAGGCCAGAAGAGGGGCCTCCAAGTCACAGGCTGTCTGTTTCTTGGACAGTCTGGCACCCAAGTACAGAGCACAAGAGGACCCCAGAAGGACCCCCTCCCCGTTCTGGCCCAGCCTGCCTCCTTCATACAGAGAGTTACTAAGACACAGGGGACAGAGGTCAGAGCCAGGCCCAAGTCCACTCAGCTACGCCATCAGCTCCTCCTGTAAGTGGCCGTAGCAAGTCACTTCTCTGCCGCAGGCCTCAGTTTCCCCATCTGTTGGCTGAGAAAATGCTCTCTGCCCATCTCCTCCAGAAAATACTTGCTATGAGGTAAGTCAGTGCCTCCCTTGTACTCCTCTCCCCTGGCACCACCAGCCACGTGCATGAGGCAGACACAGGACTGGTGCCAGCTGCAAGCAGAGATCTCTTGGGTGTTTGAGATTCTTCCTGCCCAAGGGCTGCCTTGGACAGGATGGCAGCTCCCCGACTCACCAGACTTGGCTAGGACCTCTTCCTCCCTCCCGGGACCCCTGGGAAAGCCTCCCAGGCCCCCCTATGTGGATACATATGCCTGGGAGAATACAAATGCTCACCATGCCCCAGTGCCAGCCCAGGCCTGGCCCCAAATCCACAGCAGTGACTTCAGCCCCACCCCCTGAAAGGTCCTGGGGACACTTTTCCTTGGACCTCACGAAACCTACCATGGTGCCTCCTAACTGCTCAGCTCTGGACTTTCCTGAACTACCCAATCCATGGAATGGAGCCTTTCTCAAAGGTCTGGGGCTGTCACACGGGTCTGCAGCTGCTTCCGGCCCACTGCCATCAAGGCAAGACAGGGCCTTAGAGCTGGACCTGCCCAAATTCAAATCCCATCTCTGCAATTTCAAGCTGAGTAGCACAGACCCAGTCACTTCAGTTGTCCTGACCCCAGCTTCCTCACCTGTAAGTGGGGTAATGCCATCAGCCCATGGGGTAGGTGACTGCAGGGCCTCAAATAATCATCTATTTGAGGGGCTAGGCAAGCCCCTAGCATACAGAATGCGTACAATCAAGGGCGCTTTATAGAACGATAAAAGTGTTAATTTCCGAATTGCCATTTACCACCTGGGTGACCTCTGGCACTCACCTCTCTGGCTTTGGTGCCTCTCTGGATGGCTGAGAGGATTCATGGAAATACCAGTTGCAAAACAGTCAGCACCCTGCCTGGCACAGAGTGCAGGAGCTCAGAGCACAGCAGCGTGAGGATCGCTGCTCTCAAGGAGGCCTCAGGAAGATGAGGCTGAGCAACAGCCTGATGCACCACCTGCTCTACCTGCTCAAATTGGGTCAGGCGAGCGGTGTACCCAGCTGTTGCCAAGGCACCCAGCACACAGGGAAATACTCCAGCCAGGACGGCAGGTGCTGTAGGGGTGGGGCCTTGGGCCTGCTTCACTGACACCACCCATGCTGCCACCACCAGGTCTCTGGGCCATCTCGGGGGTTCCTGGGGGTGGGGGAAATATGCTATTGATCTGGGTCCAGGATCTAACCAGGTCCAGTTCCCCCAGACCCTACTCCAACCTGGAAACAATGGGGCCTTTGCTGTCTAGAGGGGCAGACTGTGAAGCGGGGTTCCCAGGCTGCAGTCCAGGGTGGGTGGGGTACGGGTGGAGGGGGTAGGAACCCAGGAACCCAGGAACCCCCGTCTACTGGGCAAAAACACAGCAAACACCAAAGCAGCTCTAAACTGGCCTCAGGTTCCAATGTCACTGTCTGCTGTCTCCAGCCACACCTACCCAACAGCAAACAGGTGCCTGGTGGCCACTAACTGCCCAGCTTTGCGAGAGCTCAGTGTCAGTTCCTCCCTCCTCAGCCCCATTCAGGTTGCATGCAGGACAGGGCTGGGAAATGCTTTGGGCTTAGCTGGATTCAGGCAATTTAAGGCCCCTTGCCAGGAGGAAGAAGGGAAAACAGAGGTGAAATCCAGACCCTGTGGACTAAGACCTGGAACTTCCCACACTTTCCCTAATGGGGAAGCAGGTTTGGGCAATGGAAAGGCCAACAGGTAGGGAGACAGTGGCTCCAGGGCCTGGAGGCCAGGCAAGTCCTCAGCCTGGGGCTCAAAATTTATATTCCTCAATGGGATCCAAGACCCTGTCCCCACTCCCAGCTCACACACAGGCCCCCTGCTGACTGGATCTGGTCCCCACCCCACCGCCCACCAAAGACCCGGAAAGGGCTGGGCCCCAGCCTGGGCCCCTCTACCAACAGAAGCGATAACTGCTGCGGCAGTGTGCCTGGGCGAGACATAACACACAGATTATCTGTACTCTAGAGGTGGGTATGACATCCCCATTTTACAGAAAAGGAAACTGAAGTTCAGAGGCACAAAAGGGTTGAATGCAGGCTCCACTGAATCAACTCAGGCAAATCATTTCCTCTCAGAGCCTGTTTCCACCTCTCTAACATGGGGATAATAATCCTATGGGGCCCCCACCTCCACTCCTGCTCCATGACACAGTCCAGGGGTTAAGTGAGAGGTGCTAGTAAAACAGGGAGCCCAGCACCAATGGTAGCTGGTTCTTGCAATCAGAGAGCTTAGGTAACTTGCCCAATGTCACTCAGCCAGTGAGTAGCCAACTCCAGGCCCTAGCTGTGAGCACAGCCTTCTCTCTGAAACCTCAGACTGCTGTGTGGGTGGCCTCAGGATCACAGGCTTCCCAGGCAACCAAGGAGGCCAGCCACCCCCACCACAAGGGGCAGCCCTTGTCCAAATTCCTCAGATAAGCAGCTCCCAACAGAACAGGGAGCCAGTGCTCAGAAAAAGCACCCCACCCTGTCCACACCGGAGATTCCTAAATCTGAGCCTGGCTGTGCAGTTCCCCTCCCTTCCCCTCCTCCCAGCAGAGTGTTTGACCTCTGGATTCAGCCAGCAGGCCCCCAAACCAGCGAAGTTCAGTTAATAACAGACTCCTTCGAGGTCCCTGGCAAGCCACTGACTTCCTCTTTCTGGGCCTCAGTTTCTCCGCCTATAACACGCACACATGGGCTCTCAGAACAGGGAGGCAGCTCTGGCTAACAGGGCCCACAAGGAGGCCCAGGGAGCAAAGGGCAGACCAGGTAGGGAAGCAGCGTGTCCCAGGCACTCGGCCAGGCCCTGCCCGCATACTATTTTATTTCATTTTTATTTTTTAAAAAGAGAGAGGCCGGGTGCAGTGGCTCACACTTGTAATCCCAGCACTCTAGAAGGCCAGGGGGCGGGGTGCGGGGTGGATCATTTGCAGTCAGGAGTTCGAGACCAGCCTCGCCAACATGGTAAAACCCCATTTCTACTAAAAATACAAAAAAATTATCGTGGTAGCGTGCGCCTGTAATCTCAGCTACTGAGGACGCTGAGGCAGGAGGATCGCTTGAACCCAGGAGGTGGAGGTTGCAGTGACCCAAGATCACGCCACTGCATTCCAGCCTAGGCAACAGAGTGAGACTCCATCTAAAAAATAAACAAAATTAAAATTTAAAAAAAATTAGCTGGGTGTGGTGGTTGGCACCTGTAATCCCAGCTATTCAGGAGACTGAGATATGAGAATTGATTGAACCCGGGAGGTAGAGGTTGCAGTGAGCCATGCTTGTGTCACTGCACTCCAGCCTGGGCAACAGAGTTAAATCGCGTCCCCCCAAAAAAGAAAAAAAAATAGAGACAGGAATCTAAGTCGTCCACGCTGGTCTTGAACTCCTGGCCTCAAGCAAGTCTTCCACGTAGGCCTCCCAAAGTGCTGGGATTACAGGAGTAAGCCACAGCATCCAGCCTGCCCTAAGTTCTCGCTGCTGCAGCTTCTCCACCTGTATTAGGCTCACTTTCCAGAAGAGGAGGCCCAGAAAGTAACAGAGTCAAGAGTCACACTCCCATCTGTAGAAGTCCAAGGCTCTTCGGAGACAGGCCAGGATGATGTGACCCCAGCTGGGCCCAATTGGCAAGGGACAGCCTGGGAACTCAGTTGCATTCAGCAACAAGCTGGGCAGCTGGACCTGCCAGGATGGGGACGAACAACACAAAACCAAACTCAACGGAGCCTCTTTCAGAGAGGGCAGCAGCCTCCTCGACAAGGGTATTTGCAATGCAAAGCAGCCCAGCTCCAGCCAGAGGAGGATAGTCACTCGGAGGGGGCTGGGTAGGCCAAAATCCAGCCACCTCCCTCCAGCCAGACTAGGGAGTGCCTGCGATCGGGCCTTCCCAGGCGCCTGGGGGTGCCGGGGAACCCGTGGCTGGCCTGGACTCTTGAATCATATGACAGCCCCAGTGGCCAGTTCGGGTGCAAGGTGGCCTGAACACCCCTCCCCTGCACAATCGCTCAGGGTACAAATCCCTGATAGGCTGTACATGCAAGTCTGCAGAATGGACCTACTGCAGGCGGCACGCAGGGCCCCAAGAGAAGGCTGAAAGACTAGACCCCCAGGTATTTGGCTGGCGGCTGCCTGGCACCCTGCCAACTGCCTCAGGCCCAGTCCTGCCTTGTGCAACCTGCCCCAGGCACACAGAATCCCCCGGATCCTCCTCACACCGGCCCCAAGGGGCCCTTCCACACTTGCCAAGTGTCTAGGTCTCGCTCATCACCCCCGCTGCTGCAGGCGCGACCGCCCCAGCTCCTACCTTGACGACAAGCTGACAAAATCCCCTCCATCCAGCAGCCGGACCTTGCAGAAGAGGACCCCGTTCACGAAGGGAACCGCAGTCAGCTCCTCCAGGGTGAAAGTAGTTTGGAATTTGAATTTCTTCTTCTTCATCAAGAAAGCCATGAGCGAGTTCCCTGAGTCTGAAGCCCCGAAGGCGAAAAAAGGTGGAGAGGGACGGGATTCCTTTCCCTACACCACACCCCCTCCTCAAAACACCAGAGCCGGATCCCGCCCTGATGGTGGCGGAGACGGCGGAGATCGGAGTCCGGGGCCCCAGGTCTGAGAGATCCACCAGTCCAGTTCGCGGGCCGGCGGGCTTCACCCTCGGGGAGCCGGGGCTCGGAGGGGTTCGGAGCGGCCGGGGACCTCACCGGCATGTAAACAGCAGGGCATGGCCCAGGAGGCAGAGGCAGGGGCGGAGGTGCGGGGCTGCGCGCGAGCGGCCGCGCTGGCTTGCAGCATCCCGAGACGCGATGTCCGGGGAGCTCACGCCGCGCGGCCGGGCGGACCGGTGAGACTGAGGGCGGCGGGCGGGCTGGCTGGCCGGTAAGGCTGAGGGCGGAGGGCGGCCCCGCCCCCGCCCCGCTGGCGGCCGGGGGAGGTGCCCTCGCCGCTCACGCCCCCGCACCTGGGTGCCGGGCGGCCAGCGCAGGTGAAGCCGGGGAAGGTGGGGCACCCCCAGGGGGCTGCCAGGAGCTCGGGGGCCTCTCCAGGAGGCGCGTCGGGGTCGCTGCGGGCCGGGAACGTCCGGCCTCGGGCCTCCTCAGGGCAGGCACCGGGCCGGCCCCGGGCAGCGGAGGCGCCGCCTCCTCCTCGATCCTGGGACCCGCGCCGCGGGCCCCGGCGGAGCTGAGGCGCCCTTCGGCCCGGCCGGTGGCGCCCGCCTCGCCCGGCACCCTTCGAGCAGCAGCGCCGCCCCCTGCGGCCCCGACGCTGCAGCCAGAGCCCGATGCTGCGAGGCGCCGCTTGGAGAATGCCTGGGCCCCGCGCGGCCGCCCGCCTAGCCGCCGCCGAGCACGGCAGGGGCGGGGCGCCGGCGGCTCAGCCCTCCCGCTATTGCGCGGCCCGGCTAGGCGGGCGCGCAGCGCGATTGGTGGGCGGTGGCGTGGGGTGGGACTCGCGGGAGGCAGAGGCGGCTCGGGGCTCTCGGATTGGTGCACCGCGCGGCCGGGCCCGCCTCCTAGGGCGGGGCGGGGCTGAGGGAAGGGAGAGGGGCCCTGGGAAGGCAGTGGGAGGTCGCAGGGCTGGCGGGGCAGGGAGAGCGCGAGCAGAAGAAAAGAAGAAACAATGACAAGGAGAAACAGTTTGTGGCTGCAGCGGCCTTCCAGGGTCCCGCCAGACTTGAGCTCGTAGAACCCTGAAGCAGGCCCGGAAGGTAGCGAGTCTCCTTTCTCAGAAAGCTGGCGCCCAGAGAGAGCCCCTGGCAGGTCGCTTGCTCGCCCTGAATCTCTAGTGCCCCTCAGCAATGAGCAGAGAAGCGTCTGGAAGGCTTCGCCGAGGAGGTGGCTCTGGCTCAGTCCATCACGCAGCCTTGTGACCCAGCTTGTAACATTCCAAGCTGTTATCTAAGCTTTCTGTTGTCCTTTAGTTTCTTGCCCAGCGTGACTGGTCTCACTGACTAGTTAGCTGTTCTGGGGGCAGAACCCACTCGAAAGCCTCGTACCTCCCAGGCCCCTCGGCATATTGTGGTTCATTCATCCAGTCCCCAAATGTTTAGGGGCAGTCTCCACTAAGCCAGGCTGGGACCTAGTGGAGAACCTGGTGGGCTTGCCCTTCCCAAATGCTCCCAGCTCAAGACCACCAGGTGGAGAAGCAGACAGGGACACAGGCAGCGACAAATCTATGGGTAAGAGTTGTAACAGGGGATAAGAGGCACCTGACATGGGTTGGGGCGCAGACTCAGAAAGTCTCGAACAAAGGGAGCCAAGCCATCCACAGGATGCGTGCCCTGAGTCACGCAGGGTCCAGGCATAGGGAGCTGCCAGAGACCTGGTGGCTGGAGATCGTGGTGCCCGCAGAAAGTTTCAGGCAACTACATCTGGCTGTACTGTGGCAGTTGGAGAGAGGGGCAAGAGATGGGGCTGGAAAGGCCAGATCTCCCAGAGTCTTGTAAGACCGTAAGGAGGAAGCCACGGACACGCGTTGAGATGGAGAGTGTCCTGGTCAGATTTGCTTTATTTTTTATTTATTTATTTTTTTTTGAGACGGAGTTTCGCTCTTTTTGCCCAGGCTGGAGTGCAGTGGTGCAATTTCCACTCACTGCAACCTCCGCCTCCTGGGTTCAAGCGATTCTCCTGCCTCAGCCTCCTAAGTAGCTGGGATTACAGGTGCGCGCCGCCACGCCCGGCTAATTTTGTATTTGTAGTACAGACCGGGTTTCACCGTGTTCGCCAGGCTGGTCTCAAACTCCTGACCTCAGGTGATCCGCCCACCTCGGCCTCTCAGAGTGCTGGGATTACAGGCGTGAGCCACGAGGCAAGGCCCAGATTTGCTTTTTGTCCTAAGAAGCTTGCTCTGGCTGTGGGCAGTGTGAAGGGGACAAGCTGGGAAACAGGTGGATGAGGAGTTTGTTTGGTGATGCAGGCAAGAGATGATGACAGTGCAACCTCAGCATTGTGGAGAAAGCAAGAGGATAGGTCTGAGGCATCTGAGAGACAGGTTTGACTGGACTTAGGGATGAGTTAGGTCTGGACATGTGGTGACCAAGGACTCTGGTTTCTTCCTTCTTCCCAGCTGTAAGATGGGTGGCGATCCATATTTCTCTCCAGTTTGTCCCATAATTTAGATCAGAGAGTTAACCAGATTAAAGAAAAGTGTTAACAGCAGCTTCCAATGTGACTGTGTGTCCCCTTTGGCAAACGGGGAAGTTAAGGCCTAGAGGATTTAAAACACTTGCCTGGGGTCTTTCCCCTGAAGCACAGGCTCAGAGTGCTGAACTGTGCTGCACACAGTGTGGGGTGTGCTCTCCTCACTATCTTGGCTGGGCCTGCTCCACAAGGGCAGAGCCTGTGGCTACCTGACCCCAGGAGGAGACTTCAGAGTGGAGAGCCAGCCAAGGACATCCCAGTGACTGGCTGGCTCCTCAGCTATGACCCTGAGTAACCTTGGGCCACCCAACAGGAAGCAGGGTGGGCCTGACTGCCAGGTTTAGCTGGGGTTGGGTATTTATCTCTCTGCGGCCTGTGGCCTGGGAACCCAGGAAATTTCCCTTCCCTCATTTCCCTGATGGTGCCTGGGGAAGGGGGAGAGTATGGTGCCAGGACAGCATGCTAGATTTGGGTGAGACAAGCCTGAGTTAGGATCCTGGCTCTGCTGCATGGTGGCGGTGTGGCCTTGGTTCAGGTCTCTGAATTGGTAAGGGGTTCGGTGTGGTATGGCTGGGACCACTTGCAACAGAACTGAGTTCAAAATCCGGCTACTTTGCCATTGACAACCGGGGCCACACAAGCTTTGGGTGCACCTTTGCATATGTAGAAAGGAATCTTGAAGAATACCGTAAACTTTCCCATCTCAGCCACGCTTCTTCACCTGTAAAATGGGAATCAGGATTTCCATCTTTCCGGAATGTGGTGAGGACTTCAAGAGGCTGTGCCTGTGAAAGGAATAGGCAGCTCCACACTTCCCCAGCCTCCCAAATTCCCAAGCATGGCCTATCCTACCTCCCCGAGGCCATGACCAGACGCATAAGGAACCTAGTACCAAACAAGATAATTGTTTGCCAGACCACAAGGCAAGTCGTCTGGAGAAGGAAACCCAGGGAAAGGTCAGAGAATGATTGGGTTGGAAGTCCTGATACAGATAGGGTGGTCAAGGAAGGCTTTTATGAGGTGTCATCTTAGCCAAGACCTAAGTAATAAGGCGGACCCAGGTACAGGAAGCTCTGGGGACAGAGGCATGAGCTGACATGTTTGGAGGACTCCGTGTGACTAGAATAGAGTGAGTACAGGGGACAGAGAGCGGTGGGGCAGACGAGCCTGTGCACATGGGCCCTTGTGGGCCTAGGAGGTGTTTTTTGTTTTGTTTTGTTTTGTTTTGAGTCCCGGTCTCACTCTGTTGCCCAGGCTGTAGTGCAGTGGCATGATCTCAGCTCACTGCAACCTCTAGCAGGTGTTTAGAGTTTATTCTAAGCCCCACGGGACAGCACTGGAGCATGTGAGCAGGCAGAAGGGTGACAAGATGCAAATTAACATTTTGTGTGTGTGTGTGTGTGTGTGTGTGTTTTGAGACTGAGTTTTGCTCTTGTTGCACAGGCTGGAGTGCAATGGCGCGATCTCGGCTCACTGCAACCTCTGCCTCCCGGGTTCAAGCGATTCTCCTGCCTCAGCCTCACAAGTAGCTGAGATTACAGGCATGCGCCACCATGCCCGGCTAATTTTTTGTATTTAATAGAGACGGGTTTCACCATGTTGGTCAGACGGGACTCAAACTCCTGACCTCAGGTGATCCACCCGGCTTGGCCTCCCAAAGTGCTGGGATTGCAGGCATGCACCATGCGCCTGGCCAAATTAACTTTTTTTTTTTTTTTTTTTTTTTCAGACAGAGTTTTGCTCTTGTTGCCCAGGCTGGAGTGTAATGGCTTGATCTTGGCTCACCACAACCTCCACCTCCCAGGTTCAAGCGATTCTCCTGCCTCAGTCTCCCAAGTAGCTGGGATTATAGGCATGTGCCACCACGCCCGGCTAATTTTGTATTTTTAGTAGAGACGTGGTTTCTCCATGTTGGTCAGGCTGGTCTCAAACTCCCGACCTCAGGTGATCTGCCTGCCTCGGCCCAAATTAACATTTTTAAACACTCCTTCTGGCTACTGAGAATGGATTGATTGGCAGGGGGCAAGAACAGAAGCAGGCAGACAGTGAGGAGGCAATTGCAGCCATCCCAGTGGGAGATTGACCAGGGTAACCAGGGTGGACACAGAGCGATGGCAAGAGAAAGGGAATCCATTTCAGAGGAAGCACTGACAGCACTTGCTGAGCAATAATAGTTATGGAAGGTCGTGGTCAAAGCTCAAGAGCCCAGGAAGGATGTACAGCCTTTTGAATATTCCCAGTTATTTTGATTTTGATTGAATGTGTCCCATGGTTCTTGGAGTCGGGAGTTTAGGGAGTCTAAGCACTGGCTTAGGTGTGGGGAAGGAGTGGAGAGGAATGAAGGAATTCCATGTGACTGCAGGCTCCAGAATACAATCACACCTGGAGAAAGTGGGAGGGCCTTAGAGAATCCTTATCCTTATCTGGCCCTGGACAAACCTTGTGATGCCATTTCCTTAGCTCTGTCTCTCTTTAGATCGTGAGCTTCACAGGGTCAGATGCCTCTCCTATAGAGTCCCCATGTCCAGTACTGGGCCTGCCACGTAACTGATGCTCCAAAAATGGTGGTCAAAGGAATGCATGGTAGCTCACACCTGTAATCCCAGCACTTTGGGAGGCCGAGGTGGTGGATCACTTGAGCCCAGGAGTTCAAGACCAGCCTGGGCAACATGGCGAGACCCCCCCATCTCTACAAAAAAATTAAAAATTAGCTGGGTGTGGTGGTGTGCACCTGTGGTTCCAGCTACTCGGGAGGCTGAGGTGGGTGGATAGCCTGAGCCCAAAAGGTCCAGGCTCTTCTGGTGAGCACAGCAAGACCCCGTCTCTAAACAAATATTTAAATTATATATATATATACACACACACACACACACACACACACATATGTGTGTGTGTATATATATATATATATATATATTTCTATATATAGGCTGGGCGTGGTGACTCAGCCTGTAATCCCAGCACTTTGGGACGCTGAGGCAGGAGGATGGCTGGATGGCTTGAGCCCAGGAGTTTGAGATCAGCCTAGGCAACATAGTGAGATCCCTCCTCTTTTTTTTTTTTTTTTTTTAAAAAAAGAAAAAATCTGTATGTTTAGAAAGGGAGCTGGGCATGGTAGCTCACACCACTAATCCCAGCACTTTGGGAGGCCAAGGCAGGTGGATCACTTGAGGTCAGGAGTTCGAGCAGCCTGACCAACATAGTGAAACCCCGTCTCTACTGAAAAAAAAAAAAGAAAAGAAAATAGGGGCTGGGCCCAGTGGCTCACGCCTATAATCCCAGCACTTTCGGAGGCCAAAGTGGGTAGATCACTTGAGGTCAGCAGTTCAAAACCAGTTTGGCCAAGATGGTGAAACCCCATCTCTACTAAAAATACAAAAATTAGCAGGGTGTGGTGGGGGGCGCTTGTAATCCCAGGTGCCTGGGAGGCTGAGGCAGGAGAAAGGCTTGAATCTGGGAGGCAGAGATTGCAGTGAGTCAAGATCGCGCCACTGCACTCCAGCCTGGGCGACAGAGCGAGACTCCGTCTCAAAAAACAAACAAACTACAAAAGTTAACCGGACATGGTGGCAGGTGCCTGTAATCCCAGCTACTTGGGAGGCTGGAGGAGGAGAATTGCTGGAACCCAGGAGGCGGAGGTTGCGGTGAGTGTAGATCATGCCACTGCACTCCAGCCTGGACAACAGAGCAAGATTCTGTCTCAAAAAAAAAAAAAAAAAAAAAAGAATATTCTTGGATATTGTTTGATTTTTGTAAGATGAATTTGTTTTATAATTTAACAATATATAATTATAAGAATGTTATAAACAAAAGCCTTTCCCCATCATTCTCCGGATAAAATCCAAGGTTCTTAGCCTGGCATTCAGGACCCTCTGGAAGCAACCGCTCAGCCCGTCCCTGACTGCCTCCCTTGGGCCCCTGCAGCCCTGATGCCCACAGGTCCTGGGCTTACCCTCCTGCCCACTTGGGGACACCTACTCAATGTCTCAATGTCTAGCTTTAGCTCCAGCATCCCCGCCCATCCTATCCCCCCATCAGTTACACTGCCCACTCCCTGCTCTGTGTGCTCATGTCACCAAAAATCTGTATGCAGAGAAAATGAGGGCTTAGCCTTCTGTCTTCTGTCTCCACCATAGCTGGTGCATATTTCATTCTCATTGGAAGGGAGGGAGGGAGGGAGGGAGGGCAGGAGGGAAGAAGGGAGAGAAGAAGGAGAGAAAGAGAAAGAAAAGAGAAACTGAGGTAGGGACAGGGAATACCACTTGCCCAAGTCACCTTGAGGGCAGCCACCCAGCTGGCCCACTCTCTCAGGCACCTGACACCCAGCACAGTGCCTGCTTCACAGCCATGCCATGCCAAGTTGTCTCCCCAGCCCTGCTTGCCAAGGGCGGTCAGTGCTGATTCACCGGTGACTGGCCTCCAATTATTTGCACAACTGGAATGGCAGGCGAGCCACCGAAGCAGCTGACCAAGGGCATATTGATTTGTGCTGGGCTCCTTGCTAATATCTGAGCCAGTCACACAAGAAGATAAAGGCCACAAAGAACTCGCCCACAGCAGTCTGTCCTGATTAAGCCTCCCACGGTCAAATCCACAAGTTTCCCTGTTGATCAGCCAACTCTGCCCTTTCCAACCCAAGCCTGACCATCACTCACAGAGGGTAGTCATGGTTCAGAACACGAGATGTGGAGTCAGGCGGCCCTAGGTTCCGGTCCAGGGATTACTGAGTCAAAGAGTATTTGCATATTTACCATTGAGAGATGTTGACAAACTGCCTTCCAAAAAGATCACACACATTTATATTCCCACCAACAGTATAAGAAAGCGGCCATTCCCACACTTTCTCCATCTTCACCAATCTGTTTGACCAAAAGAGGAAAAAAAAGCTATCCTATAGTGCTTGCATTTCTTTCATGATCATCTTTTCATATTTTTTGGTGATTTTAATTTCTTCTATAAATTGCCTGTCCACATCTTTTGTTTGTCCATTTTTAAATTTGGGAAATAATCTTTTTGTTATTTATTTGTAGTGGCTTATTACATATTGTGGACTTCAACTTTGTATATGTTAAAGTATTGCTTCTACTTATTATCTTTGTTTTTTGAGATGGAGTTTTCCTCTTACCCAGGCTGGAGTGCAGTGGTGTGATCTCACTGCAGCCTCTGCCTCCTGGGTTCAAGTGATTCTCCTGCCTCAGCCTCATGAGTACCACCCGCCACCACGCCTGGCTAGTTTTTGTATTTTTAGTAGAGATGGGGTTTCACCATGTTGGCCAGGCTGGTCTTGAACTCCTGGCCTCAAATGATCTGCCCGCCTCGGCCTCCCAAAGTGCTGGGATTACAGGCATGAGCCACCGCACCTGGCTGCTTCCACTTAGTTATCTTTAGGCTTTGTTTATTTTTTATTTTATTTTTTAGAGACACGGTCCTACTCTGTCACCCAGGCTGGAGTCCAGTGGTGCGATCATAGTTCACTGTAACCTTGAACTTCTGGGCTCAAGCAATCCACCTGCCTCAGCCTCCTGAGTAGCTATGACCACAGGTGTGTGCCACCACACCTAGCTAATTTTTTGTTTTTTGTAGAGATAGAGTCTCATTATATTGCGCGGGCTGGTCTAAACTCCTGGCCTCCAGCAATCCTCCCACCTCAGCCTCCCAAAGTACTGGGATTACAGGCGTGTGTCACCTTTCCCGGACTCTGGACTTGGTTTATGGTGTCTTTTTGCCCCATAGAAGCCTCTTACGAAGCCCCAGCTAAGAGAGAGGAGTCAATCTACTTCAGTGGAAAGAATTCTAGATTGAGAGTCAGGAGGAAGACCTGTGTACCTCCATGGGCTAGACCAGCACTGTCCAAAGAACTTTCTGCAGTGACAGACATGCCCCATATCTGCACTCTCCAATTTGATAACCAGTAGCCGCATGTGGCTATTGAGCACTTGAAATGTGCCTGGTGTGACTGAGAAACTGAATTCTAAATTTCATTTAATTCGAATTTTAAATTCAAGTAGCCACACATGGCCAATGACTATTGGGCAGCACATGTGTAGATGGCCTACATTTCTGAGCAAGCTGCAATACCTAGTTGCTATTAGGGGATGAAGAGTCCCTGTGTGGCTTGGGTCAGGCACTCCATTTCTCTGGGCCTCAGTTTCCCCATTTGTTCAGTGAGGCTCACAACAGCCCCTGCTTCCTGAGGTTCTTCTACAAATTTGGTTTGTGGGTTGTGTGTGAAGGTCCAGGCCCTGTACTTGACCCAACAGCGCAAAATCAGGCCACATTCCCAGGTTGAAACATGAGAGTATGTTGGCCCTGTTTACACTGTGTACAGAGACCCCTGGGTGGCTTTCTCCAGAGCTACCCTCCTTCAGCTGGGAGGCCAGCTTTCCCTTCCTAATCCAGCTCCAGCAGGCCTCAGCCTGGGACTCCATATCGCTGACAGGGCAACGTCCAAACTCTCCAGCCTGTGTTCTGGCCTCTGAGAGCTGGCCCTGCCCTGGCATTACTGTCGTTCCTACAATATGTAGGTCAGCCCAGCAGCCTCCCCAGCCTTACCCTGTGTCTGCCTCCTACCCCAGCCTTCTAAGGTCTGCTGAGCCACTTCATTCACTCACTTCATTCATTCATTTTTCATTCACAGGTGTTTATCCGACCATCTGCTCTGGGACTGGGGCTACAATGAGGGATACATGGATGTGGCCCAAATGATGACTGTTGTGATACACCTAGTTAGGGTGGTGGGGGCTGGGGTTCAGGGAGCAATGGGAACACAGAGAAGGTCTGCCTGGGGTGGGTGGTCAGGGCAGGCTTCCCTCAGGAAGTGACATGTAAGCCCAAGCCTGATGAGTGGATAGAAGCAGCCAGGAGAGCAGGGAGCCGCTGGAGAAGACAGTCTGAGTCGACCTGCAGCAGAAGACAGAGGGTCCCATGATCTGCAGAGGCATGAGCAAAGCTGGAAATGAAACAGGCCCAATTCCACTAGAGGGGCTTATCGGCCATATGAAGGTGTTGAGGCCACGTGAGGTGGCTTGCGCCTGTAATCGCAATGCTTTAAGAGGCTGAAGCAGGAGGATCGCTTGCACCCAGGAGTTTGAGGCTGCAGTCAGCCACTGCACTCCAACCTGGGCAACAAAGTGAGATCCCATCTCTTAAAAAAAAAAAAAGGCTGGGCACGGTGGCTCATGCCTGTAATCCCAGCACTTTGGGAGGCCGAGGCGGGTGGATCACCTGAGGTCAGGGGTTTGAGACCAGCCTGGCCAACATGGCGAAAACCCGTCTCTACTAAAAATACAAAAATTAGCTGGGGGTGGTGGCGGGTGCCTGTAATCCCAGCTGCTTGGGAAGCTGAGGCAGGAGAATCGCTTGAATCTGGGAGCCGGAGGTTGCACTGAGCCGAGATTGTGCCACTGCACTCCAGCCTGGGTGACAGAGTGAGACTCCATAAAAAAAAAAAAAAAAAAAAAAATTAGCCGGGTGTGGTGGTGGACACCTGTAATCCCAGCTACTTGGGAGGGAGGCTGAGGCAGGAGAATCACTTGAACCTGGGAGGCAGAGGTTGCAGTGAGCCGAGATTGCACCATTGCACTCCAGCCTGGGCAACAAGAGTGAAACTCCACCTCAAAAAAAAAAAAAAAGGATGTGTCCTTTAGTCCTTTATCCTGAAGGTAATGGGGAGCCACGGAAGGTGTTGAAGGATGATGTGATTACTCCAGGGGTCAGCTCCCCACATAGCCTTTGTCTCCCCCTGGAATTCAGGAATTTAGCCCCCTTTACGTTTCCTTTCTCCACCTGCCACCTAGGTTTCAAAATACTTTAGTGCACACAGTTCCCAGGAACTTTCTCCCACCTGTAGTGCCCTAGGTTCAAACTGCAGCCCTGCCACACCTTGGCCCTATCACTTCAAGCAAGTCATGAACCTCTTTCACCCTTCACCTTTCAGTGTCCTCACCCGTAAAATGGAGATAATGATACCTTCTCTGCACAGTTACATATGTTATGAGAGAACATTGCATGCCACAGAGCCACCAGGAAATGGAGTCTAGTTGAATTCCTTCTGTGCACGGTCAATCAAAGCCATGAAGGGGGCCTGAGGGGCTTCCCAAAGGGCAAGCAGAAGTCTCATTCCTGGGAAGTGTCCTTGGGCCAGCTGGCCCCAATGGGAGTGGAGGGAAGCATTTCTGAGGCCTTTCTTGGGCAGCCTGACCATGTGCTAGGTACCTCAAAGCAGATCCCCCAAACCTAGAGTCGGACTTCTGCACCTTCTCAGAGCCCCCACCCAGCAGGCCAGGAGTCGGCAGGCTGGTGTGGGGCTTACATAACCTGGCAGGAGTCCCACACCTTTCACCCAGTGATCGGGGCTGTGTTTACCCAGAAGAGGAGTTGCCGGGTCACCTCCCTGTCCTCTTAGGTACCTGCTCACAACACAGCCCTTTAGCCTTTGCTGAGCTCTGCTTATTTTCTGAGTTCTTAGTCATAGTCCCTGGCGTTACTGTTGGCAACGGCTATTGTTTTGTTTTGTTTTTTATTGATATATCATAGCAGGTGGTGTTTGATACATGTATACACCGTGTACTGATCAAATTGGGATAATTGAGAAATCCATCACCTCAAACATTTACCATTTCTTTGTGTTGAGAACATTACAATTCTTCTAGCTATTTTGAAACATATAATAAATGTCAACCATAGTTGCTCTACTGTACTATTGAATACTAGAACTTATTTCTTTTGCTTTTTTTTTTTTTTTTAAAGACACGGTTTCACTTCCATCACCCTGGCTGGAGTGCAATGGCATGATCTCGACTCACTGAAGCCTCCACCTCCCAGGCTCAAGCAATTCTCCTGCCTCAGCCTCCTGAGTAGATGGGACTACAGGCACATGCCACCACGCCTGGCTAATATTTATATTTTTAGTAGAGACAGGGTTTCACCATGTTGGCCAGGCTGTTCTTGAACTCTTGAGCTCAAGTGATCCACCTGCCTCGGCCTCCCAAAGTACTGGGACTACAGGCATGAGGCACAGCACCTGGTGAATTTATATCTTCTATCTAACTGTATTTCTGTACCCATTAACCAACTTCCTTCTTTTAATTCCCCCCAACACACCCCACAACAGCTATTTTTTTCAATGTGAAAGTATCAGTAGTGGCATTTAGTGGTGAGGCACTGGAGAGTAGTAGGAGACAGACGGAGCAGCAGGGACTGGAGATCTGAACAGAGTGTGCGTCCCAGCCTCCTCCAGCTGTTAGCTCTGGGACCTGGAGCCAGTTGCTTGAAGTCTCTGAGCCTCAGTTTTCACAGCTGAAAAGTGGGTTTAGTGGCCATGCTGTCATGAGGAGTAATGTATACAAAAGGCTCCTGAATTACTTGGCAGCTGGCCCTGCTCATCAAATGTTGGCCTTTTTTATTTTTATTTTTTTTTTGAGATGGAGTCTTGCTCTGTTGCCCAGGCTAGAGTACAATGGTGTGAGGCTCACTGCAACCTCTGCCACCTGGGTTCAAGCAATTCTCCTGCCTCAGCCTCCTGAGTACCTGGGATTATAGGCATGTGCCACCACACCCGGCTAATTTTTGTATTTTTAGTAGAGACAAGGTTTCACCATTTTGGCCAGGGTGGTCTTGAACTCCTGATCTCAGGTGATCCGCCTGTCTTGGCCTCCCAAAGTGCTGGGATTATAGGCGTGAGCCACCGCGCCCGGCCTGTTGTTGTTTTTTTACATGGAGTCTCACTCTGTCGCCCAGGCTGGAGTGCAGTGTTGTGATCTTGGCTCACCTCAACCTCTGCTTCCAGGGTTCAAGCAATTCTCCTGCCTCAGCCTCCCTAGTAGCTGGGATTACAAGCACCCACCACCACGCCCAGCTAATTTTTGTATTTTTAGTAGAGAGGGGGTTTCACCATCTTGGCCAGGCTGATCTTGAACTCCTGATCACTCGCCTCGGCCTCCCAAAGTGCTGGGATTACAGGCATGAGCCACCACAACCAGCCTCACAGGGTTCTTCTGAGTCATGAGTGAATGGATATTGTAAAGTACTTAGAATAGTACTTGTTTGCTTCAACAAAAACTGAGTGCCCACTCCGTGCCAGGCACTGTTGCAGACACTGGGGATATAAGCGTGAACAACAGCCCTGAGGTTTTGTTGGTGGGGGGGAGGGGAAGAAATCTACACGTTAGCACTTGAGTGATACAGCCGCAAAGCAGAGTAGTCAGCGTTGACTATTCTCGTGCTCAGGGATTGATGCTCCTGATTCTTGATGCTCAGGGTCTGGCTCTGTCACCCAGGCTGGGGTGCAATGGCACCATCTCAGCCCACTGCAACCTCCACCTCCCAGGTTCAAGAGAATCTCCTGCCTCAGCCTCCCAAGTAGCTGGGATTATAGGAGTGTACCACCATGTCTGGCTAATTTTTGTATTTAGTAGAGACAGGGTTTCACCATGTTGGCCAGGCTGGTCTCGAACTCCTGACCTCAGGTGATCCACCTGCCTCAGCCTCCCAAACTGCTGGGATTACAAGGTGTGAGCCACTGCACCTGGCCCTGATTCTTTTTTTCTAAACAACTATAACAGCTTCTGTGTGTCGATCTCACTATGGGAGCCGTGCCCTAGACCAGCTGTGCTCCTAAGATCTCATCAGATGCCAATCACATCCTCCCCGTGGTACCATCACCATCCTCACTTCACAGTTGAAGAAATAAAGGCCCCCAACCCAGGGCCTGGCACATTACAGGGACCAGGAAGCAATTGTTAGATAAATGAGCAAACTAATGGACATCCGAATCCAACTGGCACTAACCCTTCCAGGGAGTAAGTGTTAAAGCAGGGATTAGGAGGCTTTGCACTCCTTGAGGGCAGCGAGCTCAGCCGTAGGTGCTTGTGGCTTCACTCTCAGACTATACTGTTGCCACTGTCCCCTCCGCTTCCTCCTACTCACCATCATCACAACTAACATGTTACTGAATACCTACCTAATACACACCCCTGGCATTAATCTAAGGTTTTCTGCATATGAACTTTTAAAATCCTCACAACAATCTCATGAGTTATGTCCCATTTCACAGGTGAGGAGACTGAGGCATAAAGAGGCAACATCATGCTCAGGGTGACGAGGGTAGTAAATGATGGAGCTGATTTCAAATCCAGACAGTTTGGATCCTGAGCCTGAACTCTTAACCACCGTGTTATCAAGATATTCTTCTCTCTCTCTCTCTCTTTTTTTTTTTTTTTTTGAGACAAGAGTCTTGCTCTGTCACCCAGGCTGGAGTGCACTGGCCTGATCTTGGCTCACTGCAACCTCCGCCTCCCAGGTTCAAGAGATTCTCCTGCCTCAGCCTCCCGAGTAGCTGGGATTACAGATGTGCGCCGCCACAACCAGCTAATTTTTGTATTTGTATTTTTAAATTTATTTTTATTTATTTTTTTGAGACGGAGTCTCACTCTGTCACACAGGCTGGAGTGCAGTGGCGCGATCTCGGCTCACTGCAATCTCCGCCTCCCAGGTTCAAGTAATTCTCTTGCCTCAGCCTCCCAAATAGCTGGGATTAGAGGCGCATGCCACCATGCCAGCTAATTTTTTGTATTTTTAGTAGAGACAGGGTTTCACCATGTTAGCCAGGATGGTCTTGATCTCCTGACCTCATGATCTGCCTGTCTCAGCCTCCCAAAGTGCTGGGATTACAGGTATGAGCCACCGTGCCAGGCCAATTTTTGTATTTTTAATAGAGATGGGGTTTTGCCTTGTTGGCCAGGCTGGTCTTGAACTCCTGACCTCAGGTGATCCACCCGCCTTGGCCTCTCAAAGTGCTTGGATTACAGGCGTGAGCCACTGCACCTAGCCAAGACATTCTTTTTTTATCACTGCTTCGCTGGTTTTAAAAATCAGCCGGGTGTGGTGGCTCACATCTGTAAGCCCAGCACTTTGGGAGGCTGAGGTGGGTGGATAACCTGAGGTCAGGAGTTTAAGACCAGCTTGCCCAACATGGTGAAATCCCATCTCTATTAAAAATAAAAAATGAACCGGGTGTGGTGGCAGGTGCCTGTAATCCCAGCTACTTGGGAGGCTGAGGCAGAAGAATCTCTTAAACCCAGAGGCGGAGGTTGCAGTGAGCCGAGATCATTGCCATTGCACTCCAGCCTGGGCAACAGAGCAAGACTCCATCTCAAAAATAAAAATAGCACATATTCCACAATGAAATGAAACTAGAAATCAATAGCCGAAGAGAAACTGGAAAATTCACATAAACAACACACTATTGTTTTTTTTTTGAGCCACCGTGCCAGGCCAACAACACACTTTTTTTTTTTTGAGACGGGGTCACGCTCTGTCGCCTAGGCTGTAGTGCAGTGGCGCGATCTCGGCTCACTGCAACCTCCGCCTCCCGGGTTCACACCATTCTCCTGCCTCAGCCTCCTGAGCAGCTGGGACTACAGGCACCCACCACCGCACCCAGCTAATTTTTTTGTATTTTTATTAGAGACGGGGTTTCACCGTGGTCTCGATATCCTGACCTCATGATCTGCCCCCTTCGGCCTCCCAAAGTGCTGGGATTACAGGCATGAGCCACTGCGCCCGGCCAACAACACACTCTTAACCAATGGGTCAAAGAAGAAATCACAAGGGGCTGGGCATGGTGGTTCACACCTGTAATCCCATCACTTTGGGAGGCTGAGACAGGGGGATCACGAGGTCAGGAGATCAAGACCATCCTGGCTAACACGGTGAAACCCCGTCTCTACTGAAAATACAAAAATCAGCTGGACATAGTGGTGCACGCCTGTAGTCCCAGCTAATTGGGAGGCTGAGGCAGGAGAATCGCTTGGACCTGGGAGGTGGAGGTTGCAGTGAGCCAAGATTGCACCACTGCACTCTAGCCTGGGTGGCAGAGCAAGACTCCGTCTCAAAAAAACAAAACAAAACAAAAAAAGCAGGGGGGTGAGGGGCGCGGAAATTAGGAAATATATTGAGACAAATGAAAATGAAAACACAACATATCCAAACATATGGGATGCAGCTCAGACAGTAGTAAGAGGGAAGATTACAGCAATAAACATTTACATTAAAAAGAAGAAAACACGGCCAGGTGCAGTGGCTCACGCCTGTAATCCCAGCACTTTGGGAGGCCGAGACGGGAGGATCACGAGGTCAGGAGATCGAGACCATCCTGGCTAACACAGTGAAACTCCGTCTCTACTAAAAATATGAAAAAAAAAATTATCCGGGTGTGGTGGTGGGCGCCTGTAGTCCCAGCTACTCGGGAGGCTGAGGCAGGAGAATGGCGTGAACCCGGGAGGCGGAGCTTGCAGTGAGCCGAGATGTGCCATTGCACTCCAGCCTGGGGGATAAGAGCAAAACTGTCAAAAAAGAAAAAAAAAATTACCTGTGCATGGTGGCATACACTCCCCCGTGGTTCCAGCTACTGGAGAAGTTCTAGCTACTGGAGAGGATCGCCTAAGACCAGGAGGTCGAGGCTGCAGTGAGCCGTGATCCCACCACTGCATTCTAGCCTGGGCAACAGCTTCCCAAGAAGAAAAAAGATCTCAAATCAAAAGTACTACACTCTCATCATTATAAAATTCAAGCATTGCAAAATTTTATACTATAGAAAGAGAAAGTTTAAAAAGTGAGGCCAAGGCGCAGTGGCTCACGCCTGTAATTCCAACACTTTGGGAGGCAGAGGCGGGTGGATCACGAAGTCAGGAGATCAAGACGATCCTGGCTAACACGGTGAAACCCCGTCTCTACTAAAAATACCAAAAAAATTAGCCAGGCATGGTGGCGGGCGCCTGTAGTCCCAGCTACTCGAGAGGCTGAGGCAAGAGAACGGCGTGAACCCGGAAGGCGGAGCTTATAGTGAGCCAAGATCGCGCCACTGCGCTCCAGCGGGGGCAACAGAATGAGACTCCGCCTCAAAAAAAAAAAAAAAAAAAAAAAGTGAAAGTCCTCTGTAATGCTCCTTCCCAGAGAACCTTTGTTAACAGTGTCAGATGGTTTTTTTTCAAAGCTTGCAGTGATATTTTCTTTTTTTCCTTGAATTCTTTTATTGTGGCAAAATATACATAACATAAAATTACATCTTAACCATTTTTAAGTATATAGGTCAGGAGTATTAAATGTATTCATAATGGTATGCAACCATCACCAATATCCATCCCTATAACGTTTTTAATTATGCAAAACTGAAACTTTGAACCCATTAAACACTCCCCATTTCCCCTTCCCCCAAGCCCTAGCAACCATCATTCTACTTTCTGTCTTTATGATTTTGACAGCTCTAAGTAGTTTATATCAGTGGAATCGTACAGTATCTATCTTTTTTTTTTTTTTTTTTGAGACAGAGTCCTGCTCTGTCGCCCAGGCTGGAGTGCAGTGGCAAGGTCTTGGCTCACTGCAACTCCCACCTCTCAGCTCAAGCGATTCTCCTGTCTCCCCCTCCTGAGTAGCTGGGAATACAGGTGCCCACCACCACGCCCAGCTAATTTTTGTATTTTTAGTAGAGATGGGGTTTCATCATGTTACCCAGGCTGGTCTTGAACTCCTAACCTCAAGTGATCCACCTGCCTCGGCCTCCCAAAGTGCTGGAATTACATGTGTGAGCCACCATGACCGGCCCTATCTTTTTGTGACTGGCTTATTTCATGTAGCCTAATGTCTTCAGCGTTCATCCATGTTGTAGCATGTGTCAGAATTTCCTTCCTTTTTACGGCTGCATAATATTCCATTGTTTGTATATACGACATTTATCTGTTCATCTGTTGATGGACACTTGGGTTGCTTCCATGTTTTAGCAATTGTGAATACTGTTGCCATGAACATGGGTGTATGATATCCCACTCTCAATCATTTTGTAAATCCAGAAGCAGAGTTGTTGGATCACATAGTAATTCTATTTTTAATTTTTTGAGGAACTGCCATAATGTTTTCCACAGTGGCTGCACCATGTTACATTCCTACCACCCATGTAGAAAGGTTCAAATTTCTCCTCCTTTCCAGTACTCGTTAGTGGTGTGATCTCTGCTCACTGCCTCCTGGGTTCAAGCAATTCTTGTGTCTCAGCCTCCCAAGTAGCTGGGATTACAGGCACCTGCCACCACAGCTGGCTAATTTTTGTGTCTTTAGTAGAGACCAGGTTTCACCATGTTGGCCAGGCTGGTCTCAAGCTCCTGATCTCAAGTGATTTGGCCACCTCAGCCTCCCAAAGTGCTGGGATTACAGGTGTGAGCCACTGCGCCCAGCCTGTTTTTTTTTTTTAATAGTAACCATCCTAATGAGTGTGAAATGATATCTCATTGTAGTTTTGATTTGCATTCCCCTAACAATTAGTGATATTGAGAATCTTTGGAGAATAGTCTTTTTTTTTTTTGAGACAAGGTCTTGCTGTGTCACCCAGGCTGTAGTGCAGTGGCATGATCACGGGTCACTGCAGCCTTGACTTCCCGGGCTCAAGCGATCCTCCCACCTCAGCCTCCCAAGTAGCCACCACACCCAGCTTATTTTTTTTTTGTATTTTTTTTGTAGAGATGGGGTCTCATCTTATTGCCCAGGCTGATCTCAAACTCCTGAACTCAAGCAATCCTCCCAGTTCAGCCTCCCAAAGTGCTGGGATTATAGGTGTAAGGCACGTCGCCTGGCTCCTTTGCCCATTTTTGAATCAGGTTATTTGTTTTTTGCTGTTAAGTTTTAGGAGTTCTTTATATATTCCAGGTATTAATCTCTTTTCAGATATATGATTTGTAAATATTTTCTACCATCTGTGGATTGCCTATTTAATCCATTGATATTGTCTTTGTATGCACGAAATTTTTTAACGTCCATAAAGTTCAATTTGTCTATTTTTGTTGTTGTTGCCTGTGACTTTGATGTCATAGCAAAGAAATTATTGCCAAACCCAGTGGTGTCAAGCTATTACCACATGGTTTTAGATCTTACATTTAGGTCTTTGACCCATTTTGAGTTAATTTTTATACAGTATACAGTATTGAGTAAAGCTCCAAGTTCATTCTTTTGCACCACCATTTGTTGAAAAGACCGTTCTTGAGCGCGGTGGCTCACACCTGTAATCCCAGCACTTTGGGAGGCCGAGGCAGGTGGATTACCTGAGGTCAGGCGTTTGAGACCAGCCTGGCCAACATGGTGAAACCCCGTCTCTACTAAAAATACAAAACTTGGGCCGGGCATGGTGGCTCATGCCTGTGATCCCAGCACTTTGGGAAGCTGAGGCAGGCAGATTGCCTGAGCTCAGGAGTTCGTGATCAGCCCGGGCAACACGGTGAAACCCCGTCTCTACTAAAATACAAAAAATTAGCTAGGCATGGCGGTGTGTGCCTGTAGTCCAGGCTACTTGGGGAGGCTGAGGCAGGAGAATTACTTGAACCCGGGAGGCGGAGGTTGTAGTGAGCTGAGATCACGTCACTGCACTCCAGCCTGGCGACAGAGAGAGACTCCATCTCAAAAAAAAAAAAAAAGCCAGGTGTGGTGGTGGGCGCCTGTAATCCCAGCTACTCAGAAGGCTGAGGCAGGAGAATTGCTTGAACCCAGGAGGCAGAGATTGCAGTGAGCTGAGGTCATGCCATTGCAACTCTAGCCTGGGCAACAAGAGCGAAACTCCGTCTCAAAATAAATTAATTAATTAATTACATTAATTAAATAAAACAAAATAAAATAAAAAGATCGTTTTTTTCCCCATTGAATTATCCTGGTACCATTGTCAAAGATCATTTGACCATATATGCAAGGGTTTATTTCCGGGCTCCCTATGTTCTATTCCATGAGTCTATGTGTCTGTCTTTATGTCAGTACCACATTGTTTTGATTACTGTAGCTTTGTAGTAAGTTTTGAAACCAGGAAGTATGAGTCCTCCAGCTTAGTTCTTCTTTTTCTAGATTGTTTTGGCTATTCAGGGTCCCTTGAGATTCCATGCAAATTTTAGGACAGAATTTTCTACTTTTGCAAAAATGTCATTGAGATTTTAACAGGGATTGCACTGAATCTGTACATCACTTTGGGGAGCATAAACATTTCAACAATATTGGGTCTTTCAGGACAGGTGCAGTGGTTCATGCTTGTAATTGTACTACTTTGGAAGGCCAAAGTGGAGGATTGCTTGAGCTCAGAAATTCAAGACCAGCCTGGGCAACGTAGGGAGACTATCATCTCTACAATTAAAAATAAATTAAGTCTTTCAATCTATGATCATGAGATATGTTTCCATTTATTTATGCCTTCTTTAATTTCTTTTTTTTTTTTTTTTTTTTTGAGACGGAGTCTTGCTTTTTTGCCTAGGCCGGAGTGCAGTGGCACTATCTCGGCTCACTGCAAGCTCCGCCTCCCGGATTCACGCCATTCTCCTGCCTCAGCCTCCCGAGTAGCTGGGACTACAGGCGCCTGCCACCACGCCCGGCTAATTTTTTGTATTTTTAGTAGAGACGGGGTTTCACTGTGTTAGCCAGGATGGTCTCGATTTCCTGACCTCGTGATCCACCTGCCTTGGCCTCCCAAAGTGCTGGGATTACAGGCGTGAGCCACTGCGCCCGGCCGCCTTCTTTAATTTCTTTCAGCAATGCTTTGTAGTCTTCACTGGACAGTCTCAACACCTTGGTTAATTCCTAAGCATTTTATTCTTTTTCTTTTTTCCTTTTTTCTTTCTTGTCTTTTTTTTTTTTGAGATGGAATTTCGCTCTTGTTGCCCAGGCTGGAGTGCAATGGCGTAATCTTGGCTCACCACAACCTCTGCCTCCCGGGTTCAAGAGATTCTCCTACCTCAGCCTCCTGAGTAGCTGGGATTACAGGCATGCGCCACCATGCCTGTCTAATTTTCTGTTGTTTTTTTTTTTAGTAGAGGTGGGGTTTTTCCACATTGGTCAGGCTGGTCTTTAACTCCCAACCTCAGGTGATCCACCCACCTCTGCCTCCCAAAGTTCTGGGATTACAGGCGTGAGCCACCACACCTGGCATTTTTTTTCTTCTTTTTCTTTTTTTTTTTTTTTTGAGATGGAGTTTCACTCTTGTCACCCAGTGGGGAGTGCAATGGCACGACCTCTGCTCACTGCAACCTCTGAATCCTGAGTTCAACTGATTCTCCTGTCTCAGCCTCTTGAGTAGCTGGGATCGTAGGTGCCTGCTAGCACGCCCAGGTAATTTTTGTATTTTCAGTAAAGACAGGATTTCACCACGTTAGCCAGGCTGGTTTCAAACTCCTGACCTCAGGTGATCCACCCACCTTGGCCTCCCAAAGTGCTGGGATTACAGGCAAGAGCCACTGCACCCAACCGATTTTATTATTTTTGATGCCATTATAAATATAATTGTTTTTATAATTTCCTTTTGAGATTGTTCGCTGTTAATGTGTGGAAATGCCGCTGATTTTTGTCGTTTGGTTTTTTTTTTTTTTAATGGGATAATATGAAACGTTTTGTTTTATTTTACCTGCTAGTGAGCTTGCAGGCTGCTGCTTGTGGAACATTGTCTTCATGGCTGCACGGGTCTGTGGTGAAGACATCCACACAGGATTTAGCCAGTTCCATCAGGATATGTTTGGGTGTTTGCAGTTTTTTACCATTTCAAGCCACACTGCAGTAAGCACCCTTGTAAATGCTCCCTATGCACTGCTGGGAGGGTCTTGGGCTAATTGCCAGTAGTAGAGCCGCTGGGACACAGGGCAAGAACATTTTTAATGTTCCCTACAGGAAGGTAAAGCCAGCTTTTCCTAGAGGGTAGAAGACCGTTGGTCCTGTACCCCCATTATTGGTGCGGCTGTCTTTGCTCAGCTGATCAATATGACCCCTATTTGTTCTGAGCAGTGCCTGACCCATGAGAGCTGCGCAGACGTTCATAGTGACAGTCCTGCTGCTGCCAGCAGGGTCTGGAAATTGACCATCTTGTCAGGAAGATTCATCAAGTGGCTGAAGACGAAGAACTAAAAAAACCCCATGTTTGCCTTTTAACTCATTTAGGCAAGCCAGGAATGTCCAAAACTAGCCCTCGGCCAGAGCTGTCCTGCAAAACCGCCAGGGCCTTCCCTTCAAGGAGAGCACTGCCCCAGCCAGCCTCTGATTAGCATCTCTACACATGGATAGCCCGGCCGGCTGAATTCCCTTCCAGAATGCAGCCAACAGCCTTTTCCCCTGAATCATCGTGACTCCTGCAAACCGGCACTGAAGTGATTAACTTCCTTCTGGGCCACCCGGTAGCAAACGTCTCCTGGACACATCCACAGTTTTGTCCTGCTGCCACCTCAAAGAGAGCTGTGAGGCCGGGCGTGGTGGCTCACGCCTGTATTCCCAGCAATCTGGGAGGTGGAGGCGGGTGGATCACCTGAGGTCAGGAGTTCAAGACGAGCCTGGCCAACATGGTGAGACTCCATCTCTACAAAAATATAAAAATTAGCCGGGCATAATGGTGGGTGCCTGTAATCCCAGCTACTCAGGAGGCTGAGGCGGGAGAATCGCTTGAACTAGGGAGGCGGGTGTTGAAATGAGCCGAGATGGTGCCATCTCTAGCCAGGGAAATAGAGCAAGACTCCATCTCAAAAAAAAAAAAGAGAGAGAGAGCTGCGAGTATTCCTCAATGATAGCTGGTAGGAAGTGGTACAGGGTCACAGAGAGAGTGGCCAGACCCCTGGAGACCAGGGCAGGGTCCTTATGGTGCCCTGTCAGTGTTGCCCCGGTGACTTGGCAGAGCACTCACCTAATCTGGGGCGCGCTGGACATGTTGTTCCCTCTCACCTGCACCTCTTTCTGCTGCACACCCCGCCCCCACTGCTTTGCCTGGTCTACTCCTTGTCACTGTTTTCTTTTCTTTTTCTTTCTTTTTTTTTTTTTTTTTTTTTTTTTGAGACAGAGTCTCGCTCTGTTGCCCAGGCTGGAATACAATGGTGCGATCTTGGCTCACTGCAACCTCCGCCTCATGGGCTCAAGAGATTCTCCTGCCTCAGCCTCCTGAATAGCTGGGACTATAGGCGCATGCCACCATGCCTGGATAATTTTTGTATTTTTAGTAGAGACTGGGTTTAGCCATGTTGGCCAGGCTGGTCTGGAACTCCTCACCTCAGGTGATCCACCCACCTCAGCCTCCCAAAGTGCTGGGATTACAGGCGTGAGCCACCGCGCCCGACCCTCCTTGTCACTCTTTAGACTTCAGCATTGGTGTCATTTCTGCAGGGAAGCTCTCCCTGACCCCTCCAGAGAAGAATGGTCCCTTTCTAGATACTCTTAGGGTACTAAGCTTGCAGCACTTAAAACGACAGCTCATTGTTGGGCCATTGCTATTTATGTCTATCTCCCCTCAGGCAGTGAGGTCACAGTTGTAGAATCTGTGTCCTGGTCTGCATCCCAGTACCTGGAAAGTGTCAGGCACATGCATCAGGCACATGTCAGTGTCTGGCAGACGGTGTAGCTCAGTGGATATGAGCATGAGGTCAGGGCCAGGCTGCCCAGGTTTGACTCCAGCCTCTATCAATACGGGCAAGTTACTGAATTTCTCTGCACTTTTCTTTTGCGCATCTGTAAAATGGGGATACTAGTACTTATCTGGGCCGGGTGTGGTGGCTCACACCTGTAATCCTAGCACTTTGGGAGGCCAAGGCAGGTGGATCACCTGAGATCAGGAGTTTGAGACCAGCCTGGCCAACATAGTGAAACCCCATCTCTACGAAAAATACAAAAATTAGCTGGTCGTAGTGGCACGTGCCTGTAGTCCCAGCTACTTGGGAGGCTGAGGCAGGAGAATCGCTTGAACCTGGGAGGCAGAGGTTGCAGTGAGCCAAGATGGTGCCACTTCACTCCAGCCTGGGCGAAACAGCGAAACTCCATCTCAAAAAAAAGGTACTTATCTGATCATTAGGGTTGTTGGAGGGTTGCGTGAGTGAATATATGTGAGGTGCTAGGAATGGGCGCCTGGCCTGCAGAAAGTGCTGGATTAGTGCTCATGTTGGCATTAAGTGAACTGGTTATATGAGGGTCTCTAAGGATCCATGTATAGCAGGCCCTGGTGATTGCACCCAGCATAGGAGTTGCTTAGCCTGTCACAAGTATGTATGCTCTTTGCCATGGTTGTTGTCATGTCGGTGTTGCTGCCATGGGCCTATAGTTCTAGTGATAGTGACGATATACCCCCAGAAGCTGATGGCTGCCCCACCGTTCACATTACTCTGGCTCGGCGGCTTGCCCTGAGTGTGTCCATCCACTCCTGCTCCTGCTGAAGAGAGCCTGGCCTTCCCCCACGTAACCGGTTCAGATTCCTCAGAGGACTTTTACCATCACCCTGTCGGGGCAGAGCTTTGCTGTTCTGGGGCAGGTGTCCTAGCAGCTGTCAGCAGGGACGTGTTACAGCACAGAATCTGGGTAAGGAACCATTCCCTGGGAGGAGGCTTGGACCCGGCTGGCTTTCCACGCCCAGGCCCCTCAGGACAGCTGCCACATAGGGAGGCACCATGTTGCTTGGGGGGCTTAACCACCTAATCAGATTTCCTCTGTTGGCAGAGTGTAGAGGACAGTCTTTGGGGAGCCACCCAGCCCACACCTGCTCCTCTGAGAACCCCTGAGAACTCCTTGGAAGGCAGCTTAGTAAAGTTGACCCCACACCATTGGCTGACTGGGTGCCACCTGACCCAAGATGGGCCAATCAGATTCTATCTAGAAATTTGTACTCAGAAGTGGTCTTAGGGTGGGCGCGGTGGCTCACACCTGTAATCCCAGCACATTGGGAGGCAGAGGTGGGCGGGTCACCTAAGTTCAGGAGTTTGAGACCAGCCTGGCCAATACAGTGAAGCCCCGTCTCTACTAAAAATACAAAAATTAGCTGAGCATGTTGGTGGGTGCCTATAATCCCAGCTACTCGGGAGGCTGAGGCAGGAGAATCTCCTGAGCCTGGGAGGTGGAGGTTGCAGTGAGCAGAGATCCTGCCATTGCACTCCAGCCTGGGAGACAGAGAGAGACTCCATCTCAAAAAAAAAAGAAAACTAGAAGTGGTCTTTGTTGACATCTGAACTACCCACTGGTGTGGCCATATGCCCAGGAAAGCAGAGAATGAAACAGCCCTTGGCACTAAGGACTCTGGAGGGTCCTGCTGGTTCCCAGGTCTTTATTTTGGTCCCTAGGGAGCTCTACTGTAGAGCCTGCCCTCTCCACCAGCCGCCTCCTTTGTCCATATAATCAATTCCTGGGGCCGGATGTGGTGGCTCACACCTGTAATCCCAGCACGTTGGGAGGCCAAGGCAGGCAGATCACTTAAGATCAGGAATTTGAGACCAACCTGGGCAACATGGTGAAACCCTGTCTCTACAAAATGTCCAAAAATTAGCTGGGCACGGTGGCATGCACCTGTGGTCACAGCTACTTGGGGAGGAGGCTTGAGGCAGGAGAATCACTTGAGCTTGGGAGGTGGAGGTTGCAGTGACCTGAGATCATGCCACTGCACTCCAGCCTGGATGACAGAGGGAGACCCTGTCTCAAAAAATAAAATAGACTCATGCCAGCACTTTTTGTTTTTTGTTTTTTGACGGAGTTTTGCTCTGTTGCCTAGTCTGGAGTACAAAGGTGCAATCTCGGTTCGCTGCAACCTCCGCCTCCCGGGTTCAAGCAATTCTCCTGCCTCAGGCTTCCGAGTAGCTGGGATTACAGGCACCTGCCCTCACGCCAGGCTAATTTTCTTCTGCATTTTTAGTAGAGACTAGGTTTCATCATGTTGGCCAGGCTGGTCTCGAACTCCTGATCTCAGGTGATTCACCCGCCTCGGCCTCCTAAAGTGCTAGGATTACAGGCGTGAGCCACCGCACCCAGCCAATCCCAGCACTTTGGGAGGCTGAGGCAGGCAGATTACCTGAGGCCAGGAATTCAAGACCAGCCTGGCCAATATGGTGAAACCCCCGTCCCTATTAAAAATACAAAAATTAGCTGGGCATGGTGGCAGGCACCTGTATAGTCCCAGCTACTCGTGAGGCTGAGGTGGAAGAATCCCTTGAACCTGGGAAGTGGAGGTTGCAGTGAGCTGAGATCATACCACTGTACTCCGGCCTGAGCAACAGAGCAAGACTTTGTCTCAAAAAATTAATTAATTAATTAATTAATTTAATAAATACATAAATAAATTACTCAACCACTCAAAGCTAACTGTGAGTGGGCTTCCACGCTCTTCCAAATGCACCATGCTGTGCATTTCCCCAAAATGCTGGCCCTGCCTCTGCAGAGGAAATGCTCCCACCCCTGCGGCAGGCAGCACAGCCAGGGCCGGCACCAGTGGGTGATTTACTGGTCTAGCTGAGGCTGACCCTGAGCCTTCCGGGAAGCATCTGCACTGCGGCTCCCATCACTGCCCTGGGAGCCGCTGCACGCCTGGGGAAGAGCCCAGCTGCCACAGCACAGGAAGCCCTCGAGTCTGTGTCAACTCCCGTCTCCGGCTGGACAGGACCAGCCAGGGAAGAGGAGCCTCCGTGAGGTCAGCAGGGGCCAGGCTCTGCTCGGGGCACTTGTTTTCTTTTCCTCTTACAAAATGGAAATTGCTTTATTTATTATAAATATAAATGCAGATGTATGATTTTTTAAAAAAGCATCACGCAAATGCGGAAAACTTTAAAGAAAAAAGCCTACCTCACCTCCGATCCCATTACTCAGAAAACACATACACACACACTTCTGTTTCCCCAGAAAGGAAATCAAACTGTACATAGAGAACCTGCTTTTGTTTTTTCTTTTGAGACAGGGTCTCACTCTGTCACCCAGGCTGGAGTGCGGTGATTCAGTCTTGGCTCACTGCAGCCTCTGCCTCCCAGGCTCAAGCGAACCTCATGCCTCAGCCTCCCAAGTAGCTGTACCACCACGCCCAGCTAATTTTTTTTTTTTTTTTTTTTTTTTTTTTGGAGAGACAGGGGTCTCACTATGCAGCCCAGGTTGGTCTCGAACTCCTGGGCTCCAGTGATCCTTCCGTCTCAGCCTCAAAGTGCTGGGATTACAGGTGTGAGCCACCTTGCCCGGCCAAATTTAGCTATTCTAATAGATATGTAGATGTATTTCCTTTTGGCTTTAATTCTCATTTCCCTGATGACTAATGAAGTGGGGAATTTTCGTGTCCTTGTTCCAGGCTATCTCAGTATCTCATCAGTAAATGGAAATCTACCTTGAGATTTGTTGTGTTTGCTTCGGCAGCACATATACTAAAAATTGGAATGATACAGAGAAGATTAGCATTACAAAAAGATCTGTAATGACTGTGTAGTGCTACAACAGTGGATACAGCATTTTATTTTATTTTATATATATATTTTTTTTTTGGGGGGGGGTGGTGGGGGGATGGAGTCTCACTCTGTTGCCCAGGCTGGAGTCCAGTGGCACAATCTCAGCTCACTGCAACCTCCACCTCCCAGGTTCAAGCGATTCTCCTGCCTCAGCCTCCCAAGTAGCTGGGACTACAGGCACGCGCCACTACGACCAGCTAATTTTTGTATTTTTCGTAGAGACAGGGTTTCACTATGTTGGCCAGGGTGGTCTCAGACTCCCGACCTCAGGTGATCCGCCTGCCTCAGCCTCCCAAAGTGCTGGGATTACAGGCGTGAGCCACAGCGCCTGGCTACAGCATTTTATTGAATCGAGGCCCTAGTGATGGACATCTTGGGTAGCTTGGATATTTTGCTTTCCACACGATGCTATGACACAAACCTAGCATGTACATTTCTGCGCTTTTGTCCATGGCTTCCTGTGGCACCGATGGGTAAAAGGAGTGCTCCTGTTTAAGGCTTTTGAGACTTATTGACTAATAGCTCCCCTGGAAACCTGCACCTCTGACAGCCCCATTGGCAGCATATGGGGAACAATTCCTGCTTCTAATTCAAGCAGAAACCTCCAGCACGATGGCTTGCAGGCTTTGAGGAAGTCTTTCAAGTGTGACCTCATGACTTTTGGCAAGAAGCCAGAAATAAGGGCAGATTGGCCACAGGATTCACTTGAAGTGGCCTTGGAAAACCATTACGATGGACTGGGGGAGGCGAGGCTGTTTCAGTGGGGAAGAAGGGGAAGCGCTGGGGTCAGGCCTGGGGGTGAGCCCAGCAACAGTTCATTCCTCACCCTGCAAGCCCGGCCCAGCCACTTGGCCTCTCTCACATGAGCTTTCTCAGATGTGGAGCAGAACAAATACTAACCCTCAAGCGTGTGAAAGCCCTTTACAAACTCAAAAACAACCCCCAAAGGTGTGTTGGGAGGACCTTTTGTTTCCTCCCCGGAAGCGTGGGCGGCATGCACTTCCTGGTTGTCTGTCTGAGAGCACCTGCCTGAAGAGGATGCTGAGGAGAGACAGAGCAGGCTCCGGTGAGGGAAGAGGGGAGGTGTGGCCAGCAGAACAAGGGTCTCCCCGCACTCCAGATCCTAATCCTGTGATTATGCATGGAGGTGCCAGGTGACATGGCCAAGGATAAGGTAGCAGATGGAATGAAGGTTGCTAATCAGCCGACCTTCAAACAGGGAGATTATCCTGGATCATCTGGGGGCCCATTGTGATCACAAGGGTCCTTCAGTGTGGAGGAGGAGGCGGCAGGAGAGAGAACAGAGAGATGCAGTGTGAGGACTCAGCCCTCCGTTGCTGGCTTTGAAGGTGGAGGAAGGGGCCACAAGCCAAGGAATGCAGGCAGCCTCTAGAGGCTGGGAAAGGAAGGAAACAGATTCTCCGGAAGGAGCCTCCAGAAGGAACGAGGCTCTGCTGTGGACACTTTGACTTTAGCCCTGTGAGACCCATGTCACACTTCCATCTTCCAGATCTGTAAGATAATGAAGTTATGTTTTCTTTTCTTTTCCTTTTTTTTTTTTTTTTTTTTTGAAATGGAGTCACCCTCTGTCACTCAGGCTGGAATGCAGTGGCACGATCTTGGCTCACTGCAAACTCCACCTCCTGGGTTCAAGCGATTCTGCCTCAGCCTCTGGAGTAGCTGGGACTACATGCACCCGCCACCACGCCTGGCTAATTTTTGTATTTTTAGTAGAGATGAGGTTTCACTACTTTGGCCTGGCTGGTCTCAAACTCCTGGCCTCAAGTGATCTGCCCGCCTTGGCATCCCAAAGTGTTGGGATTACAGGTGTAAGCCACTGCACCAGGCCTTTAACTTACATTGTTTTAAGCCACTAAGTCTGTGGAAATTTGTTACAGCAGAGATAGGGAACTAACACAGGAGGACAGGCTGGCACCCTGGGCCTTAGGGACGCCTCCATTGGCGGCATTCCAGGTGAGGAAGGCACCAGGGGTGTGTGAGAGCAGGGGCCCTTGTGTCCTCTGGCATCGCGGAGCAGTGCTCTTTGCTTTGGGTTAGGGTTCACATGAAGGGAGAGAGAAATAACCCCAAGCAGGGGCCTTGAATGCCAGGCTGGGGGCATGCTGGAGGCACTGGGGAGCCACCGAGGATTTCAGGCAGGGCAGAGAGGTGATGAGGACTTGCTTTTAGCAGTGGGGATGGAGTGAGGGAGCTCTGGGCCTGGAGTCAGAGCCCTGGGTTCAAGTTCCAGCACTGCCTCTCTGGTGACGTTGGGGGCATGTTGCAGATGCCCTCCGGATTTGCACTCCCTTTCCTGAAAACGGTCGGGCTAGTTCTGGGGTCCTTCCTAGTCAAGGAACATAGCTGGCCCGGCCTAGTCAGGCCCTTTTGGGATCCAAGGGAATTCTCTGACCTGACACCTAGAAGGTAGAGAAAGTAAGAAAATAATAATGATGATAATAATAGCAACATTTATTGAGCACTAACCATGGGTTAAGAATGTTCTGTGATACATCTCATTTAATTTCACCATTCTGTCAATGGCTCTCCAGTGCTCTTCGTTTAAAGGTCAACATCCCCATTGTGACCCACAAGGCCCCATGGTATGGCCCTGCTGGCCACCTTCGGCCTCATCTCAGACCTCTCTCCTCTTCACTCTGCACTCAGCTTCTCAGTCCCAGAAAAGAATGACCCGCTCCTCCCATCTCAGGGCTTTGCACAAGCCCTCCTGCATCCGGGAATGCCGTCACCCTGGTCTCCACTGGCTCAGCCCCTCCATCCTCTGCTCTCAGCCCCACAGCCAGGTCATTGCCCTGCCCTCCCGCAAATCAGTTTCCTGTGTATGTACCTGACTCCATTTCAGATAACAAAGCCCTGCGTAGAAGTACTTCTGAGGCTGGGCGCGGTGGCTCAAGCCTGTAATCCCAACACTTTGGGAGGCCGAGGCAGGCAGATCACAAGGTCAGGAGTTTGAGACCAGCCTGGCCAATATGGTGAAACCCCGTCTCTACCAAAAATACAAAAAATTAGCTGGGCATAGTGGTGGGCACCTATAATCCCAGCTTCTCGGGAGGCTGAGGCAGGAGAATTGCTTGAACCCGGGAGGCAGAGGTTGCAGTGAGCCAGGATCATACCACTGCACTCCAGCCTGGACAGCAGAGTGAGACTACATCTCAACGAAACAAAACAAAACAAAAAGAAGTACTTCTGAACTTCTGAGTATATATCTGCGTGATTACCTGTTTGGTCTCTACCTCCCCAAGCAGGTCATGGGGACTGATAGGTTAGGATGGTGTTTGCTGAAAGAATAGGCGAGGCACGGTGGCTCATGCCTGTGATCCCAGCACTTTGGGAGGCTGAGGTGGGCAGATTGCTTGAGTTCAGGAATTTGAGACTAGCCTGGGTAACGTAGTGAAACCCCATCTCTACAAAAAATAAAAAAATTAGCTGGGAATGTGGTGGCATGCACCTGTAGTTCCAGCTACTTGGGAGGCTGAGGTGGGAGGATGGTTGAGCCCAAGAGGCAGAGGTTGCAGTGAACTGAAATTGTGCCACTGCACTCCAGGCTGGGTGACAAAGCAAAAAATAATAGTAATAACATAATAATAATTTTTTTTTAAAGAAAAAGCCAAGTAAAGTAGCTCATGCCTGTAATCCCAGCACTTTGGGAGGCCAAGGCGGGCGGATCACTTGGGGTCAGGAGTTCAACACCAGCCTGGCCAACATGGTAAAACCCCGCCTTTATTAATAAAACAAAAATTAGCCAGGCGTGGTTGCACGCACCTGAAATTCCAGCTACTCAGGAGGCTGAGGCAGGAGAATCACTTGAACCCGGGAGGTAGAGGTTGCAGTGAGCCAAGATCGTGCCACTGCACTCCAGCCTGAGCAATAGAGTGAAACTGTGTCTCAGGAAAAAAAAAAAAAAAAAGAATAAATAAATTATTAAATAAATACCTGTTTACTGAAGTAATAAACAATAAACAACAGAGCCCAACAGTTGGTTTGTTCTCATCCACATTTTTCTCAAAAGCAAAAATGGGCTCAGAGATCAGAGGTTTGTCCAGGGTTACCAGGTGAGGCTGGAGGGTCCCCCTCTTTACAGGAGGCAGGGGCTGGGCTGGGGCCCATCTGAGTCGAGGGTCACTGTGAGTGGAGGTCAAGGCTGGAGGAACTGGGCCCGTCTAGGGGGCGGGTCAGCTGGGGAAGCACCTTAGAAAGGATGTGCTGAGCACAGCTGCCCAGGCAGAAGAGGAAGGAACCCAGGGCTCCTGTGGCTGCAGCCGATCTTCCCGAGTCTGGCCCCACCCCCGAACCCCGGCCACTCTGTAACACTTCCACACACTCCCTCTGGCCAATGTTGCTACTTAAATGGCTTTTCAAGGTGGGTCACACCAGGTACGGACAAGGGTTGAAGGCCAGGCCCACTTGCCCACTGCCCACAGAAGTATAAATCGGTCTGACCATTTTAGAGGATGGTTTGGCAATATCTGTGAAAACATGCAAAGTGCAAACCCTTTGACCCAGTAATTCCGCTTCTGGGAACTTATCCTAAAGAAACGCTAACGTCCATGAAATTGGCAATGTTATTCACACAGGGGGTTATTTACTGTAGCACTGTTTGTCATGGCAAAGAACTGGAAGCCACCTAATGTCCATCAGGAGGAAATGGATAAGTAAATTATGCTTGCAGTTCCCATGGAAAACTACAGTCATTCAAAACAATGAGCCTGTCTATATGAAATGCCAGAGGAGGATGTTCATGATATATATAGGTATTGTTAAGATTTCTTAAAGTTGCGGAACAATATGTTTCAATTATCTATTGCTGAATTGCAAAGTACCCGGAAACTGGCCCTTCTTCAGCATCATGTGGCAGCAGGGGTCACTGATGCGGGTGCATTCAACTGGGAGTTTGGCTGGGGCTCGAACTTCCAAGGATGAGAGGATGATGCCCTCTCATCCTCCAGCACCCATCTCCACATGGCCTTATCATTCCACAGTCCTGCCTGAGCCTCCTTCCAGCACGGGGGTTTGATCCCAAGAGTGAGTAATGTATTTCAAGAAAACAAGCCTCCAAGTGTAAACCCTTATTGAAACTCTGCAGCAGGCTTACTAGTGTCCCTTTGACCCAAGTTTATCACATGACCAGGCCCAAATTCAACATGTGACAACCTACATCAGGGCCTAGATGCTGGAGGCAAGATATACCAGGGCCATTATTAACAATCTAGTATAACATATGTAATAGGATCATATTTTATTAAGAAACCATGGCGGGTACAGTGGCTTATGCCTGTAATCCCAGCACTTTGGGAGGCCAAGGCGGGCGGATCACTTGAGGTCAGGAGTTCGAGACCAGCTGGCCAACATGAGGAAACCTGGTCTCTGCTAAAAATACAAAAATCAGCCGGGCGTGGTGGCAGACACCTGTAATCCCAGCTACTTGGGAGGCTAAAGCAGGAGAATCACTTGAACCCGAAGGCAGAGGTTGCAGTGAGCTGAGATCGAACCGCTGCACTCCAGCCTGGGCGACAGAGTGAAACTCAGTCTTAAAAAAGAAAAAAAGAAAAAAGAAAAGAAACTATGGTGGGGCATGGTGGCTCACGCCTGTAATCCCAGCACTTTGGGAGGCCGAGGCGGGCAGATGCTATTGTAGACCACATCCTGCACATTCAGATGAAGATTCCTGAGCCAGATCTTTCTGCAAGTCCTAAACTATTATCCCAGGATAAGTGCTGAGAAGAAGAACTGCTGAGTTGAAGGTTAGGAACTTTTTTTTTCTTTTTTTTTGAGACAGAGTTTTGTTCTTGTTGCCCAGGCTGGAGTGCAATGGTACAGTCTCGGCTCACCATAACCTCCGCCTCCTGGATTCAAGTGATTCCCCTGCCTCAGTCTCCTGAGTAGCTGAGATTACAGGCACCTGCTACCACACCCGGCTATTTTTTTGTATTTTTAGTAGAGACGGGGTTTCACCATGTTGGCCAGGCTGGTCTCGAACTCCTGACCTCAGGTGATCCGTCCGTCTCAGCCTCCCATAGTGCTGGGATTATAGGTGTGAGCCATTGCACATGGCCTGCTTGCATTATTTATTCACCAAACATGTACTGAACACTTATTTGTGCCAGGCTCCAGGCTGGGCACTGGGGATACTGGGATGAACAGACACTCCCTGCCTTGTCAAGCTCATATCTCAGTCTGGACTGGGGGTAAGGAAAGGAGAATAGGGAGGGGACAAACAATGCCAGTCCACGAGGGAACAGTATGGGACTGGGCATGAGCATGGGCACCGTGGGAGTCCCCCCATTCCTCCAGATTGAAGAAGGTAGAGACCTAGTTAAAAAGGGGAGATCTTGGCCGGGCACGGTGGTTCATGCCTGTAATTCCAGCACTTTGGGAGGCCAAGGCAGGTGGATCATTTGTGGCCAGGGGTTCAAGACCAGCCTGGCAAACATGGTGAAACCCTGTCTCTACTAAAAATACAAAAACTAGAGCCGGGCGTGGTGGCTCACGCCTGTAATCCCAGCACCTTGGGAGGCTGAGGCAGGCAGATCACCTGAGGTCAGGAGTTCAAGACCAGCCTGGCCAACATGGTGAAACCTTGTCTCTACTAAAATTACAAAATTAGCTGTGCATGGTGGCATGCGCCTGTAATCCCAGCCACTCGAGAGGCTGAGACAGGAGAATCGCCTGAACTCAGGAGGCAGAGATTGCAGTGAGCCAAGATCATGCCACTGTACTCCAGCCTGGGCGACAGAGGGAGACTCTATCTCTAAATAAATAAATAAAAATACAAAATAGCCATGCGTGGTGGCACGTGCCTGTAATCCCAGCTACTTGGGAGGCTGAAGCAGGAGAATCACTTGAACCGGGGATGCAGAGGTAGAGGCTGCAGTGAGATTGCACCACTGTACTCCAACCTGGGCTACAGAGGGAAACGCTGTCTCAAAGAATATAAAGTGGCGGTGGGAGAACTCTCAGAGTCCCAAGGATACCATTGACTATTGCAATTTTTCTGTTCTCTACATATGCATGCACTTAATAATCACACTAGCTTATGTTTATTGAGCCCTTGCTCTGGGCACCTGACACGTATAAACTCACCAGATCCTCGTAATCACCTGTCAGGTAGGGACTATGTTTGTTCCCATTTTACAAAAGAGGAGACTAAGCCTCGGAGAAGTGAGTTGTTTGCCCGTAGTCACTCAGCTGGGAAGTGTCAGAGCTGGGATTTGGACACGCACAGTCGGTCTCCTGGGTCCTATGTCTTCTTTTTTTTTTTTTTTTTTTTTGAGAGGGAGTTTCTCTCTTGTTGCCCAGACTGGAGTGCAATGGTGCAATCTTGGCTCACTGCAACCTCCGCCTCCCAGGTTCAAGCGATTCGCCTGCCTCAGCCTCCCAAGTAGCTGGGATTACAGGCATGCACCACCACGCCACGCTAATTTTGTATTTTTAGTAGAGACAGGGTTTCTCCATGTTGGTCAGCCTGGTTTCAAACTCCCGACCTCAGGAGGTCTGCCTGCCTTGGCCTCCCAAAGTGCTGGGATTACAGGCGTGAGCCACCGCACCCGGCTGGTTCTATGTTCTTGACCACTCCACCACGCAGCCACAAATTAAACACAAACAGAACAACAAGAGCAAGTGTTCAGACCACCACACAAACCGCGTGTGACAGACGATGATGTTTTGCAGAAATGAGGTTGCGCCCCACCATGTTGAGTCCAGCCCACAGGCTCCCCAGGGGCTTTGGCCTGCCGACTGCTTTTCTCTTCCCAAACCACAGGGAAATTGTCAGCTATTGTCCTTCACTTCTTTTTTTTTTTTTTTTTTTTTAACATGGAGTCTCGCTCTGTCGGCCAGGCTGGAGGGCAGTGGCGCAATCTCTGCTCACTGCAACCTCCACCTCCCAGGTTCAAGCAATTCTCCTGCCTCAGCCTCCCGAGTAGCTGGGATTACAAATGTACGCCACTACACCTGGCTAATTTTTGTATTTTTAGTAGAGATGGGGTTTCACGATATTGGCCAGGCTGGTCTCGAACTCCTGACCTTGTGATCCACCCACCTTGGCCTCCCAAAGTGCTGGGATTACAAGCATGAGCCACCGCACCCAGCCTGTCCTTCACTTCTTACAACAGTGTTTTTTTCTATATACAGATTCTACCTCTCTCTCCAAGAAATCGGTGTTATGAGTTCCTTGTATGTCTTTCCAGGGATCATCTTTGCAAATACATTTTTTTTTTTTGAGACAGGGTCCTGCTATGTCGCCCAGGCTGGAGTGCTGTGGCATAATCCTAGCTCACTGCAGCCTTGACCTCCTGGACTCAAGCCATCCTCCCACTTCAGCCTCCAGAGGAGCTGGGACTACAGGTGTGCACCACCATGTCTGGCAACTTTTTAATTATTTATTTTGAGATGGAGTTTTGCCCTTGTTGCCCAGGCTGGAGTGCAATGGCGCAATCTCGGCTCACTGCAACCTCTGCCTCCCTGGTTCAAGCAAGCAATTCTCCTGCCTTAACCTCCTGAGTAGCTGGGATTACAGGCATGCACCACCACACCCAGCTAATTTTGTATTTTTAGTAGAGACGGGGTTTCTCCATGTTGGTCAAGCTGGTCTTGAACTCCCAATCTCAGGTGATCCACCAGCCTCGGCCTCTCAAAGTGTTGGCATTACAGGCGTGAGCCACCACACCCAGCTGCAAATACAAACTTATGTTCTGTGTTTTCCTCTCATTACAAAACATTCTTATGCCACATCTGTGGCTCTGCCTCAGTCTCTTTTTACTTAACAGAGGATCTGGGAGATCATCAGTGGGGAAAGCGCTTCCTCATTCCCATTCACAGTTGTCCCATGCTCCTGCCCACCGCCTGCCAATGCACGTGTGGGTTGCTTCTGACCTTTGCAATTGCACCAATTAAGTTTAAGTCACTGAGGCAGTCAGCCTTCAGGATGGCCTCCAAGGATTCCCACCTCCGGGTATTCATGCCTTCAAGTGGTCCACTCCTGGTGAGAGCAGGGCCTAGTGACCAGATTCTAATGCATAGAGGACAGCAAATGTCAGGGATGGCTGAGAGGGCCTAGAAGCAGTGACACCCTGGGTGCAATAAATAGGCCCAGGGCCCAGATTTTAGTTTCTAAATGCCACTCGCCAACAAAAACAATCAGGGCTCTTTCGAGAAATGGCTGATTCTATAGCTAAGTCAGGGAAAATATAAGATGAGCTTGGAGCATTGTAGAGTGCCGGAAAGCAAGTACCTGCTCAGAAACGAAAGGACGGCTGGGTACGGGGGCTCACACCTGTAATCCCAGCGCTTTAGGAGGCCGAGGCAGGCAGATCGCTTGAGCCCAGGAGTTTGAGACTAGCCTGGGCAACATGGCAAAACACCTTCTCTACAAAAAACTTAAAAATTAGCCAGGTGTGGTAGTGCACATCTGCAGTCCCAGATACTCGGGAGGCTGAGGTGGGAGGTTGGCTTGAACCCAGGAGGTTGAGGCTGCATTGAGCTGAGATCACACCACAGCACTCTAGCCTGGGCAACTGAGTGAGACCCTGTCTCAAAAACAAAAACAAACCTGGCTGAGCTCGGTGCCTCACGCCTGTAATCCCAGAACTTTGGGAGGCCAAGGAGGGTGGATCACTTGAGCTGAGGAGTTCAAGACAGCCTGGCCAACATGGCAAAAACCGCATCTCTACTAAAATTTCAAAAAATTAGCCGGGCATGGTGGTGCATGCCTGTAATCCCAGACTAGGGAGGCTGAGGCATGAGAATCGCTTGAACCTGGGAGGCGGAGGTTGCAGCGAGCTGAGATTGTGCCACTGCACTCCAGCCTGAGTGACAGAGTGAGACTCTGTCTCAAAAAACAAACAAACAAAAAACCTAAAGGACAAGAGCTTGTCAAAGGGACCAGGAGTCAATCTGAAAGAGCTCCAATGGCCAAAATGGTAACAATTTGGCAATGAAATGAATAATATAGTGTTAGATTACAGCTCAAAGTACAAAATAAACATACACAGGTTCATGCTGATATAAGTAAATGACTGAGTAAATAAATAAATGGGAAAAAAGGGACAAATCGTCCCTACAGAAGAATTGCAATTAATTTATGATACTACCCCAGGAGGTAGATTTAATTTCTCACCCCTTGAGTGTGGGCTGGACTTAGTGATTTGCTTCCAAAGAACAGAGTATAGTAAAGGGAAAAATAGTAACTTCATGGTGGAGAAACCTGGCAGACACCAGGTCAAGTGTCAAGTGACGAAGGTCAATATATTAAGGTTAATACTTTAATCATGGGAATCTCATGTACCTCCTGATTTAATGGACTACGGAGGGCTCCACACACCTCTGGGCATCTCTTCCCAAGCTCATACCTGAGCTAATCATGAAAAAAATACAGACAAACACAAATTGAGGGACATTCACAAAATACTTCACTAGTACTCCTCAAAACTCAAGGTCATGGCTTGAGAAAGACAGAATATCTGGGGAAAGACAGAAAATCTGGGGAAAGACAGAAACTGTCATAGACCAGAAGAAATCAAGGCGAGATGACAAAATGCAATGTGATATCCTGGGTTGGAACCTGGAACAGAAAAAGGACCTTAGTGTAAAAATGAATGAAATCTGAATAAAGGCTGGAGTTTATTTAATAATAATGTGTCAAAGTTGGTTTCTTTGACAAATGTTTCATGGTAAATTAAGATGATAACATTAGGGAAACTGGGTGAAGGTATTCAGGAACTGTGGTTATGGGATTTTGTTTTGTTTTGTTTTTTGAGACAGGGTCTTGCCCCGTCGCCCAGGCTGAAGTGCAGTGGCACGATCGCAACTCACTGCAGGCTTGACCTCTCCAGTTCAAGCAATCTTCCCACCTTAATCTCCCAAGTAGCTAGAACTATAGGTGTGTGCTACCACACCCAGCTATTGTACATTATCTTTGCAATTTTCCTGTAAATCTATCATTATTCCAAGATAAAAAGGAGGCCAGATGCAGTGGCTTATGCTTGTAATCCCAGAACCTTGAGGCCAGGAGTTTCAGACTGGCCTGGGCAACATAGCAAGACCTCATCTCTACAAAAAATACAAAAAAATTAGTCAAGCGTGGTGCTCCAGGCCTGTAGTCTCAGCTACTTGGGAGGCTGAGGTGGGAGAATCAGCTGAGCCCAGGCTGCAGTGAGCCATGATCACACCACTGCACTAAAGCCTGGGCAACAGAGCGAGACTCTGTCTCAAAAAAATAAAAAAAACTCATCCGGGCATGGTGGCACATCCCTGTAGTCCCAGCTATTCAGGAGGCTGAGACAGGAGGATCCCTTGTGCCCAGGAGTTTGAGTTACTGTGAGCCTTGATAGCACAGCTGCATTCCAGCCTGGGCAACAGAATAAGATCCTGTCTCAATTTTTTTTTTTTTTTTTTTTTTTGAGATGAAGTTTCACTCTTGTTGCCCAGGCTGGAGTGCAATGGCATGATCTTGGCTCACTGCAACCTCTGCCTTCCAGGTTCAAGCGATTCTCCTGCCTCAGCCTCCTGAGTAGCTGGGAATACAGGCACGTCAGCCATGCCTGGCTAATTTTTTGTATTTTTAGTAGAGACGGTGTCACAATGTTGGCCAGGCTGGTCTCAAACTCCTGACCTCAGGTGATCCACTTGCCTTGACCTCCCAAAGTGCTGGGACTATAGGTGTGAGCCACCGCACCCAGCTCAATTTTTTTTTTTAGAAAAAGGGTAATTCAGGAAAAAAAGCGACAGGACATCACTTTTTTTTTTTTTTTTGAGACAGAGTCTTGCTCTGTCACCCAGTCTGGAGTGCAGCGGCACGATCTTGGCTCACTGAAACCTCCACCTCCCAGGTTCAAGTGATTCTCCTGTCTCACCCTCCCAAGTAGCTGGGACTACAGGCACCCACCACCATGCCTGGCTAATTTTTGTATTTTATTTATTTATTTATTTATTTATTTATTTATTTTGAGAGGAGTCTCGCTCTGTTGCCCAGACTGGAGTGCAGTGGTGCGATCTTGGCTCACTGCAACCTCTACCTCCCGGGTTCAAGTGATTCTGCCTCAGCCTTCCAAGTAGCTGGGATTACAGGCACCCGCCACCACACCTGGCTAATTTTTGTATTTTTAGTAGAGACGGGGTTTCACCATATTGGCCAGGCTGATCTCGAACTCCTGACCTCAAGCAATCCACCCACCTTGGCCTCCTGAAGTGCTGGGATCACAGGTGTGAGCCACCATGCCCGGCTGATTTTTTTTTTTTTTTTTTTTTTGAGACAGAGTCTAGCTCTGTCGCCAGGCTGGAGTTCAATGGTGCGATCTCAGCTCACTGCAACCTCTGCCTTCCAGGTTCAAGCAATTCTCCTGCCTCAGCCTCCCAAGTAGCTGGGATTACAGGCATGCACTGCCACACCCAGCTAATTTTTGTATTTTTAGTAGAGATGGGGTTTCACTATATATTGGCCAGGCTGGTCTCGAACTCCTGACCTCAGGTGATCCATCTGCCTTGGTCTCCCAAAGTGCTGAGATTACAGGCATGAGCCACCAGACTCAGCCGGGATGTCACTTCTGAGAGTAGGTTACGAAAGGACCCTGGCTTCCCTCCTGCTTGCCTCCTCTGGCTTGCTGGCTCTGACGAAGCCTCCCACCACTGTATGAGCTGCCCTATGAAGACACCCACATGGCCAGGAACATGAGAGATGCCTTGGCCAACAGCTGTCGAGGAGCTAAGCCCCTCAGCCCAACAGGCCATGAGGAACAGAATCCTGCCAGCATTCAGGTGAGTGAGCTTGGAAGCAAATCCTCCCCCATCTGAGCCTTGAGATGGGCCCCAGCCTCTGCTGATACCTTGATGGAGATTTTGTGCAAGACCTTGAGCCAAAGGACCCAGCTAAGGTGCACCTGGATTCCTGACCCACAGAAACTGGGAGACAAAAGTTTGTTGTTGTTGCTGTTGTTGTTGCTGTTGTTGAGACAGAGTTTCACTCCTGTTGCCCAGGCTGGAGTGCAATGGCGCAATCTCGGCTCACTGCAATCTCTGCCTCCCAGGTTCAAGCAATTCTTCTGCCTCAGCCTCCCAAGTAGTTGGGATTACAGGCACCCGCCACCACACCCGGCTAATTTTTGTATTTTCAGTAGAGATGGGGTTTCATCACATTCCCTCAGCCTCACAAGTACCACTGCCACCACACCTGGATAGTTTTTGTATTTTTAGTAGAGATGGGGTTTCACAATGTTGGCCAGGCTGGTCTCGAACTCCTGGCCTCAGGTGATCCACCTGCCTCAGCCTCACAAAGTGCTAGGATTACAGGCATGAGCCACCATGCCCGGCCAAAAGTTTGTTGTTTTAAGCTGCTAAGTTGGGGGTGGGTGGGTGGATGATATGCAGGCAGCCATAGCTAACTAATAGTTTCCCTGTCTTTTCAGTTATTTTCTCTTTGGCCTGGGGCCCTTGACATACCCCTGTTTGGCTCGGATAGAAGCAGAAATACTAACACAGGCCGGGCTCCGGGTTGTTGGCCTCCACAAGGTGCAGTATGAAGGCTGGTAATTTTATGAGATTATTAAAATAAAAATTCAAGCCTTGAAAATTCTCAGAAAAGAACTCAAAAGCCACAATTTTCAAGATCCCTACTTCCCTGCTTAAATCCTCCAGTAGCTTTGAACTGTTCAAGTAAAATCCAAAACCCTTCCGGTGGCTGGCACCGCCCCCAGGGTGTCCCCCACCCACTATCCCACCTCCCTTTCTGTTTCTCCTTCCCCCTGGTTTCTAGAAGCCTGTTCTCACCTGCCTGTGCCTGCCTCAGGGCATTTGCACACGCCATGCTCTCTGCCTGGGATGTCTTTCTCCACCTCTTCCCATGGTTGCTGGCTCCCTGCTATTCAGGCCTCAGTTCAAATGTCACCAACAGGGGGAGCCTGGCCCTGACCACCCACTCCCTGTCCCCGGACCCCTGGCACACTCAGTCACATCTCCCTACTTTATTTTTTTCAAAGCATGCATGGGTCACTATCTGAAATTATCTTGTCCACTCATGTCATTTTTTGTTCTTGTTGTTAGACAGGCAGTTGAGTGTGATGGTGAAGAGCCCTGGACTTTGGTTCAAATCCTGCCTCCACTGCACATGAGCTCTGCCCTTGTGCAAGTTTTCTAGCTTCTCTGAGTCTCAGCTTCTCCATCTGTGAGGCACAATAAGAAGTCACTGCATCATAAGACTGTTGGGAGGATTTAGAGAATATATAAAGGGCCTGGCCTATGCCTGGAATGTTGTTAAGTGATCTGCATATATGTTTGTTGTTGTTGTTGTTATTCTCTGTCTCCCACTGCCCCTGGACATAACCTCAGTGTGGGGTTCTGCTCATTGCTCTATTGCCAGCTCAGAGCCTGGCATATAGTGCAGTACGGTACAGGGTGCAGGTGGGGGTGTCAATAAATACTTCCTGAAAGAAAGAAAGAAAGAAAGAAAGAAAGAAAGAAAGAAAGAAAGAAGAAAGAAAGAATGAATGAATGAATAACTTGAAGTAAAAACTAAGAACACTGGCTTTGGCCAGATGTTGTGGCTCATGCCTCTAATTCCAACATCTTGGGAGGCTAAGGTAGGAGGATCTCTTGAGGGCAGGAGTTCAAGACTAGCCTGGGCAACATAGCAACATTCTGTCTCTATTGATTTATGTATTGTTTTGTTTTTGTTGTTGTTGTTGTTTAAGGCAGGGTCTCACTCTGTCTCCCAGGCTGCAGTGCAGTGGCACAATCACTGCTCACTGCAGCCTCAACCTCCTGAGCTCAGGTGATTCTCCCACCTCAGCCTCCCGAGTAGCTGGGCCTACAGGCACACACCACCATGCCCGGCTAATTTTTTGTAGAGATGGGGTCTCACTATGTTGCCCAGGCTGATCTTGAACTCCTGGGCTCAAGCGATCTGTCCTCCTTGGCCTCCCAAAGTGTTGGCCTCCCAAGTGTTGGGAGGTATGAACCACCGTGCTTAGTCTCTGTCTCTATGTAAAAACAAAACAAAACAAAAACAAAAACAAAACCACTGGGTTTGAAGTCAGGCAGATGTGCTTGCATACTCTTCACACCCTTACCAGCTAGGAGCTGGGAGACCTTGGGTGAGTGACGTCGCCTCTCTGACTTCCAGGTTCTCCATCTGGAGCCTCCTCAGAGAGTTGCTGGGAGGGTCCTACATGCTCCTGCAGGGCAGGTCCTCAGCACACCACTCAGTGTGCACGCAGGGAACAGCAGCGATCACGCTTCTCGACCTTGGTGAGTCCAGTGCTGCCGGTTTGCAGACTCATGCGGATACACATGACAGTCTGCAAACAATTCCTGGGGCTCTGTGACCTGGAGATGTCCATCCTCAAACAGCCCCACCCCAGATGACAGGCCCTACCCAGGACAGAAAGAGGCAAGAGGGACACTGGGTCAGAAGGCTGTGTTCCTGACTGGCCAACTGCCCTGGGCAGGCTGGGCCGCCATGCGGGGAGCTTTAACTTCTAGAATGTGCCGCATTAGCACTTCCTTCCTGGGTGGCTGGCAGCTTCTGGGGGCAGCTTCTGTGACAGGAGAGCGGCAGTGAAAGCTGGCATAAGCTGGGAGCGGTGGCTCAAGTAATCCCAGCACTTTGGGAGGACTAAGAGGGTGGATCACCTGAGGTCAGGAGTTCGAGACCAGCCTGGCCAACATGGTGAAACCCCCATCTCTACTAAAAATACGACATTAGCCGAGCATGGTGGTGCATGACTGTAATCCCAGCTACTCCGGAGGCTGAGGCAAGAGAATCGCTTCAACCCAGGAGGCGGAGGTTGCAGTGAGACAAGATTGCACCATTGCACTCCAGCCTGGGCAACAAGAGCAAAACTCCGTTTCAAAAAGAAAAAAAAGAAAGTGGGCATAAAATCAACCTAGGGGCCAAGGGGTAGGTGGTCCTGCAGCCAGAAAGTAGGAGCCATGTCCAGAGGGGAGCAGGTCTGGCCAATGGAATGTGAAAAAACTGGGCACCATTTCCAGACTTGACTCATAAAGAACTCCCACTTCCTCCTCTACCCTCTGGCCTGCCCCATCTGCCAGCTGGATGTCTGTGCCCAGGGCTGCCCAGGAGGCCACATGTGAAGATAGCAGAGGCTCCATCAGCCAGGATCACTGCACGGCTCCATGGCCCAAAGCCCCTTCTCACCTACCCCTTCCTGCTGCTGACTGGACTTTACAAGAGCAAGAAATAAACTTCTAATCTGTTAAGTACTGAGATTTCAAAGGTTATTGGTGAATGAAGCCAATTTATTATATTTTTCTATCAGAATCGCCTTGGGCAAGTCTTTTAAAAGTTATGTTTTTCCATTAATTTACCAAATGAAGACATCTAAAACATGCAAACCTCACAGAATGAATGAAAGTCCCTGTCATCCCTGCTTGCTCTGCAACGAGTGATAACCACTACTAATAGTTTGGGTATAGTCTTCCAGGGTTTTTTCCTACGTATGCACATCGTGTTTTGGTTTTTGTTTGTTTGTTTGTCTTTGAGACAGAGTCTCACTCTGTCACCCAGGCTGGAGTACAGTGGCACGATCTTAGCTCACTGCAACCTCCACCTCCCAGGTCAAGTGATTTTCCTGTCTCAGCTTCCTGAGTAGCTGGGATTACAGGCGGGCGCCACCACACCCGGCTGATTTTTGTATTTTTAGTAGAGACAGGGTTTCACTATGTTGGCCAGGCTGGTCTTGAACTCCTGACCTCAGGTGATCCACCCACCTAGACCTCCCAAAGTGCTGGGATTACAGGCGTGAGCCATCGCGCCTGGCACATCATGTTTTTATACAAAAGCATCACACCATATATATTGTTCTGCAAGATGTCCTTTCCTTCAGCAGCATACCTTGGAAATCCCCACGTTTGAAAGCCTGAATCTACCTCATTCTTTTTAACTTTAGTCTGGCATTCCGTAGCACGTGTAAACTAAAATGTACTTTTTTTTTTTTTTGAGATGGAATCTCGCTCTGTCACCCAGGCTGGAATGCAGTGGCGCGATCTCAGCTCACTGCAACCACTGCCTCCTGGGTTCAAGTGATTCTCCTGCCTCAGCCTCCTGAGTAGCTGGGACTACAGGCACACGCCACTACGCCCAGCTAATTTTTGTATTTTTAGTAGAGATGAGGTTTCACCATGTTGGCCAGGATGGTCTCCATCTCTTGACCTCGTGATCCACCCACCTCAGCCTCCCAAAGTGCTGGGATTATAGCCGTGAGCCACCACACCCAGCCACTAAAATGTATTTAATGGAGCCCTCGATTATTTATCTTCTGCTGCATAACAAATTACCTCAAAACCTAACAGCTTAGGACGGCAAATATTTATTCTCTTAAAGATTCCAGGAGTCAGGAATTTAGGAACGACCCTAGACGGGCGGTCTGGCTCAGGGTCTCTCCCTGGCTGTGGGCTGTGGCCGCAGTCTCCTGAAGGGACTGGGATCTGCTTCCAGGCTCACCCGTGATTGTTACAGGCCTCAGTTCCTTGCTATCTGATGTCCCCGTGATGTGACAGTGGCTTCGCACAGAGTGAGCACTGAGAGAGCCCCAGATAAAAGTGCAGTCTTTATGGCCTGGTGTGGTGGCTCACGCCTGTAATCCCAGCACTTTGGGAGGCCAAGGCGGGTAGATCACCTGAGGTTAGGAGTTCGAGACCAGCCTGGCCAACATGGTGGTCTCTGCTAAAAATTAAAAAATGAGCTGAGGGTGGTGGCAGGAGCCTGCAATCCCAGCCACTCAGGAGGCTGAAGCAGGAGAATCGCTTGAGCCCAGGAAGTGAAGGCTGCAGTGAGCCAAGATCGCACCACTGCACTCCAGACTGGGCAACAGAGTAAGAATCTGTCTCAAAAAAAAGAGAAAGTGCAGTCTTTTATAAGCGCATCTTAGAAGTGAAAGCACAGCAGCAGAGCATCCTGCCGTTGGTCACTCAGACCAGCTCTGGCCCAATGAGGGAGGGGCTTCCTGAGCCCTTGAATCCCAGAAGTCCAGGATCAGCGGGGCTTTTTTTTTTTTTTTTTAAATAAAGTTTTTTTTTTTTTATTTTTTTTTCATAGAGATGGGGTCTCTCTATGTTACCCAGGCTGGTCTCAAACTCATGGGCTCAAGCAATCCTCCCACCCTACCTCCCAAAGTGCCAGGATTACAGGTGTGAGCCACCTTGCACAGGCTGTTTTTCTTTCCTAGAAACAGGGTCTCCCTCTGTTGTAGTGGTGTGATTATAGCTTCCTGCAGTCTCAAATTCCTGGGCTCAAGTGATCCTCCCGCCTCAGCCTCCCAAGTAGCGAGGACCACAGGTGCACGCCACCACGCCCGCACCTTTCCATTCTAAACCCAGCTGCAGGGAACATCCTTGCTGGCTTCCCTTTGCTCACCTGTGAAAGGTGGGAGGGGGTGTTCCCTATGGCAGTTTACAAGCATCAGCTCATGGAATTCTCATCACACCACTCTGGTGAAACAGATTCAAATGTGCATTTGGCAGAGGAAGGGGTTGGATTCCGTGATTGCTGGGCCCTTCAAGGATTCATAGTGCCCTCGGGAACAGAGCCGTCTTGGTCTAGATAGGCTTTTTCAGTGGGAGGAGAGGGTCAAGGAAGCTGAGAAGTGGAGATGAACCGTAGTAATGCTAGCCTCACACCTGGACCTTCTTCGGTAAATGAAAGGTGGGGCAGGGCCACCACCCCATCACACAGAGGAGGAAACTGAGGTTCAGAGAGGGGCAGAGACTTGTCTCAGGCTGCACAGCTGATCAGTGACAGAACCAGGAATCACAGCCAAGTCCCCGACCTCCAGAGCCTTCTCCTAGGTTCTCACCAGGCACTGGGCCAGGCACAGAGCACACATCAGCTTGCCAGTCCCCACAGAAGCCACAGCCTTACTCTTCCTCCCATTTGTTTGTTGTTGTTGTTGTTGTTGTTAAGATAGTGTTTCACTCTGTCACCCAAGCTGGAGTGCGGTGGCATGATCACAGCTCACTGCAGCCTCGACCTCCAGGGCTCAAGCAATCCTCCCACCTCAGCCTCCCAAGTAGCTGGGACTGCAGGCTACACACCCAGCTAATTTTTGTATGCTTTGTAGAGACGGGGGTCTCGCCATGTTGCCCAGGCTGGTCTCGAACTTCTTGGCTCAAGCAATCCTCCCTCCCCAGCCTCCCAAAGTGCTGGGATTACAGGCATGAGCTACCGTGCCGGGCCTCTTCCTCCCATTTGATAGCAGAAGAAACTGAGGCTCGGAGACACTAGGTGTGGAACACCGCAGGCACCATGCATGCTGAGCACCGTAGCCATGTGCAGGCAGGAGCTGCTGTGGCCCCTGTGTCTGGGGCAGACGAGAGAGGAAGGAAAGAGGAGGCACGGCCTCGCATGAGAGATTAACTTGCGATGCCTCATTATCGCAAATTCATATCTTTGAGGCAGAACCAGAAACAGGATGTGGGTTCCCCTTTAAGGGGCTGGTGCCTCACATTGACAGGTACCATGGGACACATGTGAGCATCATGGGACAGGTAGTGTCGGTAAGAGGTTGGCACCCAGGCTTTGGAGTCAACAGGCTCCTGGCTGTGTGACTGCAGATTCGTGGCTTGACCTCTCTGGGCTTCTGAATAGCACGGGTTGTTAGGCCTGGTGGAACAGTGCTCAATAAATAGTGACAAGGTACTGAGCACTCCAACAAGTGTTGGAGGCAGGGGCAATTATTTGCCAAAAGAGGCAAAGCCTGTGGAGCGGCCTGGCCAGCTTTACCCCCGTCCCTGCTGCCACATCCATCCGCGGTCCTCTGCCCGAGCCCAGCCCTACCAAGCAAACACACCATCAAGAGGAGGCAGGTTGCTATGGCAGTACAGCTTCTGGAAAGGCCCTGGCCTCCCACACAATATCCCTCCACTGTGGTGGCCCCAGGCTTTTCCTGTGGAGGCTTCTGAGGTTGCTCCAGCCTGAGGCCAGCCTGGCCCAGATGCTGACCCAGACACAGCTGTGTTCACATGACACGGGTTTGCCGAGTACCTACCAGGTTCACATGAGCAGGACAGGCAAGGGCCACCCTGCCCTTCCCTCCTCCCAGGGCTCGACCTGGGCCCTGTAAGTGTCACTTGCATTTAGGAGCTACAATACAGCTCTCAGGAATGTCCTGAGTGTCAGGATGACAGGAAGAAAGGGAGAGCCCAGGTTCAAGAAAAGGACACTGGATTGGGTGTTAAAGGCCCATGTCTCGGCCTAACTCAGCCTTAGTGTCTCTGTGGTTGTGAGCAAACACCCATTTCTCTCTGGGTGTTTAGAACTGAGGGGAGTACATGGAGTTCTTTCAAACTAGTCAAAACAGAAGCCGAGCTGTGCACTCAGGAGGCAGGCAGCCCCTTGTTTTGGACTATCGTCTATCACTTACTCGCTGGGTGGCTTAAAGGAAGTTACTCAACATCTCTGAGCCATTTCCTCATCTCAAACTTTTGAATAACAATCCAAGGTTATTCAGAATACTAAATGAAGGCCAGGCATGGTGGCTCACATCTGCAATCCCAGAACTTTAGGAGGCCGAGGTGGGTGGATCACTTGAGGCCAGGAGTTCAAGACCAGCTAGGGCAACATAGCAAGACCTCAGCTCGGCAAAAATTTTTTAAAAATTAAGTCAACAAATAAATAATAGAATACTAAATGGGAACATTTACAGTGCTTAGAACACTTACAGTAGGAGCTCAATACATAGCAGCTGTTGCAATTAGCTCATTTTTTTCTTTAAAATAATTTCCACTTTATCAAAATAATACCATACATCAGTGAATCTGAGGCATCACCAATAGTAAGATGCACCATGATTCATGTGCTGTCCAGAGAAAACACTGCCAATTATAGTGGTCAGGTGCACCACTGATTATAGAAAGATTTATCTTGATTTTAAAGATGTTAAAATGGGCCAGGCATGGTGACTCACTCCTGTGATCCCAGCACTTTGGGAGGCTAACGCGGGTGGATCACCTGAGGTCAGGGGTTTGAGAACAGCCTGACCAACATGGCGAAACCGTGTCTCTACTAAAAATACAAAACTTAACTGGGCATGGTGGCAGGCACCTGTAATCCCAGCTACTCGGGAAGCTGAGGCAGGAGAATCGCCTGAACCCAGGAGGCAGACGTTGCACTCCAGCCTGGGCAACAGAGGGAGACTCCATCTCAAAAATAAATAAATAAATAAATAAGTAAAGAAAGAAAGATGTTAAAATGTGAATACTTTGGCATCTTAGAATTGGTGTTTTGTAGTTTGGCCGGGCACGGTGGCTCACGCCTGTAATCCCAGCACTTTGGGAGGCCAAGGCGGGCGGATCACGAGGTCAGGAGATCGAAACCGTCCTGGCTAACACGGTGAAACCCCGTCTCTACTAAAAATACAAAAAAATTAGCCAGGCGTGGTGGCGGGCACCTGTAGTCCCAGCTACTCAGGAGGCTGAGGCAGGAGAATGGCGTGAACCTGGGAGACGGAGCTTGCAGTGAGCCGAGATCGCGCCACTGCACTCCAGCCTGGGCAACAGTGAGACTCTGTCTCAAAAAAAAAAAAAAAAAAAAAAGAATTGGTGAAATAGCATACGTGCAGGGAAAGCAAAATAAACTTACCCTAAAGGCAGATAACATGCAGTGGTTTCCTGTCTGCCTCCCCAATCTCCCCACGCCGCCTCCCTAGAAGCAACCACTTTTGGCTCTGTGAGCAGTTTCTTTCCAGCACTTACACATTTTATATTTCTAAATAATAAGCACATGCTGCTATCTTTGGGCAGATTTGTTTTAGCCCTGTCGCCTGTCTACCCTCCGCTATCTACCAACCACCCAGTACGACGAAAGAGGAGTCGTCCACTGTGGAAGTCATGTGGCCTTTTAGAGTTAAATCACTAGTCACATCTCAGATTTGTCCATTTCTCTACGTATGTATTTTATTTGTTTTTTCTTCTCCTTTTTTCTTTTTTTAGATGGAGCCTCGCTCTGTCACCCAGGCTGGAGTGCAGTGGTGCTATCTCAGCTCACTGCAACCTCTGCCTCCCAGGTTCAAGCGATTCTCCTGCCTCAGCCTCCCGAGTAGCTGGGACTAAAGGTGCGCACCACTGCACCCAGCTAATTTTTGTATTTTTAGTAGACACGGAGTTTCACAATTTTGGCCAGGCTGGTCTCGAACTCCTGAACTTGTGATCTGCCCGCCTCGGCCTCCCAAAGTGCTGGGATTACAGATGTGAGCCACCGCACCCAGTCCCTTTTATTCTCCTTTTTGAGACAAAGTCTTGCTCTGTTTCCCAGACTGGAATGCAGTGATGCGATGACAGCTTACTGCAGCCTCAACCTTCCAGGCTCAAGCAATCGTCCTGCCTCAGCCACCTGAGTAGCTGGGACTACAGGCTCGTGCCCCTGTGCCCAGCTAATTTTTTAAAAAATATATTTTTGGGCCAGGCGTGGTGGCTCACGCTTGTAATCCCGGCACTTTGGCAGGCCAAGGCGGGCGGATCACCTGAGGTCAGGAGTTTGAGACCAGCCTGATCAACATGGAGAAACTCCGTCTCTACTAAAAATACAAAAATTAGCCAGGCATGGTGGCACATGCCTGTAATCCCAGCTACTCGGGAGGCTGAGGCAGGAGAACCTAAAATATATATATATATATATATATTTGTGAAGTCAGGGTCTCACCATGTTGTCCAGGCTGATATCAGACTCCTGGGCTCAAGCAAACCTCCGGCCTCAGCTTCCTGAAGTGCTAGGATTACAGGCATGAGACACCATGCCCAGCCTTATGAAGAAGAGTGATTTTTAAAATTGAGGTATCACTCTTCAGTATTCACATAAGTTTTTTTGTTTGTTTGTTTGTTTCGGAGCCGGAGTCTCGCTCTGTTGCCAGGCTGGAGTGCGGGATTACATTCGTGAGCCACCTCGCCGGGCCAAGTTTTTTATGTAACCATTTTTCATAACTAAGCATTGCATGTATTTCCTTTCTTACTCTATTTTTTTCTGAAATTAATAATTCCTTTTTATTACAGCTTTATTGACATATGATCAATAAGCTGCACATATTTAAAATGTACAGTTTGGGCCGGGCATGGTGGCTCAAGCCTGTAATTCTAGCACTTTGGGAGGCCGAGGCGGGTGGGTCACCTGAGGTCAAGAGTTTGAGACCAGCCTGGCCAACGTGGGGAAACCTCGTCTCTACTAAAAATACAAAAATTACCCAGACGTGGTGGCGCAGGCCTGTAATCCCAGCTGCTCGGGAGGCTGAGGCAGGAGAATCACTTGAACCTGGGAGGCGGAGGTTGCAGTGAGCCAAGACTGCACCACTGTACTCCAACCTGGGTGACAGAGCAAGACTCCGTCTCAAAAAAAAAAAAGGTGCAGTTTGGGCCAGGTGTGGTGACTCACACCTGTAATCTCAGCACTTTGAGAGGCCAGGGCAGGCAGATCACCTGAGGTCAGGAATTCGAGACCAGTCTGGCCAACATGGTGAAACCCCGTCTCTACTAGAAACCCTGTCTCTACTAAAAATACAAAAATAAAAATAAAAATAAAAAAATTAGCTGGGCGTGGTTGTGCGTGCCTGTAATCCCAGCTGAGGCAGGAGAATTGCTTGAACCGAGGAGGCGGAGGTTGCAGTGAGCCGAGATCACTCCAGCCTGGGTGACAGAGCAGCCTCCGTCTCAATAAATAAATAAATAAATAAAATATACAGTTTAAGTTTTGACATATGTGACCACCTGGGAATCCAGCACCACTGTGAAGATGGTGAACGTCTCCACAACATCATTAATTCCTCGTGCCCCTTGGTAATCCTTTCCTTCCCACCCTCCCTGACCACCGACCTCATCCGGCAACTGCTGATCTACTTGTTGGTATAGATGAGTTTGCATTTTCTGAAATTTTGCATAAATGGAATCATGCAGTATGTACTTTGATTCCTTTTCCCTCAGCATCATTATTTCGAGATTCATCTATTAGTTGTGTGTATCCATAGCTTACTCCTTTTTATTACTGAGTAGTGTTCTATTATGGCACCCATTGTGGGAGGGACACACCACACTGGGGTGTGGTGTGGGAGGGAGCCACTCACCTGTGGCTGGGCTTTGAGGTTGTTTATGCCTACTATGAGTAAAGCTGCCATGAACGTTACTGATTGAGGCCTCCGATAGGCATATGTTGTCTTTCGTTTTGGGTGAATGCCTAAAAATGGATTTGTGGGTTTACCCTTTTTTTTTTTTTTTTTTTTGAGACCGAGTCGCACTCTGTTACCCAGGCTGGAGTGCAGTGGCGTGATCTCACTTCACTGCAACCTCAGCCTCCCAGGTTCAAGCGATTCTCCCGCCTCAGCCTCCCAAGCCCAAGTAGCTAGGACTACAGGCCTGAGCCACCATGCCCGGCTAATTTTTGTATTTTTAATAGAGATGGGGTTTCACCATGTTGGTCTCAAACTCCTGACCTCAGGTGATCTGCCCAACTCAGCCTCCCAAAGTGCTGGGATTACAGGTGTGAGCCACCACGCCCAGCCACGGCTTTACCTTTTTAAGAACTGCAAGTGGCTCACACCTGTAATCTCAGGACTTTGGGAGGCCGAGGCAGGTGAATCTCTTGAGCCCAGGAGTTTGAGGTTAACCTGGGCAATGTGGCAAGACTCTGTCTCTGCAACAAAAAATACAAAAATTAGCCAGGCGTGGTGGTGTACTGCCTATAGCCCCAGCTACTCAGGAGGGTGAGGTGGGAGGATCACTTGAGCCCAGGAGGTTGAGGCTGCAGTAAGCCATGATTGTGCCACTGTACTCCAGCCTGGGCAACAGAGTGAGACCCTGTCTGAAACAAACAAACAAACAAAACTGCAAAATTGTTCTCTAAAGTGGTTTTTATGGTCTGGATATCTGTCACCTCCAAGTCTCATGTTAAAATTTAATCTCCAGTGTTGGAAGTGAGGCCTAATGGGAAGTGTTTGGATCATGGGGGCTGATCCCTCATGAATGGCTTGGTGCAGGGTTTTTTGTTTGTTTGTTTGAGATGGAGTCTCGCTCTGTCGCCCAGGCTGGAGTGCAGTGGCATGATCTGGGCTCACTGCAACTTCTGCTCCCGGGCTTAAGCAATTATCCTGCCTCAGCCTCCCAAGTAGCTGGGATTATACGCGTGAGCCACACCTGGCTACATTTTTTTTGTGATTTTAGTAGACACGGGGTTTTACCACGTTGGCCAGGCTGGTCTCGAACTCCTGACCTCAAATGATCTGCCTCCCCTCAGCCTCCCAAAGTGCTAGGATTACAGGCGTGAGCCACCGTGCCTGGCCTAGTCATGGTTTTATTTATTTATTTATTTATTTTTAATTAATTAATTTTTTTTGAGACCAAGTCTCACTTTGTTGCCCAGGCTGGAGTGCAGCGATATGATCTAGACTCACTGCAACCTCTGCCTCCTGGGTTCACGTGGTTCTCCTGCCATAGCTTACTGAGTCTCTGGGACTACAGGCATGAGCCACGATGCCTGGCTAATTTTTGTATTTTTAGTAGAGATGGGGTTTCACCATGTTGGCCAGGCTGGTTTTGAACTCCTGACCTCAGGTGATTCTCCCACCACAGCCTCCCAAAGTGCTAGGTTTACAGGCGTGAGGCACCATGCCCGGCCTATTTATTTATTTTTTATTTTTGAGACAGAGTCTCACTCTGTTGCCCAGGCTGGAGTGCAGTGGCACAATCATGGCTCACTGCAGCCTTGACCTCCCTAGGCTCAGGTGACCCTCCCCCCTCAGCCTCAGGAGTAGCTGGGACTGCAGGTGCACACCTCCAGGCCTGGCTAATTTTTGTATTTTTGGTAGAGACAGGGTTTTTTTTTGTTTTTGTTTTTGTGTTTTTTGTTTTTTGTTTGAGATGGAGTCTCGCTCTGTCGCCCAGGCTGGAGTGCAGTGGCGCAACCTCGGCTCACTGCAACCTCTGCCTCCCGGGTTCAAGTGATTCTCCTGCCTCAGCCTCCCAAGTAGCTGGGACTACAGGCATGCGCCACCATGTCTGGCTAATTTTTTTATTTTTAGTAGAGACAGGGTTTCACCATGCTGGCCAGGCTGGTCTCAAACTCCTGACCTTGTGATCTGCCTGCCTCAGCCTCCCAAAGTGCTGGGATTACAGGCGTGAGCCACTGCACCCGGCCTGAGACAGGGTTTTACAGTGTTACTCAGGCTGGTCTCCAACTCCTGGGCTCAAATAATCTGCTCACCTCAGCCTCCCAACAGTGCTGGGATTACAGGTGTGAGACACCATGTCTGGCCTCATTGTGGTCTTAATGTGTACTTCCCTTATGACTAATAATGTTGAACATCTTTTTCTTTTTTTTTTTGGAGAGAGTCTCACTCTGTCACCCAGGCTGGAGTGCAGTGGCATGATCTCGGCTCACTGCAACTTTCACCTCCCAGATTCAAGCGATTCTCCTGCCTCAGCCCCCGAGTAGCTGGATTACAGGTTTGCACCACCACACCTGCCTAATTTTTGTATTTTTAGTAGAGACGAGGTTTCACCATGTTGGCCAGGCTGATCTCAAACTCCTGACCTTAGGTGATTCGCCTGCTCCTAAAGTGCTGGGATTACAGGCATGAGCCACCACGCCCAGCCATTGAACATCTTTTTATGTGTTTATTGGCTATTCATATATCTTCTTTTGTGAAGAAGCTGTTCAAATATTTTACCCATTTTATTTATTTATTTATTTACCTATTCTAAGACAAGGTCTCACTCTGTCACCCAGGGTGGAGTGCAGTGGCATGATGACAGCTCACCACAGCCTCGACTTCCTGGGCAATTCTCCTGCCTTATCCTCCAGAGTAACTAGGACTACAGGGGTGCCACCACACCTGGCTAGTTTTTGTTTGCTTGTTTGTAGAGAGGGTCTTGCTTTGTTGCTTAAGCTGGTCTCAAATTCCTGGGCTCAAGTGATCCTCCCACCTCCGCCTTCCAAAGTGCTGGGATTACAGGCATGCGCTACCACACTTAGCCTGGCTTTAAAAAATCGTGGCCACAGCTGGGCACGGTGGCTCACGCCTGTAATCCTCGCACTTTGGGAGGCCAAGGCGGGCGGATCTCTTGAGGTCAGGCATTTGAAATCAGCCTGGCCAACGTGGTGAAACCCTGTCCCTACTAAAAATAAAAATAAAATAAAATTTAAAAAATTAGCCAGGCGTTGTGGCAGGCACCTGTAATCTCAGCTACTTGGGAGGCTGAGGCAGGAGAATTGCTTGAACCCGGGAGGCAGAGGTTGCAGTAAGCCGAGATTTCGCCACTGGACTCCAGCCTGGGTGACAGAGTGAGACTCTCTCAAAAAAATAAATAAATAAAAAATAAAAAAATCTTGGCTGGGCATGGTGGCTCATGCCTGTAATCCCAGCACTTTGGGAGGCTGAGGCAGGAGGATTACTTGAGGTCAGGAGTTTGAGACCAGCCTAGCCAACACTGTGAAACCTCATCTCTACTGAAAATACAAAAATTAGCCAGGCATGGTGGCAGGTACCTATAATCTCAGCTACTTGGGAGGCTGAGGCAGGAGAATCGCTGGAACCCGGGAAGTTGTGGTGAGCTGAGATCGCGCCACTGCACTCCAGCCTGGGTGATAAATAAATAAATAAATAAATATATTTTTCATGGTTTTAGTAGGAAGATAAATTAGGCATGTATGATTGCCCCCTCATCTTAACAAGGAATTTCTCTCAGCTCATTTTCTTCAGGGGAGAATTCTCTCCCACCCTGCCTTGCACCTGCTTCTGACCCAAGGACATGGCAGAAGGAGCTAGGAGTTCCAGCTTTCACTCCTGGCTCCAACCCCTCAGTTGTATAGCCTTTGGAAAGTCACTTAATCCTTTTGGGCCTCAGTTTCCCCATCTAGGGAATAAGGGAATGTCATGATCTCAGAGGAGGTGGCACAGTCTGATAGGGAGAGGGCTGTCCCAGGGCTCCCAGCTGCCTCTTGGGCAGGGCAGGTCTAGGCTGTCTGGCCCCCTCAGAGCCTTGACTGTCAGGGCCCAGGCTGAGCAGGCTCCCATGACCCCACTGCGTGGCAGGGAGATTAAGGCCAAGAAAGGGAGGGGGCCAGAATCGCACAGCTTGCCCAGGCAGAATGGGCCCCTGCCTTCTGTTCCTGAGCTTTCTCCCTGCACCAGAGCCATCTCCGGGCTAGACAGGCTGGTAGAACCAGCCACGTCCTCTCCCTGGGGTGGAGGAAGAGCCTGCTCCGCACAGGGCCAGAACTTTCCAGCCATCTCCCTCCAGCCTCACCAGTCCCCACCCAGAGCCTGAAACTCAGGGCTGTCTGTGCCCAGGGCTGCACCTGACTTTGGTTATCTAGCACCACCTACAGGATATATTGAGAACAACATGCCACATGGCTTCAAGCCCCAGATTCCAGAAACTGCTGACTGGGAAGACGCCCATTCATGGATCGCACCTGGTATGCCCGGGCCAGAGCTCTGTGCCCTGCATGAGCCTCTGCCCTGATCTGCACCACAGGCCCTTAAGGCAGGAACTACATTATAGTATTGAATCAATATAACACCCTTTCATAAGGGATACAAATGTAGTTGTTAGATAAAAGGTATAACTTCTGTTGTTCACAGCAGAGTAGAGTGACTACAGATAACAATGTATTGTATATTTCAAAGTAGCTAGAAGAGAGGACATAAATTGTTCCCAACACATAGAAATGATAAATACTCAAGGTGATGGATACCCCAAATACCCTGACCTGGTCATTACATACACTACACTTAAAACAAAAGATCACACATACCCCATAAATATGTAAAATATTATGTATCAATTTAAAATACCTTTTTAGGCTGGGCGCGGTGGTTCACACCTGTAATCTCGGCACTTTGGGAGGCTGAGGCAGGCAGATCACTTAAGGTCAGGAGTTCAAGATCAGCCTGGCCAACCTGGTGAAACCCCATCTCTACTAAAAATATAAAATTAGCTGTGTGTGCTGGTGGGGCAGGGGAGGGGGGACAGGCAGCTATTTGGTTTCTTTCTCTTTCTTTTTTTTTTTTGAGACGGGGTCTTGCTCTGTTGCCCAGGCTGGAGTGCAATGGCGCCATCTCGGCTCACTGCAAGCTCCACCTCCTGGGTTCACGCCATTCTCCTGCCTCAGCCTCCTGAGTAGCTGGTACTACAGGCGACCACCACCACGCCCGACTAATTTTTTATATTTTTAGTAGAGACGAGGTTTCACCGTGTTGGCCAGGATGGTCTCGATCTCCTGATCTCATGATCCACCCGGCTCAGCCTCCCAAAGTGCTGGGATTACAGGCGTGAGCCACCGCACCCAGCCAATCCCAGCTACTTGGGAGGCTGAGGCAGGAGAATGGCTTGAACCCAGGAGGCAGAGGTTGCCGTGAGCCAAGATCATGCCATTGCACTGCAGCCTGGGCAACAAGAGCAAAACTCTGTCTCAAAAAAAAAAAAAAACAAAAAACCGTCAGGGCACAGTGGCTCACGCCTGTAATCCCAGCACTTTGGGAGGCTGAGATGGGTGGATCACCTGAGCTCAGGAGATTGAGAACAGCCTGGCCAACATGGTGAAACTCTGTCTCTACTAAAAATACAAAAATTAGCCAGGCATGGTGGCAGGTGCCTATAATTCCAGCTACTCTGGGGGCTGATGCAGGAGAATCGCTTGAACCCAAGAGGCAAAGGTTGCAGTGAGCCAAGATTGCGCCATTGCACTCCAGCCTGGGTGACAAGAGCAAAACTCCGTCTCAAAAAAAACATAAAATAAAAATAAAAAAACTTTTTAGACACAGGGTCTTGCATTGTCTCCCAGTCTGGAGTTCAGTGGCACAATCTTGGCTCACTGCAGCCTCAGACTCTTGGGCTCAAAGGCTCCTCCCACCTCAGCCTCCTGAGTAGCTGGGACTACAGGCATGCACCACCACACCTGACTAATTTTTTTATTTTTATTTTTTATTTTTATTTTTAGATTGAGTCTTGCTCTGTTGCCCAGGCTGGAGTGCAGTGGCATGATCTTGGCACACTGCAACCTCTGTCTCCTGGGTTCAAGCAATTCTCTGCCTCAGCCTCCTGAGTAGCTGGGATTACAGGTGCCCACCATCACGCCCAGCTAATTTTGGTACTTTTAGTAAAGATGGGTTTCACCATCTTGGCCAGGCTGGTCTCGATCTCCTGACCTCGTGATCCACCTGCCTCGGCCTCCCAAAGTGCTGGGATTACAGGCATGAGCCACCATGCCCGGCCTAATTATTGTATTTTTTGTAGAGATAGAGTCTTGTTATGTTGCCCAGGATGGTCTCAAACTCCTGACCTCAAGCAATCCTTCCCCATCAGCCTCCCAAAGTGCTGGGATTACAGGTTTGAGCCACCATGCTCGGCCAAAAAATATTTTTAAAAAACAAACACAGGCCAGGTGCAGTGGCTCACGCCTGTATTCTCAACACTTTGGGAGGCCGAAGCAGGTGGATCACCTGAGATCAGGAGTTTGAGACCAGCCTGACCTACATGGAGAAACCCCATCTCTACTAAAAGTACAAAAATTAGCCGGGTGTGGTGGCACATGCCTGTAATCCCAGTGACTCTGGACACTGAGGCAGGATAATTGCTTGAACCCAGGAGGTGGAGGTTGCAGTGAGCCGAGATTCCACCATTGCACTCCAGCCTGGGCTACAAAAGCGAAACTCTGTCTCAAAAAATAAAAATTTAAAAAACCAAACACACCTTCCATTGAAGGATGCCATTTTGAAGAATGCCATGTTGAAGGATGTCATTTATTTTTGTGCCACTAAAAAAGAAAAATAAAAACCCTTCCAATTGAAATTGAAATATGACACATTAGCCAGGTGTGGTGGCACACACCTGTAGTCCCAGCTACTCAGGAGGCTGAGGAGGTAGGATCACTTGAGCCCAGGAGTTCAGGGCTGAAGTGAGCTATGATCGTGCCACTGTACTCCAGCCTGAAAGAGAGAATGAGACCGTGTCTCATTTAAAAAAAAAAAAAAAAAAGGCTGGCACAGCGGCTTACACCTGTAATTCTAACACTTCAGAAGGCTGGGGAGAAAGATTGCTTGAGTCCAAGAGTTCGCCAGGCACTGTGGCTCACGCCTGTAATCCCAGTACTTTGGGAGCCTGAGGCGGGTGGATCACGAGGTCAGGAGATCAAGACCATCCTGGTCAACATGGTGAAACCCTGTCTCTACTAAAAATACAAAAAATTAGCTGGGCATGGTAGCACGTGCCCGTAGTCTCAGCTACATGGGAGGCTGAGGCAGGAGGATTGCTTGAACCTGGGAGGCGGAGGTTGCAGTGAGCCAGATCGAGCCACTGCACTCCAGCCTAGCGGCACAGCAAGACTCTGTCTCAAAAAAAAAAAAAAAGAGTTCAAGACAAGCCTGGGCAACAGAGTGAGACCCCCATCTCAATTATATTTTTAAAAACATAAAATTGAAAACAAAACAAACGAAAAAACGGCCGGGCACCGTGGCTCATGCCTGTAACCCCAGCACTTTGGGAGGCCAAGGCAGGCAGATCACTTGAGGCCAGGAATTGGAGACCACTCTGGCCAACATGGTGAAACCCTGTATATACTAAAAATATAATTAGCTGGATGTGGTAGTGTGCGCCTGTAATCCCAGCTACTTGGAAGGCTGAGACAGGAGAATTGCTTGAACTCGGGAAGCAGAGATTGCAGTGAGCCGAGATTTAAAAAAAAAAAAAAACTATTGCTTCCTTATCACTTAGAAACTTTATTTTAGCCAGGCTCGGTGGCTCACGCCTGTAATCCCAGCACTTTGGGAGGCCGAGGTAGGCGGATCACGAGGTCAGGAGTTCGAGACCAGCCTGACCAACATGGTGAAGCCCCGTTTCTACTAAAAATAAAAAAATTAGCTGGGCGTGGTGGCATGCACCTGTAATCCCAGCTACTCAGGAGACTGAGGCAGGAGGATTGCTTGAACCTAGGAGGCAGAGGTTGCAGTGAGCTGAGATCGAGCCACTGCACTCCAGCCTAGGAAACAGAGTGAGACTCCGTCTCAAAAAAAAGAAACTTTATTTTATATTTACCGAAGGCCCTCTTTTAAACTTACTTAAACAGGTAAGGCACTTAAACACACAGGTATTTAAACTTACTTAAATAGGCTTTTATCATCTACTATACATTGTGAATACATAAAAAGGAAATTGCTGGATGAGATGGCTCCTGTCTGTAATTGAAGGTACTTGAGAAGCTGAGGTGGGAGAATCGCTTGAGCCCAGGAGTTTGAGACCAGCCCAAGCAACATGGCAAAATCTCGTCTGTAAAAAAAAATACAAAAATTAGCTGGGCGTGGTAGCATGTGCCTGTAGTCTCCCCTACTCGGGAGGCTGAGGTGGGAGGATCACCTGAGCCCAGGGAGGTGGAGGTTGCGGTGGGTTGTGATGGTGCTGCCGCACTCCAGCCTGGGTGACAGAGTGAGACCTTGTCTCAAAAAGAAAGAAAAATTAGTAGCTATATTATTATTTTTTGAGATGGAGTCTCACTCTGTTGCCCAAACTGGAGTGCAATGGCGTGATCATGGCTCACTGCAACCTCCACCTCCCAGGTTCAAGTGATTCTCATACCTCAGCCTCCTAAGTAGCTGGAATTACAGGCATGTGCTACCACGCCCAGCTAATTTTTGTATTTTTAGTAGAGATGGGTTTTCGCCACGTTGGCCAGGTTGGTCTCAAACTCCTGACCTCAGGTGATCCACCCGCCTTGGCCTCCCAAAGTGCTGGGATTACAGGCGTGAGCCACCGTGCCCAGCCTAAAAAAAAAAAAAAAAAAAAAAAAAAAAAAAGTAAATAAATAAAAAGGAAATTGCAATCAAGGTAATTTAGCGAAGGTGTTCCTAACACTCCACATGCAGAGTCTGACTTTCCCGGGTCAATTTTTCATTCACAGCTGTTGAGTCTGTGCTTTTCCAGACAATCTTGTCCTCAGGAAACGCAGGCTTTCTTCAGAGCACACCACTGCTGTCCCCAATGTCCTTTCAAGCTGCAAGTGTTGATGCACATGTGCAAGCATTGAGGCAGATGGCATAGTTGCCACCCAGTCACAACAATCACAAAATATGTCTTGATTTTAGAGATGGTAACATGGGAAGCGGGGGAAGCACATCTGAGAGTGAATGAAAGATGGTGTCAGCGGTACCTTGTTCAAAAGTACTAGGGCACTCTTTTGTTATAATGTTAGGTGTGTGAGGCCTCAAGAAACAGAATCCCTCTGACCTTTTCCTGCCTTCCTTTCACCTGCCTTAAGGCAGGACTCTAATCTAATCTTCCCCCCAACTTTCTTTTTTAGACAGGATTTTACTCTGTCACCCGGGCTGGAGTGCAGTGGTGCAATCAAGGCTCACTGCAGCCTCAACCTCCTGGGCTTAAGTGATCCTCCCACCTCAGCCTCCTGAGGAGCTGGGACTACAGGTGTACGCCACCATGCCTGGCTAATTTTTTATTTTTTGTAGAGATGAGGTCTCACTAAGTTGCCCAGGCTGGTCTTGAACTACTGGAGGCAAACAATCCTCCTGCCTTGGCCTCCCAAAATGTTGGGATTTCAGGCATGAACCACCTTGCCCCTTCTGATCTTGGATTTTTTTTTTTTAATTATTACACTTTAAGTTTTAGGGTACATGTGCACAATGTGCAGGTTAGTTACACATGTGTACATGTGCCATGCTGGTGTGCTGCACCCATTAACTCGTCATTTAGCATTAGGTATATCTCCTAATGCTATCCCTCCCCCCTCCCCCCACCCCACAACAGTCCCCAGAGTGTGATGTTCCCCTTCCTGTGTCCATGTGTTCTCATTGTTCAATTCCCACCTATGAGTGAGAACATGCGGTGTTTGGTTTTTTGTCCTTGTGCTAGTTTACTGAGAATGATGATTTCCAATTTCATCCATGTCCCTACAAAGGACATGAACTCATCATGTCCTTTGTACATCATCATTTTTTATGGCTGCATAGTATTCCGTGGTGTATATGTGCCATATTTTCTTAATCCAGTCTATCATTGTTGGACATTTGGGTTGGTTCCAAGTCTTTGCTATTGTGAATAGTGCCGCAATAAACATATGTGTGCATGTGTCTTTATAGCAGCTGATCTTGGATTTTAAGGCTCTCCTCCTGTGAGAGGGTCCCACCTCACACCCTGGGGGAAGGAATGACAGCATCATGAAGCTTCCATGAAAACCCAAGAGAACTAGGTTCTAAGAGCTTCCGCATAACTGACCATGCTGAGGTTCCTGGAGGGCAGCTGCCAGGGGAGAGCATGGAAGCTCCACGCTACTTTCCCTGTATCTCGCCCTGTGCATCTCTTCATCTGTATCCTTTGCAATATCCTATATCATAAACCACTAAACACACTTCCCTGAGTCCCGTGAGCCACTCCAGCAAATTAATCAAACCCAAAGAGGGAATCATGGGAACCCCAACTTGAAGCCCATCAGTCAGAAGTTCCAGAGGCCTGAACTTGCTGCTGGTGTCTGAAGTGGGGGTGGTGGGTAGTCTTGGGGACTGATTCTCCAACCTGTGGGATCTGACACTATCTCCAGATAGATGGTGTGCAAAGTGAATTGGAGGACACCTACCTAGTGTCTGATGCTTGGTGCATGGGGAAAACCCCCCAGACATTTGGTCACAGAAGTCTTCTATGTTGATGACTGTTGTGGTGGTTTGAGAGGGTTTTTCCTGAAACAGGCACCTATTCTATGCCAAGCCTGTGCAAGGGGTAAGAGACTGACTCAGCCCTGCCCTGAGGGATATCAGGGAGCCACAGAGGAGAAGACATCAAACAATCTTGCAGATAAAATTGTTTAATGAGGCCAGCTGCGGTGGCTCACGCCTGTAATCCCAGCACTTTGGGAGGCCAAAGCGGGCGGATCACCTGAGGTCGAGAATTCGAGACCAGCCTGGCCAACATGGTGAAACCCCATTTCTACTAAAAATACAAAAAATTAGCCAGGCGTGGTGGCGGGCACCTGTAATCCCAGCTACTTGGGAGGCTGAGGCAGGAAAATCACTTGAACCTGGGAGGTGGAGGTTGCAGTGAGCCGAATCCCACCACTGCACTCCAGCCTGGTCACGACAGAGCAAGACTCTGTCTCAAAAAAAAAAAAATTGTTTAATGATCACAGCTGTGCTATGAAAGGGGTCAGCCACAGGAGTGATTGTGTCTGGCGTCACAGAGGGTTGCCCTGAGGAAGTTGCATCTGAGCTGTGATGAATGAATAGGAGCTCTCCAGGGAGAGTCGGAGAAAACAGGCAAGGCAGAGGCAAGAGCATTTACGACGGCCCTGGGATTGGAGGAGGAATTTAGAGACCCCCTGCATTGAAAGGCGGTGCAGCCAGTGTGGCTGGGGTCTGATGGATGAGGGCAGTGTGGCAGGAACTGGAACCAGAGAGGTAGGAAGGAACAGAGATCACACATAGCCTTTTCCCAAAGTGCAATGAGGAGCCACTGCAGCGCTTTAAGTAGAGAAAGAAACTGAGTCACAGAGAGTGATGGAGGTGGCTGGGTGCAGTGGCTCATGCCTGTAATCCCAGCACTTTGGGAGGCTGAGGCAGGTGGATCACCTGAGGTCAAGAGTTCGAGACTAGCCTGACCAACATGGTGAAACCCCCGTCTCTACTAAAAATACAAAAAGTAGCCGGGCGTGATGGAGTGTGCCTGTAATCACAGCTACTCAGGAGGCTGAGGGAGGAGAATCGCTTGAACCCAGGAGGTGGAGGTTGCAGTGTCCCAAGATCTCACCATTGCACTCCAGCCTGGGCAACAAGAGTGAAACTCCGTCTCAAAAAAAAAAAAAAAAAAAAAAAAGGGGGCCAGGCACGGTGGCTCATCCCTGTAATCCCCACACTTTGTAGGGCTGAGGCAGGGGGATCATCTGAGGACAGGAGTTCAAGACCAACCTGGCCAGCATGGTGAAGCCCTGTCTCTACTAAAAATACAAAAATTAGCTGGGCGTGGTGGTGGGTGCCTGTAATCCCAGCTAGTTGGGAGGCTGAGGCAGGAGAATCGCTTGAACCCGGGAGGCGGAGGTTGCAGTGAGCCGAGATCGAGCCATTGCACTCCAGCCTGGACAGAGCGAGAATCCATCTCAAAAAGAAAAAAAAAAAAAGAAAGAAAAGAAAAGAAAGTGATAGAGCTAGAAGTAGGCCTCAGGTCTGGCTAGTTCTGGCACCTGTGCTTTCAATCCCCACTGGAGGGGCCAGAGGGAACTGAGTCTCTGATCCACCTCCTTTACTGCCCAGCTAGGGAAACTGGTGCGTCGGAAGGGGAGGGGGCTTGCCCTAAGTAGCACAGCAGGGCAGGATGTAATCTAGAACCCAGGTGTCCAGGCTCCCAGATCCCCTCTCCCACCAATCCTCAGCAGAGCTGGCCAGACCTTGGCCAAAGCCCCAGCTCCCTGAGTCCCAGGGAAATTATTAGTGCTTGAAGAGCAAAGGGTTGTCCCTTCTTAGGGTCCAGGAAGCTGTGTCAGCCCTGTCCCCAGTTCCCAGTTTGCACTGGTGGTAGCTGGTTAGAACCTGAATCCCAGAGCCCTCTAATGGCCAGGCCAGGGCCACAGTGGATCTGGACTCTGGATGCAATAGAGTGAGACCTGCACACGCCTTCCTCCACCCACTCTGCTGGGGACAGATCGAATTCCAGCCCCACTGACCTCCCAGGCCCTCTGAGCCTTCCAACCATGCTTGACGGCAAAAGGGCCCTGAGCCACCCGGGAACAGAGCACCAAGATCGCAAGGACGGCCAGCCAGGCACGTCTGCAGCCCCTCCCCTCAGCACACCCCCAGGACTGAAGATCCTGGACAGACAACCTACTGTTCTTGCTTACTTTTTCAGGAAAAATTTCTGGAACTGAACTGAACGTACTGAACTTCAAATCTTTCATCTAAAGATTTTTTGAGACGCCATCAGCAAATTGTCCTCTTGGGATTTTGCACCAATTTACACCCCTCCTAACAGTCTGAGGAATGCTGTCCCCACCCCCTATCACCGCTAATGCCTTGGACCCTCTTTTTTGTCTTTGCTAGTCCAATAGGCCACCCCTCTCGCTGTTGTTTTAATTTGCACTGTTTGTCATTGAAGAGAGATTCTCAGACTCCACTGTCTGTGGAGCTTGCTAGAAAAATGGAAAGGTGGCTGGGCGAGGTAGCTCACACCTGTAATCCCAGGTAATCCCTGGGAGGCCGAGGCAGGTAATCACCTGAGGTCAGGAGTTTGGGACCAGCCTGACCAACATGGTGAAACCCTGTCCCTACTAAAAATAAAAAAATTAGCAAGGCATAGTGATGGACGCCTGTAGTCCCAGCTACTCGGGAATCTGAGGCAGGAGAATTGCTTGAACCTTGGAGGCAGAGGTTGCAGTGAGCTGAGATCGTGCCACTGCACTCCAGCCTGGGCAATACAGTGAGACTCTGTCTCAGAAAAAAAAAAGAAAAAGAAAAAAAGAAAAATAGAAAGGCAAACAGACTAGGAGAAAATATTTGTGAAAAATATATCTGACAGAGAACTTGGAAACAGATATAAAAAGAATTCTTTTTTTTTAACCCAGTAGTAATTAAGCAACCAAATACGAAGAATTCTCAACACTTAGTAAGAAGAAGACAATTCAAAAAGAGTAGACACTTAATCAAAGAAAATACACAGACGGCTCAGCTGGGCATGGTGGTGTACACCTATAATCTCAGCTACTCGGGAGGCATAGCGGGGAGAATCTTTTGAGCCCAGGAGTTCAAGGCTGCAGTGAGCTATGATGGCACCACTACACTCCAGCCTGGGCAACAAAGCCAAGATGCTGTCTCTAAAAGAAAAAAAACAGGCCGAGCATGGTGGCTCACACCTGTAATCCCAGCACTTTGGGAGGCTGAGGCAGGTGAATGGCTTGAGCCCAGGAGTTCAAGACCAGCCTGGGCAACATGGCGAAACTCTGTCTCTACAAAAAAATACAAAAATTAGCCAGGCATGGTGGTGCACACCTGTGGTCCCAACAAATCGGAGGCTGAGAGGTGAGAGGATAGTTTGAGCCCAGGAGGTCAAGGCTGCATTGAGCCGTGATTGTGACACTGCACCCCAGCCTGGGTAACAGAGCAAGACCCTGTCTCAAAACAAACAAACAAACAAACAAACAAACAAGCAAAGGCCAGGCGCAGTGGCTCACGCCTGTAATCCCAGCATTTTGGGAGGCCAAGGCGGGTGGATCATGAGGTCAAGAGATCGAGACCATACTGGCCAACATGGTGAAACCCCGTCTCTACTAAAAATACAAAAAAGCCAGGTGTCATGGTGGGCGCCTGTAGTCCCAGCTACTCCGGAGGCTGAGGCAGGAGAATCACTAGAACCCGGGATGCGGAGGTTGCAGTGAGCCAAGATTGCACCACTGCACTCCAGCCTGGGCAACAGAGTAAGACTCCGTCTCAAAGAAAAAAAAAAAAAAAAAAAAAAGCAAAAGTATACAAATGGCAAATAAGCACTTAAAAAGAAGCTCTACCCCATTAGTCTTAGTGACATGCAAACTAAAACCACAATGACACCAGGTGAGGTGGCTCACGCCTGTAATCCCAGCACTTTGGGAGACTAAGTTGGATGAATCATCTGAGGTCAGGGGTTCAAGGCCAGCCTGGCCAACATGGCGAAACCCCGTCTCTACTGAAAATACAAAAATTAGCCAGGCATGGTGGTGCACGCCTGTAGTCCCAACTACTCGGGAGGCTGAGGCATGAGACTTGCTTGAACCTGGGAGACAGAGGTTGCAGTGAGCTGAGGTGGTGCTACTGCACTCCAGCCCAGGTGACGAAGCAAGACCCTGTCTCCAAAAAAAAAAAAAAAACCCACAATGAGATACCACTTCACACCTACTAGAAATGGTTAAAGTTAGGAAGACTGACCAACTGACCATACACCAAATGTTGGCAAGGATGTGGAACCACTGGAACTCACATACCCTGTTGGTACTAATGTAAAATGGTACAACCACATTGGAAACAGTGTGGCAGTTAAACATACACTAACCATATGATCCAGCTATTTCACTCCTGGGCATTTAGCCAAGAGGAATGAAGGCATGTGTCCCCACAAAGACTTGTACAACAAGGGTTCATAGCTACTAAATAATGGAAGCAACTAAAATATCCATCAATATGCAATTGAAGCCTAGTGCAGTGGTTCACGTCTGTAATCCTGACACTTTGGAGGCCAAGGCGGGCAGATCACGTGAAGTCAGGAGTTTGATACCGGCCTGGCCAACATGGTGAAACCTCCGTCTCTACTAAAAATACAAAAAAATTAGCCAGACATGGTGGCATACACCTGTAATCCCAGCTAATCGGGAGGCTGAAGCAGGAGAATCGCTTGAACCTGGGAGGCAGAGGTTGCAAGACCATATCACTGCCCTCCAGTCTAAGTAACAGAGTGAGACTCTGTCTCAAAAAAAAAAAAAGCGATTGAATAGATAAACAAATTATGGTATAACAATTCTGTGATAAAGGAGCAAACTTTTTTTTTTTCTGAGAGGTCTTGCTCTGTTGCCGAGGCTGTGAATGAGCTATTAAGACCCACAACATGGATGCATCTCACAATAATTAGGCTGAGTGAAAAAAGCCAGACAGAGAAAGAGCACAGGCTGCATGATTTCATTTATGTAAAATTCTGGAAAATGCAATTAATCTACAGTGACAGAAAGCAGACCAGTGACTGCTTGGAGTGGAGGCGGGAGGGCGTGGAGAGGGAATGGGAATGGGGAAGGAGGGATGATTATATACAGGGGTCACCAGGAAACTTGGCAGTGATGGAGCTTTTTATGACAATTCTCATGGTCTTTTTTTTTTTTTTTTTTTTTTGAGACAGAGTCTTGCTCTGTTGCCCAGGCTGGGGTGCAGTGGCATGATCTTGGCTCACTGCAGCCTCTGCCTCCCGGGTTCAAGTGATTCTCCTGCCTCAGCCTCCCGAGTAGCTGGGATTACAGGCGTCCACCACCACTGTTGCAGGAAACAGAGGACCAGAGAGACCAATATGGGTGAATACAGGAGGATGGTTATTAAGGTGCACACCGGCTCAGTGGATTCACATCCAAAAAGCTGAGCATTGAACAAAAACAGATTTTAGCTTATATAGGCTAGCATACAAAAGCAAAACAAAGGCAGTGAATTTTACAGTGACAAGTCACATAATCCATAGTATAGCTGCTGACCTGGCACTAACCTATGGCCTTGCATAGCTAGTGGCCTAGCAGTGGCATCGAAAGAAAAGCAGGAACTTTGCAAATCTTACTAAATACAACCATTGGCAAACATGGCCATAACTAATAGTTCAGTACATGAGAGACAGTAAAGGAATTTGTTTTTCTTCTTTTAACTTTGCTCGGGGGTGTCTGGAGCTGATTTCTGCAGGCTAGGTCACCACGACCTGTCTATAGCCTTGCTTGCAGCAGTGAAAAACGTGTTTTTCGCTTAACCCTTACTTTCCTTGGAGTGAATAAACGCAGTATTTATTTTTCTTTAAATTTCTGCCTCAACACACTTGGCTAATTTTTGTATTTTTAGTAGAGACAGGGTCTCACCATGTTGGCCAGGCTGATCTTGAACTCCTGACCTCAGGTGATCCACCCGCCTCAGCTTCACAAAGTTCTGGGATTACAGGCATGAGCCACCGCACCAAGCCAATTCTCATGGTCTTAATTATGGTGATGTTTTCACAGATAGAAGAGATTCCATGTGTGGGGCCTGGGAATCTGCATTTTAAAGAGTTTCCAGGAATTAGGCTGGGTGAGGTGGCTCATGCTTGTAATCCCAGAACTTTGGGAGGCCAAGGCAGGTGGATCACCTGAGGTCGGGAGTTCAAGACCAGCCTAGCCAAAATGGTGAAGCTCCGTCTCTACTAAAAATACAAAAATTAGCTGGGCGTGGTGGCAGGCACCTGTAATCCCAGCTACTCGGGAGGCTGAGGCAGGAGAACCACTTGAACGGGAGAGGCAGAGGCTGCAGTGAGCTGAGATGGTGCCATTGCACTCCAGCCTGGGGAACAAAACTAAAACTCTCTCTCAAAAAAAAAAAAGTTGGGGGGGAGATTTCCAGGAATCTCATTGCACATCAAAGTTTGAGAAACATTGTTGTAGCAGAATCCTTCTGTCCCCTGTACCCCATGTCACTGAGACCTCTCCTGCTGGAAGGTGTGGTTTCAGTGGGGGCTCTTCTGTGAGGACCAGCTGCATGTTGGAGGAGGGTGTCCTGAATCACAGCACTGTCATTTTACAGATAAGGAAACTGAGACCTTGAAATAAACTACATCTTAGGGAAGGATCTCTTGGTTACAAGTAATATAAATCATCTGAGTTGGCCGGGTGCGGTGACTCACATCTGTAATCCCAGCACTTTGGGAGTCCGAGGCAGGTGGATCACCTGAGGTTGGGAGTTCGAGACCAGCCTGACCAACATGGAGAAACCCCGTCTTTACTAAAAATACAAAATTAGTCGGGTATGGTGGCACATGCCTGTAATCCCAGCTACTCAGGAGGCTGAGGCAGGAGAATCACTTGAACCCGGGAGGCAGAGGTTGCAGTAAGCCAAGATTGTGCCACTGCACTGCAGCCTGTGTGACAGAGTAACACTCTGTCTCAAAAAAAAAAAAAAAAAAAAAATCCAGCTGAAATCTTTCTGTCTTCTACTTAGCTTTCCCCTGGGTAACACCCCCATCCCCAAGCACCTCAGGTTTTGATCCTTCCACCTTGAAAACTTCAATGGAAAGAGCAAAAGTCTAGGGTGGAGTCTCATTGGTCTGGGTGGGTCATGTGCTCATACCTGAACCAATCACTATGGGCAGAGGATGTGTAACCCTTGTGGGTCAGCCAATCACTATGGGCAGAGGATGTGTAACCCTTGTGGGTCAGCCAATCACTATGGGCAGAGGATGTGTAACCCTTGTGGGCCAGCTCTGGGTCACATCCTCATCATGGGAGCCAGAATTGGGATCCTGTCTCCAAACTGCATGGACTGTGTCAACCTTAAATATTGAGATTTAGCAAATATGATTAACTAGAGAATTTCTCTGAGTGTGAAGCTTGAGGATAGCCACCTGGGTAACACCAAATCCAAACAAATGGGGTCAGCATTTGAAAGTGGAGAAGTTGGCTGAGGGCGGTGGCTCACACCTGTAATCCCAGCACTTTGGGAGGCAGAAGCGGGTGATCACCTCAGGTCAGGAGTTTGAGACCAGCCTAGCCAACATGGCAAAACCCTGTTTCTACTAAAAATACAAAACTTAGCCAGGCATGGTGGCGGTCACTTGTAATCCCAGCTACTCAGGAGGCTGAGGCAGGAGAATCGCTTGAACCCGGGAGGCAGAGGTTGCACTTAGCTGAGATTGCACCATTGCACTCCAGCCTGGGCGACAAGAGTGAAACTCCATCTCAAAAAAAAGAAAAGAAAAGAAAAAGAAAGTGGAGAAGTTGGCCGGGTACGGTGTCTCACGCCTGTAATCCCAGAACTTTGGGAGGCTGAGGTAAGCAGATCATTTGAGGTAAGGAGCTCGAGACCAGCCTGGCCAACATGGTGAAATCCCGTCTCTACTAAAAATAAAAAATTATCCGGCATGGTGGTGCACGCCTGTAATCCCAGCTACTCCGGAGGCTGAGGTATGAGAATCACTTGAGTCTGGGAAGTGGAGGTTGCATGAAGCCAAGATCACGCCATTGCACTCTACCCTAGGTGACAGAGTGAGTGAGGCTCTGTCAAAAAAAAAAAGAAAGAAAGAAAGAAAAGAAAAGAAAAGAAAAAAAGACAGTGGAGAAGTTAAGGTTTCACTTACATAGGCAGAGGCAGAAATTTTAGCAGGATTACATTTTCCACAGAAGACCCGTGCATACACCCCAGTGATCTGATTGGTTACAGACTGTTACATTCCAAAGAAGTTTCCTTTATTACTCCCTGAGGAGGGGCAATGATCTGAGGGGTTCTTATCTCTGGTGCCACTTAGTCCTAATTATTTACAGGAAAAAAGGCAGAAGTGACAGCTGTATATCACAAGACTCAGGCTGCATAGCCACATTTCTCTTCAGGCTCAGAATGATTTAAAGTTCAAACGGCTTTGAGTTAGTTTACATTTGGATTGTTTCATTTTACAACTAAGAGTGGAGGAAAGATGGTTCCCCAAAACAAGACCAAATGCCACCGCTGAGATGAGGCCTGAGTACTGAGCAGGCATTAAAACAGCCAGAAAAGATCAGGAAGGGCCGGGTGTGGTGGCTCAAGCCTGTAATCCCAGCACTTTGGGAGGCCGAGGCAGGTGGATCACTTGAGGTCAGGAGTTCAAGACCAGCCTGACCAACATGGCAGAAACCTGTCTCTAGTAAAAACACAAAAATTAGCTGGTCGTGGTGGCATGTTCCTGTAGTCCCCGCTACTCAGGAGGGTAAGGCAGGAGAATCAATTGAGCCCAGGAGGCAGAGGCTGCAGTGAGCCGAGATCATGCCACTGCACTCCAGTCTGGGCGAAAGGGCAATACTCTGTCTGGAAAAAAAAAAAAAGCCTGGGCACAGTGGCTTATGCATACAATCCCAGCATTGTGAGAGGCTGAGGTGGGTGGATCATTTGAGGTCAGGAATTCGAGACCAGCCTGGCCAACATGGTGAAACCCCATCTCTACTAAAAATACAAAAATTATCCAGGCGTGATGGTACATGACTGTAATCGCAGCTACTTGGGAGGCTGAGCCAGGAGAATCGCTTGAACCCGGGAGGTGAAGGTTGCAGTGAGCCAAGATCATGCCACTGCACTCCAGCCTGGGTGATGGAGTGAGACTCTGTCTTAAGAAAAAAAAATTCGGGAAGATCAGGACACTGTTGGACCCCACCTTGGCCTCAGCCTCAGTGGGATTCCTTGTGGCAGCCAGTTCTCTTTCGCGCTTGATTCCTGACAGGCAGGTGGCCTGTCATGTATTATTGCCAGCATGCATCCACACTGACTCAGCTGAGAGCAAAGCAAAAAGCCCAGCCTAGTTGTCCCAGTGAGTCAGGCCAGCCTGGGCAAAGGAGGAGGCATCCTTACTAGGGACCATTGTAGCTCAGATGGCCAACCCCACCTTGTATGGATGGGGAGAGTGAGGTGCAGGGGAAAAGGGGTCTGGCACCCAGGCCACCTGGCTACCAACCTCTGCCTCCAGCTGCCTACCTCTGGTTCCTCCCAGTGGGCTACAACTGGCCCCAAATGGTTAAGGTCTGGAACTTGCAAACAGATTTTCATGGACTGAAGCCAGCCCACCGGAGTGTTTTGTTTGTCTTATAGGAGGCTTACAAATACTTAGTAGTCAATATGTGTAAACTGGGAGCTTCCTGTTAAAACCTGGAATTCTGGCTTCTTTTGTAAAAAGAAACAGGCAAGGCCAGGCGCGGTGGCTCACGCCTGTAATCCCAGCACTTTGGGAGGCCGAGTTGGGCGGATCACAAGGTCAGGAGATCGAGACCATCCTGGCTAACACGGTGAAATCCCGTTTCTACTAAAAATACAAAAATTAGCCAGGCGTGGTGGCGGGCGCCTGTAGTCCCAGCTACTCAGGAGGCTGAGGCAGGAGAATGGCGTGAACCCGGGAGGCGGAGCTTGCAGTGAGCCAAGATGGCGCCACTGCACTCTAGCCTGGGCGACAGAGCAAAACTCCGTCTCAGAAAAAAAAAGAAAGAAAGAAAGAAACAGGCAGGACAGGCCCACATTCCTGATCATCAAGATCACCTGAAGCCAGGCTCAACCTCCACCGGCCTCCTACAGGAGCAAGCTTCGGACCCTTGTCTGAGCCCAGGGATATTTGCCTGAGTGGCTGTAGGCTGCAGGCAGTTGAGTTTATGCTGCTGGGATTGGCAGAATCCTTGGAGAGCTGTGTAGTCATGATGGGTCCTCAGGTGGGGCCCTTCCTGCTGTCTTCAGGCCAGGCCCTGTGCAGGGCTCTGGGGCTCCTCCTCACCCGTGTGCAGCTCCTGACACCATTTATGGCCTTCACTGATTCACTGAGTCTTCTCATCAGCCCTCAGAGGCCACACAGGTGGGGAATTGGCAGCACTATGGAGGTGCGAGGGAAGTGGGACTTCCCCAAGGTCACAGCACCCATATGGGGCCGGGCTACTCTAGGTGGGGCTCCTGATCCACCTGTCCCAGGTCCAGGGGACAGGAGCAGCTCCGGAAGGCTGATTCATGCTCACGCTGTCATGGGAGGTTGACTCACAAAGGCAGCTGTGCAGCCAGGCACACCTGGGGCGGACCCCCAGCTTTGCCATTTACAAAACCTGTGGCATCAGGTGAGTTTTGGCTCTTTAGTCTCTTCCTGTCTCAAATGTGGAAAATGCAAAATGGTTTACAGGAAGCCTGTCAGCGTTCAACGCAACCGACATCACAATAAAAGGTATATTAAATTCTCAGCTCGGGGACTATGCTATGCACTCGAAAAGTGGGAATAAAACAGATGTTGTCTTTGTAGGACAGCTGGCAAAACAACTGGTGTGATCTTGCCCCCCCCGCCAGGGGACATTAGGCAATGTCTGAATATATTCTGATTGTCACAACTGGAGGGGCCGGGCGCGGTGGCTTGTTCCTGTAATCCCAGCACTTTGGGAGGCCAAGGTGGGCAGCTCACCTGAGGTCAGGAGTTCAAGACCACCCTGGCCAACATGGTGAAACCCTGTCTCTATTAAAAATACAAAAATTAGCCGGCTGTGGTAGCATGTGCCTGTAGTCCCAGCTACTCGGGAGGCTGCAGGAGAATCACTTGAACCTGGGAGGCAAAGGTTGCAGTGAGCTGAGATCATGCCATTGCACTCCAGCCTGGGCAGCAGAGTGAGACTCAATCTCAAAAAAAAAAAACAACAAAAACCTGGAATGGGGACTGGTTACTCCTGGCATCAAGTGTATAGAGACCAGGAATGCTGCTAACCATCCTACAGTGAACAGGACAGCCCCCACAATAAAAACTGTATCCAGCCGGGCACAGTGGCTCACGCCTGTAATCCCAGCACTTTGGGAGGCCGAGGCAGGCGGATCACCTGAGGTCGGGAGTTCAAGACCAGCCTGACCAACATGGAGAAACCCTATATCTACTAAAAATACAAAGTTAGCTGGGTGTGGTGGTGCATGCCTGTAAACCCAGATATTCTGGAGGCTGAGGCAGGAGAATCACTTGAACCCGGGAGGCGGAGGTTGCGGTGAGCCGAGATCATGGCATTGCACTCCAGCCTGGGCAACAAAAGCGAGAAACTCCATCTCAAAAAAAAAAAAAAAAAAGTGGCCAGGCGTGGTGGCTCCTGCCTGTAATCCCAGCACTTTGGGAGGCCAAGGAGGGCAGATCATGAGGTCAGGAGATGGAGACCATCCCGGATAACATGGTGAAACCCTGTCTCTACTAAAAATACAAAAAAAAAATTAGCCAGGTATGGTGGCGGACGCCTGTAGTCCCAGCTACACAGGAGGCTGAGGCAGGAGAATGGCATGAACTCGGGAGTTGGAGCTTGCAGTGAGCCGAGATCGCGCCACTGCACTCCAGCCTGGGTGACAGAGCGAGACTCCGTCTCAATTAAAAAAAAAAAAGAGTATATCCAGCCCAAAATGTTAATTGTGTTGGGATTGAGAAACCCTCCTATAGCAGGACACAGACATTTAAACCGTACGATTACATGTGTGTGCCTAAACACGTGAGAGGAAACACAGGCCGGGTGTGACCCAACGAAGTTCCCTATAGAAAGTGATGAGATCCACGCTGGATGTGAGGGGTGAATAGGAGTTACGAAAGTAATGAGGAAGAAAGTTGTTCTGAGTAAGAGGAACAGCAAAGGCAAAGATTTGGAGGCTAGAAAAAGAGCCTGGGCCAGGCGCAGTGGCTCACACCTGTAATCCTAGTACTTTGGGAGGTTGAGGCGGGTAAATGGCTTGAGGTCAGGAGTTTGAGGCCAGCCTGGCCAACATGGCAAACCCCATCTCTACTAAAAATACAAAAAATTAGATGGGTGTGGTGGCATGCCCTTGTAGTCCCAGGTACTCAGGAGGCTGAGGCAGGAAAATCGCTGATTCCAGGGAGGCAGAAGTTGCAGTGAGCCGAGATTGCCATACTGCACTCAAGCCTGGGCAACAGAGCAAGACCCTGTTTCAAAAACAAACAAACAAACAAACAAAGGAAAAGAGCCCTTTTTTTTTTTTTTTTTGAGATGGAGTCTTGCTCTGTCACCCAGGCTGGAATGCAGTGGCATGATCTTGAAGAGCCCAATATTTTTAAGGAAGTAAACTTTCTTGATGTGACTGGAATGCAGAGTATAAGGAGGGAAGTGGCGATAGGTCACATTAAGGAGCTGATACTTTATCCGGGGAGTTAAGGGACATAATTGAAGGATGGAACAGGGTGCAGCATGGGTAGATTTGCTTCTGAAGACCCTCCTCAGCAGGGCCTGGAGGCAGGAGGCCAGTAAGGAGGCTGCTGTGGGTATCATGGGTGATAGAGAACGTGGGAGTGGGGGAGGGAGGAAGAGCATCTTCAGAACAAGATGTGAGAAGAGAGACAGTGGGTGGGACCAAGGAAGGCATCCAAGTGTCCAGCTTGGGTAACGGAATGAAAGTGCCTCTCCCAGAGTTCCACTGCAGCAGGGAGCAAGATAGACAAGGTCCCAGAGCCAAAGATCAACCAGTGAGGAAAACAAGCAACTCAGCCGGGCACGGTGGCTCACGCCTGTAATCCCAACACTTTAGGAGGCCAAGGTGGGTGGATCACTTGAGGTCAGGAGTTCGAGACCAGCCTGGCCAACATGGTGAAACCCCGTCTCTACTAAAAATACAAAGATTAGCCAGGCATGGTGGTGGGCACCTGTAATTCCAGCTACTCAGGAGGCTGAGGCAGGAGAATCGCTTGAATCTGGAAGGCGAATCTTGCAGTGAGCCAAGATCGCGCCACTGCACTCCAGCCTGGGTGACAGAGCGAGACTTTGTCTAAAAAAATAAATAGGCCGGGCGCAGTGGCTCATGTCTGTAATCCCAGCACTTTAGGAGGCTGAGGTGGGCGGATCACCTGAGGTCGGGAGTTCAAGATCAGCCTGACCAACATGGAGAAATCCCGTCTCTACTAAAAATACAAAATTAGCTGTGCATGGTGGTGCATGCCTGTAATCCCAGCTACTCGGGAAATTGAGGCAGGAGAATCGCTTGAAGGAATTGCTGAGGTGGAGGTTGCAGTGAGCCAAGATCGCACCACTGCACTCCAGCCCGGGCGACAGAGCGAGACTCTGTCTCTAAAAAGAAAGAGAGAGAGGGAGAGAGAGGAAGGGGAGGGGAGGGGAGGGGGGAAGGGGAGGAGAGGGAAAGGGAGAAGAAGGGAGGGGAAGGGAAGAGAAGGGAAGGGAGGGAGGAGGGGAGGGAAGGGAAGAAGCGACTCCAGGTAGCATGAGAGTTAAGAGAGAGGACGTCCAGGGGGCCATGGGCATGAGCAGCAGTGAGAGCTAGCCTGGACCGGTGGGAGCTGGAAAAAGACCTCTTGAGGAAATAAGCAGAGCCCTGGAGGCTACCCAGGAGCTGGGCAGGGGAAGAGGTGGGGCAGGGAACCAGCACATTCTGGCACAGCCTCTAGGGCTCTGCCACCGGACAGACCATTTTGAGAACCACATCCCCCTTTGTAAACCTCCATACTGAAGTTAGTTCATCATCTCTAACCAAAAGACTGGGTTTGTCCCTGCCAGTTCCTCCCAGCAGGCACTCTTTCGCACCCTCTGAGAACCTCGACTGATTGGTCTAGAATTTCTGCAAGGGTCAGGAAGGCAGTTCAGGGAGATTTCCAAGCAAGGCATGTGAGTGAGCCGTCTTAGGGGTAGAGGCCCAGCCCCAGAGGGGCAGGTCCAGCTGCCACTGAGAAAAGGACAAGCTGTTCCCTCTGGGACCTGATCAAATTGCAAAATCATGAGCAAATAAATGATCATTGTTTTCAGCCACTAAGTTTCAAGTTGGCTTGTTACACAGCAAAGACAACTGAAGCAAGCAGCTACTGGTGTTGAGTACCTGCCGTGTGTCCCCCACTGTGTTCTGTGTTCTGTGAGCAACAGCTTGTTAACTTCACCCATCCTCCTTATCAGAGAAGGATTTTTAGAGAAATTAAATAATCCCATCCTAGAGCACAGTCGGGAAGTTAGAGACAGGCAGACTCTGAAGCCCCCACATTTACTTGTGAGGAGCCTGGCTCCTGGCCACAAGCCTACATGTGATCTCTCAGTCCCAACCAGAAGCAATGACAAAGGCTGAGCCTGGCAGGCCTCAGTGGGGTGGCAGGAGGGGGCAGCTGCCCTCCCCACACCAGACTTGAGACACAACCAGTGAGTTGCAGTCATGGAGTCAGCTCCCCAGCCGGTCATGCCCTTGCACATACTGCAGACCCAGCCCAGGTGCCTCTATTCGGTGGCCCCTATCAGGGGGTCTCAACTGAAGCCTTACCCAGGTGCCTCTGCCAGGACCTCCTGGCAGGAGTGTGGCATGTGGGGAATCTTTTCTTTCCTTTTTTTTTTTTTTGGAGACAGAGTCTTGCTCTGTCGCCCAGGCTGGAGTGCAGTGGCGTGATCTCAGCTCACTGCAACCTCTGCCTCCCGGGCTAAAGTGATTCTCCTGCCTCAGCCTCCTGAGTAGCTGGGATTATAGGCCCCTGCCACCACTCCCAGCTAAGTTTTGTATTTTTAGTAGAGACAGGGTTCACCATGTTGGCCAGGCTGGTCTCGAACTCCTGGCCTCAAGTGATTCACCTTCCTTGGCCTCCCAAAGTGCTGGGATTGCAGGTATGAGCCACTGTGCCTGGCCTAATTTTTGTATTTCCCTCTTTTTTTAATTTTTATTATTATTTTTTTTCTGGGTAGAGACAGATTTTTGCCTTGTTGCCCAGGCTGGTCTCAAACTCCTGGGCTCAGGAGATCCTCCTGATTTGGCCTCCCAAAATGCTGGGATTACACAAGCCCAGCCAGTGAAAGGAATCTTGAACACTCTTTACTATCAGTAATTTTCCACTCCTAGCCCTTCTCCCTCTTGTCCCCTCCGACCCCCACCAAGGCCATAAAACAGCAGGAGTCTTTTTTTCCTGAGGATTCCCTCAGCAGTGAGAAGACACCCCCTTGTGTAATACATCTCACCCTTACCTGGTGCTGTCCTGTGGGGAAAAAAATGGAACATAAGGGGAGTGGCGTTTTCTCCTCTTGGTTACGCCAGCATAGTAAGCAATTACAGGCTTCACTGTTACTTTCACTGTAGCCTGTTGTCTTCATGGACTAAGGTAAGGGGACAGCTCAGCAGTCTCCAACTTGCGCACCCGCCTCTTTCAGAGCAATTGCAGCCACAGCCTCCTGGCGGTGGCCTCTTCCCTGTACTGGCCTTGGTTCCCATGTCCCCAGTCAGCCTTAAGTCCTTCCCACTCTGCTTTCTGTGCCCCTGCCACCTTCTAGTTCCAGGGTCGCATCCTTTGTAATCCCATTCAAACCACAGAGCTCCCATTGTGACATCAAGACTTGGTAGTTACCACTTCGGATTATCGGCCACTGTAATGACGATGACAGCAGCTGTATTTATTGAGCATGAGCTATTCCCAGCACTGCCTTGTAGATCTGTTGGGCAAACATTATTGAAGAAAGAACTGGCCGGATGCCACGGTTCACATCGTAATCCCAGCACTTTGGGAGGCCGAGGCAGGAAGATGACTTGAGCCCAGGAATTCGAGACTACCTGGCTGACCTGGCAAAACCCAGTCTCAACAAAAAATATAAAAGTTAGCTGGGCATAGTGATGGGCTCCTGTGGTCCCAGCTACTAGGGAGACTGAGGTGGAAAGATCTCTCGAGCCCAGGAGGTCAAGGCTGCAGTGAGCCATGATTGTGTCACTGCACTCCAGCCTAGGCAACAGAGTGAGAACTTGTCTCAAGACAAATAAACAAAAAAAGAAAGTACTCTCCCCTAAAATACAGTTTACAAAGCATGCCTTTCCAAAAGGCTATCAAAAGGGTTTAAAATATAAAAGGTTTGGGAGGCTGAGGCAGAAGAATTGCTTGAACCAGGGAATCAGAGGCTGCAGTGAGCCGAGATCGTGCCACAGCACTCCAGTCTGGCGACAGAGCAAAAAAAAAAAAAAAAAGAATACTAACACAAGCTGCCTCTAGGCCTCGTTTGATCTAGACACTACTCCTCCCGGTCAGGTCAGGCTCAAATCATCTCTAGGTGACCTCAAATCTTACTGGCAGCAAGGTCAGAGTAGTTAAGAACAGTAGCTAACAGCATGGGCTACGTTGGGTAATAAGGTAGCTGTGGGACTTTAGGCAAATTGTTAATCCTCTCTGATTCTCAATGTCCTCACCTGCAAACAGAACAATGTTAGTGCCTACTTCCTGGGGCTGTTGCAAGGAGTCAATGAGATAATGCTTATAAGGCCTCAGTAGACTAGGGGCTCAATAATTGTTAGTTGTTTTTGTTTTTGTTTTTGTTTTTGAGACGGAGTCTTGCTGTGTCGCCAGGCTAGAGTGCTGTGGCGCAATCTCGGCTCACTGCAACCTCCAACTCCCTGGTTCAAGGGATTCTCCTGCCTCCGCCTCCCAAGTAGCTGGGATTACAGGCATGCGCCACCATGCCCGGCTAATTTTTGTATTTTTAGTAGAGATGGGGTTTCACTATGTTGGCAAGGATGGTCTCGATCTCCTGACCTCGTGATCCGCCCGCCTCGGCATCCCAAAGTGCTGGGATTACAGGCATGAGCCACCGCACCCGGCCAATAATTGTTAGTTTTTAATTTTTTTTTTTTTTGAGATGGCGTCTTGCTCTGTTGCCCAGGCTGGAGTGCAGTGGCACGATCTCGGCTCACTGCAAGCTCTGCCTCCGGGGTTCACGCCATTCTCATCCTGTATTTAAATATATATATTGCATATATGTAAAGATAGGATCTTGCTATGTTGCCCAGGCTGGTCTTGAACTCCTGGGCTCAAGTGATCCTCCCATCTTGACCTCCTCACCTTGGATTACAGATGTGAGCCACCACACCTGTTCCAATTTTTTTTTTTTTTTTTTTTCAGACGGAGTTTTGCTCTTGTTGCCCAGGCTGGAGTGCAGTGGTGTGATCTTGGTTCACTACAACCTCCACCTCCTGGCTTCAAGTGATTCTCCTGCCTCAGCCTCCCAAGTAGCTGGGACTACAGCAGCCTGCAACCACGCCCGGCTAATTTTTTGTATTTTTAGTAGAGATGGGCGGGGTTTCACCGTGTTAGCCAGGACGGTCTCGATATCCTGACCTCGTGATCCGCCCGCCTCGGCCTCCCAAAGCGCTGGGATTACAGGCGTGAGCCACCACGCCTGGCCAATAATTGTTAGTTTTTATTGTTACTAAATACTGGTGAGAGTGATAGCTATGCCCAGGAATACTGAGATCCCTCCAGAAGGAAGGCCAGTCTTATTTAAAGGAGTATCCCTGCTTGGCAGGACTTCCCAACTGTTCAGCAGAAACTCCAGAGAAGCAGTCATCCTTGGTGCAGGATCCGGATTCCAGCTGAGTTTAAGTCTTCCAGTCTCTGAGCCAAGGTTCTTAACCGGCCTGGAGTAGTGGCTCATGGCTGTAATCCCAACACTTTGGCAGGCAGAGGCAGGAGGAACACTTGAGCCCAAGAGTTGGAGACCAGCTTGGGCAACATGGTGAAACCCCATCTCTACCAAAAAAAAAAAAAAAAAACAAATTAGCTGAGTGTGGTGGCGCATGCCTGTAGTCCCAGCTACTCGAGAGGCTGAAGTGGGAGGATCAGTTGAGCCCAGGAGGTCAAGGCTACAGTGAGCTGTGATCCTGCCACTGCACTCCAGCCTAGGTGACAGAGTGAGACCATGGTTTTTTTTGTTTTTGAGATAAGAGTTTCACTCTTGTTGCCCAGGCTGGAGTGCAGTGGTGCGATCTCAGCCTCCCGGGTTCAAGCAATTCTCCTGCCTTAGCTTCCCCAATAGCTGGGATTACAGGCATGTGGCACCATGCCCAGCTAATTTTTGCATTTTTAGTAGAGACAGAGTTTCTACATGTTGGTCAGGCTGGTCTCAAACTTCTGACCTCAGGTGATCCACTCACCTTGGCCTCCCAAAGTGCTGGGATTACAGACATGAGCCACCGCCAACTGGCCAAGACCCTGTCTTTTTTTTTTGAGACAGAGTTTCTTGTTGCCCAGGCTGGAGTGCAATGGCGTGATCTCGGCTCACTGCAACCTCAGCCTCCCGGGTTCAAGCGATTCTCCTGCCTCAGCCTCCCAAGTAGCTGGGATTACAGGTGCCCGCCACCACACCCAACTAATTTTTTGTATTTTTAGTACAGACGGAGTTTCACCATGTTGGCCAGGCTTGTCTCAAACTCCTGACCTCGTGATCCACCTGCCTCGGCCTCCCAAAATGCTGGGATTACAGAGATGAGCCACCACACCTGGCCAGATCCAGTCTTTAAAAAAAAAAAAATTCTTAACCTTCAGAAAGTATCAGGATTACTGAGGGCTTGTACTGAGGGCTTGTTTACAATGCATAGAGTCCTCCCTCCAGGTTTTGAGTGAGGCCTGCGATTGGGTATATTTAAGAAATGCCTCAGGTAATTCTTTTTTTTTTTCTTTTGTTTTTTTTTTTTTGAGACGGAGTCTTGCTCTGTCACCTGGGCTGGAGTGCAATGGCATGATCTTGGCTCACTGCAACCACTGTCTCCCGGGTTCAAGTGATTCTCCTGCCTCAGCCTCCTGAGTAGCTGGGATTACAGGTGCATGCCACCACGCCCGGCTAATTTGTGTATTTTTAGTAGAGACGGGGTTTCACCATGTTGGTCAGGCTGGTCTCGAACTCCTGACCTCGTGATCTGCCCACCTCGGCCTCCCAAAGTGCTGGGATTACAGGCATGAGCCACAGTGCCTGGCCTGCCTCAGGTAATTCTTAAGAGTCCCAAACACTGCCTTAAACCAGGAATAGACTGACTTCTACTGTAAATGGGTCAGAGAGTAAACACTTTTGGCTTTGTGGGCCAGATGTCTCTGTAACTACTCAACTCTTGCTTTGGTGGTACAAAAAAAAAAAAAAAAAAAGCCACAGGTTCATAAATGAATGGGTGTGGCTGTGTTCCAATACAATTTTATTTATAAAAATAGGTGGTGAGCCTGATTTGAGTTTGTGGGCCATCGTCTGCCAGTCCCTGGTTCTCTTCTATATATAAGCAATAAAGACACAGAGATGTGTGTATAAAAAAGTGATATGTCTTTAATTTAAAATTATGACCCGGAAATAACTAGTCAGTTTAAGTGATCCAGACTTCCTCTTCATACCCAAATGGAACAGACACAATATTGGCTCAGATTTCCAACCCCAGAAAAAAACCAAACCAAGTCCTCAGGAAGTCCCTGCAGCGACCTTGCTGGGGCCATCAGACCGCACAGAGTGGAGGTGCCCAAGCTGCTAGGCTGCTCTTAATCCAGCCACACTGAGAAGAGCTTTCCTTCTACCAGCAACTCCCTCGCTGGGTCCGATATCCCCCTTCACCTCCCTTTTAGCTGGCACTGCACGAATGCCTCCACAGAGAGGCTGACAGTACAGCAGTCACCTCCCAGCTGTCTTCGGTGCATCTTCAGGGCCACCTTCCTGTGGTCACAATAGAGGAGTTGAGCATTCTAAACGTTCGTGCCCAGGAGGGCAGCGTCTTCTCTTTTTAGCTGAGGTCTGGAGCCCTGAGTTGTAACCATTGGTCATATGTGGCTGAGGCACCGACAGCAAATCGCCAAACTTGGGAAACGATCTGGGGAGATGCAAGGGCCTTGGTAATTGATGGTGAGTCTGAAAATGAAACAGACAAATGGCATCTGGGTAAAATCCTTACAGACATCTCAGAAGAGAAAGTGTAAAGATGGAACAGGGAACAGCACCTCCTTCAGCACTCCAAGGCTCTGCCTGCTCTTCCCTGAGCATAGAATCCAAAGGGTCCCATTTGTTTTTTTGGTTTTTTCTTTGTTTTTTTTTTGAGACAGAGTCTCGCTCTGTCGCCAGGCTGGAGTGCAGCGGTGCAATCTCGGCTCACTGCAATCTCCGCCTCCTGGGTTCAAGCGATTCTCCTGCCTCAGCCTCCCGGGTAGCTGGGACTACAGGCGTGTGCCACCACGCCCAGCTAATTTTTGTGTTTTTAGTAGAGACGGGGTTTCATCATGTTGGCCAGGATGGTCTTGATCTCTTGACCTCGTGATCCACCCGCCTCGGCCTCCCAAAGCGCTGGGATTACAGACTTGAGCCACCTCGCCCGGCCAGGGTCCCACTTCTTAGGTCAGCTTCGCCTTTTCCTCCTCCTACGTTCAGGGTCAATTATGGCTTTGGATTCACTCAGCTACTCAGAGGGAGTCTCAAGAGAACAGAAGGCACTGAGCGGTGTGGCAGGGGAAGAGTCCAGCATGTGATGCTCAGCAGGGCTTTTTTTGCACTGAATTTTGGAAATGTGGAGTCAGCAGAGAGGAAAGGAGGATGGGTGTGGCCACAGGGCAGCCTTCCTGGAGGCCTTCCTAGGAGGGGTTCACACACAGAATAAATACAACTGGCTGGATGCAAGCCTCCGCACAAAGCCAACAGGTCACTCAGACCCACTGCAGTGGGGCAGCAAGCTTCCACACTAGTTGGCTTTCTCAAAAATTTACAGCATCCAAAGCTTGACCTGAGTCAAAAGCTCTAGGGACAAACCACCAAAGGGCTGCCCAGAGATGCTGTTGAAAACCAGAGAGTGGCCAAACCGTCCCCACCATACACAGCATTCCTGAGCCAGACTGGCTGCACACTGCATGTATTACGGAGGCGTCCCAGCACACTACCTAACAAGGGCCTGCGCTGTGCCTGGGGTGGGGTCGGGGGAGAGCACAACAGTCATTGGAGTCCCCTGAGAACTGAGGCACAGTGAGGAGAAAAGGGTGGGGTTTCCTCCTCAGTCACACTACCTCCCAAAGGAGGAAGATATTATTGCTCAACTGCCAGCATCAGTGACATTACCCTACTCGAAAGGATGGCACCTGGGGTTGGGCAGCTCAGTAGAGACCCAGGCTGGGTGACGGCCCCCAGTGACAGCCCGTTGTGTTGTTCCTTACAGTTGTCCAAGACCAAGGCTGGGTCATGTCACAAGCCCGGGGTCATGACAACACATGTCCCATCACATGCACACGTGACCCCCTGCTAACCAATCTTCTGGATCTTAGCAAGGCAGCTCAAGTAGGGGGAGTATGAGTTTGGGTCCCAGGAGCCCAACAAATTCCTCTTCTCAAAAACAGTGCAACCCCTAAGCGTTTATTAAAGAGGGAGCTGTGCACGTGGCCGGTCTAAGGCCAAGGCCAATCACAGGACCCACTTACAAGTCCATGGAGTTTTCATCCCATCATGGCAGAAGGCTGGCCTGACCCCTGCCCTCACTGGATGATGCTGTCTGGCTGCCCATTCTGGGCCACCTGCCCAGGGTCAGAGGCGGGGGCCGGGTTAGCTGTGTTGCTCTGCAGGTAGCGGCGGAAATCTTTGATCATAGGCCGGAGGACCTGGATGAGGACGCTCAGGGCAGCCTGTGTGCCCTCCATGGCCTGGGCCTGGCGCTCCTGGGCACAGGCCTGCACTTCCTGGGAGCGGCGGATCATCTGCAGTAGGTCGTTCTGCTGTTCCAGGTGCTGTGCGATCTCCTTCACATGCAGGTTGGTGACCCGCTGCTCCTGTATCAGCTTGGCGGAGTTGAGAGCAATGCGGCTCTTGAGCGCTTGCGGCTTGACCGACGTGTCTGCATGCTGGGCCATCATGTCCACAGGGGTCTCTGGTGGCAGAGGTGGGGGCGCCTCAGCCGTGCAGTACTCCACCACGCCCTCCTCCAGCGTGTGATAGGTGGTCTCTGTGGGGACTGCACAGTAGAAAGAACAGAGGCCAAGGGAGGTCACTTTCTGGAAGGAATAAAGCTGGCTGTATGGGGTGGGGAGGAGGCCATAAAGTCCTGTCCTGGAGGGACATAAAGGGGAATCCAGGCCTCCCCTGGCTGCATAGCTATTCACATATAAATCTAGAATCTAAGGGGTTCAGAATTTTTTTTTTTTTTTTTTTTTTTTTTTTGAGACGGAGTCTCGTTCTGTCGCCCAGGCGGGAGTGCTGTGGCGCGATCTCCGCTCACTGCAAGCTCCGCCTTCCGGGTTCACGCCATTCTCCTGCCTCAGCCTCCCGAGTAGCTGGGACTACAGGCGCCCGCCACTGCGCCCGGCTAATTTTTTGTATTTTTAGTAGAGACGGGGTTTCACCGTGGTCTCGATCTCCTGACCTCGTGATCCGCCCGCCTCGGCCTCCCAAAGTGCTGGGATTACAGGCGTGAGCCACCGCGCCTGGCCGGGGTTCAGAATCTTAATCTACTTGGTAATCAAAGGGCCAGCCCTGGATCTGGCAAAAGCAAAGATGTTGATCATAATACTAGCAAAACTTTTAGAGCAACTACTACATGTCAGGCACTTTGTACTCATTAGCTCAACAAATCCTCAAAATGACACCAAGAGGTTGGTGCTGTCATCTTCATTTTTCAGAGATGAGGAAACAGACTGAGAAATGTAGAATGACTTGCTAAGGTCACAGAGCTCATTCAGCAGAGCCAAGAGGCAAACCCAGGTCTCCCCAACAGCAGAGCCCGATGTGCTCCTGACCTCCACGCTGGGCTGCTCCTAGCTAAGAAAGGCACCCCCGGCCGGGCGCGGTGGCTCACGCTTGTAATCCCAGCACTTTGGGAGGCCGAGGTGGGTGGATTACCTGAGGTCAGGAGTTCGAGACCAGCCTGACCAACATGGAGAAACCTCGTCTCTATTAAAAATACAAAATTAGCCGGGCATGGTGGCGCATGCCTGTAATCCCAGCTACTTGGGAGGCTGAGGCAGCAGTGAGCCGAGATCATGCCATTGCACTCCAGCCTGGGCAACAAGAGCAAAACTCCATCTCATAAAAGAAAGAAAGAAAGAAAGGCACCCCAGAGGCTGGGTCACATGCTCTCTGTGGTACCATGCAGCAGGCATCTTGGGTGGGACTCTACACACGCTCTTTGCAGCCACATTAGTCCTACCTCCTTTGATGCTTTCTGCTTTTTTTTTTTTTTTTGAGACGGAGTTTTGCTCTTTTGCCCTGTTACCCAGGTTGGAGTTCAGTGGCACGATCTCGGCTCACTGCAACTTCTGCCTCCCAGGTTCAAGTGATTGTTGTGCCTCAGCCTCCCGAGTAGCTGGGACTACAGTCGCCCACCTCCAAGCCTGGGTAATTTTTGTATTTTTAGTAGAGACAGGGTTTCACCATATTGGCCAGGCTTGTCTCGAACTCCTGACCTCCACTGATCTGCCCACCTCAGCCTCCCAAAGTGCTGGGATTACAGGAGTGAGCCACCATGCCAGCCCTTTGATGCTTTCTTGACTTGACTTCCTAGGCCCCTATGGCGAAGCAGAAAAGGAGGTGGGAATGGGGCAGCAGTAGCTAAAGTACCCAGTCAATGTCTCCCTGTCTGTCATCATCTGGGTCAATCCGATACTTAAACATCCTTCCTGTTCCAGAACAGCATCTGACCTAGACCCGTGTTTGTCCCCCTTACCCCACCCCAGTGTATTCTTGAGAAATACGCATTGTGAGGGGATGGCACTCGCACATCCACCCAACTCCCCCAACCCCCACTGAGAATCACTGAATGATCCAGCTCACGGTCATCACAAACGAGCAGAGGTAACAGGGCACAAACTCTTCTTTGAACTAAAAAATCCAACCAAAGTTAGTTCTGTTGTCATTCCTGAGAACCACGGAAAGGATCCTGGCTGGGCTGTATGGGCCTCCGCGCATGTGGGAGAGGTCAAGCTCCTCCACCCTTCAACGCCAATGTCAGCTATGTGTCCTTATGCCACCAAGAAGCCCCCTTCCTCTTCCGGGGCCTGAGGTTTTCCCAACTGATGGCGAAGCTATTCCTATATGTGTCATCTCTGTCCTACTAGAACATAACTGGCCTGTATTTTAGACAACTTGGTAATCCCAGTGCCCAGCACAGGGTTTGGTACAGAATAAGTGCTAATGTTTGATGAATGAATGAATGAATGAATGGAGTAGATTAACACCAGGAACCATGAGGCTCCTGAGCAGCACCTGATGAAAGATCCCCCACACTGAAAACAGAATCCAGAATCGTTGTCTCACTTGGGCAGTATTATTCCCATCAATTTTTTCAACAAATATGGCCTGGCTGTCTACTACAAGCCGGGCCCTGTGAAAAGTCCTGTGGGGATACAGACACGGTCTCTTGTTTTCAAGGACCACCCAGTTCGGCAAGTGGAGGTAAGTCATGGACAAACATGGTGGCAATGCTCAGTGGCGAGCTATCCAGCACGTCAGAAGTCCAGCCCACGTGCTGAGGAAGTCCCAAAGAGAGCAAGATCACTTCTGTCTGGGTGCTGCTCTTGGAAGGCCTCATGGTCTTCCAAGACCCCCATCTGACCTCTGACCCTTGGCAGCCAACCTTCCCCAGGCCACCCCAGAGCTTGCTGGCCCTTCCCACTTATGCACGCCGCCTGGGCAGGAGAGGTCACTCACTCTGTGTCAGGGTGACCGTGGCTGCGGCTGCGGTGGCCGAGGGTCCGAGGGCCACAGGGTGGATCTCTGTGGTGCTGGGCAGGCTGATGATGGTGGCCTCGCCCAGCAGGTTGCAGATACGTTGTTGCATGGGGGTCAGCAGCACTGGGGCTACAGCTGGGCCACCGCCACCACTGCCACCGCCTGTCCCAGGCCCCCCAGCTCCGTCCTCCTCAGTGGGCCCCGGCGCCTCACCACCCTCCACGGCGGCCCGGACCTGGGCAACCTTGCGACGGACCTCGGTCTTGAGGTCAGACCACTTCTTCTTGACCTCAGGCAGCTCTCTGCGGCAGGTGGCCACGGCGTTGACCCTTCTCAGGATGCCGTGCCAGGCCGCACTCTTGGCGGCCAGGGGTACCCCGGCGTTGAAGTGGTTCACCAGCAGGTGCTTCTTCAGCTCCAGCTCCTCCACGATGATCTCCACCTCCCGCTCTGAGAAGTTCATCTTCCTTTTCTTGGCTGGGACGGCCATGGCCTCTCCCCTCCCCTCTTTTTAAAGAAATTATAATCCCCTCAAGCGCCCCAATTCCCCTTCTCTTCTTCCTCAGCCTCGCCCCTCACCCACCCCCTACAGGGGATAGGCCAGGCTTGCTCGAGGCCAAGCACTAGGCCTTTGGTAACCCCCCTCGCTACGCAAAGTGCGTAGGGCCCAGCCCCGACCGGCCCGGCCGCTGCCAGCCAGCAGCGTAATGGCTTCCTGAATCTGCCTCTTCCGCCGAGGTGTGCGGAGATCCGCCCACTTCCCCTCTTCCCGCCTCCCAGCGCTTCTCCGGGAAAACCGGCCTTCCCGGTTGGTAGCTGCTCAAATATCACGTCGATCACTGGTTCTTTCGATCTGTCGCTCAGCTAAAGAGCACGCCTGCTTACTGTAATTCGCCTGATCATTGGTCTAAAATTGTGTCCGTCGCCCAGAGGGCCCCGCCCACCTAACCTTTATTCACTTCCATTGGAAAATCATTCTGTCGTTCAATTGTCAGTATTACGACTATTAAGCCGTTAAATTCAGCTATTTTATTGGTGGTTTAGGGAGTTAGATTACCAAAACCCTGCTTCCTGAGGATACTTAGTGCTTTCGGCCGTGACCCATGGGTCAATTAACTTTTAATTCCTCCCACCGGCACAAACTCTGCCTCGCAACTGCAGTTCACAAATGCTCTCACACAAATCCTGTTTCCCACTGGAGGCTACGATCTCTCCGTACACTACCGCTCCTCCCATCCTTAAGATCCCGCAGTCTAAACAGAGTTAGTTCATCAATGGAAACTGGACACGGGGCCTTCCGCCTGCCAATCACATTACTCATGCCTATCGCTGCGTGATTTTCTCTCTCTTGGCCCCCGGCTCAGCCAATCCCCGCCTCCCTCAGTTTGAATCGGCCCCAGGCGGAGCCGGGTGACCCCGCCCACCCCATTGATCCGGGTAGTCCGTGGCGCGTGGGCTGTCCTTAGACAGGCTCCGCCCCTCCCTCCTCCCCATCCGAGCCTGTGACTGGCCTTCGGTGCGCCCGGGCGTGGCCGGCGAAGCGGGGCGCGGAGGGGCGGGGCTCCCGGAAGCCGCCCCTTCCGCCAGCTTGCCGGCGTCTCCGAGCCCGCGCTCCCAGCTGCAGAGCGCCTGGCTTGCCTCCCGCGCGGTCACCGCCGGCCCGCCGCCCCCGCTCCCGCCCGCGCCCGGAGCCCCTGCCTCGCGCCCGATGGTGAGCAGTGTGTTGTGCCGCTGTGTGGCCTCCCCGCCGCCGGACGCCGCCGCCACCGCCGCCTCTTCGTCTGCCTCATCGCCGGCGTCCGTGGGGGACCCCTGCGGCGGCGCTATCTGCGGGGGCCCGGACCACCGGCTGCGCCTGTGGAGACTCTTTCAGACGCTCGACGTCAACCGGGACGGCGGCCTGTGTGTCAACGACCTGGCGGTGGGGCTGCGGCGCCTGGGACTGCACCGCACCGAGGGCGAGCTCCAGGTAGGCTGCGCGCGTCCTCAGCACTGGCGGGGAGGGAGCCCCTCGAGGGCCGGGTGACAGGTCTCGGGGGACGGCCCCTTGGGCTGGGCGGAACCCCCACTGTCCAGAGGAAGGGTGCCCCCTGACTCACTGAGGGACACCCCACTTATGCCCTGGTGGGAGCGGGGCTCCTTCCTGACTTCTTTGGGTGCTTGAGCCGGGTTCTTCGTGGACACAGGTGGGCATCCTATGGGCTTTCTGATGGGCGAAAAGCCCTTTCTTGCCCAGAGTAGAAGGCCAGGTCTCAGGAGTGTGCCTTTGTCACCTCCTGACCTCAAGGCCAAGCTGGACGCTCCCTTCACCCAAGGATGGGTTCATCCATCAGTCCCCAGCAGCACCCCCTCCTTTCCCTCTCGTTTCCATGCCAGCCGTGGGCCCTGATCTGGTTCCTCTCAGGAACATGTGGGAGTTGAAAAAAAAATTGGTATTGGGGTTTCAGGCTGATCCGTGTGGACGTTGGCGGCGAAGACTGACAGTTCTCATGGTTTAGGCTCATCTCCATTGCCCTGTTTATCCAGAAAATGGGATCGTGATCCCCGCGGGGTTGGAGTGTGGACGGAGTGAAAGAATCCGGGGGAAATTTTTTTTCTAAAAGTCAAAGCGAGATTGTTACTATTGTGGGCTCTTGGCCGAGGTGTGGGCATAGGGGCGCAGAGAAATGGTCATCCCTGGGCCTGCCAGGAAGAGAAGTGCTGGCCTTTCTGTATGAGAACCTCAGAGCAGAGGCTGTTTCTTTCCCTTCTGTCTCTTCCCCCTTCAGTCTGACTTGGCGGGTGTAGCTGCCATTTTCCCAAGTATTTCATTTACTGTAGCTTAGCCTGATTTACAGCCTGGAATAGGACTCCTGAGTACTTTACCTAAGAACCTGTTTCACTGCTGAGTTAGTTTGGTCCATTTGTACACATGACAATTAGAGAATCTCGTAGCCAAGTATGAAAAGAATCTGGTAAACCGCCAATGAATTAAACCAATTTGTTGGGTGGGTGTACATAGGTGTTGTTAACTCATGTTCAAGATTCTTGGATCAACATCCAAGGTATTTAGCGCTAACTATTAGGATCAGCCTAGGAGGACCAAGAGTAACACTACGCAAGATAGAATGGTTAAGTCCAGGAGATTTAGAGACAAGTTTTTTTTGTTTGTTTGTTTTGAGACGGAGTCTGGTTCTGTCTCCCAGGCTGGAGTGCATTGGTGCAATCTTGGCTCACTGCAGCCTCCGCCTCCTGGGTTCAAGAGATTCTCCCGCCTCAGCCTCCCCAGTAGCTGGGATTACAGGCATGTGCCACCACACCCAGCTAATTTTTTTTTTTTTTTTTTTGAGAGAGTCTCACTCTGTCACCCAGGCTCGAGTGCAGTGGTGCGATCTTGGCTCACTGCAAGCTCCGCCTCCCGGGTTCACGCCATTCTCCTGCCTCAGCCTCCCTAGTAGCTGGGATTACAGGCATGTGCCACCACACCCAGCTAATTTTTTTTTTTTTTTTTTTTTTTTTTGAGACAGTCTCACTCTGTCACCCAGGCTCGAGTGCAGTGGTGCGATCTTGGCTCACTGCAAGCTCCGCCTCCGGGGTTCACGCCATTCTCCTGCCTCAGCCTCCCTAGTAGCTGGGACTACAGGTGCCCGCCACCATGCCCAGCTAATTTTTTTTTTGTTTGAATTTTTAAGAGAGATGGGGTTTCACCGTGTTAGCCAGGATGGTCTTGATCTCCTGACCTTGTGATCCGCCCGCCTCAGCCTCCCAAAGTGCTGGGATTACAGGCATGAGCCACCGCGCCCGGCCACCCAGCTAATTTTTGTATTTTTAGTAGAGATAGGCTTCCACCATGTTGGCCAGGTTGGTCTCGGGCTCCTGACCTCAGGTGATCCACCTGCCTCGGCCTCCCAAAGTGTTGGGATTACAGGCGTGAGCCACCGCACCCGGCTAGAGACAGGTTTTTTTTGTTTTGTTTTGTTTTGTAATGTTTCCAGTCAGTTTTACACAAAATAGTGTTGTGAACTGGAGATTTTCCTGTATGTATCTGATGAATACTCACTTGAAAAGGTAGAATGGCTGGCCGGGCACAGTGGCTTACGCCTGTAATCCCAGCACTTTGGGAGGCCAAGCCGGGTGGATCACCTGAGGTCAGGAGTTTGAGACCAGCCTGACCAATTTGGAGAAAACCCGTCTCTACTAAAAATACAAAATTAACGGGGAGTGGTGGCGCATGCCTGTAATTCCAGTACTCGGGAGGCTGAGGCAGGAGAATCGCTTGAACCCGGGAGGCGGAGATTGCGGTGAGCTGAGATTGCACCATTGCACTCCAGCCTGGGCAACAAGAGTGAAACTCCATCTCAAAAAAAAAAAAAAAAAAAAAAAGAAAGAAAGAAAAGAAAAAATAGGAAGGCTAAACCCAGAGGGTTTCTGTTTCTGCTTTTGTGAACCTACCCACTTGGCATTGCTGCCAGGCACATTGAGAACGTCTGGCTGCGGGAGCATGTTAAATGTCTGCCCCATGCTTTGTGCATCAACTAGAGTCACAATGTTCTCGAGATTCAAGGCACATCTGATATTGATCCTAATCTGTTTTTTTAGTGGTGAATTTCTCGGGGCAAATAAGGAGAAAGTGATCATTTTTCTTTCTGGTTTTGAAAGAAAACTTTTATTAACCAAAGAGAGCCTAGCCCCTTGGGGTCACTTTGACTCTAAAATCTTTGACTCCATGACAGATCTAAGTTCTATGATAGGAAGCATTTCTTTATTCTTTTGGTGTGTGGGTTTAGTATAGAGTGTATTTCATTTATTTATCTATTATTATTATTACTTTTCTGAGATGGAGTTGCACTTTTGTTGCCCAAGCAGGAGTGCAATGGAATGATCTCAGCTCACTGCAACCTTTGCCTCCTGGGTTCAAGTGATTCTCCTGGCTCAGCCTCCCTGGGACTACAGGCACGCACCACCACGCCCTGCTAATTTTTTTTTTTTTTTTGTATTTTTAGTAGAAATGGGGTTTCACCATGTTGGCCAGGCTGGTCTCAAACTCCTGACCTCAGATGATCTGCCCGCCTTGGCCCCCCAAAGCACTGGGATTACAGGCGTGAGCTACCGCGCCTGGCCTATTTATCTATTTTATTTTTTTTTGAGAAGCAGTCCGCTCTGTCGCCCAGGCTGGAGTGCGATGGTGTGATTTCACTGAAACCTCTGCCTCCTGGGTTCAAGCAGTTCTCCTGCCTCAGCTTCCTGAGTAGCTGGGATTACAGGCGCCCGCCACCATGGCCCGGCTAATTTTTGTACTATTAGGAGACAAGGGATTTCACCATGTTGGCCAGGCTGGTCTCGAACTCTTGACCTCAAGTGATCTACCCACCTCGGCCTCCCAAAGTTCAGGGATTACAGGCGCGAGCAACTGCACCAGGCAGTATAGACTGTATTTCTACTACTTTTTTGGCTTTTGAACAAATTCAGTTGTTATACAGCTTTGAGATCAGAAATAATTTATTAGCTCATTACCTGTAAAGGAGCACAAGTTAGTCCTGTGGGGAACGTTTGAAGTCTTGGAGAGAAGATCTGCCTTTTTGTAAATAACTGGGCAACAGGAAGACATCCTGCCTCTTGTACCCCCATACCACTTCCTGTTGAATTAGCATTAGTATTAACTGCCTACAGAAAAAGCAGTGCTGAGGCTTTGCAGAACTAGCAGGAGCCGAAAGAGAACTGTGGGGCCCTTTGGGTCAAAATGGGTCATCTGCCATGGGAATAGATGTTGAAGAACACATCAAACTTTGGAAGGTGCTTCCTATGGCCCATATGAAACCAGTGTGAGATGCTGGGGTTTGCACGGGAATCAGCTGTGAGTGCTTATCAGGGGGTGATGGGTAAACCCAGGCCATGTGACTTCACAAAGCCTCTTCTTAGCTTATAACAGTCTGGGTCAAGTTTTCTTTAAAAGTAAACCAGCAAGTTTTGCCATCTGCCTTTGTTTGAGAAGAGATGGGACACTCATAAAAATTGCTTAAAATGGAAGTGGGCAGAGAAACCGTTGGCAGCCAGCCAGGGAAATTTTCTTTGTAAAGGGCATGTAAGCGAGAAGCTTGTTCTGGGACAAAAAAAGGGAAGAGTTCATTAAAGAAGAAAGAAAAAAGATGACGACAACAGTAGTGACTTTGGGAGATGAGACTCAGCCAGAGCTAATTATAGATTGCCTATTTAAGGCATTTTCATGTGACCAAATACAATCTGTGTCTTAAAACAAATTTAAAACATAGGTTAGAACTCAGGCAGCCAATTAGAGGAAGAAAGCAAGCTGTATTCTGTGTAAACAGTTGTCTCTCCAGCTGAGGCTTTGGGGCTCTTGTAAGGGGCTGGTGTTTATTGCAGGTGAGGTTCTAGATGAGCTGCAGTTTGCTCATTTAGAGACTGGCATCCACACCATCTCTTTTGAGCCCCACAAAAATTTGTTAAGTAAGCAAGTCAGTAAAATGATTTTCACTCCATTTTACTAGGGAAGGAACAATGGTTCAAAAAGACAATGGAACAACCTCAAAGATCATTTGATCGCAAGGAAATTGGACCAGAGAAGGAATTGGAACCATCTTCTGATTCCTGCTCCTCTCCTCCTTAACACAGTTTTTTTCAGGAACATGAAGAGAATTCTCAAGTTCTTTTGGGGAAACTTGAGAAAGAGGAGGAGAGATAATTTAGAACCACATATTTTGCTCCCAAAGTATAGGTTTCAAGATTATCCAGTTTACCCTGTCAAAGAACAAGAATCCGCCCTCCCCCATTTCTCTCCCTGACCCGAGCAGTGCACATGAGGCAATCCCTATTGACTTGAAATTATTGAATGGAGATCAGTAATGTCAAGTTGGTATTGCTTAATCAGACAGACTGTTGAACTCTATACTTTTTAAATGTTTGGCCATTTGTGGATGTTTATCAAAAGAGCCAGACTTAGATAAGACAGTCTACAGAAGAAAGCTCCTTTCCAAGAGATAGACATTATTCGCTATAATATAATGGCCCTTTAGGAAAAGAAAAATGCTTTTCACAGATTGGATTAAATTCATATATTAAACTAATTGTGTTATATTGTTGCATAATCGGTCCCTGGCTCAAAGTCATAATTATCAAGTCAACTAGAATACTTTTTTTTTTTTTTGAGACAGAGTCTTCCTCTGTCACCCAGGCTGGAGTGCAGTGGCGTGATCTCAGCTCACTGAAACCTCTACCTCCCCGGTTCAAGCAATTCTTTGCCTCAGCCTCTGGTGTAGCTGGGATTACAGGCCTGCGCCACCATGCCCTGCTAATTTTTATATTTTCAGTAGAGACTGGGTTGCGCCATTTTGGCCAGGCTGGTATCCAACTCCTGGCCTCAAGTGATCCACCTGCCTCAGCCTCCCAAAGTGCTGGGATTACAGGTGTGAGCCACCATGCCTGTCCTTGAGAAGATTTTTTTGTGTGTGTGTGACGGATTCTCACTCTGTCACCCAGGCTGGAGTGCGGTGGTGCAATCTCGGCTCACTGCAACCTCCACCTCCCTGGTTTAAGCAATTCCCCTGCCTTAGCCTCCCAAGTAGCTGAGATTACTGGTGCACACCACCACGTCAGGCTAACTTTTTTGTATTTTTAGTAGAGACAGAGTTTCACCATGTTGGCCAGACTGGTCTCGAACTCCTGACCTCAGGCAGTCCGCCCACCTCAGCCTCCCAAAGTGCTGAAATTACAGGCGTGAGCCACCATGTCCAGCTGAGAAGATTTTTTTTTAATAAGTTGATATTTGGAAAGATGCAGTCCCATACCCTGATCCTAAAACCAAGTAACAAATAAGAATAGGGCTGGGTGTGGTGGCTCATGCCTGTAATCCCAGCACTTTGGGAGGTCGAGGCAGGTGGATTACCTGAGGTCAGGAGTTCAAGACCTGCCTGGCCAACATGGTGAAACCCCATCTGTATTAAAAATACAAAAATTAGCCGGGCGTGGTGGCACACGCCTGTAATCCCAGCTACTCGGAAGGCTGAGGCAGGAGAATTGCTTGATCCCAGGAGACGGAGGTTGCAGTGAGCTGAGATCGTGCCAACACGGGCCTGGCCGACAGAGCCAGACTCTGTCTCAAAAAACAAAACAAAACAAAAAAGAACATATGAGGCTGGCCATGATGGCACTTTATGAGGCTGAGGTGGACAGATGGCTTGAACCTAGGAGTTCGAGACAAGCCTGGGCAACTTGGTGAAACCCTGTCTCTACAAAAAATACAAAAATTGGCTGGGCACAGTGGGTCACACCTGTAATCTCAGCACTTTGGGAGGCTGAGGTGGGCAGATCACTTGAAGTCAGGAGTTCGAGACCAGCCTGGCCAACATAGTGAAACCCCGTCTCTACTAAAAATACAAAACTTAGCCAGGCATGGTGGCGTATGCCTTTCTGTAGTCCCAGCTACTCAAGAGGCTGAGGGAAAATTGCTTGAACCCGGGCAGCGGAGGCTGCAGTGAGCCAAGATCACGCCACTGCACTCCAGCCTTGGAGACAGAGTGAGATTCCATCTCAACAACAACAACAACAACAAAATTAGCTGGGCATGGTGGCCCATGCCTGTAGTCTAGCTACTCGGGAGGCTGGGGCAGGAGGATCGCTTGAGTCTGGGAGGCTGAGGTTGCAGTGAGCAGAGACTGTGCCACTGCACTTCAGCCTGGGCAACAGAACAAGACCCTGTCTCAAAATAGATATAAATAGAGAATGAGAGAGCACGAGCCTGTCTGATCTGGAGCTTCAACTAGATGAATTTTTTTGATGTTCAAAGAGTTATTACTGGCCAGATGCAGTGGTTCACACCTGTAATCCTAGTACTTTGGGAGGCCAAGATGGGTGGATCGCTTGAGCTCAGGAGTTCAAGACCAGCCTGGGCAACATAGCGAGACCCCCATCTCTGTTTTTTATAAAATAAAAAAAAGAAAAGAAAAGAAAATGGGGGCCAAGTGTGGCGACTTACACCTATAATCTCAGCACTTTGGGAGGCTGAGGCAGGCAGATTGCCTGAGGTCAGGAGTTCGAGACTAGCCTGGCCAACATGGTGAAACCTCATCTCTACTAAAAATACAAAAACACTAGCCAGGCGTTGTGGTGTGCACCAGTAATCCCAGCTACTCGGGAGGCTGAGGCAGGAGAATCACTTGAATCCAGGAGGCGGAGGTTGCAGTGAGCCGAGATCGCGCCACTGCACTCCAGCCTGGGTGACAGTGCGAGACTCTGTCTCAAAAAGAAAAAAAACAAAAAAGAGTTATTACTTGTTGAAGTCTCACATCCCCACAAGGGAATGATAGAAACAAATATTTTGCTGGTATTCATTTCTTCATTTCTATTCCAGCTGAGTCTTGAATTCCTGGGCTCAAGCGATCCTCTTATCTCGGCTTCCCAAAGTGCTGGGATTACAGACCTAAGCCACTGTACCCAGCCAACTTTTTATTTTATTTTATTTTATTTTATTATGCCTGTGACACAGCCTCAGGGGTCTTGATGACATGTGCCTGGCAGCCAACTTTTTATTATTTATTTATTATTTGAAACAGAATCTTGTTCTGTCACCCAGGCTGGCGTTCAGTGGTTCAATCACAGCTCACCGCAGCTTTGACCTCCCAGACTCAATCTATCCTCCCACTCAGCCTCCCAGGTAGCTGGGATTACAGGTGTGCACCACCATGCCCAGCTAATTTTTGTATTTTTTGTAGAGACGGGGTTTTCCTATGTTGCTCAGGCTGGTCTCGAACTCCTGAACGCATGTGATCCTCTCGCCTTGGCCTCCCAAAGTGTTAGGATTACAGGCATGAGCCACCACGCCCAGCCTAACTTTTTTTTTATTTTTATTTTTATTTTTATTTTTATTTTTATTTTTTTTTGAGACAGAGTCTCTCTCTCTCGCCCAGGCTGGAGTGCAGTGGCGTGATCTCAGCTCACTACAAGCTCTGCCTCCTGGGTTCACGCCATTCTCCTGCCTCAGCCTCCCCAGTAGTTGGGACTACAGGCGCCCACCACCACGCCCAGCTAATTTTTGTTGTATTTTTTAGTAGAGACAGGTTTTCACCATGTTAGCCAGGATGGTCTCGATCTCCTGACCTCGTGATCCACCCGCCTCAGCCTCCCGAAGTGCTGGGATTACAGGCGTGAGCCACCACACCCGGCCCTAACTTTTTGTTTTTAACCATTAATTATACTAATGCGAATTTGGCAGAACCATAGAATTTAGTCTTGGATGGGTGACGGGCCATCATGGTCACTAGCCAGCCTTCCACCCAACATGGAGATAAGCTCTCCGGAAGCATCCTTCGCAGATGGTCATCCGCCCTTTCTATTGTGAACCTAATTGGAGTCACTGTGAGTTCTCTGTCATGTTAGACTGAAATCTTGTATCTGCTGCTGCCCATTGCCCCATGTGTACCTTCAGGAGCAAGACAGAAAAGTGATCCAAGGGCCCTTTATCTGAAATCTGTGGTCTTATCTTCCTATAATCTCTGCTGCTGCTAAAAACAGGTATCATCATGCACTTCTCAGGTGACGTGCTGTCCATACCTTACAGTTCCCTTAGCTGAGACAATAACCCATGGGGTTTATAGTACAGACTTTCCTCGGAAATGTTACGCTGATTGAAAGAAGCCAGTCGCGGCCGGGCGCGGTGGCTCACGCCTGTAATCCCAGCACTTTGGGAGGCCAAGTCGGGTGGATCACGAGGTCAGGGGATCGATACCACGGTGAAACCCCGTCTCTACTAAAAATACAAAAAAAATTAGCCGGGCGCGGTGGCGGGCGCCTGTGGTCCCAGCAACTCGGGAGGCTGAGGCAGGAGAATGGCGTGAACCCGGGAGGCGGAGCTTGCAGTGAGCCGAGATCGCGCCACTGCACTCCAGCCTGGGCGACAGAGCAAGACTCCGTCTTAAAAAAAAAAAAAGCCAGTCGCAAAGATCATGCACTGTATGATCCATTTAGGTGAAAGTCCAGAATGGAGAAGTCTACAGAGACAGAAAATTGAGTAGTACTTGCCTACCTGGGAGTGGGGTACTGGCGGGTAGAGAGATAGGAAGGTGAGATGAGGTTTCTTTTTGAGGTGTTGGAAATATTCTCAAGTTGACTGGAGTGATGGTTGCACATATCCGTGAAGATACTGAGAACCACTGAACTGTATACTTTAAATGGGTGGCTCATGCCTGTAATCCCAGCACTTTGGGAGGCTGGTCAGGAGTTCGAGACCAGCCTGGCCAACATGTAGAAACCCCAGCTCTACTAAAAATACAAAAATTAGCCGAGCATGGTGGCACACATCTGTAATCCCAGCTACTCGGGAGGCTGAGGCAGGAAAATTGCTTGAACCTGGGAGTTGGAGGTTGCAGTGAACCGAGACTGCGCCACTGCACTCCAGTCTGGTCAACAGAGTGAGACTCTGTCTCAAAAAAAAAAAAAAGGGTGATTTGTATGGTATGAGACCTGGGTTCAAATGTTCCTTCTGCTGCTTGCTAGCTGAGTGACCTTGAACAAATGACTCACCCTCTCCAAGTCTGTTTCCTTATCAGAAACTTGTTGGTATGAGGACCTACTGCATAAGGGGGGTGTGTGGGTTAAATTAGATAAAGCATAGAAAGAGCCCAGGACTGGGTCTGGCACATATTCACCAAGTGACTTCCCCATTGGTTCTTTGAAAATAAGGTGCCCAGAATTGGTCAGAATCACCTATATTTTGCCCCTAGTTTGCTTAGGTGAAAAGCGAAAGGCAAGGGAGGGCAAAGCCTGGGGACATCAGCATTAAAGGGTGTGTGGCACCCAGGGAGACATAGCCCCACCCCAGCAACCTGGAGAGGGAGAAGCTTCCGTGGTGTGGAAGGGGATGTCCGCTGTGGAAAACCTGGGCTCTGTGGACATCAAAATGAGCAAAGAAACAATAAAAAGTTGTAGTAGACTCACTCACTCTATCTACACAAAAAGACGTCTTTGGGGCCCGCATGCTTTCCCTGGACAGAAACCGGACCTCCTCATCTTGCAAGCCTGTTGCCCTCTCAGAAGCCGTGGATCGTCTTTCCTAAGTACAGAGTTGACCTTGAAGTTGTGAAAGTGGAAGCTCAAGTGGAGCTTACTTCAAAGCTTTGGAGATTATCTCACTAACCAGCATTACTTTGCAGAAGTGGGACTAAGGCTCGGAGGCTGGGTTGCTTGGAGGCCAAGCCAGTTCCAGAACCCAGGATTTTGACTCTGCCCCATTTAGCTCAATGCAGTGCCGCCTTCCTTCTTTGACTGTGGACACTTAACTTGCCTTTAAAACTTGGCCACATTTATTTTCATAGTTTATGACATTGACATACCTGTGCATAACTCTGTCTCAGCATTTTAAGGCCCTGGTGGTGCACAGGAAGCCGTGACTAAAATGATAGGTACACTGTTCCTAATACGGGATATAAAAGACTCAACACCACACCTGACAAAAGAAGCTGTTGTCTTAAAGATGCATCTTCCTTTAAAGTAAATGAATAACAAAGGTAGGCCATAAGGAGCTTCTTATCTACTTTAAGCTCTTGGCTGGCTTTTCCAGGAAGTTTGAGGAGATAAATCATGACTCATTTTCTGCAGGGTCAGTGGGGAAACTGGAGAGGTGGCTGTCCCTGTTCCTGCCGGTGCCTGAAGCTTTCAGTGTTGTTCCATCACACTCTGGCTCCATACCTTTCCTCCTGTCCTCCCTCCCTGTTGGCTGGAGTCTAATGTGACACTTCTTCCAAAACACAGAACCGCCTACATTGTGTAAGAAGACTCTCAAAAACCATTGATTGAAATGCTGCTGATGCCAAAAAAAAAAAAAAAAAAAAAAGGGTGGAGAGAGGGTAGTTTAGATCACCAAGAATAAGAACCAACTGGCTGGGCGTTGTGGCTCACGCCTGTAATCCCAGCACTTTGTGAGGCCAAGGCAGGTGGATCACTTGAGGTCAGGAGTTCGAGACCAGCCTGGCCAACTGGCAAAACCTTGTCTCTACTAAAAATACAAAAAAAAAAAAAAAAAAAAAAAATTAGCCGGGCCTGGTGGCGCATGCCTGTAATCCCAGCTACTGGGGAGGCTGAGGTAGGAGAATTGCTTAAAAAACCCAGGAGGGGCCAGGCGCGGTGGCTCACGCCTGTAATCCCAGCACTTTGGGAGGCCGAGGCGGGCGGATCACGAGGTCAAGAGATTGAGACCATCCTGGCCAACATGGTGAAACCCCGTCTCTATTAAAAATACAAAAATTAGCCGGGTATGGTGGTGCACGCCTGTAGTCCCAGCTACTCGGGAGGCTGAGGCAGGAGAATCGCTTGAACCTGGGAAACAGAGGTTGCAGGCAGCCCAGATCGTGCCACTGCTCTCCAGCCTGCTGACAGAGCGAGACTCCCTCTCAAAAAAAAAATTAGCTGGTCCTGGTGGTGCGTGCTTGTAATCCCAGCTACTGGGGAGGCTGAGGCAGGAGAATCGCTTAAAAAAACTCAGGAGGGGCCGGGCATGGTGGCTTATGCCTGTAATCCCAGCACTTTGGGAAGCTGAGGCAGGTGAATCACTTGAACCTGGGAGGTGGAGGTTGCAGTGAGCCGAGATCACGCCACTGCACTCCAGTCGGGGCAACAGAGTGATACCCCATCTAAAAAAAAAAAACAAAAAAACAAAAAAAAAACCCACAAAAAACCCAGGAGGTGGAGGTTGCAGTGAGCTGAGATCGTGCCACTGCACTTCTGCCTGGGTGACAGAGCAAGACTCCATCCCAAAAAAAAAAAAAAAAAAAAAAAAGAACCAACTGTCTGTTAAGTCCTTATCTGTAGAGTAGATAGGACACAGTGGAATGGTCCTGTTGGTTAAAACCAGCTATGGTACACACCTTCATCAACCTTGTTGGGCTTTTTTTTTTTTTTGAGACGGAGTTTTGCTCTCATTGCCCAGGCTGGAGTGCATGGAGGCATGGAGTAGCTGGGATTACAGGCATGCGCCACCGTGCCCGGCTAATTTTTTTTTTGTATTTTTAATAGAGATGAGGTTTCACCATGCTGGCCAGGCTGGTCTCGAACTCCCAACCTCAGGTGATCCACCCACCTCGGCCTCCCAAAGTGCTGGGATTACAGGCGTGAGCCACCACCCCCAGCCATTGTTGGCCTTTTCTATCCCACTTGCCCAAAACCCTGTTGTTGCTTTTGGTTAAGGCCTTTAGATTGAGTTGGAATCCATATAATGTTAGAACTGGAGCGTTTTCAAGGTTGTTCAGTTCACTCCCCACATTTTACAGGCTGGAGAAGTTAAGCAATTTGTCCAGTGTCCTATAAAGGCATTGTAGGGGGGATCTTAGGGAGAAAGACAAGGTTCCTCAGCACCCCTTAGTGATGCATTTATGGACACAGTTAACTTTTTTCCTTTTTTCATTCACGACTTGGGTGTATTTTTTGTTTGCCAGAGTCTCTTCCTCTCTAACCTACAGAAGAAGGAAAAATAGGATCTAAAGGTAGATAGTTCTATAGCTAAAGAATTCCTTTTCTGAATTGTTTAGGAGAGCTGGCTTGGTTTAAACCAGCTATTAGCCGGCATTCATCCAGTTGCCCTCCCACCCTGAACAGCTGTGCTGCGTGTAAGGCAGCCCAGGGAGGGTTTCACCCCCTTGACCTCTCTCCTGCCTGCAGTCCTTGTGCAAAGCAGAGCAAGCAGCTGGTGAGAGTTAAGTTTGTGTTGAGTCAGATCATCTCAGTGTGAGTGCAATCCTGAGATCTGTTTTCAGAAACTAAAAACATTTTATGTTGCTTTAGTAATAAATTTGTTGGTTTGCTTTTTCACGTGGGAGAAGGAAAGGAGAGGATAAGGACAGGGTGGGTACAACAAGTAGGCTCACATGGACGAATTGTGTGGCTCCCACTGGCCAGTGTTGGGTTGCTTCAAAATTTTTTGAACATTTTAGGTGATTGGGTTGTCACATGCTGGCCTCCATACCATATTCACCCCCTGCTCCTTACTCTTGGTGCACATGTCTAATCTAAAGGAGAATCATGCTCTTATAAGAGCAGAAAAAGAAGAGAAATTAGGCCGGGCACGGTGGCTCATGCCTGTACTCCCAGCACTTTGGGAGGCTGAGGTGGGAGGATTGCTTGAGGCCAGGAGTTCGAGACCAGTCTGGGCAACATAGGGAGACCCAATCTCTACAAAAAATTTTAAAAAATTAGCCAGGCATGCCTGTGGTCCCAGCTACTTGGGAGGTTGAGGTGGGAAGATCCCTTGAGCCTGGGAGGTTGAGGCTGCAGTGAGCCATGATCATACCTGCACTCCAGTCTGGGCAGCAGAGCCAGACCCTGTCTCAAAAAAAATAAAGTAGAAATCCCATATTTCCAAGCAGACCCTTGCTTCTGTAGAACTTGACTTGTTACATCTTAAAATCCTACACTTAAGAGTTGGGTAAATTTTGTATGCCTCTAACTTTCTTGTAGAGAAAAGAAAAAGACATCTTTAATATGCATTCACCTTGAACTTGGGACCTCGAAGGGGACTGGCTTTTCACCAGGAGTAAACAGAAGCCATCCACAAGACTGAGGGTTTTCATGCCGGACTTCTCTTTTCCTTCCACAGTTACAGGAGTTTTCTTTAGGGAGTTTTTGTCAAAGCTAGATTTTCCGGTTCTGTTTCCTAAAATGGAAATAGATCATGGATTTCCTTTTTTCATTATTGCAGTTCTGTCATCTGCCATACCTTAGTTTCATTTGTGCCAAATGAGGTGAGTTGTGGCTCCTCTTCATTGTCCAATTGTTGCTGAGTCACATCAGGTGGGCGTTTAAGAGTCCTGCCTTACAGCCTGAAACTCCAGCCGCCCAGCGCAGGCAGCACATAGGAGCTGAGTTTTTCCGTTGGCTGATTGGTTCATTCCAGCGGAGACTGACATTCACCTGCTACAGTCCTGCCTCTGGAATAGCCTGGCACTGCCATATATCAGTATATAAAAGAGAGTCTTCAAACTCTTGACTCCTGTACCACCCAAAAATAATTTTGAAAACAGCATATCCCCTTGCACATTTTGTACATCTGCTTTATTATTTTTATTTTATTTTATTTTAAGACAGTCTCGCTCTTTGCCCAGGCTAGAGTGCAGTGGCGCAATCTTGGCTCACTGCAACCTCCGCCTCCCGGATTCAAGGGATTCTCCTGCCTCAACCTCCCAAGTAGCTAGAATCACCACGCCTGGCTAATTTTTGTATTTTTAGTAGAGATGGGGTTTCACCATGTTGGCCAGGCTGGTCTCAGGTGATCCACCCACCTCCGCCTCCAAAGTGCTGGGATTACAGGTGTGAGACACCACGCCCGGCCTGTACATCTGCTTTACATGTTTTTGTTTGAGGCCGGGCGCAGTGGCTCAGCCTGTAATCCCAGCATTCTGGGAGGCTGAAGCGGGCAGATCACAAGGTCAGGAGTTCAAGACCAGCCTGGCCAACATGGTGAAACTCCATCTCTACTAAAAAATACAAAAATTAGCCGGGCATTGTGGCGGGCGCCTGTAGTCCCAGCTACTCAGGAGGCTGAGGCAGAAGTATTGCTTGAACCCGGGAGGTGGAGGTTGCCGTGAGCCGAGATAGTACCATTGCACTCCAGCCTAGGTGACAGAGTGAGACTCCGTCTCAAAAAAAAAAAATAAATAAATAAAAGTGTTTTTTTTTGTTTGTTTTGGTTTGGGTTCTGGTTTTGGCCAAAATCTTAGAGCTGCATATATGACTCATTTAATTTATGGAAAAGGCCTTTTATATGACCATATTGGCTGTGCCAGTCCTCATCAAATCAATCAGCCTAATCATTCTGACTTTCTGTCAAATAAAATCTCGCTTCATCTGTTAACTTTCTAAAAAGTGTTACTACTCTTCCCTCTCATGGCTTCTGAGTGTTAATATTTCTTTTTTTTTTCTTTTTTCTTTTTTTTTTTTTTGAGATGAAGTCTTGCTCTGTCGCCTAGGCTGGAGTGCAGTGGCGCGATCTCCGCTCACTGCAAGCTCCGCCTCCCGGGCTTACGCCATTCTCCTGCCTCAGCATCCCGAGTAGCTGGGACTACAGGCACCCAACACCACGCCCAGCGAATTTTTTTTTTTTTTTGTATTTTTAGTAAAGATGGGGTTTCACCGTGTTAGCCAGGATGGCCTCTATCTCCTGACCTTATGATCCGCCCGCCTCGGCCTCCCAAAGTGCTGGGATTACAGGCGTGAGCCACCGTGCCCGGCTGAGTGTTAATATTTCTAAGATAGGTACTAGGCAGTTAAGCAAGGAGGTGATGAGACCTGGAGATTGCCGTGGAGTTGGTCAGTCCTGAGAACTCGCTTTCTGCGTTGTTCTTCTAAGACTCCCTTGGGCATCTCCAATTGTCTTTGTGTGTGGTGCTCCAGGCTCCTTTATACTCTGGGCATTTTATCAGGGTAATTTGGAATAAGTCAAGTGCCCATGATTCGACTCACTACTTCCCTCTAGAGGTGTATTCCATTACTGTTCTCTGAAAAGTACCCATTCTAAGCCCCACCAACCAACTGAATGGACCTCAGGGTGCTAAGGGCATTCCAAGTAAACGCGAAAAACTAATTCAGGCCATGATGGGAAGGGAGGGACATGCCTAATTATACCCTCCTCTCTGCAATTCAGGCACAACCGACCAGCATTAACATTAAAACAGATTTTTTTTTTTTTTTTTTTTGATACAGTCTCACTCTGTTGCCCAGGCTGGAGTGCAGTGGCGCGATCTCGGCTTACTGCAACCTCCGCCTCCTGGGTTCAAGCGATTCTCCTGCTTCAGCCTCCCGAGTAGCTGGGTTTCCAGGCGCCCACCTCGGCCTCCCAAAGTGCTGGGATTACAGGCGTGAGCCACCGCGCCTGGCCTGACACTCCTTTTTATTGATTCCAGGTTTTTAGATAATAACCCTTTCAACCCCAATTTCCAATCAGAAAATCTTTGAACCCACCTATGATCTGGAAGCCCCCGCCTTCAAGTTGTCCCACCTTACCGGGCTGAACCAATGTGTACACCTTACATGTATTGACTGATGTCTTCTTGTAACTTCTGTCCCCCTAAAATGTATAAATCAACCTGTCACCCAGCCACCTTGGGCTCATGTTCTCAGGACCTCCTGGGGCTGTATCATGGGCCTTGGTCACTTATATTTGGCTCACAATAAACCTCTTTAAATATTTTACAGAATTCGATTCTTTTCATTGACACCATCAGCCTCTATTGTCTAGATTCTTAGAACAGTGGTTATTTCTGCAGGTATTAACCTCCTCTTAACCAGATTCTATTGATGTTTATAAGCTACTTTTACAAGAGGGTTACACTTGGCAGTCTATCCTTGGATATGGGTGATTCATCCTACCCAAGAAAGCTACATGTGAAAGGAAAGAAATGTACTATATTAACCTACAAGGAAATCAAAGACGCAAGAAAAATGTTTTAAAAAATATATATTGGGCCGGGCAGAGTGGCTCACACCTGTAATCCCAGTACTTTGGGAGGCCAAGGTGGGAGGATCACTTGAGGTCGAGAGCTCAAGACCATCCTGGCCAACATGGTGAAACCCCCGTCTCTACTAAAAATATAAAAATTAGCTGGGTGTGGTGGCGGGCGCCTGTAGTCCCAGCTACTCGGGAGGCTGAGGCAGGAGAATCACTTGAAGCCAGGAGGCGGAGGTTGTAGTGAACCAAGATCACACCACTGCACTCCAGCCTGGGCAACAGGAGCAAAACTCCGTCTCAAAAAAAAAAAAAGAATTGGAACAGGTGTGGTGGCTCACATCTGTAATCCAAGGTGAGGAGGCCAGGATGGGAGGATCACTTGAGCCCAGGAGTTCAAGACCAGCCTGGGCAACATGGCAAGACCCTATCTTTGCATATATGCAATATATATATTTAAACACATATAGGCAAGGTATTCAATTGAACACATTTCCATCGATTCCTGTCTTAGGTGCTGGTCTAGGGAAGTTTAAGATAAATAAGGCATGATCGCTAACACCTAGTTTATTATTTTTTTCTTCTGCTTGCTTTGCATTTAATTTGTTCTTTTCTGATCTCTTAGGGTGGAAACTGAAGTCACTGATTTTGAGACCTTTCCTTTCTAATATAGGTATTTCCTTCTAAGTACTGCTGCGGCTGCATCCTACAAATTTTAATACATTGTGCTTTCTCACCATTCAAAATACTTTCTAATTTCCTTTTTGATTTCTCCTTTGACATATCACGTGAATCATTTACAGTTGTATTATTTAATTTCCAAATATTTAGGTATTTTCCAAATATCTTTTTTTTCTTAAGAGACTGGATTTTGCTATGTTGCCCAGGCTGGTCTTGAACTCCTGGCCTCAAGCGATCCTCCCACCTCAGCCTCCCTAGTAGCAGGAACTACAGGTGCGTACCTGTCATTTTTTTCCAATTTAATTCCACTGTGGTCAAAGTACATACTTTGTATGAGTTGACTTGTTTTATGGGTGGAATATGTTCTGAGTGCACTTGAAAAGAATGTGTATTCTGCTGTTGTTGGGTGGAGTATTTTGTAAATGTCAGTGTGGTCAAGTTGGGTGTTTGTTTTTGTTGTTGTTTTTTTTTAGACAAGATCTCACTCTGTTGCCCAGGCTAGAATGTGTGGTGTGATCATATCTCACTGCAACCTTGAACTTGTGGGCTCAAGCAATCCTCCTGCCTTACCCTCCCGAGTACCTAGGACTACAGGTGTGAGCCACTATACTCGGCTAATTTTTTTTTTTTTTTTTTTTTTGAGACAGAGTTTTGCCCTTGTTGCCCAGGCTGGAGTGCAATGGCGCGATCTCAGCGCACCGCAACCTCCACCTCCCAGGTTCAAGCAATTCTTCTGCCTCAGCCTCCAAAGTAGCTGGGATTATAGGCATGTGCCACCACACCCGGCTAATTTTGTATTTTTAGTAGAGACAGGTTTTCTCCATGTTGGTGAGGCTGGTCTCGAACTCCCGACCTCATGTGATCCACCCGCCTCGGCCTCCCAAAGTGCTGAGATTACAGGCGTGAGCCACTGTGCCTGGCCACTTGGCTAATTTTTGTATATTTTCTAGAGACAGGGTCTTACTTTGTTTCCCAGGCTGGTCTGAAACTCCTGACTTCAAGCAATCCTCCCGCCTCAGCCTCCCAAAGTGCTGGGATTACAGGTGAGAGCCACCATACCTGGCCTAGTTTTAGAATCTTAAACAGTATACTTTGATTTCTATCCTCCCAGCCTTTGAGCTGTGGTCCTCATGCATTTTACTGTTACACACGTTATAAACCCACAGTGTATTGTTTTATTTTTGCTTTAAATAGTCACTTATCTTTTAAAGATACTTAAATAGGCTGGGAGCAGTGGCTCATGCCTGTAATCCCAACACTTTGGGAGGCCGAGGTGGGTGGATCATCTGAGGTCAGGAGTTCAAGACCAGCCTGGCCAACATGGTGAAACCCCATCTCTACTAAAAATACAAAAATTAGCTGGGTATGGTGGCGGGTGCCTGTAATCCCAGCTACTTGGGAGTCTGAGGCAGGAGAATTGCTTGAACCCGGAAGGCAGAGGTTACAGTGAGCTGGGATCGCACCATTGCAGCCAGCCTCAGCCTCCCAAAGTGCTGGGATTACAGGCGTGAGCCACCGCGCCCGGCCCCCAGTCATTCTTTTATTTTATTGTATTTTATTTTTTGAGACGGAGTCTCACTCTGTCGCCCAGTCTGGAGTGCGGTGCAGTGACGCAGTCTCGGCTTACTGCAACCTCCGCCTTTTGGGTTCAAGCGATTCTCCTGCCTCAGCCTCCTGAGTAGCTGGAACTACAAGCATGAGCCACCATGCCTGGCCAGAACCCAGTCATTCTTATCTGTATGTAATGGGTCTTGTTTTCTCTGTCTGCTTTTAAGATTTCCTCTTTATCACTGGTGTTCCGAAATTTAGTTGTGATGTGCCAGAGTTCGTTTTTTCGATGTTTCTTGTGCTTAGGGTTTGTTGAGCATCTTAGATTTGTAGATCTGTAGCTTTTAATAAATTTGGAGAAATATTTGGCCATTATTTCTTTAAACTATTTTTTCAGCCCCCTCCTTCATGGACTCCAGCTATGGGTGTTAACCTGTTTGGGTCATCCCACCGCTCACCAGTGCTCTGTTTGTTTTGTTTCCTCTGTGTTTTATTTTAGGAAGCTTCTATTGCTGTGTCTTCAAGTTTATTAATATTTTCTTCTGCAGTGTCTGATCTGTTAAAATCATTTTTCATCTGAGACATTGTAGTTTTTACCTAGAGTTTGAGGTGGAGCTTTTTAATCTGCGGAGTCTCTACTTGACACACTTGATCTTTCCTTACTTTCTTGTGCATAGGAAGTACAATTATGATAATTTTGAATGTCCCTGTGTACTAAGTCTATCATACATGTCATTTCTGCTCAGTCTTTATTGATTTCTGTCCTCATTATGGGTCACCTTTTCCTGCTTCTTTGTAGTTCCTATTCGTTTTTTACTGGATTTTACCCTCTTGGGTGCTGGTTATTAGTGTATTCCTATGAATATTCTTGAGCTTTATCTTGGAGTAGTTTGACCCTTGCAGGGCTTGCTTTGTTGGGCGGAACAAGGACAGCATTTAGCCTAGGGCTGGCTTTGCCTCACTGTAGAGGCAAAACCCTCTGAGCACTCTTTCTGAACCTCCCTGTATTCTGAGGTTTTCCACTCTGGCTGACAGGAACGGGAACTATTCCTAGCCCTGTAATCCTTTGGGATGGTTCTTTCCCCATGCTCAGGTAGGTTCCTCCCACCCATGCGCTGTGACTCCCTGGGGACCCTTGGGGGAGCTCACTCCCTGTGCAGCTCTCTCCTCTCCGGCGCTTTGTCTGGCACACTCTAGCTGCCCTGGCCTGGCCTCCCCAGCCTCTCAGCCCCATCTCTTGAACATCAGGAGGCTGCTGGGTTCCACCTGGCTTCTCTGCTCTGCACCTAGACTGGAAGCTCCAGGCAGGAAGCTGGGGCAATGGGAGGCGCTCCTGGCTTCGTTTGTATACATTGTATACATTTCTCAGGAATCAGTGTCCTTAGCCTGTTGTCCAGCGGCTGGGAAAGATTGTTTTCTATGTTTTGTTTGCACTTGTAGTTATAGGCAGGAAGGTGACTTAGTCCCTGTTACTCCTATCTTTGCCGGAAGCCCTTGAACTCATAACTCAGTTCTGTGGTAGGAGGAAGTGCATTAAATCAAAAAGCGGTAATCTACTAAATAAGGGATTTCTCTTATGTGTGTAGATGGGAGGCCAAAACATCACTATCTCCTCCATCTGGCCAGACTTTCTGTGCCTAAAAACAGGGCTCACATTCATTAAAGGATTTATTTATTTATTTTTGAGGCAGGGTCTCACTCTGTCAGCCAGGCTGCAGCCTCCACTTCCCAGGCTCAGGTGATTCTCCCACCTCAGCCTCCCGTGTAGCTGGGACTACAGGTGCGCACCACCATGCTCAGCTAATTTTTGATTTTTTTGTAGAGACAGAGTCACATTATGTTGGCCATGCCGGTCTCAAACTCTGGGCTCAAAAGACCTGCCTTGGCCTCCCAAAAGTGCTGGGATTACAGACGTGAACCACCACTCCTGGCCAAAGGATTTTTATTTACTTAGGGTTTTTGGCTGTGGACTGGCTCTTCTTTAGTATTAAAATGATCTAGTTGCATGAATCGCAATCATTTTGTAGATAATAATAATAAAATAGCTAATAGCTCCATGTACTGTCCTAAGAACTTTATATATTCTCTAATTTAGTCTTTAACCAATTCTATGAAGTACTAACTCCATTTTGCACATAAGGCTAGTGAAGCACAGAGAGCTGAAGTATCTTAGCCAAGATTACACAGCTAATAAGTGATGGCCAGGATTGGAATTTGGGGTCTGGCTCCAGTGACTGTGCATTTAATCAACATGCAAAACTGCTTCTGGACAAGTTCTGTTTATCTAGTGAGAGGGCAACTGATACAGGCTCCTTCAGCTTTCAGAACAAGCCTTAGGACCCCATCTCAACCATCTTACTTTCTCTCCAGATTGTCTTTTTTTTTTTTTTTTTTGAGACAGGATCTCCCTGTCACCCAGGTTGGACTGCAGTGGCACGATGATGGCTCACTGCAGCCTTGACCACCCATGCTCAAGTGATCCTCCCACCTCTCAGCCTCCTGAGTAGCTGGGACTACAACAGGCACCACGATGCCTGGCTATTTTTTTTTTACTTTTTGAAGAGGCAGGTTTCTCCACATTGTCCAGGCTGGTCTCAGACTCGTCGGCTCAGGCAGTTGGCCCACCTCCATCTCCCAAAGTACTGGAATTACAGGTGTAAGCCACTGCGCTCGGCCTTCTTTTTCAATGATTGTTTTATTTACATGTGTATGTGTGTATGCCTGGGTCATACATGCTTATGGTTCAGTTTCGCAAGATATAAGAGGATGTTCGGTGAAAACACGTCTCTCATCTGCCTTTCTCCTCTCAAAGCCCCAAGTGTCCTCCCCGCCCCACACCCTCTCTTCAATTTAATTATCTTTCCAGAGGCCGTCTTCACAAATAAAAGCTAGGAATAAATGGCAGCACACAATCCCCTTTCTTCTATACTTTGTCATTTAACAAGTTGGTTTTTTTTTGTTTTTTGTTTTTGAGATGAAATTTCGCTCTTGTCACCCAGGCTGGAGTGCAATGGTGCAATCTTGGCTCACTGCAACCTCCGCCTCCTGGGTTCAAGTGATTCTCCTGCCTCAGCCTCCCAAGTAGCTGGGATTACAGGCGCCTGCCACCATGCCCGGCTAATTTTTCTATTTTTAGTAGAGACGGGGTTTCACCATGTTGGCCAGGCTGGTCTTGAACTCCGCCTGCCTTGGCCTCCCAAAGTGCTGGGATTATAGGCATGAGCCACCACATCCGGCCTTGTGTTTGTATTTTTAAAATAATGGTTGTGGGGCCATGCGCGGTGGCTCGCTCCTGTAATCCCAGCACTTTGGGAGGCCAAGGTGGATGGATCACTTGAGGTCAGGAGTTTGAGACCAGCCTGGTCAACATGGTGAAACCCCGTCTCTACTAAAAATACAAACATTAGATAGGCATGGTGGCAGGTGCCTGTAATCCCAGGTACTTGGGAGGCTGAGGCAGGAGAATTCGCTTGAACCTGGGAGGTGGAGGTTGCGTTGAGCCAAGAGCGACCCACTGCGCTCCAGCCTGGATGACAGAGCGAGACTCCATCTCAATCAATCAATCAATCAATAAAGGTTGTGAACACTATCAGAGGGTCACCTCAGCGAGGAATGACAGTAGCCAGTGCATTTATCTGTTAGTAAACTAAGAAACAAATGACCATAGATTAATTCCTTTTTATTTATGACCTTTTACTCAGTTCGGTCTACAGACTTAATCTGTGCCTGGTCCTAGGGGTAGAAAGGTCTGTGACTTGGTCCCTGCCCCCAGGCAGCTCATCTTCTGGAGGGAGACGCAGCAGAAGTAGCTGCTGTGATGTGGCATGTGCTCTGCTGGAGAAAACTGGATCTTGAAACAAGGAAAAATGTTTCTAGAATGCTCTTAGGACATGCTGCCAAGGACTCTTGATGGTGTTGCACTTGATGGTGAATGCCTTCTGGAAGCAACCCGAGTGGAGGGCAGGGAGTTACTTTTGCTACGGAGCCAGCTCAGAGTGGATTCTGTAAGCTGAGCCTCATCTGGAGCTTGAGTCCGCACCTCCCTGCAGAATTGCCGGGCTTCATGCAGGCAATCAGCTGCCTGTGATTGGAGGGCTGGTGCTGGTAGGGATAATGAACTTGGTAGTGTCGGCAGAGGTGATTGGCCGGGCTCTGCTGCAGTGAGAATGCAGACTGGATGCTCGGGTCCTCGGCTTGGGTGATGAGCGAGGACAGCTGAATAACTGGGAGCTCGAAGTTGCTTGCTGCCTCCGGGAGTGGTCTGCTTGGCTGTCGCGTTTTCCTTTTCTTTTTTTTTTTTTTTAAAAAAAAGCCAAACGTTTGCTCACCATCACCTGCAGAAGTGAGTTTTTATTGAAGAAGCTCCAGCTGCTTTCTCCTTATTGCCGGCAGCCTGGCAAGCCTCCCTTAGAGTGAGCTACTTCTCAGGCCGGGCACGACAGCAGTGCTAGCACATTTGAAAAAGCAGGAAACCGCCCCTGCATGCAGAGCTTCCAGCCTGAGAACCCCAGGCCCGTCCTCCCAGCAGCTGTGTAGCCAGAGAGCGTTGGTACTGTGGTCACATCCCTCAAAAGTGAACAGTCGCCATCAGAGGCGTTTGGAGGAGACCGTGATGTTGCAGATGCTGTGGCATTTCCTAGCTAGCTTTTTCCCCAGGGCTGGGTGCCACGGCTCCAGAGAGGGGGACGATCGTGAAGTCAGAGGCACCCCAGCCCCTGCCTGGAGAGACCAGATGGCAAGCTTTTTGGGGAAACAGGACGGAAGGGCTGAGGCCACGGAAAAAAGACCCACCATTTTGCTGGTGGTTGGACCTGCAGAGCAGTTTCCTAAGGTAATGTTGGCCTCAAGAGGACCTCCTAGTTTAGGGCCTGGTCTGGGATCATTTTCCTGGGGAAAAAACGAGTGTGGGGAGGAAGGGAGAACTCACAACGTTAGTTCGGGGTTCAGGGAGAAGTGGTAGGCAATGAGGAAGCCCACAAATGCAATCTAAAATCTTTCTGTGGCCCCTGTGAAAGCTGCATTACCCACTGCGAGCACCCCAGTGTGGCTGTTGAGGGAAGGAAGGTTGCAATAGACTTGCCTTAGGATTTGTTAGTTTGGCTGAAGAAAGCCATTTGAAAGTGAGGGGCAGCCTGTGAAAGTGTGCCTTAGCTTATCCGAACAGCTCAGGAAGGGCGAAGCTAAAGGGGCGAGAGAGTGTGCCTCGACCGTGGAACCCAGTTGCTTGGAGCTGTGGGGGTGGTCTTGGCATCCTGAAGGTCACAGTCCCCTTGCCTGGGTCCGACCCATCTCTCCTTTGGGTCTGGGAGGAAGAGTGAAGGCATGAGACTGGGTCCGAGGAGAGGCTGGAGTCATGAGGCGCAGAGGCTGGTGCCCCTCTGGAAATGACTGCGGCCGCTGCGGGTCTGCCAACTGTGGGGTCTTTCATCCTTCCTGAGCCCAGAGCGTGAGTTACCATCCTCACAAGAGCCAAGGTAAGTGGTAGTATCCCCATTTCGTAGATGAAGAAACTGAGGTGCAGAATGGTTACATTATTTGCCCAGGGTTAAACAACTAAAGAGAGGTGGAGCTGAGATTTCACCCCCAAATCCTTGTCCTGTGCTGCCTCGTTTTCCCCTTAGGAAAGCAGTTTTTAAGGAGACTAATGGAGTGCTCAGTATTAGAAAGGAAATTGCCACTTGGCTCAGATTTCTCCTCCCTGCTGTAGGAGTGACCTCGTTCACCTCCTGAGCTTTGGTTATTTTCAATCTTTTTACTTAGGAGAAAAATCAGAGAAGAAAAGGAGATTCTGCCCGTTTGGCACATTATAGATACCACAGAGATGTTAAGATGAATTGCTACATTTAAGAAATAAAAGCTCATTTTGCCTTTGCTACTAGGGACTTTTGATGTAATAACATTTGCAGTCATGTGGGCACTGGGGAGAAGTCTTCGTCTTTGATGGGTTCCTTCTGAGCAAAGCAGTGGGTCTCTCAGAGACTGTTATGCCTGAGATGTCTTTGCTTAATATTCAAAGAGAGGGTGTCACTTTGTACCTTTTGATTGTTTTAGACAAGATTGGAATGGCTGTGGCACTAGCTTTGTGAGGAACTTTTATCTATAGACCTGCTTGCCTTATTACTACCTCGAATGGCCGGCTCCTTTTAAAATCACCTATTTTTGTCTTTAGCAGTTAACTGCTCTATTTTTCAGCATCATACAGTACCCCCTTGCCAGCTCTCCCCCCAGGGACTGCCTAGGATAGGACTGTCTGTTCTGAACAGCTTAGTTCCTGGCCTGCAGAATCAAGAGACCCACACCTTTTACTGGCTGATCCCCAAAAGAGAGACAGTTCAGCTGGCTGCAAACTGGGGGAGCCCCAAGTGGGATATGGGGCAGCTGGTTGGGCTTGAAGCCAGAGAGAAAGCAAATCTGAGAAGCATAGACTCTCAAAGCAGATAGACCAAGAACTGGAGTAACAGGAACATGGATGCAGCCCGCATCCTTTTCCAGAACAGTGCTCTGAAGGTGTTTGGGGTTTGTGATCACTGGCTGATTGGGGCTGGCCTCACCAAATCACAAAAAGGACCTCCAGAATGTTCTGGAAACATTTTTGAAAAGTTCACTTTAGGCCAGGCGCAGTGGCTCATGCCTGTAATCCCAGCACTTTGGGAGTCTGAGGTGGACAGATCACGAGGTCAGGAGTTTGAGACCAGCCTGGCCAATATGGTGAAACCCCGTCTCTACTAAAAATACAAAAATTAGCTGGGCGTGGTGGTGCGTGCCTGTACTCCCAGCTACTCAGGAGGCTGAGACAGGAGAATCGCTTGAATCCAGGAGGCGGAGGTTGCAGTGAGCCAAGATTGTGCCGCTGTACTCCAGCCTGGGTGACAGAGCAAGACTCTGTTTAAAAGAAAAAAAGAAAAGTTCACTTTGGTTCTCGGGCTTCTCAGTGTCCCAGAAGCACTACTTTGTTTTGCTCTCACTTCCCCTGTTTAAATATGTCTGCTAGTGAGTCAGGTTCCTGCAAGCTTTTATTCTAGGAACTGTTCCAGTTTTTCCCTTTATCTTTGTCTTACAGTTAATCTTCAGTTGGAGAAGAAAGCCATTACTCTGGAGTGGGAGGTGCCCTCAGCGGCATTCAAGCTTTCAAATCCTGAGGGGCTGTCTTCTCGGAAGCACAGAGAATTTTGCTTATTGTGTGTGTAACTGCCAAGTGTAGGCAGGTTTCATTGGAAACTGGCTACACTAGGCTGTCATGGCAACCTGATCATCAAATGACACTGTGGCCACAGCCGCCAATGAGGTTTGAGAGCCTTAAGGGTGGGTGGGGCTTGAGCGGCTGGATGCTGGCAAAGCTTCCTCATATTAATATTTCTGGCTCAGCCTGAGTCATTGCAGAGGAGGGGAGAGGAACTTTCTGACCTAATGCTACACTCCCAGAGGCACTGTACCTGCCCTGTTCTTATTCATGGTATTCCGGCCTTTACCTGAAGCACCTGCTTTCTTCTGGCATGTAACATAGTGGTAGAACAAGGAAAGCTTTTGGTGGCATTGGCAGATTTGCTGTGAGAAGATGCTCAGGAGAGGAACTGCTACTTTATAGATTAATTGCAATCTGATGCCACTGAATCCTAAGGGACCTAGTGTTGCTGTCACTGTTTCCGAATACTAGTCATAGGAATGGACATCGGAGGAGCTGAAACAGATGAGGGTCTGTGCCACAAAGTCAGAATAATAAAGAGCAGCGAGGCATCGCACACAATGCGCGTTGTGCCCAGATCTTGGAGTGTCAAGAAGGCCGGTGTGAAGCATCAGGGCTGAAACCCGAGGCCTGCTTTAGTTCCTCCATAATCTAGTTCTCACAGAGGCATTCAGAAGCTGTGACACAAACACCGTTTTTGGTTGTATTTAGCTAGGGCTCAACTTGCTCAAGTTACACCTTTCCCACACACCTGCCGCCTTCCAGTATGAGGTATCACCTACTGTCTGGCTTACCGGCATCCTTTGGGAACTGAATACTAAAATCTGTTTTGGGTGCTGTTTGAAGTGGATGTTGTAACAAGAACCCTGGGTGCAAGGCCCTGCCCTGCCCTTGACAGGCTTTGGGAATTGGGCAAATCAGGTCGCCTCTCCCAGGCCTGTTTGCTCAACTCGGAGATTAAGGGATGATCCCAGAGCCCCTCTGGGCCCCCACAGTCTGCAGTTCCAGGAATACAGCAGTTGTCCTGGACACTAGCACCTAGAGATGGGCTTATTTGGGTAGAACTCTCCATTTTTATATGAACATGGAGTCTTGAGTTACCTGTGAAACTCAGTAGGATGGATGATTTAAAAAACCAAATGCCAATTGAAGTTTATCCAATGAAGACATTCCATGAGACTCAGTCACAGCAGCAAATAAGTTAGAACCCTTTTAAAAATTAGCTGGGTGTGCTCGTGGGCACCTGTAGTCCCAGCTACTCGGGAGGCTGAGGCAGGAGAATCGCTTGAACCCAGGAGGTGGAGGTTGTAGTGAGCCAAGATCGCGCCACTGCACTCCAGCCTGGGCGACAGAGCAAGACTCCATCTTAGGAAAGACAAAGAAAAAAGAAGAAGAATACAGGTTTCACTTTTATTTAGTATCATTTTCAAATCTCAGATTTCTTTTGTTAAATACATTATAAAACTCAATGGTACAGTAATATGTGCCATAATTATTTTTAAAATATACTTTAATAGAAAGTGAAATCTCCAATTGAACTTATTCAGTCAAAATATTTGCTTTTTTATATTAGAATGACTGCAGTCATCACTAAAATGAGATATTCAACAGATCTGTATAATTTAGTTTCAGAAGCAAACAATAATTTAACAAAGGAAGACCAGCATTTTTTTTAATAGGGCAACATCTCATTTTATAAAGTAGAGTGAGCATTCCTAAAGACCAGCATTTTAGGGTTCAGCTTTTATTTATAAATGTGAACCTCCTTTAAAATAAAATAATAGAGGCTAGGCGCAGTGGCTCATACCTGTAATCCTAGCACTTTGGGAGGCCAAGGCAGGCAGATCACTTGAGGCCAGGAGTTGGAGACCAGCCTGGCCAACATGGTAAAACCTAGTCTCTACTAAAAATACAAAAATCAGCCAGGCGTGGTGGTGGGCGCCTATAATCTCAACTACTCGGGAGGCTGAGGCACAAGAGTCGCTTGAACCTGGGAGGCAGAGGTTGCAGTAAGCCGAGATCGTGCCACTGCACTCCAGCCTGGGTGACAAGAGTGACAGTCTGTCTCAAAAATAATAATAATAATGATACATTATCTTGTCCATTTGAATATAATGCCCTGACAACTCTATTTGCAGATGCTCAGAAAAATAGGCCTTCATCAAGCATGGTTATAAGTTTGTTTCTTGGGGTCTTAGAGCCCCCTGAGCTAATTCACTCATTTGGAAGCTGTTCATGAAGCACCTTATTTGATCAAGGCAGGAGGTTATTTCCAGACAAGGAGGTCCAAGGGTTTGAAGTAAGAGCCTTCTACCTTCAAGGACCCTGGTGGTAGAGATAAGAGGCGTGTTAAAATAGCCCAAGGCAGAACATTCTGGATTGGGCAGCTTAAGAGATAGCTGAGTGTCATGGATTTAGCGGAGGCTGAGCAGGAATCTGCCTGGATAATCCAGTGCGACCTCATAGGATCCGTCACTAGGGTAGCCCAAGACCTGTTCTCACAGACTCGTTATCAGATCTCTGTTAGAAGGCCCAAATGTCATATCACTTGTCATAATCTCTGTTTCATAATGTTGTGTGTAAGTATCAACATCTTGTAACACCCTCTTTACGAGTTAACAACAAGCGTTTTAGTGCATTAAAAAGTCCTTTTACTTCTGTGATCCCCAAGTAATAACTATCCATTTTTATCCATCCCGGTAGTGGGAAGATATAGTCTATATTAGGAAGTGGCGCACTGTAGAAGGAACAAGGGTGAGACTGAGCCTGTTCTCATCTTGGTGACGTGGTCTCTTCCTCCGCAGCACGAATCTGTGGGGAAGGAATGAGTGGAGAATTCAGGCCGGCCTGCAGAGAGGGTCGTCCTGCCCTGAAAGGGTCGTTCTCGAGCTGTGTTGCCCAGTGAAGTTTCCGCTGTGGCAGAAATGCCCAGTGACTATGCGTGGCTATCCTGGGGAACTGAGTTTGTAATTTCATGTCATTTTAATGAATTTACTTTTTTGCATGAGACACAGTTTCACTCTGTCACACAGGCTGGAGTGCAGTGGCACAATCCTGGCTCAGTACAACCTCCGCCTCCTGGGTTCAGGCAATTCTCGTGTCTCAGCCTCCCCAGTAGCTGGGATTACAGGCGTGTGCCACCACGCCTGGCTATGACTTTACATTTAAAAAGCTTCTGTATTGAACAGCAAAGTTCTAGCTGTGACTAAGACTGGGCTCCTACGTGTTCTGAGCGGACGTGGGCGTTGAAGACTGTGGGTCTCATGTGAGGCCTCGACTGACCCCAGATTGATGCTTCTGGGGAGTCCTTTGGCATGGTGTCCTCTTACCAACCCCATCATGTCAGCTCCTGGGCACTCTGGGGCTCCTAGGTGAAGGCTGGTGCTCACATTGCAGAATGGCCTGGAAGAGGTTTCAATGCAATGTGGGCTGTGGAGGGCTGCAGGTTCCCTGGAGCAGGAGCCAGCTAGAACTGTGCCTGGAGCCGTGTGTGGCCAGGGCAGCTCCCCTGTGGGATACATGGGCCCATAGGGGGGTCCACTTTCCAGGGTGGCTAGGCACCTGGCTCTCGGCCACCCCTCAGCCTCCTATCCTCACAGCTGAACTGGGCCCGTTTGCAGTGGCAATCAGCTCTGTCTCTCTCCAACTACTGATTTTTTGGTTGGGAATGATTTACTAAAAGGAGAAAAACTGTTGTGTGACACGTTTGGGGACCTTGTGTGAAAGCAGCCATAGGCTGTTTGTTCATCTGAAGGGGTTGGCAGCTAGAGGGTGAAGGTTTGTTTGGGCTCTGTACCTGGTACCCAGGCAGGCAGAACGCACCACCCGGCCTCTTCTCCAAGAGTTAACTGCAGGGAGGGAGCGGTGACGTCAGCCCTGATCTTTGTGCCTCTCACTTGAGCAACCTGATGCCACCTTCTCCCCCGGGCTCTGTGTTCATTGGCTGTTGGCAGGACTTGCCGTGGGAGGGCTTTTTTCTTTTTTCAATTAAGTAAAAGGGCAGGGCTTAAGCAGCCAATGACAGCTGAGGCCAGGCTTGTCTTATGCAAGTTTCCCGGGACCGGCAGCATTTAGGGAACTTGCTCCCGGTGGTGAGGGCAGTGGAGCACCCAGCAGGCCGCCAACATGCTCTGTCTGTGCCTGTATGTGCCGGTCATCGGGGAAGCCCAGACCGAGTTCCAGTACTTTGAGTCGAAGGGGCTCCCTGCCGAGCTGAAGTCCATTTTCAAGCTCAGTGTCTTCATCCCCTCCCAGGAATTCTCCACCTACCGCCAGTGGAAGCAGGTCTGTGGGGTGACCGCGCGGAAGGGAGAGGCGCATTCAACCGGTATTTGTTGAGTGAATGGCTGAGCATGCATGAACCATCCCCCACTGAGAGGAAAGAATGTCTGAAATGTAGCAGTTTTTTCCCATTGCCATGCGGCTATGGCCGGCACGTGTACGTCACAGGAGTGACCGGTTTTCATGTGACTTCCCAGGAAGGCTGGAATTCCAGCGAAGGCTGTTGTGAGAAATGGACTTTCAGAAAGGAAATTCCTTTTGCTGGAATGAGGGGGGTGTTCCTGAGAAGTACAGAGCCAGAAAGGGACCTGGGGGGCAGGCCAGTAGTGCATGGGAGGAGAAGGCAGGGAGGCCCAGGAGTTGAGGGTGCTGCGTGGTGGAGCTGCCCGTCCCTGGTGTGGGGGTGAGGGAGCCTCCCGCCTTCTCGACTCTCAGACATCGCTGTGGAACAGGGCCTGTGTCTGCCCTGAAAGTGAGGAAGCCGAGCTGCAGAGTCCGGAGGCCCCTTGCCACCTCGGCTTCTCGGTTAATCAGTTTCCCTGCTACCCCCAGTGCCCACTGTGCACCAAGGGGGATTTGCAGATCCAAGGAAGGAGACAGAAGGAGGCCCAGGCCCTGTGAGGCAGAAGCAAGCACTTTGAGAATGCGTTGAAGCCAGCTGCGGTGAGCACACCCTCTGCTCTGGGTGTCTGCGACAGCACCCACCCCAGGGAGGCATGTGGCTCACCCTGGCAGCAGGCGGCTGGGTCCCAGAGGGCTCCATGCCTGATGTTCGCCTCCTGCCTAAATGGCTTGTCCACTCTATTTCCATTCCTGTTAGAGATTTGGAGCAGTCACCCTATAGGTGATTTATGTCACTCTTGTCTGAGAGCACAGATGTCCACAGGAAGTTAAATGTAACCTCAGCAGATAAAATATGTACCTGCATCTGTCCTACATTCCAGCCACGCCCCTCACATTAGCCTTTTGATCGCGCCAGGTCATGGGGTATCTGTTCAGGCCTCCCTGCCCCTGACACCTTTGGCAGCTGAGGAATCACAAGGCGCTGTCAGTAGTGTGTCTAAGAGAGAGGCGCGGTGGTGATCCTTTGAGGACGCGAGCTAGCCAGTGGGCCATCCATTTCCAAACCCCAGCTGGCTGTCAGTTGATTTCTCCCAGTGAGAAATCCGGAGGACACAGGAAGACTATACCATCTTCCTTGGGAGATTCTCGGTCCCAGTTTTGGGTTCCGGATTCAGGGCGTTGCTGAGTTGGGGTGACTCACTTTCATCCCCCATGTTCTGAAGGTTAGCCTTGAGGGTGGCGGCAGGATGTGCAGGGAGGCGGCTTGGGAGGACCACGGCCCAACTTGCATCCCGCCCACCACTTCCCTAGCTGTCTGACCTTGTGTAAATGTTTAGGCTCTCGGAACTCCTGTTTCCTTCTCTGTAAAATGGGGGAAATGACATTTCCTACCTCCTAGAGCTGTTTGCGAGGGGGGTAAGTGGGTTGCTAGAAGTAAAGCATTTGGCACGCCCTGCGGCCGGTGCTAGGTGCTGGGGAAATGTGTGCTCTCGTGGAGCTGTCCCAGTTGCCAACCATTAACAGCTGCTGAACAAAGCCCACCTCCTGGGAGGCGGGGGCGGGGGGGGTTACTTTTGGAACCTCATTGCCAAGGAACAGTCTCTCAAAGCCTTCTTGGGACACTAAAGTGCTTTTCAGTGAGTGAGCGGGAGAGCCAGGGCAGCTCTATCACCTGGCTTCCCTGAGAGCAGGGACTGGCAGTACCATCATACACATGCCCTTGGCTCCTTACACTTCCCCGGCCTCGGGTGCTGTGGCAGAGTCTGGCTCTGCCCCCGATTTTCACCTGCCCACCAAATTATTCTCGGACCAATGCCAGTTTTAGGAGAGAAACAGCGAGCTGCAGAGTTCCTGTCAGAAACTGGACTCCATGGCCATCCCCAAGTCTCAGCAGGGAGCATGTGTGGTTGAAGCCTGGGTCCAGGGACCCAGGGACGGCGCTGCAGCGAAGCCACCCTGCTCACCCTGGCTGTACGGCACGCAGGTCTTCAGACTGAGAAAGTGCCCAGCTGTCCCTGTCGGCCTCTGTCCGGAGGGCTCTTCCCAGGCTCCTTGTTTCCTCTCTGCTTGAGAGGGAGACAAGATTGGCCCTTGCCTGGGTTCTGGCCAGCACCTGGGGTTCTAGGTGGTGGCTCTGGCATGTAAGTCGATTGCCATGGTGGCTCTGAGAGTGGAGCAGAAGCATCTTGGGTCCTTGGGGCCAGCTCTGCTCGCAATTAGTGAAGTCATTGCCTGGGGATGGGGCCCCACAAGGGACAAGGAAAGGCTGGTCCAGGAGCCAAAAGACAAAATGTTACCTTTCTTTTCTAGAAAATTGTACAAGCTGGAGATAAGGACCTTGATGGGCAGCTAGACTTTGAAGAATTTGTCCATTATCTCCAAGATCATGAGAAGAAGCTGAGGCTGGTGTTTAAGAGTTTGGACAAAAAGAATGATGGTAAGTGTTGCCTTCAGAGCTGTGGCCGGTCCAGCCTCGGGCCTCCCCGTGCGCCTGGCTCCTGCTCACGGCCTCTGTTCTTGCAGGACGCATTGACGCGCAGGAGATCATGCAGTCCCTGCGGGACTTGGGAGTCAAGATATCTGAACAGCAGGCAGAAAAAATTCTCAAGAGGTGAGTGCTCAGCCAGCCTCTGTGTTTGGTTTAAGTGTGATGAAGGGAAGGCTCTGAGACTAACCCTCCGATGCCATTCCCTGGGCTGACCCTGAACTTGGCCTTCTCGTGGTTTGAAAGGATGAATAAGTAACCCCTGTGGGAGGCCAGCCCCTCCCCAGGGTTGCAGGCCTGCTTTCATTGGAAGAATCACAGATCACCTGGAATTTTGCCCATCGGCCAGTGGCCCATGAAGGGAAAACTAATTTGGGGGTGGTTCAAATAGGTAAAAGGCCAGCAAGGAGCACCTGTGCGTGTGGAGGGGGCGGGGCGGGGCGGGGGGCTCACACTGCAGCCTCGTTCCCAGGTGAATTTCTTCCCCATGCTGGTAACTTGCACTTAACACTTTAGTCAGAGGCGCTGCCCCAAAAGATAGCTCCCTGGTGCGGGGCGGCTGCCAGGAAATCTCATGGAACAGCCCTGGGAGTTGCCGTCTGTCCTGGCTGGACCTTCCGGAAACCCTGCGGTCTGAACACTGGCTGGTCCTCGGGGACAGCAGCCCTGGGCTCAGCTGCTGTGGCGGGCTCGTCTCGTGCCGTGCTGTGCCCCTGTCTCTGGGTGTGTGCTTGCTTCACTAACATGGCTCCGAGCACTTATGCGTGTTGTTTCTGCTCTCTCCTCCGCATCCTTTGTCTGTCTGTCAGAATACGAACGGGCCATTTCTGGGGCCCTGTCACCTAGTAAGTATCCATGTCGCTCATGACTGCCTCCCTTGACTTCCATGCCTGATCAGAGCGGGATTCTTGTGGGCCATTATATTGCCATTGTTGTGCTAAGTGGGGTGTGGAGCCCCCTGCTCTTTCTCCTGGGGGCAGAGGCACCTCGTGTGGTTTCTGGGCATCCGAATGCCTGCCCTTGGCTCACTGGGAGGTGGGGGGATGCAGCTGGCGGATGGGCATGTGGGCACGTGGGCAGCCTCGCCTCTGTCTTGCAGCATGGATAAAAACGGCACGATGACCATTGACTGGAACGAGTGGAGAGACTACCACCTCCTCCACCCCGTGGAAAACATCCCCGAGATCATCCTCTACTGGAAGCATTCCACGGTGAGCCCCACGTGCCCAGGGCCCTCATCTGCTCCCAGGGACCCTTAGCCCAGAGTCACCCAGTCGTCCCCATCCCAGAGTGCAGCTGGGGCTTTCCAGCCACCTCCTCTTCCACAGGAGACTGTCCCCTCTTCTGCCAGCCCAGTAGAGCTGTCCGCATGTTCCCCATGTTCTGGCACTCCAGCCAACCTGAACAGCCCCATCGTTCACACACACAGGCTTCCTCTTCCAGGAACACCCTCCGTCCCCACATGCTCCCTGCTCCCTGCTCCTCATGGGCCACTTCAAATACCCCTTCCCATGATGCTGTCTGTTCTCCCAAAGCTGGTATGAGCCTTCCCCCCGGTGGGAGGGGGCTGGGGCAGAAGCTACTCTACAGAGAACACCTAGGCAGAGCTGTGAGGTGTCCCCACGGTCACACATTTGCTGCCCTCTCGCCCCCGTCCACTGTGGTTTCATGTTCAGAAATGTGAGTCTGTGCTGGTCTCTGCCCCGAGCCCTTCATGCTTGGCGTGTCCCTCTCTGAGTCCTGGTGTGCAGTCCTGTCCCTCTGGACCATCCGCTCCAGGAGGGGAGGCCAGAGGCGCTCCTCATCTGCCTCTCGCAGTGCCAGGCCAGGGCTTGTTAGGTGAGATTAAATGGACAGCTCCAGGGGTGGGAGTAGCTGGCCCAGAGCTCTGGCCTTTAGCCCTGGGATCAGAGCAGAGGTGGCTCTGATCAGCCCGGATGTCACCCGGAGAAAGGTTACGCAGGCAGCGAGCCCTCGTGTTTGCTGAGGCGTTGCATAATGTTCTGCCAGCGTGATCTGGTTACACGTGAGATCTCAGACGGCTCTCACCCCGGCCTGATCCCTTCAGCGCAGCCAGCCTGGCAATCTCACACAGGCCTGTGAGCTGTTCTTGCAGTAGCTCCCTGGCAGCATTGGAAAGGGCCGGTGAATGGTTTTCTAACCGGCACCTCCCGGCTGTGTTCAGCTGAGGTTCTATACCTGTGCCTCTCCAGGACCCCAGCAGGGGTGAGAGCTCTGCTACCTTCAGAGTGAAGGGAAAGACCCCAGCCCGCTTCCCACCCAGAGTCCTTGGCCTTCTCCCTGTCCTGTGGTCCCTGGCCTGGAGCCGTGCTAGAGGGTAGACGGCGACAGGTGCCAGCAGCCTTGCCCCAAGGGTCCTGAGTCAGGCTTGTGCCATCTTTCCTCACAGATCTTTGATGTGGGTGAGAATCTAACGGTCCCGGATGAGTTCACAGTGGAGGAGAGGCAGACGGGGATGTGGTGGAGACACCTGGTGGCAGGAGGTGGGGCAGGGGCCGTATCCAGAACCTGCACGGCCCCCCTGGACAGGCTCAAGGTGCTCATGCAGGTATGTAGGGAAAAGGCCCCAGACCCCTGGGGGGCCAGTTTCCACCTGGGGGATGCTGCTTGGCTAGTTTTCCCTTTCTCTGGCTGGTGCCTGCTTTGGGCCCAAACTTTTCTAACCCAATAAATTAGACTAGAATTATTGCTCAGACAGGGGGTACCAAAATGTCACTGTAGGTGACATTTTGTGCAGAGCGGATCTAATTTTATCTGAGGCATCACATTACAGGGGCATAATGTGGACAGGTGAAGCTAGCGAGACTGGGGTGAGGCAGGAACCAATTTCTGTAAGTACGTTTTGTGTACGTTACCCCACACTGGGGCCAGCAGAGCCTCACCTGACCCAGATGCCAATGGGAAGCCACGCCATTACCTTGGCCAGGTACGCAAATCCATGTCCACACAGCAGAGATAAGCTGGGCTGATGTCAAGGCAGAATTGTGAAACTGACCCACACAACGACACTGGTGGACTTTGATGTCTGAATGGTGACTGGCCACCACTTGTCCCCTTGCCCGTACCTAGTACTTCTTGTGCCAGGAGCCCGGCTTGGAAGAGCTGCCTCCTTTCTCTCCCCAGTCTGCCTTGCTGGGCCTCCCTGTGTTGCACAGAGACAAAGGAAGCAGGTGGTTCAGGGCAGAATGCCTCGGGCTTGGACTCTGCCCAGGGCACCACCACAGCTGCCTCCCTCCCTCTTGTGGCCTTGAGCAAACCCCTTTCCCTCCCAGGACTTCCCCTCCTCTGTGAAAATAGGGGCTTGAACAACTGCCTCATCCTTTTGTTTTTTTAGCAGAATTATCAGGAATGTTGTAGAGATTGAAAGCAGGCCTTGGGTGAAATCAAATGCCTGGCGTGTGCCTTTAAACCAGCATGGGTGGGGCAGCAGGAGAGAGAGGTTGGCTGTGGTTTGATCATTGTCTAAGCTGAGTGGGCATTCATTCTATTTTTTAATATGTCTTAAGTTTTTTTAATAATGAAAAACTTTGATTTTTAAAAATTATTATTATTATTATTATTATTATTATTATTATTATATTTTTTGAGACAGTCTCGCTCTGTCACCCAGGCTAGAGTACAGTGGTATGATCTCAGCTCACTGCAACCTCCCTCACTGGGTTCAAGCAATTCTACAGCCTCAGCCTCCCTAGTAGCTGGGATTATTACAGGCATGCGCTATCACCCCAGGCTAATTTTTGTATTTTTAGTAGAGACGAGGTTTCATCATGTTGGCCAGGCTGGTCTCACACTCCTCACCTCATGTGATCTGCCCACCTCGGCCTCCCAAAGTGCTGGGATTACAGATGTGAGCCAACACTCCCGGCCTTTTTTTTTTTTTTTTTTTTTTTTTTTTCTAAAATAGAGTCTCGCTCTGTCGCCCAGGCTGGAGTACAGGGGCGCGATCTTGGCTCACTGCAACCTCCACCTCCCGGATTCAAGCGATTCTCCTGCCTTAGCCTCCCAAGTAGCTGGGATTACTGGTGCCTGCCACCACGCCCGGCTAACTTTTGTATTTTTAGTAGAGACGGGGTTTCACCATGTTGGCTGGGCTGGTCTCGAACTCCTGAACTCAAGTGATCCACCTGCCTCAGCCTCCCAAAGTGCTGGGATTACAGGCATGAGCCACCGCGCCCAGCCTTGATTTTTTTTTTAAGTCATCTTTATGGAGATGTTCAGGACAAGGCTGGCAACCAGCAGATACCCAGTACGATGGAGCTGAGCCTCACTTAGCCGTGTTGGGTTACTTTGGGCTCATGATTCCAAGCTTGTCTTCAAAATGCACGGAAGAAAGGGCCTTCCCTTTGGCCGCAGCCGGTTGGCCAGCAGAGGCTCTTGGCCGGGTGAGGCAGCCTGTGGCCCCCCGGGTCCGTCTGACTGTTCGGTCCTCCCTCCCAGGTCCATGCCTCCCGCAGCAACAACATGGGCATCGTTGGTGGCTTCACTCAGATGATTCGAGAAGGAGGGGCCAGGTCACTCTGGCGGGGCAATGGCATCAACGTCCTCAAAATTGCCCCCGAATCAGCCATCAAATTCATGGCCTATGAGCAGGTGAGGACCCAGCTCCTCAGGAGGGTCACCGGCCAGTGGCTACTCACTGCCTGGACTTGCTGGCTTTCCCTGGGCTGAGCTCCCTGACACTTGGAGCCAGCCGTGGTACCCCAGGGACAGCAGGGCGAGGCAGGAGGCCCAGGCTCACCACGAGTTCCTTACATTTCTGGGTAGCATAAAATGTGCCGGGGACTCCTGGAAGGGAGGGGCAGCAGCAGGTGCCCCAACCTCTGGGTATATCAGGTGGTTTGTTTGTTCCTGGTTCTAGATCAAGCGCCTTGTTGGTAGTGACCAGGAGACTCTGAGGATTCACGAGAGGCTTGTGGCAGGGTCCTTGGCAGGGGCCATCGCCCAGAGCAGCATCTACCCAATGGAGGTGAGGGGCCGCCTGGGTCCTGGGGCGGGCAGTGGGCACAGGACTGGGGAGAGGCACAGGCTGTGCTCACGCGTCCCGCTGCTCCTGTTGTGCAGGTCCTGAAGACCCGGATGGCGCTGCGGAAGACAGGCCAGTACTCAGGAATGCTGGACTGCGCCAGGAGGATCCTGGCCAGAGAGGGGGTGGCCGCCTTCTACAAAGGCTATGTCCCCAACATGCTGGGCATCATCCCCTATGCCGGCATCGACCTTGCAGTCTACGAGGTGAGGCCCAAGCTGGACAGATTTAGAAACCTCCTCCCAGCACACCTCCACCTGCTGTCTCCCTCCTTGACGGACGCGTGGTTAGTGCAGGAAACTGCATCAAAGACTGCGCCTCCTTCCTGCTCTTCTGTTTACTGCAGCTTTCCTTCACCCTGCCTGCCCCTGGCAGACCCCAGCAGCTCCTGTGAGCCCTGCACCCAGGCTCTGCATCCCCAGAGGCTCAGCAGGCAGATCCCCAGAGCAGGGTGGCCCCCAGGAGCTCACAGGCCCCAGCACACTCTAGACAGACCCCAGAAGTCAGCCCTTCTGTGTGGGGAAGGAGGTGTTCCCTCTACCTTGTCCCGGAATTCCCAGTGACAGCAGAAACAGGGCAGCCAGGCTAGGAGCCCAGCCAGGCCCCAGGCGCGGCAGTCGGGTTCCAGTGGCCTGAGGACCCAGTAACAGCCCCGTCTCTTGCTGCCTCACTAGCCCTTCCTAGGGCTTATCCCATGCTCCCTTCTCCTTCTAGACGCTCAAGAATGCCTGGCTGCAGCACTATGCAGTGAACAGCGCGGACCCCGGCGTGTTTGTGCTCCTGGCCTGTGGCACCATGTCCAGTACCTGTGGCCAGCTGGCCAGCTACCCCCTGGCCCTAGTCAGGACCCGGATGCAGGCGCAAGGTAAGGCTGGCCCTGGACAGTCCCCTGGGAGGTCGGGGGGAGCGGACAGAAGCATCTGACTGGTGGCCTCCATCCTGCAGCCTCTATTGAGGGCGCTCCGGAGGTGACCATGAGCAGCCTCTTCAAACATATCCTGCGGACCGAGGGGGCCTTCGGGCTGTACAGGGGGCTGGCCCCCAACTTCATGAAGGTCATCCCAGCTGTGAGCATCAGCTACGTGGTCTACGAGAACCTGAAGATCACCCTGGGCGTGCAGTCGCGGTGACGGGGGGAGGGCCGCCCGGCAGTGGACTCGCTGATCCTGGGCCGCAGCCTGGGGTGTGCAGCCATCTCATTCTGTGAATGTGCCAACACTAAGCTGTCTCGAGCCAAGCTGTGAAAACCCTAGACGCACCCGCAGGGAGGGTGGGGAGAGCTGGCAGGCCCAGGGCTTGTCCTGCTGACCCCAGCAGACCCTCCTGTTGGTTCCAGCGAAGACCACAGGCATTCCTTAGGGTCCAGGGTCAGCAGGCTCCGGGCTCACATGTGTAAGGACAGGACATTTTCTGCAGTGCCTGCCAATAGCGAGCTTGGAGCCTGGAGGCCGGCTTAGTTCTTCCATTTCACCCTTGCAGCCAGCTGTTGGCCACGGCCCCTGCCCTCTGGTCTGCCGTGCATCTCCCTGTGCCCTCTTGCTGCCTGCCTGTCTGCTGAGGTAAGGTGGGAGGAGGGCTACAGCCCACATCCCACCCCCTCGTCCAATCCCATAATCCATGATGAAAGGTGAGGTCACGTGGCCTCCCAGGCCTGACTTCCCAACCTACAGCATTGACGCCAACTTGGCTGTGAAGGAAGAGGAAAGGATCTGGCCTTGTGGTCACTGGCATCTGAGCCCTGCTGATGGCTGGGGCTCTCGGGCATGCTTGGGAGTGCAGGGGGCTCGGGCTGCCTGGCCTGGCTGCACAGAAGGCAAGTGCTGGGGCTCATGGTGCTCTGAGCTGGCCTGGACCCTGTCAGGATGGGCCCCACCTCAGAACCAAACTCACTGTCCCCACTGTGGCATGAGGGCAGTGGAGCACCATGTTTGAGGGCGAAGGGCAGAGCGTTTGTGTGTTCTGGGGAGGGAAGGAAAAGGTGTTGGAGGCCTTAATTATGGACTGTTGGGAAAAGGGTTTTGTCCAGAAGGACAAGCCGGACAAATGAGCGACTTCTGTGCTTCCAGAGGAAGACGAGGGAGCAGGAGCTTGGCTGACTGCTCAGAGTCTGTTCTGACGCCCTGGGGGTTCCTGTCCAACCCCAGCAGGGGCGCAGCGGGACCAGCCCCACATTCCACTTGTGTCACTGCTTGGAACCTATTTATTTTGTATTTATTTGAACAGAGTTATGTCCTAACTATTTTTATAGATTTGTTTAATTAATAGCTTGTCATTTTCAAGTTCATTTTTTATTCATATTTATGTTCATGGTTGATTGTACCTTCCCAAGCCCGCCCAGTGGGATGGGAGGAGGAGGAGAAGGGGGGCCTTGGGCCGCTGCAGTCACATCTGTCCAGAGAAATTCCTTTTGGGACTGGAGGCAGAAAAGCGGCCAGAAGGCAGCAGCCCTGGCTCCTTTCCTTTGGCAGGTTGGGGAAGGGCTTGCCCCCAGCCTTAGGATTTCAGGGTTTGACTGGGGGCGTGGAGAGAGAGGGAGGAACCTCAATAACCTTGAAGGTGGAATCCAGTTATTTCCTGCGCTGCGAGGGTTTCTTTATTTCACTCTTTTCTGAATGTCAAGGCAGTGAGGTGCCTCTCACTGTGAATTTGTGGTGGGCGGGGGCTGGAGGAGAGGGTGGGGGACTGGCTCCGTCCCTCCCAGCCTTCTGCTGCCCTTGCTTAACAATGCCGGCCAACTGGCGACCTCACGGTTGCACTTCCATTCCACCAGAATGACCTGATGAGGAAATCTTCAATAGGATGCAAAGATCAATGCAAAAATTGTTATATATGAACATATAACTGGAGTCGTCAAAAAGCAAATTAAGAAAGAATTGGACGTTAGAAGTTGTCATTTAAAGCAGCCTTCTAATAAAGTTGTTTCAAAGCTGATCATGGAGCCAGTATTTTTCTGACGGGGGCCTGGGTGGTCTGGGGGTGCTGACATGTTAGAAAATGCGCCCTGTTTTCCCCTCTGGAGCCTGGTGGTGCCCCCTTTCGGCTTCTTAGAGGCGCTCCCTCTTTAATGGTTGCGTGTTCGATTTGGGGTGCCCTGAGTTGCTGTGTAGGGTCGTTCCTCAGCCTGTCTCAGGCAGGGTGCGGGGGATCTCTCCCTCCGCCGGAAGTGCCATCTTCACAGACACCGAGGACGTCGCTGGGCTTCTCTCCCCTCCCCCCAGCTGCCCCTCCCAGCCTCACCCCGCTCCTGCCTCCTCACACCCTCTCAGTAACCTCATCTGACTGAGGATTACCTTCAATATCTATATTTAGATGACACTCCTTTGATACTTGAACGAATTCCAGCTTCATCAGTACAACTGTGAAATCCACATCCACTTAAACAGCACCTCGAGTTCAGCATGTCAGAAGCCGAACCCTTCATTTTCCTCCCAAAATCTGCTTCTTCATTTTCCTCATGCCAGCAAATGGCAACTCCTTTCTTCTACGAACTTAAGCCAAACACCTTGTAGTCAACCTGACTCTGTACTTCCCTCTGGTTCCAGGGCAGTCCACCAGCAAATACCGTCAGCCCCACCCGCAAAATAGATCTGCTCTCTGGCCGCTTCTCCCGACCTCCACCCCTGCCACTGATCAAAGACAATATCATGTCTCACCTGGATGATTGCAAGACCTAAACTTCTTCCCCCTGCTTCCCTTCACTCTCCACCCCAAGACCAAGGGGCCCTTTGAAAACCTAAGTGGATAGCCAGGTGTGATGACAGGTGCCTATAATCCCAGCTACTCCAGAGGCTGAGGCAGGAGAATGGCTTGAACCCAGGAGGCAGAGGTTGTGGTGAGCCGAGATCATGCCACTGCACTCCAGCCTGGGCGACAGAGTAAGACTCTGTCTCAAAAAAAGAAAACCTAAGTTTCTCATGTCACTCAGATCCTCCAATGAATAGATAAGCTGGGCAGGCGCGGTGGCTCACGCCTGTAATCCCAGCACTTTGGGAGACCGAGGTGGGCGGATCACCTGAGGTCAGGAGTTTAAGACCAGCCTGGCCAACATGGCAAAACCCCATCTCTACTAAAAATACAAAAATTAGCTGTGCTTGGTGGCGCATGCCTGTAATCCCAGCTACTCGGGAGGCTGAGACAGGACAATCACGTGAACCCGGGAGGCAGTGGTTTCAGTGAGCTGAGATCATGCCACTGCACTCCAGCCTGGGCGATAGAGCGAGGAGACTCCATCTCAGAAAAAAAGAAAAGAAAAAAAAAGAAAAAAAAAAAAACAGAAACAAAAACGAAAAAGACAAGTCACCGGCTAGGAGAAAATCTTTGCAGTACATGTAATCTCCAGCATGTATTAACTGTGTAAGGCAAAAAGAAGAGGACAAGCCAGTTAACAATTGGCACTTCCAAAAGCAAGATGACTTAATGGCCAATAAACATGAAAACGAGCTTAACTCCATTAGTTGTCAGGGAGAAGCAAAACACTGAATGAGGCCCAGAGCAGTGGCTCACACCTGTAATCCCAGCACTTCGGGAGGGTGAGGCTGGAGATCACTTGAGGCCAGGTGTTCAAGACCAGACTATGCAATACAGCAAGGCCCCATCTCTACCAAAACAGTTAAAAGCATTTAACAAGATACCAGTGCATCCACACTAGAAGGCCTAGAACTAAAGATGTCAGCACTGTAGTTTGATGAGAATCTGGGAGCAGCCACACTCCTAGACTCTGCTAGTACAAGGTAAAATGCCAATCATTTTGGAGAATTGTTTCTAATAAACTCAAATGGACATTTGCCCTGTGACCCAGCACTTCCACTCCTATTTACCCCTTTCCCTAAATGAAAACATCCACAGAAGAACTTGTACGTGGCTCACAGAGGCTTCATTTGTAACAGCCAAAAACTGGAAACAGTCCAGACACCCATCAACAGGTGAAAAGATCCCCAAATAGCTGCCTGCATGTGTTGCAGTGCTACTCAGCAACGAATGGGAGGGAATTACTGAAACTCCAGGCATCAACATGAACCTAAAAACCATACCAGGTAAGGCCGGCCTGCAATCCCAGCACCTTGGGAGGCTGAGGCAGGTGGATCACTTGAGGTCAGGAGTTCGAGACCAGCCTGGCCAACAAGGTGAAACCCCATCTCTACTAAAAATACAAAAATTAGCCAGGTGTGGTGGTGGGCACCTGTAGTCGCAGCTACTCGAGAGGCTGAGGCAGGAGAATCGCTTGAACCTGGGAGGTGAAGGTTGCAGTGAGCTGAGATTGTGCCACACTGCACTCCAGCCTGGGCTACAGAGCGAGACTATGTCTCAAAAAAAGAAAAAAAAAAAAAAAGTGAGAGTGAAGCCAGGCACAGCAGTAACTAACTATACCTGGGTGCTGGGGCCAGCGGGACACGTGAGGCATACATCCAGGTATTGGGATATTTTTCCAGTCTTTGGTGAGAGAAATCAGAATGGTGGTTGCCTTTAGGGGAAGAGATGGTGGAGCCTGGGAAGAAGCAGGACACATTCATCAAAACTCATAGAACTGGCCGGGCACGGTGGCTCACGTCTGTAATCCCAGCACTTTGGGAGTCCAAGGCAGGCGGATCACCTGAGGTCAGGAGTTCCAGACCAGCCTGGCCAACGTGGTGAAACCCCATCTCAGCCTGGCGCGGTGGCTCACGCCTGTAATCCCATCACTTTGGGAGACCAAAACGGGCAGATCACGAGGTCAAGAGATTGAGACCATCCTGGCTAACCCGGTGAAACCCCATCTCTACTAAAAATACAAAAAATTAACTGGGTGTGGTGGCACGTGCCTATAGTCCCAGCTACCAGCTACTCAGGAGGCTGAGGCAGAAGAATTGCTTGAACCCAAGAGGCAGAGGTTGCAGTGAGCCGAGATTGTGACACTGCACTCCAGCCTGGGTGACAGAGTGAGACCCTGTCTCAAAAAAAAAAAAAAAGAAAGAAAAAAAAACCCCATCTCTATTAAAAATACAAAAATTAGCCAGGCATGGTGGCGTGCACTTGTAGTCCCAGCTACTTGGGAGGCTGAGGCAGAATTGCTTGAACCTGGAAGACAGAGGTTGCAGTGAGCCAAGATCGCGCCACTGAACTCCAGCCTGGGCGACAGAGCAAGAGTCCATCTTAAAAAAAAACAAAAACAAAAAAAACACTGAACTGTGTACTTGAGTCACCATATGTTTCACTGTATGTAATTATACCTGATTTTTTTTGTTGTTTGTTTTTTGTGATGGAGGTTCACTCTTGTTGCCCAGGCTGGAGTGCAATGGTATGATCTCGGCTCACTGCAACCTCTGCCTCCCAGGTTCAAGCAATTCTCCTGCCTCAGCCTCCTGAGTAGCTGGGATTACAGGTGTCTGCCACCACGCCCAGCTAATTTTTGTATTTTTAGTACAGATGGGGTTTCACCATGTTGGCCAGGCTGGTCTTGAACTCTTCACCGCAGGTGATCAGCCTACCTTGGCCTCCCAAAGTGCTGGGATTACAGGTGTGAGCCACCGTGCCCGGCCATACCTGAATTTTTTAAAAAGGGAAGCAAAAACCTTCCAGTGTTTCCTTTCTCACCATTAGACAAACGTCCCCATTATGGCCTTCAAGCCCTGCGTTGCCGGCCTACTGCCTGGCCAGAGGTGGATTTGCCAGAAAGCAGTAAAGGAATCTGGGTCACCTTAGAAATAGAGAAGGGGAGCTGGGCACGGTGGCTCATGCCTGTAATCCCAGCACTTTGGGAGGCCGATGCAGGTGGATCACCTGAGGTCACGAGTTTGAGACCAGCCTGGCCAACATGGTGTAAACCCCGTCTCTACTAAAAAAAAAAAAAAAAAAAATGAGCTGGGCGTGCATGCCTGTAATCCAAGCTACTTGGGAGGCTGAGGCAGCAGAATCACTTGAAGCTGGGAGGCAGAGGTCGCAGTGAGCTGAGATTGTGCCATTGCACTCCAGCCTGGGCAACAAGAGTGAAACAAATAAAGAAATAGAGAAGGGGCCAGGTGTCATTCTCCATCCATCTTCTCTTTCTCCCCGGCACTTTTCAAGTCAATTATGCTACTTACTTTCATTGCCGGGTTTCTCATCTGTTCCCTCGCCCATGAACGTGAACTCCTTGAGGGTGGCAGTGTCTGTTGGCTTTGTTCACTGCTGCTCCCAGCACCTGGAGCCTGAACAGTGTTCGGTGAATCCTTAACATCCAAGTGTTTCTTGGTGTCGTCGACAGAATTATGCCCCCGCCACAAGATGTCCATGTCCTAATCCCCAGAAGCTGTGAATCCCATTACATGGCCAGGGGGAATGAAGGAGGCAGATGGAATGAAGGTTGCTAATCAGCCGACCTTCAAACAGGGAGATGGATTATCCTGGGTCATCCGGTGGGGGGGCCAGTGTGATCACAGGGGTCCTTCAGTGTGGAGGAGGAGGCAGGAGAGAGAACAGAGAGATGGCATGAGAAGGACTCAGGCCTCCGCTGCTGGCTTGAAGGTGGAGGAAGGGGCCACGAGCCAAGGAACGCAGGCAGCCTCTAGAAGCTGGAAAGGCACAGAAGTGGATCCTCCCCTTCCTGCCCTGGAGCCTCCAGAAGGAACACAGCCCTGCAGACACCTTGGTTTTAGCCCCATGAGGCCCATTTCAGACTCTTGACCTCCAGAACTGTGAGATTATAAACCTGCATTGTTTAAGCTACTTCCCACCTACTGGCCCTCTGGTGGAGATAAAATCCCCTTAATCAGGGTTTGCAACCAGACTCCTGGGCAGGGGAGGGCACAGTGGGGGCAGGGGGCACATCTCAAGGTCTGATTGGAGGCACGGTGCTCCTCCAGACCCACCTGAGTCCGGCTGGCATGGAAGCTCCAGGGGAGCCCTGGGGCGGGCGTGGTGGGGGTGGCTGGCAGACCCCTCCTTGTCCTCCAGGAAGTCCAAGCTCTGTGGGGCCCCCTCAGCCACTCAGGTCTTTGGGGACACAGTCACAGGTGCCTGCCCTCGGGAAGGGCCCAAGAGCCTGGAGCTGTGCCACCCTGGTCCAGGGAACAAGGGGTCAGGGCAAGAGAAACAGCGGTGGGGCATGTGGTGGGTCAGGACAGTTGCAGAGCGGCTTCCCATAAACAGACTGGGACAGTGGACGTCCCTGTTCCATAGCATCCAAGCTGAGTGACCTTGGGCAAGTCACACCACCTCTCTGAGCCTGTTTGTTTGTCCATTAGAGAAGAGCAAGACGAGCCAGGGAGGTCTGTTGGAAAGTTGAACTGAAACGAGGCAGGAAATGGGATGCGGCCCATCCTGACAGCTTCATCTCCCAGCTGCCCTTCTTCCTCCAGCATTCAGACACGCTCCAGGTAATCCCGCCTTCATCCTCTCGGGCCTGGGATCTCAGGTGTCTGCGAGGAAATCCAGAGCCACTTGAGCCGTGTGGTCCGGTGGGCCCCCTCGCAGGGGCACTGCTCACGCACGACTTCACTTAGCTCTCAGCAGGTGTAGGAGGTGCCACCACCGCCACGTCCCCATTTCACAGGGGAGGAAACTAAAGTTTCAAGAGGGGAGGGGACTTGCCCAGGACCTAGGATGCAGTGGACCCCCGACTGGCAGGTGGCACGCAGGGGAGTGAAGCTGCGGCGGGCTCTGCTGGGGCCGCCCACCAGGAACTTGGGGCAAGGCAGAGAGCTGCTGCCCACATCGGACCCGGCAAGCTGGAACCATGCCACAACCCACCCGTGGGACCTTCACCAAGTTAGACGTGCCCAAGGGACAGGCATTCCTTGCCTCACCTCAGAAGGGTGGCACCTGGTCCCTGGCTGCCTCCTCGCAGCCAGGAGGCCACAGAGAGCCTGGGCAGGCCTGCGCTTGAATCCTGGGTCCCGGTGGTGTGATCTTGGGCAAGTCTTCTGCCTCTCTGAGCCTCAGTTTCCCCACTAGCAAGACAGGCACGACGCCTTCTGACAGCTCACTGCGGAAGCGGCTGTTCTGCTTCACATAAAGGGTCACTGTGAAACAGATTCAAAGCAGCTCTGTTGACACGGAAGCCCTGTTCTCACCTGGGCCTCACCCTGTGCCGCCCTAGTCCAGATTTCACCGGTCTGAGTGCGTTGGAAAGTAGGGGAAGGGTGGAAACAGGTGGGGCGGGTGTGCTGGGCCCGGCCGCCCAGGTGTGGACCTTGCTCTCTGCAGCAGCAGCAGCAGCAGGCCACGTGACCTGGGCTGGCCAGGAGCGGGCAGCAGGAAGGGCATGGTATGATAGCACCTCCATCCTGCAGATGGGTAAACTGAGGCCAGGGAGGGCCCCAGGCCTGCCCCAGTTCCCCGAGGGGCAAGATAAACCTAGGCCTCCTGCTCTCAGCTCCTCTGAACGCAGGGGCAGGCCAGGGAACAGCCGCAGGACATGGTTCTCTTGGTCATTTGCTATCACCCACCAGCACAGCCCCGTGGCCCAGGAGGAGCCGTTATCTCCCATGGCAGTTGTTGAGGCCGATGAGAGACGGAGCTGGCCCCACCCATGCTAGTCAGTACGGGGCACCCCTGGCTGAACTGAAGAGCCCAGCCTCCCACCCCCTCATCTTACAGATGAGGAACCTGGCACAGGCTGGAAACCCTGGGACTTCCCCAGGTCACCACATGCCCCATCGCTGTTTCTCTTCCCTGACTACACCGGGCTTAAATCTGTGTATGAGTGTCCTGGGGCAGCTGCAACCAATAACCACACACTTGGTGACTTCCAACACCACAAATGGCTGGGAGCCGCGGCTCATGCCTGTAATCCCAGCACTTTGGGAGGCTAAGGCAGGCAGATCGCTTGAACCCGGGAGTTGGAGACCAGCTTGGGCAACACAGTGAGACCCCATCTCTACAAAAAATACAAAAGTTAGCCAGGTGTGGTGGCACACACCTGTGGTCCTAGCTACTTGGGAGGCTGAGGCCGGAGGATCACTTGAGCCCATGAGTTGGAGACCAGCCTGGGCAACATAGTGAGACCCTATATCTACAAAACATTACAAAAACTTATCCAGGCATGGTGGCACGTGCCCATGGTCCCAGTTATTCAGGAGGCTGAGGTGGGTGGACCACTTGAGCCTAGGAGTTCAAGGCTGCAGTGAGCCATGATCGTGCCCCTATACTCTAGCCTGGACAACAGAGCAAGACCCTGTCTCAAAAAAAAAAAAAAATGAACAGACACACAAAAGCAAACCCGCACCCTCCCCATGAGCTCACTCTCCTCAGGGAGGACGGAGCTTGCTGTTCTCAGGACTCTTTCCATTCTTACTTCCTGGAGTCCTTGACCTGGAGCTCTTTAAGCCAGTGGGGAACACAGCAGGGCATGTGTTCTGAGAACAGACAGCAGACCCTACCAGCTTCATAAATAGACCCCTCGAATATTGACTCTGTGTATCGTCATCCAAAACACCTTCCCAGCCCTGGCCTTACCCGCCCACGGAGGTTTACTAATGCCATTTCCCAGTCAGTAAGGGGCTTGCCCAAGGGCACAGTGGGCAGCGGCCGGGTCCTGAACTCAGGCCTTCTGAAGCCATCAAGACCACAGGGGACCGTGAATGGTGGCTCACACCTGCAATCCTAGCACTTTGGGAGGCCACGGCGGAAGGATTGCTTGAGGCCAGGAATTTCAGACCAACCTGGCCAACATAGCAAGAACCTGTCTCTATGTTTTATTATTTATTTGTTTAGAGATGAAGTCTCCCTCTGTCGCCCAGGCTGGAATACAGTGGCACAGTCTTGGCTCACTGCAGCCTCCATCTCCCAGATTCAAGCGATTCTCCTGCCTCATCCTCCTGAGTAGCTGGGATTACAGGCATCCACCACCAGACCCGGCTAATTTTTGTATTTTTAGTAGAAACAGGGTTTCGCCATGTTGGCAGGCTGCTCTCTCAAACTCCTGACCTCAAGTGATCCACCCGCCTCACCCTCCCAAAGTGCTGGGATTACAGGCGTGAGCCACTGCTCCTGGCCTCTTTTTTTTTTTTTTTTTGAGACGGAGTCTTGCTCTGTTGCCCAGGCTGGAGGGCAAGTGGCGCAATCTCGGCTCGCTGCAACCTCCCCGGCCTCTATTTTTTAAACAAAGAAAGAAAAAATGACCACAGGGGCCATGCCGTGACCTGAGGATGGCACTAATGGGCCATGGAATCCTGGCTTGGGGCCCGTTCCTAAGAAGAGACATTTCTTCTTCTTTTTTTTTTTTTTTTGAGAGGGTCTCACTTTGTCACTCAGGCTGGGGTGCAGTGGGACAATCATAACCTCACTGCAGCCTCAAACTCCTGGGCTCAGGTGACCCTCCCACCTCAGCCTCCTGAAGTGCCGGGCTTACAGGGATGAGCCACTGTGCCCAACCTCAAGAGACATGTTTTTTCCTAGCCACTCATCTTTGGACCCTTACAGCTAAGCCCATTTTACTTACAGATGGGCAGAGTCGCTGGGTAATGAGCGTGCCGAGATTCATTCCCGGAATTGGCCGCTAGGTGGCAGCAGCAGGCCCTGTTGCCATCTCCTACGAGGCTTGGCGGGCTCTGGCGCCCTCTGGTGGCTGCGGGAAAACACGCCAAGAAGTCTGACGGAGAAACATTGGGGAAACTGAAGTGGAGTTGTTACCTCTTGGGAGAGAGATACTCACGGGGAGAAGCTGGGCCTAGGTGGTGTCCCGCGGTGGCCTCAGGCTGACTGGCCATTCTCCAGCCTGTCAGGTCTGATTAGCACTCGGGAGGCGGGTGTAGGCTCCTCCCCATCTGCAGCAGCCCCGGGGAAAGAGCCCTAGTCCAGGACTCAGGCCCCTGTTCCCAGCGCGGTTTAGCTGCCAACCGGATCTCCTTCTGCAAGAGGGGAAACAGAAGGAAACTTTATTCCCGAGTCTGTGAAGCCAGGAAAAGGGGCAATGCCTGGTGGGTGGGAAGGCATCTACACCCGGGGCCTCCTAAGTAAGACCAGGACCTCGAGGGGAGGCTGGAGGAGGAGCCACAGCCCGCAGTCACTGGGCTGAGCAGGAGGAACATTCAAAAGGCCTGGGAGCACAGGGTGGGGTGCTGGGCAGTGAGACCTTCCCCTGGCCTCCATGTCATGGACAGAAGGTGGACGCCTTGTCACAAGCTGACCACATCAGATGCTCTCTTTCGGGACTTTGGGACTGAGAAAGAGAGAGGTGAGTCAGTCCCCGTGTGCAGCTGGAAAGGCATCAGGTAACCCTGGGTGGGGTCTGAGGATGGCAGGAAAAGCCTGTCTGTGAAGGGAAGGGAAGTGAGAGTGGGGAGCAGGGATGGAGGGATGCTGGGATGGAGGATGGAGGGCACAGGGATACAGGAATGGAGGGATGGAAAAATAGAGGGATGCAGGAATGGAGGGATGAAGAGGTGCAGGGATACTGGGGTGGAGGGATGCAGAGAACGGAGGCATGCAGGGATGCTGCGATGGAGGAATGCAGGGATGGAGAATGTAAGGGTACAGGGATGGAGGATGGAGGGGTGCAGGGATGCAGAGATGGAGGATGGAGGGGTACAACGAAGGAGGGGTGCAGGGATGGAGGGATGGAGGGGTGCAGGGACAGAGGGATGCAGGGATGGAGGGATGGAAGGGTACAGGGATGGAGGGTGCAGGGATGGAAGGATGGAGGGGTACAGGGATGGAGGGATGGAGGGGTACAGGGATGGAGGGTGCAGGGATGGAAGGATGGAGGGGTACAGGGATGGAGGGGTGCAGGGATGGGGGACGGAGGGGTACAGGGATGGGGTACAGGGATGGAGGGGTGCAGGGATGGAGAGATAGAGGGGCACAGGGACGGAGGGGTGCAGGGATGGAGGGATGGAGAGGTACAGGGATGGAGGGTTACAGGGATAGAGGGAGGCTCCTCCTTCAGTGCCCCATGGTATTCCTGGCCTAGTTCCTGCCCTGCTGAGGGAGGTACCCTGGGTCCCTGGAGCAAAGGCCCCTCAGGACTTTAGACCTGGCCAGTGAAGTGGAAATGCCGTTCTGGACACAGTGGTGGCTCTGGGTGCCCTGATACCTGTTGGCCTCTCAGAAGCGGCTGCTGTGACTCCTAAGGCCACAGATGGGCACAGCCTCAGGCCTGGCTGCCTCCTCTACCCTGCAGCCCAAGTACCTGGAGTTAACACCCACAGAGGGCACACAGTGGGGGCTGGCTGAAGGACTGTGGTGCATCCAGGCGGCAGGGCACTATGCGCCATGAGAACAAGCCAATGTGACATACGCCGACAGGCAGACGCCCAGGATGGGGATGAGAACACAGCCGGTGGCAGACCAACCCCGTGGGAAAAACGGAGGTCACCAACTGCACAGCCACCTGCTTCCAAACGTCACACTCCCTGCCTCGAGCGCTCACTTCTACCTTACTCAAATGGTAGCTATTACAGGAACATGAGTTATTTTGTTTTAAAAATACTAATAAAGAAAATAAAACTTTAAAAGTTTCCTGGCTGGGCGTCGGGGCTCACTCCTGTAATCCCAGCACTTCGGGAGGCTGAGGCGGGCAGTTCCCTTGAGCCCTAGAGTGCGAGACCAGCCTGGGTAACACAGCAAAACCCAGGATCTACAAAATATAAAAAACAAAAAATTAGCTGGGCATGTTGGTGTGCACCTGTTCCAGCTACTTGGAGGCTGAGGTGGGAGGATCACTTGAACCTGGGAGGTCGAGGTTGCAGTGAGCTATGATTGCACCACTGCATCCCAGCCTGGGTGACAGAGCGAGACCCTGTCTCAAAAAATAAAAAAAAACAACAAAAAAGTTTCTCAAGAGGGTATGGGGACGTTGCCCAGTCCCCCCAGTCGGAAGGGCCAGTGGGTGGAGTTGGGCTCACTGGCCTCTGGAGGGTCCCTAGCAGGCCACCCCACCTCAGTTAAGTCGGGACTGGGGAGCCCCATCCTGGGTACTCTGTGCAGGAAAGGGGGTCCCACCCACAACCCACACTCACCCTGGAAGGCAGAGCCTCTTCTCCCATAAAGCCTGGCCCAGCCTGGAGCTGAAGCCCGGGGCCGCCACCTGAGAGGGCTTGGTTCTGTCTGTAGAGCAGGGGTCTGAATAGCCTGGTGCCCTGGACCAGGTGACCCGGCTCTGTGCACTGCACCTGCTCCTATCACTGAACTCTCCCACAAGGCGGGGACAGACGAAGAAACTGAGGCTTGATGAGTGACCCCACTGCAGAGCCCCACCGTGGGTAGGGTGCCCCGACCTGCACTCTGGCTGCTGGGCTCCACGGCCCAGCTGTGTGCCCTGAGTGGTATCCTGGGGACGATGCCACACAAAGCCTGCGGAGCCGTACCGTGCCTGACACCTGGGAAGCCCCAGGCCAGCGGTTAGTTACCACAAGGGCTGGCACAGCCCAAGCCTGATGCCTCCCTTGACCGCCAGCCCCACGCAGCACTCAGCCACACGGAGCTCCATGAGATGCCTGCCATGACAGGCGCCACAAACCTTTCCTTTATTGCAAACATGTCCCAGTCCCGGGAGGCTTGGGAAGAGTGGGAACCAGGGGAACCCAGGGATGGGATTCCACTGAAAACAAACCGTCCTGCTGTCCTGTCGAGGGCCCCCACCCACAGGATGTAGCCATGGGACAGCCACTGAGGGTCCAGGAAGAGGGGCGGCAGAGCAGGGAGGCAGGGACAGGGAGGGGTCGCCCCAGGGCAGTGGCAGGGCTGGAACTCGTCCCTAACATCCCTGAGCCCCAGCAGGTGCCCTGTGTTAGAAGCGAGAGGGCTGGTGGGGGTGCGTGGACAAGGGGCAGAATGATCCTGCCCCCAACCAGTATCGCCAGGCGCTGGCCCAGTGGCCCCAGGCCCTGGCAGCTGGCGTCTTCCGCTGCCTTCCCTCTGCTCTGCGCGGGGACATTCAGTGCGCTGGGGAGGCCTCGGTGATGGCCCTCTCCACCCGCAGGTACCAGGGCTGGATGTGCGTGTGCTGCATCAGGTCATCGAACGCATCCAGCCCCTCCATCACACGCAGCACGCCATACACCGCCTGGGGCACGAACAGAAACGTGTCACCATAGCTGGTTTGACAGGCATCCAGACCTCCTTCGTTCCCTGCCAGCTGTGTGGCCAGGTCCCGTCCCCTCCCCCCTTGGAGCTCGTGACCCACTCAAGGGCCAACAGCACAGGTGAGGGTTTGAACAAAGCATGTGGGGTGGCTGCAGGTCTCGCCTGCTTCACATCTGTACCCCCTTTTCTGGGCCACAGACCCTGCCCCCCAGCAAGTTTCCTTGGGATAAATGCCCTCCCCTCATCTCAGGTCCTGAGATGGGGGAGAAGAGACCCCACCACCCAGTTTCAAGACCCAGGTCACCCAGGGGCAGGACAGTTTTAAAAATGAGCAGTGGGCCAGGCACGCTGGCTCACGCCTGTAGTCCCAGCACTTTGGGAGGCCAAAGTGGATGGATCACCTGCGGTCAGGAGTTCGAGACCAGCCTGACCAACATACTGAAACTCTGTCTCTACTAAAAATTCAAAAATTAGCCGGGCATGGTGGCACAGGCCTGTAATCCCAGCTACTCAGGAGGCTGAGGCAGAAGAATTGCTTGAACCTGGGAGGCGGAGGTTGCAGCGAGCCAAGACTGCACCGCTGCACTCCCGCCTGGGTGACAGCGTGAGACTTGGTCTCAAAAAAAAAACAAAAACAACAACAACAAAAAAAAACAAAAGGAAAAAGGGCAGTGAAGCCAGGCCAGTGAGACGCCCTCCCAGGGGTTTTCTGGGAGAAGCCTGGAGCACCGGACCCAGCCCGCCTGAGGCTGAAGCCAACTCCAGGGAGGGCAGTGTTGATGGCGACAGGTAGAGCTTGGGCTCTGGTAACACCACCCGGGCCTCTGGATCCAGCAGGGCCCGAAGCCAACCCGTTCCCTGAACTTGTCAGTTATGTGAACCAAGGCGGTTCCTGGTCATCTGTTTCTCTCCTGGAGCCACTTCGAGGCGAGTTTCTGTCCGTGATGGCAGAGAGAGGCAGGTTCCTCTGGCAAGATGCAAGCACCGTCCAGGCTTTCCCTTGCAAACCTCCCCCACTCTGAGGACAGAACCCTCGGTCCAGGCACCACCTGCCACCACCACACTCACCAAATCAGCGAGATTCGGCTTCTGGCCCCCCATGAAGGGCCGGTCCTTGCCCACAGCAGCCACCCACTTGTCAGCAGCCTCATAGAGGTCCTCGCGCACGTTGTCCTGGAGGCGGTGCCTGGGCGGGGAAGGGAAAAGCCCCTCAGGGGAGCCCCCACTCCCAGCCCAGCAGGGAAGAGGGTCTCCTCTGGGGAGAGGGGGGAGGTGTGGAAGCCAGGACGGCACCCCAGGTGAGAGCATCACATCTGCAGACGCCTCAGGGAGCATCCGTCCCAGACGGGGAGGCTGTGGTAAAGGCAAGAGACCAGGCCAGGGAGAAAGCCACAGAGGAGGCGCCAGTCAGGGCCCAGGCTTCCGGCTTCAAGGCCAGCCCTGCTGTCCCCAGGGGAGGTGAGCAGGAGCTCTGGGTCCAAGTCCCATCTTGGCCAAGGGACCCATAATCCATAATGCGTTTCCCACCTGCCCTAGGCCTCGGCCTCCCGCTGGTCTCCTGAGGGGTGTGATGGGATCACCACTGCTCGTGGCACCGGAGGCTCGGGGACAGCAGGCCCCGGATGTGCACACACACTTGCCTGCTCTTGAGTCGCTTGCTGATGAGGTACATGGCCGCTGCACCCATGTACTTGGCCACGGCACCCTCCACGGCTCCGAACTTGCCCTCGCGGACAATGTAGTCAAAGGACGCCAGAGCCTCGGTGGGCGTGCGGTACACATTGGGGGAGATCAGGTGCACCAGCCAGTCGTCCGCCCACTGCCGCCACTTCATCTCCTCCCTGCGGGCACGGGAGGGACTTCCTAAGCCAGGACCCGGGCTGTGTTGGGAGCAGGCTGCATTCTCTAGAACATACCCACTGCACGGGCGGGAAGCTGAAGCCTGAGCAGGAAGGTCTTTTTTTTTTTTTTGAGACAAAGTCTCGCTCTGTCACCCAGGCTGGAGTGCAATGGCACCATCTCAGCTCACTGCATCCTCCGCCTCCTGGGTTCAAGCGATTCTCCTGCTTCAGCCTCCTTAGTAGCTGGGATTATAGGTGTGTGCCTCCACACCTAGCTAATTTTTGCATTTTTATAGAGATGGGGTTTTGCCATGTTGGCCAGGCTGGTCTTGAACTCCTGACCTCAGGTGATCTGCCTGCCTCGGCCTCCCAACAGGCTGGGATTACAGGAGTGAGCCACCACGCCCGGCTGCAGGAAGGTCTCTACTGAAATCCGGCATGGCCCGGCCCCAGCCCCGCTGGTCTCCCATGCTGCTCCCTGCTCACGCCATCTTGCTCAGCTTGGTCCTACTCTACAGAAGACCCCTGCGGTCACCACCTTCCCCCGCCAGCCCCAGCCCCACTCACGTCCTGGCCTCCTTCCCACCATACACTTGCTGGGCCTCCTTCTCGTTGAGCATGAGCCAGTACTTATTGCCGAACTCGGTCACCTCCTTGCCCTGCTCGTTCACAGCCTTCATGGCTGGGTAGTAGGTGATGATCTCTTCCAGGGGCTGCCTTCGGAGAGAGCCACAATATCACCCCAACTCCTTCCCCCTCCGTCCCCTGTGGCCGACCAACCCCGCTGCCCCAGCCTCAGAGTGGAGCCAGGACCAACAAAGGCTCTCCGGACTCTTGCAGTAAGAGGGATTTGGAGTAGATGCCAGGGCTACCTCCCCAAGAGAGGGAGGTGTGGGGAGGACAAAGTAGGGGGCTTGGAGGAGGACGGCCACGGGCTACTCTGGAAAATCATTTTTTTTTTTTTTTGAGACGGAGTCTCGCTCTGTCACCCAGGCTGGAGTGCAGTGGCACGATCTTGGCTCACCGCAACCCTCTGCCTCCCGGGTTCAAGCGATTCTCCTGCCTCAGCCTCCTGAGTAGCTGGGACTACAGGCACTCGCCACTATGCCTGGCTAATTTTTGTATTTTTAGTAGAGATGGAGCTTCGCCATGTTGGCCAGGCTGGTCTGGAACTCCTGACCTCAGGTGATCTGCCTGCCTCGGCCTCCCAAAGTGCTGGGATTACAGGTGCGAGCCACTCTGTACTCTGGAAATCTAAGCAGCAGCTCCACGTGCTCCCAGGAGGGAACTCAGGGGAGGCCTCCCTGGAGGAAGCCACCAAAAGCAATGGCCACCTGGTCTCCGAGGGGCTCCTTACCCCGACACCAGGTAGGTCTTGAGGGCGCTGATGATGACAGAGGAGTCATTTAGTTGTTGCTGGAAGAGAAAAGGGTGGTTTAATCAGAGGTTGCAACCCAGCCGCTGGGAGTCACCAGGGGCTCTTTAACAAGACACTCTGGGCATTGTTTATCCATTCCTGGGGACATGCCCGGAGTCCTCCCCGCCCTGCCCTCAGGGCACCCATCCTAAGTAGGGAGACGTGGTTGTGGCCAATGGGGAGGAAGGTGTGGGAAAGCCGTGGGGTCTAAGCCCCAGCCCACTCACCCATTTGGCCTCCCAGGTAGAGGGGCAGGGTGGGTTCTGGAAGCTACATACTAGACCCCAAGCACTGTGCCAGGCATTTCATATCTGCCGTCCCTGCAAGCCAGAATATGGTCCCTTGTTGACTCATGAAGCAAGCAAGCGCAGAGAGGCTAAGTGACTTGCCCCAAGTCACACAGCTAGTGAGTGGGTGAATCACACCTCAAACCCAGATCGCTGATTTCAGAATCTATGTTGTTAAGCTGTGGTGTTCTGCCTCCCTGAGACCCAGCAGGTGTTTGGTTTTGGTACGGAAGGAGAGAGCCTACATTTATTGAGCATCTACCGTATGCAGCTACTTCCCCCATAGTCCTTACAGGCACAAGGATCACAAGTTCCTTCCCAGGCTGCAGAGCCAGGCCAGGCTAGGGGGCGCTCCAGGACAACCCAGGAAAGGAGGAAGGATGCAGGGGGTTCCCTGGGGCTCACCGAGCTTTCTCCTTCCTGGGCCACCAGGATGGGCACCTTTCTGTAGGAGGAGAACTTGATCTCAGCCCTGCGCACAGGGTTCACCTCCACCACCTGGTAGGGCAGGGCATGGAAGTCGAGGAAGGCTCGGACCTTGCTGCAGAAGGGACACGTCTTGTACTGGTACAGGGTCAGCTGCAGGCGGCTGGACAGGGAGAGCTGCGGGCAGCAGACGGAAAAGGCTTCTAGACCTGGCACCCCCAGGCCCAGGCCCTGCCCCCAAGGGTGTTTTCCAGAGGAGTCTTCTGAAATGACGCTAGAACATCGGGAAGAGGAACTAGAGATGGAAGGGGGCGGTAGGGGAAAGGGAGGCACTGGACAGCAGCCCAGGTTTAAGCCCCTGGCCAGCACGGTCCCCAAGCAGGAGTCCCACCCTTTGCTGCGAGGTTGTGTAGGAGGAATCTTCTAGTCTCTGTCCCATACTGGACAGACCCCTCTTTTCTCACTCCAGTCCCAAGGGGACACCAGACAGCCCCAGGGTATACACCCCACTCCCACAGACATGGAACAACTGTTTCAACTTGACTTGTTCACTCTCACTCCTCTAACCCCAGGGACCTCTGGGGGCAGAGCTGGGCTACCACCCAGGCTCATGTTCACCAGTGGGGTCTACCTCCAATCTCTTTCTTGTTTTTTTCTCTGGAGACAGGGTCTCACTCTGCCATCCAAGCTGGAGTGCAGTAGCTTGATCACAGCTCACTGCAGCCTTGAACTCCGGGGTTCATGTGATCCTCCAGCCAAAGTCTATCTCAAATATCCGAGGGGGAGGGTGGTATCTGAGCCAAGGCCTGCGTGTGGCAAGCTCCGCAGGAAAGCCCCCAGGGGAGCCTGCTGCACGTTCATGCCGGGAAGCCACAACTGTAGACCATCCCCCTGTGTTCAGAGGGGAAGCTGGACCGTGGAGGCAGGAAGGGAGACACAGAGTACTCCATGCCCTTTTTACCCACCTCTGTTCCCTCTGGTCCAGCAAATAAGCATCTGTGGGCGGGTGGTGGGAAGTCAAGTAATGAAGAGTTGCAAGGTGTGGGGTAGGTATAAAGTGTCTCAAGGCAGCTGGGCCACCACTTAGGGGGTCACCACTTGGGGGGGGCACCTTTCTACCTCTTCCTGTTTCAGCCTGGAGTCTAAGTCATCAGTTCCATAAAGGTACCACCACTACTACTAAATAAATACACAGCCTTAGGATTTGGGGGCAGTGGGGAGAGAGGATGATGAACGTTTGGAAAGTGAAAAAGGCTTTCCCTTTCCTGTGATCTCCCATCTCTTAATCAAAAAAGTCTTAAAACACGGTAGAGGCTGGGCTCCGTGGCTCACACCTGTAATCCCAGCACTTTGGGAGGCCGAGGCGGGTGGCTCATTTGAGGTCAGGAGTTCGAGACCAGCTTGGCCAACATGGTGAGACCCCCGTCTCTAGTAAAAATACAAAAATTAGCCGGGCTGGGTGGCAGGCGCCTGTAATCCCAGCTACTGGGGAGGCTGAGGCAGGAGAATTGCTTGAACCCAGGAGGCGGAGGTTGCAGTGAACCGAGATCGCGCCACTGCACTCCAGCCTGGGCAACAGAGCAAAAAAAAACTCCGTCTCAAAAAAAAAAAGTCTCCTTAAAACATGGTAAAGGCTGGGCGCAGTGGCTCACGCCTGTGATCCCAGCACTTTCAGAGGCCAAGGTGGGCGGATCACTTGAGGCCAGGAGTTCGAGACCAGCCTGGGCGACATGGTGAAACCCTATCTCTACAAAAAATACAAAAATTAGCAGGGCGCAGTGGGGTGAGCCTATAGTCCCAGCTACTCGGGAGGCTGAGGCAGGAGGATCCCTTCAACCTGGGAGGCAGAGGCTGCAGTGAGCCGCGATCGCACTCCAGCCTGGGCGATAATGCGAGACCCTGTCTCGAAAACATAAATAAACAAACCAAAAAAAAAAAAAAAAAAAAAACCACGGTAGAAGAACGATTTTATGAGAACTCGAACAATTCCAGGTAGTAGGCATCAGGAGTGCCCCTATTTTACACAAAAGAATACAGAGGGTTCGGAGACTTCAGACCAAGTCACTCGCCCAAGGTCACAAGCAGGCAGAGGCAACTCCTGACCCTGCGGGTTCCCAGGAGTCCCGAGTTCGGCGCTGATCAGCATCCCCATCCCCGGCCGGGCCAGGCCTTACCTGCGCGGCTGAGCGCTCTGCGTGGAGGTCCTGGGCGCGCAGGTGCCACCGCGCCGTGTGGTACAGCCCCAGGGCTCCCCCCAGGGCCAGCGCCGCAGCTCCCAGCAGCCGCGGGCTCCCCTTACGAGCTGCAGCCACGGGGCTCGGGCCGCCCGCCGCCCCCGCGAAGCCAGCCCGGCTCTGCGTGGGTAGCAGCGGCTGGGGGCGGCCTCCCAGCCTCCAGGCCAAGGCGCACCCACCAGGCCACAGCGCCCGCACCACCCGCGCAGCCGGGTCCATGTTCGCTCCGCCGGCGCCGCGGGCGGGCGCGCGAAACGAAGACGCCGAGGCACGCGCGGCGTTTAAAGGGCCAGGACTCTGGCGCCCCGCGGGTTGGCCGGGGTGAGGGCGACGCTAAGGGAACCCTCAGCGCTCTCGGGACTGGGCGTGTGCCCGGCGCCCAAGTTCGAAACGCCCGCCAGAGCCGCAGAGGCCCGCTCGGGAACGTTTGCAGACCGTTCCATGCTTCCGCCTCCAAAGGCTCTTGGGTAGTGACCCGGCCGACTGCAGGGGGGCGAACGTCTCCTCGCCCCACCTTGACCGCCTAAAGGGCGGCGTGGCCGTCTGTAACACGTACTTGCCCACCTCTCTTACGGGCGCCCATTCAAAACAACTCCAGCCCTTCCTAGAGTCAGTACAGGCGCCGCGACTTCCGGCCACTGAAAGCCCCGGAAACGACCCGACCCGGCACCAGGTGTTGCGGTTCTCTCTGCCCTCCCGCCTCATTGTCCGCTTCCTACTGTGACCCGAACCATAAAATTTTCCCGAACCCGAAGGGGCCTTGGAAACCACGTGTCTCTGATTTCGCCCACGCGAAGCGGCCGGCCCGCCGACCCCGAGATTTCCAGGGAGAGGATGGCAAAGTGGGGTGCCAGGCTGCTCGGTCCTTCTGCTGGGCTCCCCCGCCCTAGCTGAAGCCCGGAGCCTCCACCGCATAGGCGTCTCCGCGGACAGCCCCGGGATGGCCCCGCCCGGCGCCCGAGAGGGGGCGGGACTCGCAGAGTGGGCGGGGAGAGGGGCGGGGCGAGGGGGGAGCTCTGAGTCCCGGCTCTGCTGCTCCGCCGCGTCCCACTCTTCTCGCTCCGCTTTCGCCCCGCATCTTCCACCTTCCTTCCAGTCCTTGCGGCGACCGAGCCCGCAGTGTCAGTCCCCAGCGGGGACCTGAGTATGCCGGTGAAGACGAGAGCGGAAGGCGAGGACGACGGCTTCGGGGAAGCGGGTGACCCGAGGAGACTGCTGGAGCGACCTTGGCGTTTCCGGGGGTGCCTTCCCGGGAAGGGGAATCGGGATGTTGGCTTCGAAGGGACCGAAGGGCCCACCTCGACCCGCCCCGAGTGGGTTTGGAGTTGTAGGTGCTGTCTCGGATGCAGGGCGAGCACCCGCGAGCGGGTAACCAGTCCCGTGAGAGCTGCAGGTCCCCAGCCCCGTTTTACAGATAGGGAAACTGAGGCAGCTGCTGGGACACTCGCCCATATGGGTTTTGCTCCACCCACTTCCTTCAGCCACTTTACAGACCAGGAGTTGAGGGACTGCTCGAGCTTAGAGTGTTTAGGGGTGGTTGAGGGTGACCCCCATGTTCTGTGCTCTACTCTATCCCTATCCAGGCCTTCTCCCAGCGCCACTCTCACGCTCCTGCTTGCTAGCTCCTGCTTGCTAGCTCCTGCTCCTCCCAGCTTCATCCTCCTCCTGTTTACATTAATTGCTCCTGATCTTCCACACTCTTGATTTTCCGGATTCTAACTCCATCAAAATGTAACTTGATGTGTTCAGGCCCCGGGGACACCTAGGCACTTGAGGGGGGCGGGTCCGTGTTTGGCCTGCTGGGCTTAGTAGGAGGGTCTGGCCCGGGGCGGGGAGCGCGATGCTCTGCTGGGTCAGCATCTCCAGCCACCTGGCTTTGCTGGTGTGGCCTCGCAGCCTTGCCAAATGTGAGCAGCTTACAGAGCAACCAGTTGCACGTGCTTAAGCTGCCGAGGTGACACAGGGCGCTGTAGGGTCCAGCCCCACAGGGTCGGTAGGTCTCTCCCTGTGTGCGGCGACGAGAGAGTGTAGAAATAAAGACACAAGACAAAGAGACGAGAAAAGGCAGCTGGGCCCGGGGGACCACTACCACCAATGCGCGGAGACCGGTAGTGGCCCCGAATGTCTGGCTGCACTGTTATTTATTGGATACAAGGCAGAAGGGGCAGGGTAAAGAATGTCAGTCACCTCCAATGATAGGTAAGGTCACGTGGGTCACGTGTCCACTGGACAGGGGGCCCTTCCCTGCCTGGCAGCGGAGGCAGAGAGGGAGAGGAGACAAAGAGAAAGACAGCTTACGCCATTATTTCTGCATATCAGGGACTATTAGTATTTTCACTAATTGACTACTGCTATCTGGAAGGCAGAGCCAGGTGTACAGGATGGAACATGAAGGCGGACTAGGAGCGTGACCACTGAAGCACAGCATCACAGGGAGACAGGCCTCCAGATAACTGCGGGCGAGCCTGACTGATGTCAGGCCCTCCACAAGAGGTGGAGGAGCAGAGTCTTCTCTAAACTCCCCCGGGGAAAGGGAGACCCCCACCCTCCCTTTCCCGGTCTGCTAAGTAGCAGGTGTTGTTCCTTGACACCTTTTGCTACTGCTGGACCATGATCCGCCTGGTAACGGGCGTCTTCCCAGATGCTGGCGTCACCGCTAGACCAAGGAGCCCTCTGGTGGCCCTGTGTGGGCATAACAGAAGGCTCGCACTCTTGTCTTCTGGTCACACCTCACTATGTCCCCTCAGCTCCTATCTCTGTATGGCCTGGTTTTTCCTAGGCTATGATTATAGAGCGAGGATTATCATAATATTGGAATAAAAAGTAATTGCTACAAACTAATGATTAATGATAGTCATATATAATCATATCTAAGATCTATATCTGGTATAACTATTCTTGTTTTATATTTTATTATACTGGAAGAGCTCGTGTCCTCTGTCTCTTGCCTCGGTGCCTGGGTGGCTTGCCGCCCACACACAAAAAAGATAAATGTTTGAGGTGATGAAGATCTTAATTTCCTTGATTTGATCATTACATGTTTCATACAGGTATCAAAGTATCACATGTACCCCCAAAGTATGTACAACTATGATATATCATAAATAAATGAATAAATAAATAATAAAAGACAGAAGCCTGACCATGCTATGTTCAATCCACAGCTACGCCCCTCACTGTGCACCTGATCTCCCCATCTCACGCCAGTTCCTGAGAGACAGGACAGAGAACAGGGGCAGGGCTGCCCTGCCCTAACCACTGGTCTTCAGTTAGTTATCCTGGCAATACTTCCAAGGTGCCCTGCCCTGGTGCCCCCCACACTTGAGATAGCCCCGTCCTATCCCCCCACCCTGCAGGTGGGTCTGTGCAGAGGTGAGGTCACTGCTCCAAACCTCAATGGAGGGCACTGGGGCAGGTGTGCGCCATCCGTCACTGCACCCAAGGCCGTACACCATGCAAGCAGTCCTTCTCCCTTTTCCACGTGGAGGCTTGTGCATCTGGGGACAGATTTCAGAATTTAGGATACCCTAGTCCCCTCTTCAGGGCTTTGTCACCCACCTTTCATGTCCATAAAGCAGCAGAGCTTCTGTGGCCATGTCTCAGTACGTTTGATCCAGCATCAGCAAAGAAAGCCCAGTCTTTTGAAAGCCAGTGGTTGCAGTAGGCACATCCTCTCCAAGCCTATGCTCCCCAAGGTAGAGGTTAGCTATTTCTTGCCAAGTATGAATGCTGATTTCCAATGGCCATTAGGGAATAGAACCCCCCACCCCAGGGAAGCAAAGCCACCCTCTTCCTCCTCCCCCTCACTCAGCTCCCATTATTGGCCTGCCTAAGGAGCACCTCTGGGCTCTCCTAAAAGAAGAAAAGCCACTGTGTCCTTGCAAGTCGCACCTTTGTCCCTTAGTTCCACGAAAAGCTGCTACATGCCTACAGTGTGCCAAGCACTGGGGCTCTCCCTGTGGCACCTCGTTACACGCTAGAAGGCAGGTGCTGTTCAGAAATTTCTGATGCTGTTGGTGTCCTGCACTCAAGATGCTTCCCAAAGCCAGATTCCACTCACCGGCAGCCTCGCTGGGAGCACAGAGGGTTTCCTGATGCTCACACTCCACAGAGAAACAGGTGGAGACGTGTCCATCAGGGCGAGAAGGTGGCCATTGGGAATAGGAAGGACATTCCCCCTGAGCCATGGCACAAGGGGAGGCAGCCATGGGGAGAGGACAGAGCAGGGAGAGCAAGAAGGAACCTGGGAAGGAAGGTCTCTTGGGTCCCTGGAAGCTCCAGGCTGGGCCACAGGGATCAAGGGGCACTCACTGGCCAGAGCTGAGAAACATCTGCTCCAGTCTCTGGATGCCTGCCTGTCCACCGCCAGCTGCTGGTGAGATGTTCTTGTTTGAGGGTAGATTTTATCTGCATAAGCTCCCCAGTGGTGAGGGTCCCAGGAAATGAGTGCTACACAGACATTCATAAGGCAAAAAGCCTATCCCCACCCCCACCCCACGTTATAGATGCTCAGAGGAGACTGGTGTGACCAAGTTACCAGGTCCCAGGTGGGGCGGGACTGGCCCTAACAACCCCGGCATTCCAATATCCTGTCCAGTGTGTGCTCTGAGGTTGGAAGACCCCAGAGCACGGTCTGCTATCTTCTCAGCAGCTGCAGAGGTTATTGGAATCGTAACATGTCTCCAGGATGGGAAAGGAGGAAGCAGCAGTCGCCTACATCTCCCGGAAACCCTGCCAGGGACCAGATGTCGCACAGGCTTCCCGGCACGCTTTGTGGAATCATCCAATCTGAAGTCAGGCCTCCCCAGGGTGCAAATCCTGGCTTCTGCCTTGGAGAATTATTAACTCTGGGTTTTTAAAGGCAGCCGCTTACATTCAGCTCTCAAAAGCATCAAAGGCATGAAGCACATAGGGTGCAGACTGCTATCATGCCAGGTCACATGATAGACGAGAAAGCAATCCCTGAGGTCAGAGTTGCTCCCACCAGGCCCACAAAAGAGGTTAATAAAGCATAAGGAAGCCTCTCAGAGAGGCCAGGTGGTGGAAGTTTTGCTGAACCTAGGGTGTCCAGGAAATGGATCATTTGGGGTTGTTTATGGATTGATGTCGCTCTGGTGAGTGGGTAGTAAGTAAATCCACCTCATATGGCTTTTTGTCAACCTTGAAGCTCACTAGTATAAACAGACCAGGCCAGATGTCCAGGTCCCCGGGAATAGTCAGGGGCATGACCCTTCTGCCCCTGGGCTGGCTGCCCTATTCGCTTCCAGCACCTCTTGATAACCCCCCTCCTTTCCCTTGACCAATAGTTCCCAAACTGGGGTGCCTAGACCAGCAGCATCAGCATCGCCTGGGAGCTTGTCAGAATCGTGCATTCCCAGGTCCTCCCTACAACCACTGAATGCAAGTCCCTGGGGCACCTATACCTGCGTCTAACAAGCTCCCCAGCCATCCTGGTGCATCTGAATGTTTGAGAACCACTGACCTCTAGGCTAACTCCTGACTGGGCTCCCTGCTCCCACGGGTTTCTTCCTCCAAGTCATGTTTTCTACACACGCAGAATTGCCATTTCAAATCCCCTACTGCCATGTCACACTCTCCCTTATGTCTGGAGACCCCTCCATTGCCTTTTGAATAAATTCTCACCATTTTCAAGGCTCTTCACTTTTTAAAAATTGTGGTAAAATACACATAACATGAAATTTACCATTTCATTTATTCTCAATATAGAGGTCAGTGGCATAAGCACACTCACATTGTGGTACAACCATAACTCCTTTCCATCTCCAGAACTCTTTTTATCTTGTAAAACTGAAACTCTGTCCCCTTTACACACTAACTCCCCATTTCCCTTTTCCCCAGCCCCTAGCAACCACCATCCTGAGCTCTGTTTCTGTGAATTTGACTACTGAAGAGATCTTATGTAAGTGGAATCACAAAAAGCTATTCGTCCTTTTGTGACTGGCGTATTTCACTTAACAGAATACCTTTAAGGTTCACCTACGTTGTAGCATGTCAGAATTTCCTTCCTTTCTAAACCTGAATAATATTTCGTAAAATGTATATGCCACCTTCTGTTCATTCATTTATCAGTGGGCACTTGGGTAACTTTTTAAAATTGTGGTAAAATATACATAACACTAAATTCATCATCTTACCCATTCTCAATATAGAGTTCATTGGCCTCAGTACATTCACATTGTTGTGCAACCATAACTACCTTCCATCTCCAGAATTCTTTTTATGTTGTAAAACTGAAACTCTGTCCCCATTACACACTAACTCCCCATTTCCACCACCTAACTGGTGGAAATAGCCTTTTGGCTATTTATTGTAAAAAAAAAAAATGCTGCTGTGAACTTAGGTGTACAAATATCTCTTCTCAACGCCCTGCTTTCAATTCTCTCATGGAATTCTCATCCAGGAGTGAAACTGCTGGATCACATGCTAATTTTATTTTTAATTGTTGAGGAACTACCATACCGTTTTCCAAAAGGAGTGCCATAGAAACTATCCTTGCATTCCGGGAACAAATCCTACCTGGTCATGGTCTATGATCATTTTAATGTGCTGTTGAATTGTTTGCTAGTATTTTGTTGAGGATTTTCGCAACAATATTCATTAGGGACATCGGTCTGCAGTTTTCTTTTGTTGTAGTGTCTTTGTCTGGCATGGGTATCAGGGTAATTCTGGCCTCATAGAATGAGTTTTAAAGTGGTCCTTCCTCTTCAGTGTCTTGGAAAAGTTTGAGAAGGATTAGTATTATATTTTCTTTAAATATTTGGTAGAATTCACCAGTAAAACCATTAGGTCCTAGGCTTTTCTTTCTTGGGAGATTTTTGATTGCTACTCCAATCTCCTTTTGATTACTGATTTAATCTTCTTATTGGTCTGTTCAAATTTTGTATTTCTTCATAATTCAGTCTTGGTAGGTTGTATGTTTCTAGAAATTTATCCATTTCTTCTATGTTATTCAATTCATTGGCATATCATTGTTTATAATGTTCACTTATCATACTTTGCATTTATGTGGTATCAGTTGTAATGTCCCCTCTTTCATTTCTGATTTTATTTGAGACTTCTATCATAGTTAGTCTAGCTAAAGGTGTTTCAATTTTGTTTATCTTTTCAAAAACCCAACTCTCAGTTTCTTTAATCTTTTGTATTATTTTCTAGTCTTTATTCCATTTATTTCTGCTCTGATCTTTGTTTTTGTCTTTCTTCCGCTAACCTTGGACCTAGTTTGTTCTTTTTCTAGTTCCTTTGGAGGTAAAGTCAAGTTGTTTATTTCTGACCTTTCTTTATTCTTAATGTAGACATTTATCAATATAAACTTTCCTCTTAGAAATGGTTTCACTGCATCCCATAAACTTTGGTGTGTGATATTTCCATTTTTATTTGTTTCCAGATATTTTTTGAATTCCCTTTTGATTTCTTCTTTGACCCACTGATTATTCAGGAGCTTCTTGCTTCATTTCCACTTTTGTGAATTTTTCAGTTTCCTCCTTTGATTGATTTCTAGTTTCATAACATTGTGGCTGGAAAAGATCCTTGATGTGATATCAATCTTCTTGAATTTGTTAAGACTAGTTTTATGGCCTAACATATGATATGTCCTGGAAAACATTCCCTGTGAGCCCTTGAGAAGAATGCCCCATCTGCTGCTGTTGGATGCTATGTTCTGTATATGACTGTTAGGTCCATTTAGTGGAAAGTATAGTTCAAGCCCAGTGTTTCCTCTTGATTTTCTGTCTGGACGGTCAGTCCATTATTGAGAGTGGGGTACTGAAGTTCCCTACTGCTGTTGTACTCCTGTCAATTTTTCCCTTCAGGGTTGCTAACATTCACTTTATATATTTAGGTGCTCAATGGTGGGCATACATTTTTATATGCTGTATATCTGGGAATGTTTGAATTTCTCCCTCATTTTTGCATCTGTTGAAAGCCTTCGACTTTCTGCTTTATTTCTTCCCCTGATCCTTGTCCTGGTACCCCCTGCAGCTCTGACATATGGCAGCAGTCAGTACTGCCCCCAGGGTCTCCATCCTGATATCCCAAGCAGGCTGCCCTTCGCATCAACACTCCAAGATGCGTGGGACAGAAACCAGTTCCACAGGCAGCCCGCAGACAAGCCAGAACCCTGTAAACATGTTTCGGTCTTTCCCTTGTGTCCCCAGGGAGGTACCAGGAGTAGGGTGGCCTCCTCCTGACCGTGCTGGGAAGGAGGTGGGGCAGAGGTGAGCCAAATGCCACAACATTTCCTGCTGCTTTGAGTGTGGTTTTGTCCTCATTGGGAGTTGGCGTGATTGCTGCAGATCCTTAACCAGTTCCTGGAGTTCCCACTAGGCGACCTGGAGCCATGCATTGCCCCTCGCCTGGTGCTTCCACAGAGGAGCAAGGGTCTACAGCACCCTAGGCCACTGTCCTGCTGACATCACTCCTGCACAGCCTTTCCCTTTCACTAAATCACATCAATACTGCCTTTCCTCTGATGAGGCCTCCCAACCTCCATCTGGCCTCTAGGGCCCTTGTGCACAGGTCTTTTTTATAACATGTGCCCCATTCTGTTCCAGCAGAATTGCTCTCCTTCTCCAAGCATGAGAACCCCTGGGGACTTGCTGGAGCCAGAGTCCCAGGATCATCTCCCTGTGAATCCAGGCAGAACATCTGGGCTAGAACCCAGAAATCCACGTCTCTAGCAAGTGCCGCTGGTGATTCTTAACAAGGAGCCTGTGGAACAATAGAGTCTTACTGAGAAATGTCATCTCCCAAACTCAGCGAAATTCTACGAGATAAAAGGGTGATCGCCAACATCTTTGCCCACTTACTGCATGCAGACACTGCTCTGCACACTAGATGCGTATTAGCTCAGTTAATCTTTCAGTAACCTGTGCAATCAGTCCTATTATCATCCCATTTTACAGATGAGAAAGCTGAGGCATAAAATGCTTAAGCAATTTGCCCAGGTGACCTAGCTGGTAAGTAGAGGATTTCAGCTTGAGCCCAGGCCTTTATCTCCTTGCTCATAGTCTTCATAGCTCTGCTATACGTGTTTAATTATTCAAGGCTGTCCCCTCACAGATGTCATGATATTGTAGCATGCCAACAGGCCGCAGCCACTTGCACACCATAAAGGCCTCATCTCTGGCTATGCCCACAGCAAAAAAAAAAAAAAAGTAAAAAGTAAATAATGACTACTCCCACTAGGATATCCCTTCATGTAGACCAAGGGCCCTTTTTAAGCTCCTCACTCATCCTGCCCAGGCAGCATTTGGTACTGTTGACTACAGGCTTCTGGAAGAGCTCTTTTGCCTGTGTTCTGATGAGGTATTCTCCAGCTCCTCTCACTGAGCTGTTTTTGTGGGTGCTCTCCTCTGCCCTTCCATGAAGTGCTGGTGTGCATGGGGGCTTGTATCTAAACCCTCTTCTCCTGGACAACCTCACCATCCACATACCAGCAACTCCCACCCCTGGGTGTTCTTCCCAGACCTGTCTTCTGCATCCCAGACGCAGACCACTGCTCGCTGCTTCTCTGTGGACAGGACTTTAACCTAACCAGCTCAGCATGTGCGACGCTAAGCCGAGGGCCCACCTCCCAGGTATGCCTTCTTTCCAGCTCCCTGCCCATTACCCAGGCAGCTGTCCAACCAGACATGTTTGGGTTCTTACGGCTCTGAGGTGTGGTCTTGGACACATCGATCCTCATAAATGTTCCGTATGTATTGTAATCCACCAGGCTGAGCTCACTTTTCCACTAAATCATGCCTAACTGACAGTGGCTGACCACAATCAGAGTTCATTTCGTCTTCACACAACATGACGAGGTGGCTGCTTCTCGTGACTGGGCAGTGACTCAACAAAGCACCAGTGGTCCCAGCCCTACCTCTTACAGCCCTTCCCTCTACCGTGCCCTGGATCTTCTGGGTCACTTCTCATCACGCTCCAAAGCTCTGCTCAGACCTTCCCTCATCCAGAGACTGCTGCATGGTCCCTGCATCAAAATGGTGAGCTGTGGGACGGGACCACAGGGCCCCTTATGCAGAGCTGGTAGGAAGTTGAAGGAGCGCCTGGCTACACACCCCTCTCAGGATGCTGGTGTGTGGTAGAGGCTCAGAAATGGGCCTCTCCTGTTTCTCTGCACCACCGGTACCACTGCTCCCCATTCACAGCCCTTTCCACACAGGGACAGCCCATGTGTTCCCTGCTCTCCCAAACACTGTGGGGCTGTGAGGACAGGGACTTTGTCTCCTGCCTCTGTCTCCCTGCGGCCCAGCACAGAGCCGCTCTCATGGTGGACATCAATAAATATGCACCCAAGGATTAACTGTAGAGAAAGGGATGACAATAAGAGAAGCAGTTCTAGGTAAGTGGTTCCCGAGCTTTAGTGTGCATCACAATGCCCTGGGCTGTTGGCTTCAATGCAGATTTCTGACTCTGTAGGTCCAGGTGGGGCCAGAGGCTACCACTGCTGGCCCTGCCACCCTTCCCTGGGAGCCCCTGTGTGATAGATGCTGAAATGGAGAGTATAAGATGTTGAGAAACCTTCCCCAAACCGCTGAGGCTGACCCTTCAGGTGCCAAAAGTCACTTTCTGCCAGTCCACCTCCAACTTCAGCCACAGCTGCTGTGGACTCTCTGGACAGCTCAGAGCCTCCTGGTGCAACATGGCCCCGCCCAAGGTCAGTGCACCTGTCAGCATCCTGTCCCTAGGGAACTCTGATGCCAGGGAAGCCTTCCAGATCTTACAAGCACAGCCCAGAGGGCAGAGGGATAACAGCCAGTGGAGCAGCAGAAAAACCTCCATTCCCACCCCTCAGGAGAGCGAGACCACCAGGCATGGGGCATTGGAAAGAATCTTCCAGGGGCTGCCATGGTCCCTCCTTGATAATATGCCTCCCCCCACTGCGATGGGGGTCCCAAGAGACAGCGGGGGAAGAGGGGCTTGCTCTCAGTCCCCGCCTCTCGGGGGGTGACTCCCCCGCCTGTGATGGGGGTCCCAAGAGCCAGGGGGAGAAGAGGGGCTGGCTCTCAGTCCCCGCCTAGCGGGAGGTGACTGCCCCCCCTGCGATGGGGGTCTTAAGAGCCAGTGGGGGAAGAGGGGCTGGCTCTCAGGCACCGCCTCGCGGGGGTGCCTCCCCCCCTGCGACCGGGGTCCCAAGTGCCAGCGGGGGAAGAGGGGCTGGCTCTCAGTCTCCGCCTCGCGGGGGGTGAATCCCCCCACTGCGATGGGGGTCCTAAGAGCCAGGGGGGGAAGAGGGGCTGGCTGTCAGTCCCCGCCTCGCGGGGGGTGCATCACCCCCTTCGATGGGGGTCTTAAGAGCCAGGAGGGGAAGAGGGGCTGCCTCTCAGTCCCCGCCTCGTGGGGGGTGCCTCCCCCCACTGCGATGGGGGTCCTAAGAGCCAGGGGGGGTAAGAGGGGCTGGCTCTCAGTCCCCGCCTCGCGGGGGGTTCCTCCCCCCCCACGACGGTGGTCCCAAGAGCCAGGAGGGGAAGAGGGGCTTGCTCTCAGTCCCCGCCATGCTGGGGGTGCCTCCCCGCTGCGATGGCGTCCTAAGAGCCAGGAGGGGAAGAGGGGCTGGCTCTCAGTCGCCGACTCCCGGGGAGTGCCTCCCCCGCCCTCCGATGGGGGTCTCAAGAGCCAGGGGGGGAAGAGGGGCAGCCTCTCAGTCCCCGCCTCGCGTGAGGTGCCTCCCCCTACTGCAATGGGGGTCCTAAGAGCCCGGGGGGAAAGAAGGGCTGGCTCTGAGTCCCCGCCTCGCGGGGGGTGCCTCCCCCCACTGCTACGGGGGTCCTAAGAGCTAGAGGGGGAAGAGGGGCTGGCTCACAGTCCCCGCCTCGCCGTGGGTGCCTTCCCCCCTGCGATGGGGGTCCTTAGAGCCAGGGGGGTAAGAGGGGCTGGCTGTCAGTTCCCGCCTAGCGGGGGGTGCCTCCCCACCCTGCGATGGGAGTACTAAGAGCCAGGTGGGGTAGAGGGGCTGGCTCTCAGTCCACGCCTCGCGGCTGGTGCCTCCCCCCACTGCGATGGGGGTGCTAAGAGCCAAGGGGGGAAGAGGGGCTGGCTCTCAGTCCCCGCCTCACGGGGGTTGCCTCCCCACCAACCGCGATGGGGGATCGTAAGAGCCAGGGGGGAAGAGGGGCTGGCTGTCAGTCCCCGCCTCGCGGGGGGTGCCTCACCCCCCGGCTATGGGATTCCATAGAGCCAGCGGGGGAAGAGGGGCTGGCTCCCAGTCCCCAACTCGCGGGGGTTGCCTCCCCCCCCTGCGATGGGAGTCCTAAGAGCCAGGCGGTAAGAGGGGCTGGCTCTCAGTCCCTGCGTCGCGGTGGGTGCCTCCCCACCCTGCGATGGGGGTCCTAAGGGCCAGGGGGGGAAGAGGCGGAGAGGGTGGTAATAATTCCAGCATCGCAGGCTGTTCACCCAGCATGGGAAATTGTCCTTGATATCCTGAAAGGGAGAGGATGCTCTTATTCCCCATAATAGACAGATATGACTCCCCATAATAGAGCACGATGTGTACACCCACCCTGTGATATTCTTCCTAATATTCAGAGGCCGAGAGGTTGGTATTACTCCCAATATCGCAGGAAGTATACACCCCCGTGTGAGATGGTCCTTAATAATATTCCAAGGCGGAGGGGGTGATATGACTACACAGATGGCAGAAAGTGGACACCCCCCAGGGATATTGCTCCCACGATGCTGGAGGGAAGAAGATGATATGACTGTCAATATGACAGAAGGTGGACACGCCCCCACTCATATTGTTTCTAATTGCAACGTGGGAGAGGAGGATATGACACGCGATATCGCAGGGAGTAGAAACACCCCTGTGATACTGTTCTTAATATTCAGGGAGGAAGAGGATGATATTACTCCCAATACAGACGGGTGTACACCCTCTGTACACCGAGGGTGTACACCCGTCTGTGAAACAGTTCATAATCTCCAGAGGGGGAGATGATCTTACTCACAATATGGTAAACAGGCTGTGAGTCCACCGCGGATCCTAAGAGCCAGCGGGGGAAGAGGGGCTGGCTCTCAGTCACCACAGCATGGGGGGCCTTTATGTTCAGGTTTTGCCCAAGAGTCAGCTTATTTACTTCTTGTACTAGCAGGGCAGTTCTGCCAAGGCCCTCAAACAGGGGGGCCATCCTTTAGAAACCCTGTCTAGTTGTTTAGAGACTTAGGCCACCGGCCTCAGCCAGGGCCCCACAGTTTGGGTTAAAAGTCCAGCTGCCATCTTTTCTCTCTCTGACGCATACAATGGAAAAGGCTTTGTCAGATCGGGTAGCCCCAGGGCTGGGGCTGCCAGAAGTCAGATGTTTTTTTTCTTCTTGAATCTCTTTTGTAAGTTATAGTTTTCTGGGAAATTTCCCATTTCCTTATTTATTGCATTCTTTCGTTACCTTTTTAATAGCTCTAGAACTCTATAGTTCTGCTCCCTTTTTATTTCTTTTTTTTTTTTTTTTTTTTTTTTTGAGATGGAGTCTGGCCCTGTCGCCCAGGCTGGAGTGCAGTGTCGCGATCTCAGCTTACTGCAAGTTCCGCCTCCCGGGTTCACGCCATTCTTCTGCCTCAGCCTCCCCAGTAGCTGGGACTACAGGCGCCCGCGACCACGCCCAGCTGATTTTTTGTATTTTTAGTAGAGACGGGGTTTCACCGTGTTAGCCAGGATGGTCTCGATCTCCTGACCCTGTGATCCACCCACCTCGGCCTCCCAAAGTGCTGGGATTACAGGAGTCAGCCATGGCGTCCGGCCTCCTTTTTTATTTCTATGGTTGTTTATTTGTGTCTTATATCTTTTTGTCATGAGAAATTTCTCCAAATTTCTATTCGATTAGTCTTTTCCAAGAGTCAACTTTTGGCTTCGATAGTCCCATAAAATAGGAAGATCTTTCTCTCTTCTTGATTTCTTCTCCTGATTGTTTTCTTTCTTTCCTTCTTTTTAAACATATTTTATTTTATGATTTTTTGAGACAGGGTCTTGCTGTGTCACCCAGGCTGGAGTGCAGTGGCACGATCTTGGCTCACGGCAACCTCCGCCTCCCGAGTTCAAGTGATTCTCTTGCCTCAGCCTCCTGAGTAGCTAGGATTACAGGTGTGCACCATGACACCCAGCCAATTTTTGTATTTTTAGTAGAGATGGGGTTTCACCATGTTGGCCATGCTGGTCTTGGAACTTCTGACCTCAGGTGATCCGCCTGCCTCAGCCTCCCAAAGTGTTGGGATTACAAGCATGAGCCACCATGCCCGGCCTCAGAGTCTGTTTCTTACTGGATCCTGTTGTCTGGTAGAAGGAGGTCTTCAAAGTTTCCAGACTCCTGTTCAGCCAGGATTGCTTTTGAATGGATCTTCCCCAAGGTTCGCTTGGGCCACAGGAAGACCAGACACCCCTGCCTGCCCTTGGGGAGTGGTAGACCTTGGGCAGCCTCCTCTCCACTGACCAGCAAGAGCAGATCCAGCCCATCCCTCACCTTTAGACTTTTCTTGGCAATAGTTGGACCCCAGTCCACAAGCTCCAAGGCTGGCAGTCAGCTCCTCCTCTACTGTGGTTCTCTGAAATGGCCCTCTTTGGGCAGGAGGCAGAGAAGCGGCTCTCTCCTAGTGCCTGCTCCTAGTGAGGATAATTAGTTAGAAGGAGAGAGACTCAGGTCAGGAAGGAAGGACCTTTGAGGCCTTTGCTTAGGAGGCAAGGCCCTCTGGGTGGCTTGTAATGCTCACAGCACATTTAGTAGGCGGGGACACATTGGATGTGCACTTCGGTGCCTGTATGTACCCTGAGCTACACAGGAAGGGGATGAGGCAGGGTGTGGGGAGGCAGGAAGAGGAGGAGACAGGCTGTGCACGGTGGCTCATGCCTATAATCCCAGCACTTTGGGAGGTGGAGGAAGGAGGATCACTTGAGGTCAGGAGTTGGAGACCAGCCTGGCCAACATGGTACAATGCCCAGCTCTTCCAAAAACACAAAAATTAGCCGGGCGTGGTGGAATGCACCTGTAATCCCACCTACTCAGGAAGGCTGAGGCACGAGAATTGCTTGAATCTGGGCGGACGTTGCAGTGAGCTGAGGTCACGCCATTGCACTCCAGCCTGGGCAACACAGCTAGACTCAGTCTCAAAAAAAAAAAAAAAAAAAAAAGAAGAGAAGGAGACAGTGGGAGGGAGAAGGGCCAGGCTCCCACCCCCCAGCCCCAGCACCTGCCTGGGACACAGCTGAGCCCTGAAGCTCTTCAGCCCTGGGCTGGGGGCTCTCTGAGCAGCCCAGCTGCAGCTGTCTACACAGGCGGGGCTGCCCATGACCCGGGTCCCCTCCTGAGAAGAGTCCAAGTCCCTTTGTGAAGAGGTCTGTAGTGCAGGTGGCCCAGGACAAGAGGAATCTGGGGTGTGGGGAGAAGGGGTCTATGGGGTCAAGGAGACTATGCTGGCTGCAAAATGGCCCCCAAAATATATCCATGTAAATGAATAATGTAAATGTAACTTTATGTAGAAAAAGGTTTCAAAGGCTGGGCATGGTGGCTCATACCTGTAATCCCAGCACTTTGTTTGGGAGGCTGAGGTGGGCAGATCACTTGAGGCCAGGAGTTCGAGACCAGCTTGGCCAACATGGTGAAAGTGCATCTCTACTAAAAATACAAAAATTAGCCAAGCATGGTGGCACACACCTGTAGTCCCAGCTACTCGGGAGGCTGAGGTGGGAGAATCGCTTGAACCAGGAAGCGGAGATTGCAGTGAGGCAAGATCGCGCCATTGCAGCCTAGCTAACAGCGAGACTCCGTCTCAAAAAAAAAAAAAAAAAAAAAGTATTTGCAAATGATTAAGGATCTTATTCTTTATTATTTTTTTTAATTTCATAATGGTTAACATCCTAATGCCTGTTCTTTTCTTGGTGCACATTTGTTACAGTACCTAATGCCTGATTTTTAAGGTGAATGAATGACGTATGTATATTACTCAAAGGCAAATGACACATAAGCTATTTTTTGTTGTTGGTGGTGGTGGTGTGGCCCAGATGTTTTTCCTCTCCTGAAGGGCAAGAATTTTCTCATTCCTTTTGGATGTTGTTTGTTTGTTTGTTTGTTTGAGATAGGGTCTCGCTCTGTCACTGAGGCTGGAGTGCAGTGGTGTGATAACAGCTCACTGCAACTTTGTGGTAATTTGCTGTAGTAATTTGATGATTTGGGAAATTCTCAGCTTCTCTAGATTGCAGAAGATGCTAACAATAGGAAATTCACTGTTAAGAAAGTGAACTCTTGAGAGAAAGCCAAGGGTGTGGCCTGCGGATGTGGGGAAGAGGTGGCCAAGCCAGGGGCCCCGGAGGTATGGGAAGGAAGGGACCTGAATCAAGGGAACCCAGCAGTGTGGGAGGAGGTAGTTCAGGACAGGGGACCCAAGAGTGTCAGGAAGAGGTGGGACCCAGTGGTGTGGGGAGGTGGCCCAGGACAGGGGGACCTCGGATTGTAGGCAGAACCTGGAGAACCACGAGACGCTTCAGTTGGGGCAGATCCAGGCTGAGCTCCCAGGGAGGGGCGCTTGGGACTGCAGTGACCTGGGAGAGGCCAGTGCCCACCCAAGGCCTGAGGGAGTCTGGGCCCAGGGAGAGGCACCCAGACCTGTGCCCTGCAGCCTTGGGCCTGCCCATCATGGCAATGCAGAGGGCTCCCCCTCCTGACAGGTGATTCTGAGAGTCACAGGACAGGGCAGGGAGTGGTCCTCCCTCCGGCCCAAGGTCTGGGCCACCAAACTTTGTACCCAGAAACTCACACTTCCCCCTCAGACCTCTGACCTGGGCCCTCTGAGAATCGGGCTGAGAAGGACAGTGGCCAGGTGAAGGCCAAGGTCTCTGGGTGTTCTCGGCATCTCCTGCTGCTCTGCCGCTGGCACTGCCCTCCCTTCCCCTCACCCAACTCTGCACTGGTCCAAGTTGTCCCCTCCTTTTGAAGGTGGACACGCTTTCCCTTTGGAGCGAGATCTGGTCCTCGCTGCCTGTCACAGCCTTGTTCATGTCCCCCTCCCCCAAAGAGGGAGGCTCAGCCATGGAACCCACCCCCTCAGCTGAAATAAACACGTGCTGCCAAGGAGGAGTGGGGGCTGGGTCTGCGATGTCCATCCACCACTGGGATGAAGTGGAGGGCATAGAGGCTGCAGCCTGTTCCATCCTCAGCCCCCGCAGGGCACCAGAGGGGCTCCAGGCAGGAGGCTGTGTGTTGTGGTTCTGAAGCCAGGGATGTCTTCAGGGACATTTGGTCTCATTTGACCCTTCCGGAACCTATTACCCTGCCCCCTGGGCTGGGCACGCTCCTGGACTGTCCTGGGCTCTCGGGAGAACCAGCTTTCAGGAGAGCCAGACCGGTCCTCTCACCCAGCCACCTCTGATGGTGCCAGCGGAGGCCCAGCCAAGGACCTGGAGAGCAGGGAGCACGGGAGCATGTGGGGTAACGCAGGGGTGGCCGCAGTGGAGATGCCCCTTTCCTGGGGTGCTGGGGGCTGCAGTCCGGGCAGGAGGGGTGCAGAGCTGGGAGGAGCATTGGTTTTGAGCAGCACCAGGACCATGTGGGACAGAGGCCTATGACAGAGGGACTGCGGCCCAGCTCCATGGGAGCCTGGCATCCACCACTGCCTGCCGCTGCCTGTGTCCACCCTAGACCCTGCTCAGAGCCTTGACGTCCACTCCGCTGCCACCTATGATCATTGTGGGCCCTCTTGCCCGCATAGGAGTCCAGGCTCTGGAGTAAAAGGCAGAGCACCCATCTAAGCAGCATGCCTGGGCCAGGCACCAAGGGATGGAACCAGCAAGGGCCCTGGGCCTAGACCTCAAGCAGCAGGGCCCGCTTCCCCCTGTCTGGTGGACCCCAGGGGTTCACCAGAGGGAGGAATCCAGTGGGTGTACTTGGGGGAGGGTTGGGAGGGGATTTTCACAGGCGGGCAGGGTCCCTGTCAGGTAGAAGGGGCAGGAGGACCTCAAGGCCCCTTGGCGAGCCTTGGCATGAGAGAGGATGGGGGTTGGAAAACTGTTTCTGGAAACAGGAGACTCAGCCCAAGACCCTGGCAGGGCAAGCTCCTCACACTAAACAGCCCCTCCCGTTCCTGGGTGTTTGAGAGTCGGGTGCCCAGCCCGGACCTGCCGTGACCAAGGAGAGCTGATCTGCAGACACCAAGACTTCCTGCATCTGTGACTGGGCCTCCTGGGGGCATCTTGACTGTAGACTCCTTCCAGGTGTGGTACCTGGCTCCTAGAAGCCTAGCCAGTCACCTCCTGCCCAGCCTTCAAACACGTCAGAGGGTTAACCATTCATGGCCACGCTGAACACTACTCACAAGATCCGGAAACCAGAATGGGGAGTCAGACTGGATTCCTGAGATGTAAGGACCGCCAGGAAGCATCTTGCTGCCTTCATGCATGGATGAGACCTGGGCCTCTCCATGGGAGGACAGGCTGCTGCAGTCTCCAGGGAGCACCCACTCTTGGGCGTGGAGAGTGGGGACAGCTGCCTGCCAGAGACTGCGAGGGGAGGTCGGGAGCAGCCGGAGTACTTCTGGTCTCTGGCCACGGAAAACCCAGGCAGGGACCTGTCTTTAAGCTCCTGCTGTTGCTAAGCCGACCTGCACAGCAGGACTTGGGAGCCCAGCCCAGCTCCTCTCAGGAGGGGCTTGGCCCCATTGCTTCTGTGTGGCTCGTTGAGGGCTCACTAGAGGCACCTGCAGCTCCTTGAGAGAAAGCAGGCCCAGTCCAGGGGCCACGGTGGAAACCATAGGAGGGGCCGAGGGGAGGCAGGTGGGTGCCTGTCATGCCATGCACAGTGCCACACGTGTCGTGGAGATTGTCCCAAGAGCCCCGGGGTCCAGGGACTCCCCCAAGCGCTGAGCAGTGTGAACACTTGTGTACCCTCATTGGCTAGGGCCCAATGAATGGGGCCCAGTGGAAAGGGGGTGGGTGAGGAATGGGGCCCCAGTGTCCTGTTGACCCTGGAGCCCTTGGAGTCGGTCAAGTCTGAATGGGAGGTCTACACCACAGTCCTTACCCAACCTTCCTAGTGCTGAGTCCTGAAGCTTGTGTGGTGGGTCTATGTAGAGCTGACCCCCTCCCTGCAGCCCTGCTAGACTCTGAAGAGAGCCAAGGCCAGTGGGTAGGAGACAGGTCTGGAGCTGGTGCAGAGAGAGGAATGAGCCCTGCATGGGTTTGATCAGAAACTCAGCCTTGTGTAGGGACACCCTGGGGCCCGGTGCTGTCCATGCATGACCTCACAGAAGCGCAGAGCTGCCCTCTCTACAGAGGAGCGCCTGATTTGTGTGGGAGCTAGGCAGAGATCTGCATGCATGCGGAGGAGCCAGGCTTCAAGCCAGCCTGGGGGACCCCCAAGCGGGACTATCTCCCCTTCTGCACCTGGCTCTGGTGTCTTCCCACTGTGGACCCAGTGCCCTGCTCACCCACCACATTCATACCCTGGAGTCCTGGGTCCTCAGAGATCCATGACACTGCCTCACCCCCAACTTCAAATTCTCTGGGGCTCCACCCGCTGGTCTCAGCTACGTGAAGCAGTCACCGTAGACTAGAGGGTACTTTTTAGATTTAGGTCACTCTATCATCCAGGCTGGAGTGCAGTGGCACAATCATAGCTCACTGCAGCCTCGGCTTCCTGGGCCCAAGTGATCCTCCCACCTCAGCCTCCCCGAGGATACGTGGTTTTTTTTTTCTTTTTTCAGACAGGGTCTCACTCTGTCTCCCAGGCTGGAGTGCAGTGGTGCGATCTTGGCTCACTGCAGCCTCCGCCTCCCGGGTTCAAGCCATTCTCCTGCCTCAGCCTCCTGAGTAGTTGGGATCATAGGCATGCATCACCCCACCTGGCTAATTTTTGTATTTTTAGTAGAGACGGGGTTTTGCCATATTGGCCAGGCTAGTCCCTGAGGATACATTTTTTTTTTCCCCGAGATGGAGTCTCCCTCTGTCGCCCAGGCTGGAGTGCAATGGCGCAACCTTGGCTCACTGCAACCTCCGCCTCCCAGGTTCAAGCAATTCTTCTGCCTCAGCTTCCCGAGTAGTTGGGATTACAGGCATGCGCCACCATGCCCAACTAATCTTTGTATTTTTACTAGAGACAGGGTTTCACCATGTTGGTCAGGCTGGTCTTGAACACCTGACCTCAGGTTATCCACCCGCCTCAGTCTCCCAAAGTGCTGGAGTTACAGGCGAGAGCCACTGCGCCCAGCCGAGGATACCTTTTTTTTTTTTTTTTTAAGACAGAATATCGCTCTGTTCCAGGCTAAAGTGCAAAGGCGTGATCTCGGCTCACTGCAACCTCCGCCTCCCAGGTTCAAGCTGTTCTTCTGCCTCAGCCTCCCGAGTAGCTGGGATTACAGGCGCCTGCCACCATGCCCTGCTAATTTTTGTATTTTTAGTAGAGATGGGGTTTCACCGTGTTGGCCAGACTGGTCTCGAACTCCTGACCTCGTGATCCACCCGCCTCAGCCTCCCAAATGCTGGGATTACAGATGTGAGCCACCGCACCCGGCCTGGCAGAGGATACTTTTTAAGGTCAAAGACAGTAGCAGAGGTGGAGTTCCTGGGAACAGGGTCATGAGGGGAAGAGGGGGTTCGGAGGGAGCGAGTAGCCACTGGCTACCTCTAGAAAGGGAAGGCTTTGGTGCAACATCGTTCCCCTGCAGTTTTACTCATCTTTGCTTCCTGCCCTTTCATCATCCAATCGGGCAGGCAGGACAGGGCCTGAGGGGGCAGGGATCCAGTGGGTGCCTCTCTAGACTAACCCCAGCTCAGGACTCCCAGAGCCCCTTCCCTGAGGCCCTGCTGCCCCCAAGCCCAGATTGGGGATCCCAAGCAGCACGTAGGCAGAGCCAGTGAGGTCCCCGTTAGTCCCATTGAAAGCTCTAAAACCAGCGAACCCTCAGTCCAGCCTCAGGTCAGGCATCCAGGACGGCCTCAGCCCTCATGGGTGAGCCATCTCTGCGGACACTGCACAGGGCCTACGATCCATCGCTGCCTCCCGAGGATGCCAGCCAGGCCCCCGTTGAGATAACTGCTTCCCTGCTGGACAAGGCTGGGACCAGCCATCTCGGTGACAGTTCCAGAACCCCTGGCCTGGGCTGCTGGGTTCAATGGAAAAAGGCTGTGACTAGAGTCAGGGGGATGGTCTCAGTGACCTCAAGGATAAGGCCAGATCCTTGCACTGTCAGTGACCCAAAGCAACAGGTGTCCAGAGCAGCAGTGTGGCGCCTTCACGCCCCCACACATCAGCCCAACTCACCCAGGACAGGGACTGTAGCCTCAGCACTCAACCCATGTGCCCTGTGTGGGGTCTCTTCCCACTGCACTCACAGGAGAGGAAGGGTCCCTCAGGGGTCCACTGGGGTCCCCTCCTGCAAATGGGGCAAGGAGAGGGGCAAGGGGCTGTCTCAAGGCCCCTGGAGCACATGCAGGTCCTGGACTGGGGCTCCTGGGAGGGCCATGATTCTGGGCTCCATGAGTTCAGAGCAGACGCCTTGTTTTTCCTTGTCCACTGTCAGCCACCCCACCCTTCCCTGACCCTTAAAAGAACCAGGAAACAGCACATGATCTGTTGGAAGGAGGCATTCATTCTTTCCTTTCTGTGGGTGTGGGGAGGGGACCACAGGGCACATACCCCACCCTGGGATCCAGCTGAGCAGGGGGGTCAGAGATGACAGCTCTTCCGGCTCACAGGCCACCGGCCCACATACAGGGCAATCAGAAGAAAGAAACAGCACAAGGAAGGCACAGAGGGAGTCGTTGTCCCTGCCAGAGGTGCAGCACTCCGGGAATGTCCCTCACTCTCCCCGTCCCTCTGTCTTGCCCAATCCTGACCAGGTGCAGAAATCTTGCCAAGTGTTTCCGCAGGAGTTGCTGGCAATTGCCTCACATTCCTGGCCTTGGCAAAGAATGAATCAACCCACCCTAGATCCCATAAATAGGGCCACCCAGGTGAGCCTCTCACTCGCCACCTCCTCTTCCACCCCTGCCAGGCCCAGCAGCCACCACAGCGCCTGCTTCCTCGGCCCTGAAATCATGCCCCTAGGTCTCCTGTGGCTGGGCCTAGCCCTGTTGGGGGCTCTGCATGCCCAGGCCCAGGACTCCACCTCAGACCTGATCCCAGCCCCACCTCTGAGCAAGGTCCCTCTGCAGCAGAACTTCCAGGACAACCAAGTAAGGGGCCAAGAGGGGCACCTGCAGGCAGGGCCTGGGGAAGAGTGGGAGCAGAGGGGAGGAGAGGTGAAGAGACTCAGGAAGAGCGTTGGGCAGGACTCTAGGAGTCCAGGGTCCAGGTTTCAGCTCACTCTGTGCCACCAGGGTCCCCTGGTGGAAACCATGCCCCTTCCCCCCATCCCCACCCCCTCTCAGCCTGAACAGACTCCCCCAGGTCCACATCCCCTCTCCCATAACCCCCATTGTCCAAAGAAGGTGGGAGCACTTTTAGTCCCCCTGCACAGATGAGGAAACTGAGGCTCAGGAAGGCCCACCAGCCACATGCCTCCTCCAGTGAGGAGGTCACCCTCCTCCCTGCCAGACTCAGAACCGCCTCTTCCCCCAGGACTCCCTTCTGGACTGATGGCCTCCTGCTCCTGCCCCTTCACCAGTGCAGGCCCAGCCTGGGCCCTGCTGCCCAGCTAGAGGGGCTCATGGTTCCAAGCTGGGCGGCCCAGAGGTGCCACAGGGACAGAGCTGGAGGGGTGGCTCCTAGGGCCATTCCTGGGTTGTGCCTCTTATCAGTCCCTTGCAGTTCCAGGGGAAGTGGTATGTGGTAGGCCTGGCAGGGAATGCAATTCTCAGAGAAGACAAAGACCCGCAAAAGATGTATGCCACCATCTATGAGCTGAAAGAAGACAAGAGCTACAATGTCACCTCCGTCCTGTTTAGGTGAGGGCCGACATCTCCTGGGGGTGTGAGAGTCAGACTGACGTCACAGGCAAGGGATGGCCAAAGCTGAGGGATCCTGTCGTTCACCTCGCTGTTCTGCCCGGAATTCATCTGTGTTCATCCTTCCTCTGTTCCTTAGAGCAACGTTTATAGCACATTTCCATGCAGACACACAGACAGTGGTGGGGATGGACATGCACAGTCGTTAGAAAACAAGACGGAGAGAGGAGGGGTGCCTGGGAGCGGGAGGAGGGGACACTGGATCCAGCCTGGAACCCCACCCAGTGCCTTCATGGAAGGCTTCCAGGGAGGTGGCCTTAAAAGAGCCAACCTGCTTCAAAAGGAAATGTGGGGTGTTCCCGGCAGGGGCTGGAGTCAGAGAGAGCCCCCCCTTCAGGAAGGAGCAAGCCATCGCAGGGTCACCCTGAGCAGAGCTGCTGAGCAGCCTGGAGGGGCAGGTGGCCACGCTAGCACCTAGCACGGTCCTCAGGCCCCGCCCCAGCGGATCTGCTGCGGAGTGGCTTAGAGCAGGGCTCTTGGGCCGCAGGGTGGGGAGACTTGGTGGGGTGCAGCCTAGGGGGTCGGGAGACCAGCGAAAGTGAAGCGGGGCCGTCACAGGTGTGAGAGAACAGGCGCAGGGTGAAGAGGCAGGGAGCCAGGGATCAGCCGCCCCCAGTGGGTTTCTGACTCTGGCAGCTGAGTGGATTGGGATTGGGGCATTTGTGGAGCAAGGAGCAGAATACAGACAGGTTGGGGAGCTCAGCCCTGGGGTGCCAGGGGATGGGAAGTGGGAGGACTCAAGGATGGGGTCAGGTTTGACCCGAGAGCTAGGGGAACGGCTGGCATGGAGCAGACTGGAAGTACCGAGGTGGATCCCCGGGAGAGGGTATAGGAAGGGAAGCAGCAAGCTGAGTGCAGGGGAGAAATGCAGGGTTTCTGTGTGTTGGGTGGCGGGGGGGGTGAAAGCCACCCAGGGAGGCAGCCAAAGGAAAGAAGGACATCGGGTGCTGGAGGGTCTGAGTGGGGTCCAGGGGCCCCAGGCAGGCCAGGAGGGACAGCCTGGTGTCAGCTCAGGGAGAAGGCCCAGGCCCATCTCGGCTGGGTGGGGTAGGGCCCCTCCAGGTAGTGGGGGATGAGCTGTCACGGGTTGGGCCGGACTGAGAGCAACAGAACCCTGCTGCTGCCCTGGCCCCACCTTGTCCAGCACAGGAGGCCCAAGCCTGGGTTGTCTCCCCTCTCACCCACCCATCTCTCCCTCCCAAGGAAAAAGAAGTGTGACTACTGGATCAGGACTTTTGTTCCAGGTTGCCAGCCCGGCGAGTTCACGCTGGGCAACATTAAGAGTGAGTCTTGAGTGAGGTGGGGCACTGAGTTGGGGCTCCGGGGAGCTGGGTAGGGGCACAGACCTTCCTGCCCCTCCACACAGATGTGTTGTATGGGGAGAAGCCCACGTTGATGGGCTGGGGAGGGAGGGGACAGCTCCCTCCTCCCATCCAGGGCAGGGCTGACCCCTCACCGTCCACGCCTGCAGGTTACCCTGGATTAACGAGTTACCTCGTCCGAGTGGTGAGCACCAACTACAACCAGCATGCTATGGTGTTCTTCAAGAAAGTTTCTCAAAACAGGGAGTACTTCAAGATCACCCTCTACGGTGGGTCCTCTCCCATCCCCTCGGGGACTGGCTCCTGATCACACTTAGTGGGAGGGGAGGCCGGTCCCCCATGAGGAAGGGATCTGAGGCCTCATCTACTCATTCAACGATATTTATGTGGTGTCTGCCAGCCACTCACTGGCCATCTTGGTCACAGGGAGAACCAAGGAGCTGACTTCGGAACTAAAGGAGAACTTCATCCGCTTCTCCAAATCTCTGGGCCTCCCTGAAAACCACATCGTCTTCCCTGTCCCAATCGGTAATGGCCAGTCTGGATGAGGGGACGGGGACATGGGGACTGTTCAGGCAGGATGCTTCCCTACCAGGGATCAGGGAGAGGAGGGACTCCGTCCTCAGCTTCAGTCACTGGAGCAGTGGATGGTCCAGGAGCTCCTTGGAAGCCACTCTGGGCCCAGGAAGACTGTGCCCCACCCCAGGGTCTATGGGACTCCCAGGGACCCAGGCCGCAAGTGCTCTTTCCTGGCAGTTTAGCCCGGGTCTGCCCAGACAAGGATTTCAGGCCCAGGCCTGAGTATCCATTTCTCAGTCTCACTGGCCTGACACCTCTGGCCACCCTCCCAGGCCCCCTTGTTCTGGGCCATCTCCCCCGACCCTCCCAGGCCTCGTCACCCTGGGTTTTGCTGTCCTGGCTGTCCTCTCTCCCCTGGGGACTTGCTCACCACTGACTTGGGAGCTGTCCTTGACTCCAGGGAGCCTGGCTTGGGCAGGAGGCTCCAGCCAGGCCATTCAGAGAGCCACTGGCCTCCCCCAGGCTGAGAGACTGCCTGGACTGGTAAACAGGCAGGAGACCTGGGTGCCCGAGGAGCCTGGGAGCTGGGCCTCACTCAGGGCAGCCCCTCCCCAGGCCTTTCTCCCACATCCCCTGCCCTGCCATCCACCCCTCTGTTGCCCCATCTCTGAAAGGAACCCCCATATCTTCTGCAGCTGGGCCAGGTGGGGCAGGGGCTGCCCAGGGGCAGTGCAGAGGACCTGGCAGTCAGGGATCACACACACACACTCATACACGCACACACACACACAGCTGCCTGTTCTGACGGACTTTCTCCCTAACAGACCAGTGTATCGACGGCTGAGTGCACAGTGAGTGTGGCTGGGCGGCTGCGAGGGGGCTTGTGGGAGGCCAGGGTGCAGTGGGCTGGGGGTCTTGGGCCTGCCTTTGCTCATCCCCCTGCCCCCCAGCACTGCTGCTGTCTTTATTCTGCTGTCCCCATCTCGGGTGCCTCCCATTTCCCCACCCATCACCCTCATATCCACCTCTGTCCAGGGTGCCGCCAGCTGCCGCACCAGCCCGAACACCATTGAGGGAGCTGGGAGACCCTCCCCACAGTGCCACCCATGCAGCTGCTCCCCAGGCCACCCCGCTGATGGAGCCCCACCTTGTCTGCTAAATAAACATGTGCCCTCAGGCCTCTGAGTCTACACTGTTTGACCCCTGGGCCTTCGAGGAAGGGGAGGGGCGGGAGGCTCCCACTGGCATCACTCTCAGGGTCTGCACCCCCAGGATGGAGCCTAGCGAACCCAGCCTGGGTGTTAGGGCTGCAGAGTGAAGACACAAGCCCCTGGTCATCACCAGCAGCTTTGTGGCTGACCACCCTGAGTCCTTCCCACGTGGTGTAACACCGTCCTCCCTCCTGCTGTGACATGGCGCCCAGCCCCAGAGCAGCGGCAGTTCTCACATTCCCCTGCCTAGGAGGGTGCCCAGTCCATCGCAGACACGGTGGGCCACACCCCATCAGAGTGCGACAGGGGCATGCACAGCTGGAGGCTGTTCCAGGCAGAGGGTCGGCTCGGCGGGGATGGTCCCCTGCCCCTCTGCCAGCCCACTGTGGGCCCCGTGGGTGAGGGGCCATGTCCATGCTAACCCCGTTTCAGAGCGTGCTGCCCCTTACCCCACACCTCCCCGCCTGATGACATCCAGGCCACCTTGGGGGTGCATTCTGAAGCCAGGGGCAGGGCCAGGGGGAAGTGAGGAGGGGCTGTGCCGCCAAGAATCCAATTCCCCAGGACTCAGAGGGCTCCAGGCCTGCACTTATCACTTGGCTGCCTGTGTCAGGCCTGACAAGCCCCTGGTCCCCCACTGGCCGCAGAGGCAACCTCTCCAGGTCCGCATCATGCACAGGCACTCCCTCCCCAGCCCCTTCTCCCCGTGCAAGTTCAGAGGCCAGAGTGGGTGGGGTTCTGAGGAAACCCCATGGACAGACACACCACCCCGTTCACCCTCGGCTAGGGTTAGGGTTAGGGTTAGGGTTAGGGTTAGGGTTAACCCTAACCCTAACCCTCGTTCACCCTCGGCTGGGCTAAGGAGAGATGCTGGCACTGTGAACCAGCCCCAGCCTCGGACCCCAAGGAGCAGGACAGGCCTGAGACCCAGGCCCACCAAATGCTGCCAAAGCCTCGGAAGTCTGGTCCAGACTCCCGGAAGAGGCCAGCTTGGTGCAGCCCCAGCTTTGAGAGAGGGATGGGACTGTTCCCAAGCCCAGAGAGGCTCAGGCTGAGAAAGTCACCCAGGGACTGCTAGCTGGCCAAGGGGGTGGAAAGTGCACCCAGCACGCCTGGCCCTTGGGCTCCAAGTGGGGCAGCAGATCTAGTTTCCTAGCTTGGCCCAAGCAAGGCAGCTTCCTGTCACCCCCTGGGCCTGCTGAGCCTTTGAGGATCAAACCCTTAGGGCCTAGAAGGGCTTTGTGTTTCCTTCCAGGTCGCCATAGGTTTGAGTTTCCTATTGCCACTATTGAAAGAGGCAGGATGGCCAGCCGCAGTGGTTCACACCTGTAATCCCAGCACTTTGGGAAGCCGAGGCGGGCGGATCACCAGGTCAGGATATCGAGACCAGCCTGGCCAACATGGTGAAACCCTGTCTCTACTAAAAATACAAAAAAAATTGCTGAGCGTCGCAGCGTGCGCCTGTAGTCCCAGCTGCTCAGGAGGCTGAGGCAGGAGAATCACTTGAACCCTGGAGGCAGAGGTTGCAGTGAGCTGAGACTGCGCCACTGCACTCCAGCCTGGGCAACAGAGCGAGCGAGACTCCGTCTCAAAAAAAAAAAAAAAAAAAAAAAATAAGTGGCAGGAGGAGACAGACAAATATCTTGGCAGATAGGGGCAAGTCCCCAGTGAAACCCCACCTCCAAGCCAAAGACAGTTTAAAGCCTGAAAGCAACGCTACAACTCAAATCCATGGACCAGATTAAGACCCTGTCATCCATTTGGCACGCTTTCCTCTGATTGATCCCCACCCTTCTCCTATTTTACATATACCTCCCCATCCCTAATTGTGTTTTTTTTTGTTTGTTTGTTTTATTTTGACATGGAGTCTTGCACTGTCACCCGGGCTGGAGTGAAGTAGCATGATCTTGGCTCATTGCAACCTCCACTTCCCAGGTTCAAGAGATTCTCCTGCCTCAGCCTCCCAAGTAGCTGTAATTACAGGTGCCCATCACCATGCCTAGCTAATTTTTTTTTTGTATTTTTAGTAGAGACGGGGTTTCACCATGTTGGCCAGGCTGGTCTCGAACTCCTGACCTTGTGATCTGCCCCCCCCTTGGCCTCCCAAAGTGCCTAATTGGTTTTTTACACTGTCATGCCCACCTTTGAGTGGTGCCTTTGTTTTAGCCTTCGTTTTGCATACTCACAAGCCAATCAGCATGCACTCCCCATTCTGAGTCCAGAAAAGCCCTAGACCCAGCCACACTGAGGGAGAGACTGCCCAACTTGGGGTGCGGGACCACTCTCACATCCCCTCTTTGCTGAGAGTTGTTCCATCACTCAACAAAATTATTCTCTGTCCTCCTCACCCTTTGATTGTCAGCGTATCCTCATTCTTCTTGGACTCCGGACAAGAGCTTGAGACCCACCAAGTGAGGGTACAAAGAAAGCTGTAACAGTGCTAGGGTTGAGCCAGCTCTGGAGCCACAGGCCAGAGCAGGTAACAGGGCTGACATCTTCCTGGACAGGGGTGTCACTGGCTGGGGGTCTCCGGCCGGCAGAATGACCAAGAAAAATCCTGTGTCACTATCATAAATCACCACAAACTGTGGGTTTAAAACAACACCTATATATTCTGGAGGTCAGAAGTTTGAAATCAGTTTGACTGGGCAGAAATGAGGGTCCACAGAGCTGTGCTTCCTCCAGAGGCTCTCAGGGAAGCTGCTCCCTGCCCTTCCCAGCTTCTCATGCTATCTTCCTTGCACCCCTTAGCCTGTGGCTCCTTCCTCCTTCAAAGGCAGTGGAGCATCAGCAAATCTCTTTCTCTGCTGAGGGCCTCACTCTCAGCCAAGGAGGGCAGGCTAGGCTGGGCACCATGGCTCACATCTGTAATCTGAGCACGTGGGGAGGCTGAGGTGGGAAGATCACTTGAGTCCAGGAGTTTGAGACCAGCCTGGGCAAGATGGTGAAACTCTGTCTCTACAAAATTGAAAATATTAGCCAGGCGTGGTGGTGGTATGCCTGTAATCTCAGCTAATCTGGAGGCTGAGGTGGGAGGATCACTTGAGCCCAGGAGTTTGAGACCAGCCTGGGCAAGATGGTGAAACCCTCTCTCTACAAAAATAAAAATATTAGCTGGGTGTGGTGGTGGTGCACCTGTAGTCTCAGCTAATCCAGAGGCTGAGGTGGGGAGTTTGAGGCTGCAGTGAACTATGATTGTGCCACTGCACTACAGCCTGGGCCACACAGTAAGACTCTGTCTCTAAAAAAAAATTAATTAATTAATTAATTAAATTTTAAAAAGGAGGTGAGCCTGACCTGGATGAGAGGCCGTTCCCCAAAATTCTTTGGGTGCTGGTTCAATGTCCTTCTTGCTCTCGCTCAATCTAGTTCAGGGAGGAGAAGGCAGGGCTGACCATGTGCAAGTCGCTGGAGACCCTCACAGCAGGCTTCAGATTCCACCATGCCCCTGCCTTCCTCAGGTAGAACAGTGAGGGTGGCTTCTGGGACAAGAGAGGATTCCACCCCATTGTCATTGTCTGGGATACATGCTTGGGCCTGACCTGGCATTGAGGATGGCCTGCCCACAGGGACAGCCAGTGTGAGACCAGGTCCAGGCTGCTGCAGCCATGATGCCTCCATGCACTACAGCTACTGGAGTCCCAGTAGGTGAGCCCCTCTGCCTAGAACGTGGGCCTGATTCTCAGCTGGACCCCTGGGCAGGATCATAGCTCTGGGTCCAACCCAGGGGTGACACTTGCCGGCTGGGTGACTGTGGGCAAGCCGCCTTCTCCTAGCTGGAAGTAGAATGTGGGATGACAGCAGCTGGGCCGATTGTCATGAAGCCTTTCTTGATGAGCAGTCCATGAAGCACTCTGCCCACGGCCCTCTACCCTCCACTGCAGCACTCACAGGCGGGGGCAGCAAACCTTTCCTTTATTGGAGAATGTGACACACAGTCCTGGGTGGGTTTGAGGTGAGCTTGAACTAAGGGAAGCCTCACCCCTGTCCTGCCCCTGTCCCAGTTAAGGGGCTCTCCCTAAAATGAACTATTCCTACTTCTCTTTATTTTTTAAAAAATTAAATCTAGCCAGGAATGGTGGTTTACACTTGTAATCCCAGCACTCTGGGGGGCCAAGGCGGGTGGATCACCTGAGGTCAGGAGTTCGAGACGAGCCTGGCCAATATGGTGAAACTAAAAATACAAAAATTAGCCGGGCATGGTGGCATACACCTGTAATCCCAGCTACTCGGGAGGCTGAGGCAGGAGAATTGCTTGAACCCGGGAGGCAGAGGTTGCAGTGGGCCAAGGTCGCACCACTGCACTCCAGCCTGGGTGACAGAGTGAGACTCTGTCTCAAAAAAAAAAAAAAATTAAATTTTTATTTAATCTTTTTTTCTCTTTGGCTTCTCAAAGTTCAACTTAAAAAGGTAGCTCCAGGGACCAGGCGCGGTGGCTTATGCCTATAATCCCAGCACTTTGGGAGGCCGAGGTGGGCTGATCACGAGGTCAAGAGATCGAGACCATTCTGACAAACATTGTGAAACCCCGTCTCTACTAAAAATACAAAAATTAGCTGGGCGTGGTGGCGTGTGCCTGTAGTCCCAGCTACTCAGGAGGCTGAGGCAGGAGAATCACTTGAACCCAGGATGTGGAGGTTGCAGTGAGCCAAGATTGCGCCATTGCACTCCAGCCTGGCGACAGGGCAAGACTCCGTCTCAAAAAAAAAAAAAAAAAGAGGTAGGTCCAGGCCGGGCATGGTGGCTCACACCTGTAATCCCAGCATTTTGGGAAGCCAAGGCAGGTGGATCACCTGAAGTCAGGAGTTTGAGACCAGCCAGGGCAACATGGTGAAACCTCGTCTCTACTAAAAATAAAAAAAATTAGCTGGGTGTGGTGGCAGGCACATGTAATCCCAGCTACTCAGGAGGCCGAGGCACAAGAATTGCTTGAACCCGGGAAGGAGAGGTTGCAGTGAGCTGAGATCATGCCACTGCACTCCAGCCTGGGCAACAGAGCAAGACTCTGTCTCAAAACAAACAAACAAACAAAGGTAGGTCTGCTCCAGGCCAAACTTTTTATTTATTTATTTTTTGAGACGGATTTTCGCTCTGTTGTCCAGGCTGGAGTGCAGTGGTGCAGTCTCAGCTCACTGCAACCTCTGCCTCGTGGGTTCAAGTGATTCTCCCACCTCAGCCTCCTGAGCAGCTGGGATTACAGGCACACGCCACCACGCCCGGCTTATTTTTGTATTTTTAGTAGAGACGGGTTTTCACCATGTTGGTCAGGCTGGTCTCAAACTCCTGACCTCGTGATCTGCCCGCCTCGGCCTCCCAAAGTGCTGGGATTACAGGCGTGAGCCACCAGGCCTGGCCTTTTTTTTTCTTTTTTTTGAGACAGGGTCTTGCTCTGTTGCTTAGGCTGGAGTGCAAGGGCACGATCTCTGCTCACTGCAACTTCTGCCTCCCAGTTCAAGTGATTCTCCTGCCTCAGCCTCCTGAGTAGCTGGGACTACAGGCGTGTACCACCACACCTGGCTAATTAAACATTTTATTTTTAATTAATTAATTAATTTTTTTTTTTTTAAAGACAGGGTCTCACTCTGTTGCCCAGGCTGTAGTGCAGTGGTGCAGTCATAGCTCACTATAGCCTCGAACTCCTGGGCCCAAGTGATCCTCCTGCCTTAGCCTCCCAAACAGCTGCAACTAAGGTGCATGCCACCAGGTCTGGCTAATTTTTTTTGTGCTTTCTGTAGAGACGGGGGTGGGGGGGGCTGAGTGGGCGGGGGTGGGAGTAGGGTGTCTCACTATGTTTCCCAGGCTGGTCTCCAACTCCTAGGCTCAAGCAATCCTCCCACCTCGGCCTCCCGTAGCGCTGGGATTACAGGTGGGAGCCACCCCGCCTAGCTAATGTTCCTGTTTCTCTTGTCCAGAGCTGGAGTCCAGCCTGATTCCCACCCACAGGTTGTAACCAATGAGCCCTAAGAGAAGCGCTGAAGACCAGGAAGGCCCAGATCCAGGGGTAGGGGTGTTGGGTCCTCTCCACTGGGGTGCAGGCAGAGAGGCAAAGAGGAAGGAGACCCTTCGTGACTCTCAGCGAGGCTGTGAAGAAGAATATCCGGAAGCCACAAGAGGTATATCCGGAAGCCACAAGAGGTGTGGAAACCCCGTTTCCAAGGCTGGGCCCAGTAGCTCGTGCCTGTAATCCCAGCATTTTGGTAGGCTGAGGCGGGTGGATGGCTCGAGCTCAGGAGTTCGAGAGCAGCCTGGGTAACATGGCGAAACCCCTCCCCCCCCCCCCCCCCCGTCTCCAAAAAATACAATAGCCAGCGTGGTGCAGCCGTCTGTAGTCCCAGCTACTCTGGAGGCTCAGGTGGGAGGATCGCTTCAGGCTGGGAGGCAGAGATCACCCCACTGCATTCCAGCCTGGAAGACAGGGCCAGGCCCTATCTCAAAAAATAACAAGGAAACCCCGTTTTCGATTTCGCCAACGCGGAGGGGCCGAAGCAGCAGATGGGCTTGGACGGTCTCCCGCCGCTCCTCCCGGACCTCCCTACTCCTGGGCTTTTCCAGGGGCAGCCCCGTGGTGGCCCCGCCCAGCGCCCGGGAGAGGGGCGAGGCCGGGGGCGGAATGGGCGGAGTTCGACTGTGAGGGAGGTGGAGGCGGGAGTCCGGTGGTGGGGGTGGAGTCTGGAGGTAGGGCGGGGCCAGAACAGCGGCGGGGGCGGAGTTCCGGCTGGGGGCGGGGCGGGGCGGAGCGGGAGCTGCGGGATTCCGGCTTCAGGGGCGGGGCACCGGCCTCTGGGCGGAGATCTGCTGCCGCGTTCTACCCTTCCGGCCCGTGTTCTATCCGCCGCCTCCACCTTCCATCCGGCGCCGGCTTTCGGCGCGACGGTCGCCGCGTTCCATCGTCGCGCGGCCCTTCGGGCGCCCGAGCCCGCAATGTCGGGCCCCAACGGAGACCTGGGGATGCCGGTGGAGGCGGGAGCGGAAGGCGAGGAGGACGGCTTCGGGGAAGCAGGTGACCCGAGGGGGCTGCTGGAGCAACCTTGCATTTTCAGGGCTGCCCTCCCGGGAAGGGGAATCGAGATGGGGTCTCGGAAGGGAACAAAGAGCCCACCCATTCCGCCCCGAGCGGGTCCGGAGTTGTAGGTGCTGTCTCGGATGCAGGGCGAGCACCCGCGAGCCGGTTCCCAGCCCCGTGAGAGCTGCAGGTCACCAGTCCCGTTTTACAGATGGGGAAACTAAGGCAGCTTCGGGGACACTCGCCCTTGTGGGCCTTGCTCCACCACTTCCTTCAGTCCTGGGGGAGACCGAGGCACCTGAGGGAGGCAGGGTTGAGCTTAGCGGAGGGGCCGGGCCGGGACGTGGAGTTGGGGACGCGGGGGCGTCGCTCTGCCGATTCAGCATCCCCAGCCACCCGGCTTTGCTGGTGTAGCCTCACAGCCTTGCCAAATGTCAGCAGCTTACAGAGCAGCCTTTTGCGTGCTTACGAGTGCAGGGGTGGGGTGTGAAGAGAACCATCGGCTCCCTTCTCACCTTCTTCAGCCTCAGTTTCCCCCTCTATAAAATAGGAATAACGATTAGTGTCTGCTGCACTGGGATGTGTCAGAATTAAATGCAAAAAAAAGGAAAATCCTTAGCAGGTTCTAGCATGCAAGAGTTCAGTAAATGGTTATCGTCATTATTATCTTTGGTATAGTAAAGATTGGCATGTTAACATACACTGAGGATTTAGTAAATGTGGTGTAAGTATGGTGCATGCTCTTTGTTTTGTTTGGCGTAACAGCTTTATTGAGCTATACAACTTACCCATACTGTACAGTTCAGTAGGCTTTTGTGTATTCCCAGGGTTGTACATCCATCACAATAGTTTCAGGTAGCTCTGCATTGGGCAATGCTGTTGGGAGCATCAGGAAGAGCTTCCCAGGAGGTCACATTAAGTGGATGTTGGCAGACAGGACTTAGAACAGTGGGGAGGAGGGTGGTGTCCCAGGCAGAAGCAAAGGCTTGGAACTGGGAAGTACCCTTGACACAGATAAAGCCTGGCCTGGAGGGGTGTGGGGCACCTGCCTCCCCAATTCCTCCTCCTAGCCTGTATCCCAGGACACAGAGTTCGAAATATTGATAATAATGACCATCCACTAAGTACTTGCTGTGGCCAGATCCTGTCTGAGCTTTTTTTTTTTTTTTGAGTCGGAGTCTTGCTCTGTTGCCCAGGCTGGAGTACAGTGGCGTGATCTTGGCTCACTGCAACCTCCGCCTTCTGGGTTCAAGCGATTCTCATGCCTCAGCCTCCCGAGTAGCTGGGACTACAGACGCCTGCCACCACGCCTGGCTAATTTTTATACATCTTTAGTAGAGACAATGTTTCACCACGTCGGCTAGGCTGGTCTCGAACTCCTGACCTCAGGTGATCCACCCGCCTTGGCTTCCCAAAGTACTGGGATTACAGGCGTGAGCCACCACACCGGCCACTGTCTGAACTCTTGATGTGTTTGAATCCTCACAACCTTTTTTATTTTCCCTTTTTTCCAGAAAGGTACAACTTGCTGGGGTAAAGCAGAGCTGAAATTCAAACCCAAGTGACCCTGACCCCCAAGTCCAATCCTGAGTTTCGGCTGTTACCAACCTGGAGGACCCTGGGCAGGTTCCTTCCTTCTGAGGCCTCGGTTTCCCTAGCTATATACCATGAGGGGGTTGGACTTTAAGATGCAGCCGATTTCCCAGGACGCTGTCGTCTGTGAGGGTGGCTGGCTCTAGGCAACGGGTGCCCTTTCCTAGAACACAGGCACATATGCACCCATAACCCAGATACGCTCCTCCAGCTCCTCCACCGGCTGCTTCCCCCTTGGTCTCAAGCTGGCAGCTGAGTGTATGTGAGTCATGGGCTGGCTCAGAACTGGGTCCCGCAGTGGGCACAGGCCCAGACCTTGAGTCCTCAGGGACACTGTGTTGCTGAGCAGGGCAGCTCTGGAGTGGCCGTGGAGGGGAGGGAGTGATGGTTTCTAGTGGAGACCAGGGAAGGCTTCTTGGAGGAGGCATTTTGAGCTGGTCCTTGAAGGGCTGTTGTGGTTGAGGCATTCTAGGTTGCAGGGATAGTTGAGCAATGGCGGAGAGGCTGGAAAGTCAGAGGCTTCATTCATTCACTCACTCAGTCATTCAACAAATGCTTATTGCAAAACTGTGAGGGCACCAGGGAGCCAGCAGCGAACACAGGACCGTTCATCTTTCATGGGGAAACATAACAGCACTCAGATAAGCACAGCAGTCAATCCTGGAGAGAAGGTCGTGGAGGGCTGAGGAGGGCTAGGGGCTCAGCATAGAGGCCTGATCCAGTCTGGGGCATTGGGTGGGCTCCCGGTGGTGACATCCATACTGAGACTTGAAGGATGAGTGGGACTCATCCAGGAGGAGAGAAGGGAAGGAAGATGGGAGGACCCAGCACCTTCCAGGCAGAGACAGCAGCATGTTCAAAGGGCCTGAGGTAGGTAAAGGCAGGTGTGAGAGAGGAAAGGAAGAGGCAGGGAGGCAGGGCTAGCTAGGAGGCAGGGGCTGGAGACTCCGCTGGGTGTTTTATCCTGAGGGAGCCACAGAAGGGCTGGCGAACAGGGCCCATCTGGGGACAGAGGCCTTGAATGCCCAACTCAGGAATGTGGGCTCTGGCCACTAAGCAGCTGCTGCAGGAAGTGCAGAGACTTGGCATCTGGCAGGACTTCCCATGTAGGACACTGGCTCGCCACCCTATGACCACCCTAACCCTAGAAAAAAGGATGCAGTACTAAAGTGTCATTCATTCAAAGCCACTCCTCTTTTGGTATTCCACCCATTTTCCAGACGGTGACACTGAGGCTCAGGAAGCAGTAGGGACTTGCACAAAGCCCTTTGGGAAGCAGGCTGGGAAACAGTGGAGGGAGGGTGTCCATTAGCCCCAAGGAGACACAGGATCTGGGCTCTGTCTTTCGCCTTCCTCCCAGAATACGCTGCCATCAACTCCATGCTGGACCAGATCAACTCCTGTCTGGACCACCTGGAGGAGAAGAATGACCACCTCCACGCCCGCCTCCAGGAGCTGCTGGAGTCCAACCGGCAGACACGCCTGGAGTTCCAGCAGCAGCTCGGGGAGGCCCCCAGTGATGCCAGCCCCTAGGCTCCAAGAGCCCCCAACCGGGACCCAACCCTGCCTCCCTGGGCTAGGCTCTGGCCTGGGCACTCACCCCCTGGCTTAGACACCTTCTCAAGGGCTGGCCTTCAGGGACCCCTGGTGGGTCTGCCTGCCTGGGCCACCCTTCCTGCCTGGGCCTCCCCTTGGCCTACCTGGGCCAGCCCCCACCACCTGGCATGCCCTCCTGGGGCCAAGAGTGGGCCTGCAACCCACCCACTTGCCTGCCCACCCAACTCCTGGGCGCTCCCCACTCTGCCCAGGCCTTGAGTGTCCACATTAAATGGGTCTCCCACACCGCTGTGCCTCTCTCCTCTGTATCCCAGGACGAGAACCCCAGCAGCTGCTGGAGGCGAACAGGACTGTCTAGGTGTTCAGGTGTTGATCCTATACTGGCGGCTCAGAGGCCAGGTGGTAGGGCTGGGGTTCTTGGTCACCTGTACTTCTGGACACAGAAGGTGCAGGTGAGGGCAGGGCTTCCTCCCTACCTGATACATTCCTGGCCAGCAGCTGCTTCCTAGCCCAGAAGCCCAGTTGAGACTGTTGGACATGCTGTGTGACCTTGTGTGATGCTCTCAGCCTCTCTGGGTACTAGGGCCTTTCACCAAGACAGCCAACATGCTAAGACATGCTATGCAGCCTCAGCATTGCCCTCCCACTCTTGGCCTGTCTCCCCAGTAATAGGGTTGGTCTGGTCGTTTATCTCTATGGGTCTTTCTAATGAGGAAATAGCAGAAGTAAAGGGCCAACTCAGCCCAGGCCCCATCCACCCATGATTCATCTTAGGGTCGCCTGACCAGGAGGGTGGGGTGCCTGCTAGTGAACCAAGAAGAGAACCAGAGGGCCTGAGCAGCAAGGACCCCACTCCTGCACTCCAAAGGGTGCAGCTGGAGAGACAGGCCAGCATGGGTCGGAGAGCTCAGGCCCGGGTCAAATCCCAGCCACTTACCAACTGCGTGGTCTTCAGCAAGTCACTTGACCTTGCTAGGCCTCCAGCCAAAGGAACTTCCCCAGCTCTGATACGTTATTAAGAGGGAAACTTGGCCACGCACAGTGGCTCACACCTATAATCCCAGCAGTTTGGAATGCCACAGTGGGCGGATTGCTCGAGCCCAGGAATTTGAGACCAGCCTGGGGAACATGGCGAAACACCATCTCTACCAAGAACATACAAAAAATTACCCAGGCGTGATGGCGCACGCCTGTGGTCCCAGCTACTCGGGAAGTTGAGGTGGGAGGATGGCTTAAGCCTGGGAGGCAGAGGTTGCAGTGAGCCAAGATTGGCACCACTGTACTCCAGTTTGAGCAACACAGCCAGACCCCGCCTCAAAAAAATAAAAATTAGCCATGTGCGGTGGCTCACGCCTGTAATCTCAGCACTTTGGGAGGCCAAGGCAGGCAGATCATTTAAGGTCAGGAGTTCAAGACCAGCCTCGCCAACATGGCGAAACCCTGTCTATACTAAAAATACAAAAAGTTGGGCGTGGTGGTGTGCACCTGTAATCCCAGCTCCTCAGGAGGCTGAGGTAGGAGAATCACTTGAACCTGGGAGGTGGAGGTTTCAGTGAGCTGAGATCGGGTCATTGCACTCCATCCTGAGAGACAGCGAGACTCCATCTCAAAAAATAAATAAAAATAAAAATTAAAATTTTTTTTTTGAGATGGAGTCACCTAGGCTGGAGTGCAATGGCACGATCTCGGCTCACTGCAACCTCTGCCTCCCAGGTTGAAGCGATTCTCCTGCCTCACTGTCTCAGCCTCCCGAGTAGCTGGGATTACAGGTGCGCGCCACCATGCCTGGCTAATTGTATTTTTAGTAGAGACGGGATTTCTCCATGTTAGCCAAGCTGATCTCAAACTCCTGACCTCAGGTGACCCGCCCACCTCAGCCTCCCAAAGTACTGGGATTATAGGCATGAGCCACCCCGCCTGGCTCAAAAATTAAAATTTTTTTTTTTGAGATGGAGTCTCACTCTTTTGCCCAAGCTGGAGTGCACAGGCACGATCTCGGCTCACTGCAACCTCCACCTCCCGGGTTCAAGCAATTCTCCCTGCCTCAGCCTCCCGAGTAGCTGGGATTACAGGCGCCCGCCACAACACCCAGCTAATTTTTGTATTTTTTAGTGGAGACGGTTTTGCCATGTTGGCCAGGCTGGTTTTGAACTCCTGACCTCAGGTGATCCACCCGTCTCAGCCTCCCAAAGTGCTGGGATTACAGGTGTGAGCCACCACGCCCCGCCTAAAAATTTTTTTAAAAGAGGGATACCCAAGTTCAGACAGGTGAAGTGCCTCATGATCCAGAGTCCCTGGTTCCCAGGGAGCCTGTCTGGCCTTCTGTTTCTGCCACCACATGGCCCAGAGAGGCTGGGTGCTGGCTGAGAGTTGGCTGGGGTGCCCCCCTTCCCCTATCCACCCAGACAGAAGTACTGGTGGGAACTGCACAGCCAAACTACCTTGTTTTATTGGATTTTGAGTAAAAACATGAACCATGTCAAAGTTTCCAGGCAGACTCCTAAAAAGCATTAGCAGATCTGGACCCAGGCAGGCCAGGGACAGGGAGGTCCCTCTATCAGGTTTTGAGGCGGGTTGAGCGCCGAGGTAGTGGGGGCTGGGAGGGTCGAGCCGTCACCTTGCTGGGTGTTTTGTCCTGGGTGTTGGGCTGGGAGGGTGGGCGGCCGCTGGAGGTGAACAGGGCTGTCAAAGCGTTCCGGGCGTTGATTGCGCACCGGCGGCTCACAGGTCGGGTGGTGGGGCTGGGGTTCTTGGCCGCCTTGTATTTCTGGATACAGAAGGTGCAGGTAAGGTCAGGGTCTCCTCCCTACATGGTATGCTCCTGGCCAGCAGCTACTTCCCCAGCTCTGGCTGAGACAGTATTAGTGTGCTCTGTGACCCTGCGTGATGCACTCGGCCTCTCTGGGCCGTCTCTGGAGCTAACAGCCTGGCACTCAGCATCCCCTTGAACAATAAGAGCCCAACCCCACCCCAGCTCTAATTCTCTCCCTGTTGGTGCAGGGGTGGTGCCTGGGGATTGAGGCCCTGCACAAGAGGGAGTGGCCACTAGCCACCCGAATCAGCTTGGATTAAGACTAAGTCTGTGGCCAGGGGAGGACAGGGCAGGATGTCCGGCTCACCTGCAGGTTCTCAAAGTGGCCCAGGGACTTGCAGTGGGAGAGCTGTGCCCCTGAGTTGCTGTGATAGAACTTGTGGCAGATGCGGCAGATATAGCCCATCACGGGCACCAGGAAGTCCACACCTGTAGGATGGGATGGCAGGGTCTGCACTCACATCCCTGTACCAGCGAGGTGTCCCTCCCTCTCTAGGGGCCCATGTGCTCCCCAACCCTCTAGGCAGGGGCAGAAGAGAAGGCTTCCCAGCCAGAATGCCATGGCTGGGATATGGGAGGGTCATGTGGAGGCTGGGCCCAAGGGCTGAAGCTCCTGCAGGTGGGCTCAGAGCTGGGGCCTTACCATATGCAGTATTGGGGCTGTAGGTCTCCGAGCCCTTCCACTCCTCTCTGGATATATCTCTGGACCTCACCTGAAAACATGCAAGTGTGGGCCTCGGATCTGGCTTCCCCTTGACACCTCCCAGACACAGGTCGGGGGCCTAGAGACCACCAATGCCCTTGGACACACAGAATCCCCTTGATTTCCAGGAGGTAGTGGGTGGCATTCTCTGAGCCTTTGCACATGGTGATCCTGCCTCCCAGAGTGCTCTTCCCAATCTATACTTTCTAGACTCTGTTCAACTAGCCCCCTCCTCCAGGAAGCCCTCCTGCTCCTACAGGCGCCATAATCCACGCCAGGTGTGCCCAAGACATCATGTGTCATTTGACTGAATCCTCATAACAGCCCTCTATGGCTACACACATTTTACTAAGAAGAAACTGAGGCCCAGGGACATTAACTCACTTGTCTAGGGTTGCACAGCTGGTTTGTGGAGGAGCTGGGCAGGGAACCCTGTAGGTCTAAGCCGTAGTTCACACTCTTAACCATGAGCCCCCTGCTAACTCCCTGAGGTCCTATCCAATACTGCAGTGACCTTGGTCCTAGAGGGTGGGTTTCAAGGGATCAAAGACTGCATTTCACCTGCTGGATGTGAGATGAGGTCATCTGACTCTGGCCGTGTCAGCCCTAGCAGGCCTAGCAGTGCCCTCCACCACTCACCAGGCAAACAAATGTGGCTTCCAAGAAGGACAACCACCCCCGTTTGCTAAGCCCTTCCTAGGACCAAGCTGTGGGCCCTGGGCTTCCCTGATAGTCCAAGTTCAGGTTGTTACTTCTGAGCAGAGGCAACTGAGGCTCAGAGAGGCCAAGTGGCTTGCCTGAGATGATGTGACTACTGAGCAATGAAGCTGGGCCTCATACTACCCTGCCTAGGACTGCAGGCCCCCCCACCACAACGCTTCCTCCCCAGCCCCTCAATACCCCACTTTGGCTGCCAGAGGCTATGAGCAGCCCCAGCTGGCCCCTCACCACCCTGGACTATAACTGGGTCAGCCTTTGAGGGCAAGGACCAGGCCTTGGCCCTCATGGGTCCCTGCTTCCAGCACCAGGGCCTGACCTAGAACACACTCTCTGGAAACGTGTTAAACTGCAAAGAATCTGGCTGGGCATGGTGGCTCACGCCTGTAATCCCAGCACTTTGGTAGGCCGAGGTGGGTGGATCACCTGAGGTCAGGAGTTCGAGACCAGCCTGGCCAATATGGTGAAACCCCGTCTCTACTAAAAATACAAAAATTAGCCGGGCGTGGTGGTGGGCACCTGTGATCCCAGCTACTTGGGAGGCTGAGGCATGAGAATCGCATGAACCCAGGAGGTGGAGGTTTCAGTGAGCTGAGATCGCACCATTGTACTCTAGCCTGGGCGACAGAGCGAGACTCCGTCTTGAAAAAAAAAAAGAAAAAAAAAAAAAAACTGCAACGAATCCAAGCTCCTCCAGCTCCTCATTCATGAGAGACAGGGTAGCTGCGGCATTGGAAACATGGACTCTGAAGTTTTACTTCCTGCCATCCAATCTGATGAGATTCAGCCAGGATAGTGCTTGGTACACACACCTGGAACACACTAAGTGCTCAAAAAGATGTCTGCTGCTGTCAGTCTCTCCATTATCATCACCATCATCTGACTTTTCCTTTGCACACTACATAGTTTCCCACCTCCGTGCCTTTACTGATGCTGTTCCCTTTCCCTTCCTCCACACAGGTCCAAATTTCAGTCAGGCTTTGCATATTTTAACTGCCACTCTCTAGTCATCATGCATAATTACATAGTCATGCAGAAGGCAGTTGACAGTAATCAGTTGTGGCATGCATTAGTGCCCACAGATGCCAGCCCAGTGTCTGGCCTCCGGGAGGTGGGATGAGGTCTGTCCTGGGCTGGGAATCCAGCACCAAGCCCGCCTCCCACACCCTCCCCCCAGCACCTGCTTGCAGAGTTCCTCCTCAACCTCGATCTCTTCTTCATCCTCATCATCCTCTTCCTCTTCTTCATCACCCTCGAAGCAACCCACAGCGTCCACTGTAATGAAGTGGTCCTCATCTTGGCCAGCAATTTCTTTCTCAAGCGACTTCAGCTGCCCAGGGAGTAGGCAAGGAGCTCAGGTCAGCTCTGAACAGCCAGGGGGCCATGCCCTACCCACCCCACCCCTCCCCTGAGAGTCCCAATCCCTCCAGACCCGCTGTGAGTTTGGGCTGGGATAAACCTCAACTTGCTACACAGCCTTGGCCAAGGCTCTGTACCTCTCTGGGCCCATGTCCTCTGAGGGAGCTCAGGTTACCTCCTTGGCTTTGTCCTTATGCCCCTGGGACTTCACGTGCTCCACAAACTTGCGAGGGGTTTTGAAGTAGCGGTTGCAAACGGTGCAGAAGGGTCGCAAGGATTGTTTGGCAATCTGGAAAAAGGCAGGCCAACCAAGCAGTGTCCCCAGCTGCAAGCCCCCTGACTAGCACCCAGGCAGGGCCCAGCAAGAGCTCACCTCCCCCGGGCAGGCCCACCATATCTGTAACAAGCCGGGCTGTGCTCCACCCCTGCACTGGAACGTGGGCAAACACATCTCTTCGTGGTGTGGGTGGCTGAGAGATAGGATGGCAGATGGCAACACAGAGACAGGACAGACACAGAGAGAAGACGAGAGAGAGGGCAGCTGCCCAAATAACCCCTGTGAGCCCCGTGGCTGAATGGCAGGTGAGATGGGGCCTGGCCTACACTGGACAGATGGGGAACCTGAAGCCCGAAGAAGAAACAAGACTGACTCCTCCAGAAACTGCATTGTGGGTTATGGGTGTGCAGGGGCAAAGAGGAACGTTTACTTTCCAACTGGGGCTCTGTGTTGTCTGGACTCCACTTGCAGACGGCAGTGCGGGTGCCTCTGCAGCGTGCAGGCCCTCCTACCTTGTGGTCCTGTGTCCTGCGGTGTTGGATCAGGTCCCCCATGTAGTAGAGCTGGCAGGTGTTGCACCAGCGCCTTGGTGGAGGCTCCCTGAATGACAACAGTCAAAGCAAGTACAATGTGACGCCAGAAAGACAGCAGCTGTCTGAGAGCGCTCCATAAGTGTAATCCATTCCAATAGCAACTCCCACAGGATCTCTTAGGGAAGCTTAACAAAATGGTTCTGAGGTTCATCTGGATGAGTACTTAAGCAGAAATAACCCAGGAAACTTTAGGGGGAAGGGGAATGAAGCACTGGGGATACCAACCTTTAAAATGAAAACCACAAGCTACAATAGATAAAACTGTGTAGTGTGATGTACATCCTGACAGTGTATCAGTGGGAAAGAATGGAAAGTCCTAAACAGGTTCAAATATTGGTAAGAATTCAGCTTCGCCAGCCTGGGCAACATGGGGAAACCCCATCTCTAGCAAAAATACAAAAAATTAGCCAGGCATGGTGGCTCATGCACCTGTGGTCCCAGGTACTCAGGAGGCTGGGGTGGGAGGATGGCTTGAGCCTGGGAGGCAGAAGTTGCAGTGAACCAAGATAGCGCCACTGCACTCCAACCTGGGTGACAGGGTGAGACCCCCATCTCAAAAAAAAGAATTCTGCTTCTGATAAATTGGTATTGAAAAGCATAGATTATACAACAAATTATGTCAGAACAATTTGTTGTCTACTTGGAGAAGAAACGCCTTCTGCTTCCACCTTCTACCTTACTTGAAAATGAATTCTAGCTGAACTACCAGAGATTCAGGCATAAAAATAAAAACCATATACTTTAAAAAGGGAGGCCGGGCATAGTGGCTCACACCTGTAATCCCAGTCCTCAAGGCAGAAGGACTGCTTGAGCCCAGGAGTTTGAGACCAACCTGAGCAACACAGCAAGACCCCATCTCTACAAAACATAAAAAACATTAGCTGGGTTTGGTGGCACATGCCTGTAGTCCTAGCTGCTCAGAAGCTGAGGTGGGAGGATTGCTTGAGCCCAGGAGGTCGAGGCTGCAGTGAACCATGACTGCCACTGCACTCCAGCTGGGGCAACACAAGACGCTGTCTCAAAAATAAATAATAAATAAATAAAAAGGGGGCCAGTCGCAGTGGCTCATGCCTATAATCCCAGCACTTTGGGAGGCTGAGGCAGGAGGATCGCTTGAGCCTAGAAGTCCAAGACCAGCCTAGGCAACATAGTGAGATCTTGTCTCTATATAAAATAAAATTAGTCAGGCATGGTGGTGTGCACCTATAGTCCTAGTTACTTGGAAAGTTGAGGTGGGAGAATTCCTTGAGCCCAGGAGGTTAAGGTTGCAGTGAGCCGAGATCACCATTGCCCTCCAGCCTGGGTGACAGAGAGAGACCCGGTCTCAAAAAATAAAATAAAATAGGGCCGGGCACGGTGGCTCACGCCTGTAATCCCAGCACTTTGGGAGGCCAAGGCAGGCACATCATAAGGTCAAGAGTTCAAGACCAGCCTGACCAACATGGTGAAACCCCATCTCTACTAAGAATACAAAAAAAAAAAAAAAATTAGCCGGGTGTGGTGGCACGCGCCTGTAATCCCAGCTACTCGGGAGGCTGAGGCAGGAGAATTGCTTGAACCCAGGAGGCGGAGGTTGCAGTGAGCCAAGATCGCGCCACTGCACTCTAGCCTGGGCAAAAGAGCAAGACTCCGTCTCAGAAAATAAATAAATAAATAAATAAAATAATACTTATTTTACAAGGGGAGAGCAACTATTTAATCTTGGGTTGGGAAAGATCATTGCAACATATAACATCAAAGCCAGAAATCATAAAGGAAAAAACTGATAGATCCGATTGCATAAAAATTTAAAACTTCTACATGTTGAAAGATATAAGAAAATTAAAAAGCAAACAAATGTCAATGACAAGGGCTGTGCTATCACTGGCCAGAGTGTATCCTTTATGTAGGCAGCTTCTTAAACCAAGGCTGGGCATACCGCTGGTTCACGCCTGTAATCCCAGCACTTTGGGAGGAGGGTTCCTTGAGCTCAGGAGTTCTGAGGCTGCATTGAGCTGTGATCACACCACTACGCTCCAGCCTGGGTGACAGAGTGAGACACTGTCTCAAAAAAAAAAAAAAAAAAAAAAAAAAAAAAGAAAAAAGAAAAGCCAAATACATGTAAAACCCTGGCTGGGCATGGTGGCTCACGCCTGTAATCCCAGCACTTTGGGAGGCCAAGGCAGGCGGATCACTGAGGTCAGGAGTTCAAGACCAGTCTGGCCAACATGGTGAAACCCTGTCTCTACTAAAAATACAAAAAAATTATCCAGGCGTTGTGGCAGGCACCTGTAATCCCAGCTACTTAGGAGGCTGAGGCGGGAGAATTGCTTGAACTGGGAGACGGAGGTTGCAGTGAGCCAAGATTGCGCCACTGCACTCCAGCCTGGGCAACGGAGCGAGACTCCCTCTCAAAAAAAAACCAAAAAAAGTGTCTCACTCAGCGAAAATAAGGACTCTCTATAAAATATGCAAATACACAAGTTTTCATAAATTTTAGGGGACACATGTCCACTGATAAAGCCCTGTAAGAGCTCTGCTGGGGAGGGCTGCTTAGAGACAGAAAGTGTTCGTGTTGTCATGTAGCATGATTCCGATTTTTATTTTTAAAGATTGTATAAATCCAGAAAGGATCACAAGAAGAACTAGGTCAAAATGTAAACAGTGTTTATCTCTGGGTAATGGGATTATGGGTGATTTTTATCTTCTCATGTGTCTGTGTCCTTGTATTTTCAAAACGTTATATAATGAGCGAATTATTTTTAAAATCAGAAAAAAAAATTTTTTTGTAGTCAAAAAAGGCACATCAGCCACACAGTGAGAGTACCAGGTTTTAGATTTTAGGATTTAGGGACATTTACTGTCCTCAGTAAAATCTTCTTAATACTGCTGCAAGCAACAAAATCAGACTTTAAAGCAGCTTGCTCCAGGCTGGAGTGCAGTGGCATGATCAAGGCTTACTGCAGCCTCTACCTCCTGGGCTCGAGCAATCCTCCCACCTCAGCCTCCTAAGTAGCCAGGACTACAAGTGCATGCCACCAGGCCTGGCTAATTTCTTTTTTTTTTTTTTTTTTTTTTTTTTTGAGACGGAGTCTCGCTCTGTCGCCCAGGCTGGAGTGCAGTGGCGCGATCTTGGCTTACTGCAAGCTCCGCCTCCTGGGTTCAGGCCATTCTCCTGCCTCAGCCTCCCAAGTAGCTGGGACTACAGGCGCCTGCCACCACGCCCGGCTAATTTTTTGTATTTTTTAGTAGAGACGGGGTTTCACCGTGTTAGCCATGATGGTCTCGATCTCCTGACCTCATGATCCACCCGCCTCAGCCTCCCAAAGTGCTGGGATTACAGGCGTGAGCTACCGCGCCCGGCCGGCTAATTTTTTTATAGTTTACAGAGACACAGGTCTCATGACGGGCTGGTCTTGAACTCCTAAACTCAAGCAATCCCCCCACCTCAGCCTCCCAAAGTGCTGGGATTATAGGTGTGAGCCACCATGCCAGCCTGGCTCTATTTTTCAATGTGCATTTTGATCTCTGTGAGAGAAAAACACAACAAATGAAGAAAGGGGGTGGGGAGAGAACATGGTCATCAAACAGGCAGACACCTTGTGCCAGTGTCACGTCTGAGGCTGCCCAGAAACGGCCAACGCGGGCCGGGCATGGTGGCTTGCACCTGTAATCCCAGCACTTTGGGAGGCCAAGGCGGGCAGATCACAAGGTCAGGAGATCAAGACCATCCTGGCTAACACAGAGAAACCCTGTCTCTACTAAAAATACAAAAAATTAGCCGGGCCTAGTGGTAGGCGCCTGTAGTCCCAGCTACTCGGGAGGCGGAGGCAGGAGAATGGCGTGAACCCAGGAGGCGGAGCTTGCAGTGAGCCGAGATCGCGCCACTGCACTCCAGCCTGGGTGACAGAGCGAGACTCCATCTCAAAAACAAAACAAAAAAACAAAAAAAAAAAACAAAGAAATAGCTAAGGTAGGCAAGGGCTTAGTTCACAGCACCTGCCCTGGGGGCTTTGAGGAGGGAGGAGACGGGCACCCCCACCAGCTAGGGTATTGGGATCCAGCCTTCAGCCCCATTCCTGGGAACACCCCCCTGCCTTCCATGGGGAAATGTATTTCCATGTGGTTTGGGTAGAGCTGGCCTGCCTAGGCCTAGCCAGTCAGAACACCTTATCCCTGGCCAGGGGATTGCTTCAGAAACGTGCACGTGACCACAATCAGATTAACCAGCATTTCCACTAGAAACTGTTCTGCTACCGCAGACACAGGTGACTGCCCTTCCTTGGAAGTCACTGTGCAGGGAGGCTGGGGCTGTGGGTACCTGGTGCCCACTGTAGTGAGAGATGGAGCCTCTCTAAGAAATGGTATCCCCTGGGTCCAGCTGTATCTCTTATATTCCCACTAACCTAAGCCAGAAACATTGTTCCTTTTTGCTCAAGCTAATTTCTGTCTTATAGAAATTAGAATTTTTTTCACTTACAACCGCGAAGAACCCCCACTGATGCAGGAAGACAGTATTGATGTCTTTGTGTTGGGGACCAAGGTGAGGGGGTCGTAGGTAGGGACTGGAGGGACTTTTTAAATTTTTGTTGTTGTTTTTGAGACAGAATCTCTCTGTCACCCAGGCTGAAGTGCAGTGGCGCGATCTCGGCTCACTGCAACCTCCGCCCCCAGGTTCAAGCAATTCTCCTGCCTCAGCCTCCCGAGTAGCTGGGATCACAGGCATGCACCACCATGCCCAGCTAATTTTGTATTTTTAGTACAGAGGGGGTTTCACCATGTTGGCCAGGCTGGTCTTGAACTCCTGACCTCAGGTGATCCGCCCATCTCAGCTTCCCAGAGTGCTAGGATTACAGGCCTGAGCCACTGCGCCTGACCATAATGTTCTTGATGGCCTCAGGGCCAAGTAGGATTCAAGAGAAGACTTCATGGAGAGATAACATTGGGAGAGGGTTTGATGAATCCCCGACACCTCAAGTTTGTTAACAGCTTGTGCTACGTATGTCCTTTTAGTTTTCTTCTGTGTCACAAGATCTATTCTTACACAAACAAGCTCATTCTGCAGATGCAATTTTGAATCCTGTTTTACTTTGACATTGCATCACCTTTCCACATTATTATAAATTCTCCAGTTATTCTATTTATTCATTGTTCCACGAGCTGGACGGGCTTTTTCATCATCTAACCAGTCCCCTACTTTCGAGTATTTTAGATCATTTCCCGTTAGATTTTTTCATCATGATACTAATAGCAAAGAACGTCTTGGTGAGTCATCATTCTCCTGTGTTTATGATTATTTCAACCAAGTAGAAAACCACTCAAGGACGCTCTTCTCAAAGGGAGAAACAGCTAACAGAGACACAGCCTGCCCTTGCAGAGCGAGAGCCCCCTGTCACACAAGGCAGGCAAGCGGAGGCCAACCAAGAGCCCTTCCTGTCCCCTCAGCCCCACCTGGAAGCTTCAAATTGTGACCTCTGTAAAATTAGGACAGAGCCCGTGACCACTGACTCAAGGGACCGTCCAGCCTATGAAAGTGTTTGATTTGCTCTCCGTAGGGTTTGTTTTGTTTCAATTCTGAACTAGCTGTTAACATTTTGAAATTGGGAGATTTCACATACAAACCTGGATTTCTGGATTCTTCTTAAAACTAAGAGATCCAGAGATGAGAAGCAGCTGTCTCCTGAGACAGAGCCTGTGTCCCCGCTGTGGCCCTAGCTAACATGGTCCTGCTGCTGAGATGACACATCCCAGCCCTTGCACACCTCTATGACTGCCCACAGAGTCCTGAAAGCACCTCTGGCTGCCTGCCAGGCCTTCCCACCCCAGTATAGTTCCAGACCCCAGGAGGGCTGAAGTTTCTGATTAAACAGGCTCCCATGACAATGAAAGGGGGAGACACAGGGAAACCCTAACCTCCAACCACAAAAGAACCTGATCCTCAGCCTTGTCACCCCACAGCGGGGTTAGCACACATGCCACAGGGGGCAAGAGTCTGTGCCACAACCTGTCCTCTCCCACAGGGATGGTCATACTGTTCCTGCCTAGAGGGAACCTTAAGAGAATGTCATGAATTCCTGTACTATATCCGTCACCAAGCCATGTTACAGGCAGGGAAAACTGAGGTTCAAGGTCACACAGTTAACAGTGTGAGGAGGCCTGGCTGGGGGTGCAGTGCTTAACCCAAAGGTAAACCCTGCAGATGGTAGATTCAGGCCCTGGCCGATGAGACTGCCTACCCCCCAACACAGAGCTTCCACGATCCCCCACTCACTCATCCTCTGTCTCCAGGACGTCCCGGGGCACGGGCAGCAGGGACAGGAGGCAGGCTTGGCTCATGTGCTGGATCTCCCCTAGCCGCTGCTGGTGCTGAGGCTCCGACATGTGGTCCTGGAACTCCTGCAGCAGGAGGGAAAGAGGGATGGGCCTGGGGCGTGAGCCCAGAACAGTGGGCAAGGCTGGGGCCTGGGGAGGCAGACCCCAGCCTCATCACTGTGCGCCCATTTCTCTCACCACACATTTCTCTCTTGTGTAGGCTAGAGCAGGCATGATAAACTAAGACACAGGGTACATGCCAGCCCGAGCTTCTGCCCCTCCCAGAGAATGTGTGAGTGCCTCAAAGACAAGGAGCGGCCTGATTAGCATCCAGGTCTCCAAGGCTGTGCCAGGTGAGGCACAGAGTAACACAGCTCACAGCACAAGAGTAGTAATACAAGTACAATGCGATCATGATTACTGCTACACTCACTTTGGGCCAGGCCTGCGCTCAGGACTCCAATGTCACATTGCTGAATCCCCAGAACCACCCAGTGAGGTGGATTCTAAACGTTTCTTTTTTTTGTTTCGTTTTGAGAGTCTCGCTCTGTTACCCAGGCTGGAGCACAGTGGCATGATCTTGGCTCACTGCAACCTCTGCCTCCTGGGTTCAAGCAATTCTTCTGCCTCAGCCTCCTGAGTAGCTGGGATTACAGAAGCATGCCAACACATATTTTTAGTAGAGACGGGGTTTCACCATGTTGTTCAGGCTGGTCTCAAACTCCTGACCTTGTGATCCACCCACCTCAGCCTCCCAAAGTGCTGGGATTACAGGCGTGAGCCACTGTGCCCGACCCTAAACTTTCCTTTGTCTGATGCAAGAGGAAACAGGCACAGGGTGGAATTCGCTTTCCAAGGTCTCCCAGCTACTCAGAGCCGATATGAACCAGGTCTGACTGACTCTAAAAACCTGCTTGAGCCCAAGAGGTAGAGGCTGCAGTGAGCTGAGATCATGCCACTGCACTCCAACCTGGGAGGCAGAGTAAGACCCTGTCTCAAAACAAAAAACAAAACCACCAAAACCTGCCTTCTTGGCAGGTCAGGAAATGTTTCCCAAGCAAATGCATGGCTGCTTGGGGCAGGGCCCATTGCAGCCTGAGGCATTCTTGGGAGGGCAGGCTGGGCATTCCACGCAGGCCCCACCCCTCCCCACCCTTATCTCCTGTATCAGTACCTGCTGGCTGGAGCAGCTGGCCTTGCAGATGTAGCAGAAGAACTGGAGGGCCTGCTTAGAGGGAGTGCTGGTAGCCGCAGGGGTGGAGGAGACGGAGTCACTGGGGCGGGGGACAGGTGTCAGGGGTACAGTGCTAAAGGCCCGGCTGTCACTGCTCTGCAGAATGGTGACCTTCAGGGAGCCCCCGGCGCCCCATACCTGCATGGGGAGTAGGAACTGAACTTCCATCAACTGTGTACTTATAGTGGGCCAGCCCAGCATTCAACATCTGCCAACGTTGTCTCATCAGATCTTCCTGATGATAGGGAAACTGAGGCTCTGAGCTGTTAGCTGACTACCCCAGCTTGCACAGCTAGAAAGCACTGCAGTCAGGATGCGAACCCAGGTCGGCCTAAAGTACCACTCATCCCACCCCTTGTATGACAGATGGGGAAACAGACTCAGGAGGGAAAGGGTTTGCCCACAGTTACGCAGAGCTGGGACCCAAATCCCACAGAGAGGCTTCCACTCTGTGCTCTCTCCACGAGAGCAACATTACCCATGCGAGGAGACTGGGGCTCTGGCTTGGGGATGGGCAGGCTGGAAGGGACGGATGTGAAGACAGCACAACAGCAAGAGGGTCCCATGCACACCACTATCAAGCCCAGCCTGGTCTGGCCACCCATCCTAGGCAGAGGGCTGTCATCCCATTTCACGGTGGGGGAAACACAAGGAGGCCCTGAGGTGGCCTGGGGCAGAAAGAGGCCATCCCACCCTGCTGGGCTCTGTGGCCCTCACACTGCCACATCAGGGCCTCTACCCACCCCTGGCATCTCTCTCGCTCTGTTTTCACATTCTCCCACATCTAGGCCACAGGCCGACTCATTCTGAATCTCTTCCATGCTGACTTGGGTGCCCACAGGCTCTGGCAAGGTCTTTTCCATGCCTGAAATGACAGATGTGCTGTATTTCCCAGAGTCCCCAGGCCCAAGAGCTGCCTTCTCCGTCCGCAGCCAGAACCTTGAGGCCCCCAGCATGGATGGCCCTGGACCTGGGTTCCAGGCCTAGCCCTCAGTCCCAGGCAGCACCCAGTCAGGGGAGGAATGAAGGGTCTGGGCAGAGCTGTCCCATCACCAGACCAGCTGGGAGCCAGTGCTCACTTACCTCCACCAGCTTCTACTGCATCAGGTGGCATCTCCAGCCCGCAGACATGAACCACAACTGGTGTTTGCTCTGGAGCCAGCAACGACACCTGCGGCTGGGTGTGAGGCTGCTCATGGGTCTGCTCTGGTGGCTGTACTGACACCTGCGCTGGAGGATGCTCCTGTGGCTGGACGCTTGGCTGTGCCTGTGTGTGGACCTGTGGATATGTCTGTGTCTGGACCTGCTTCTGCAGCTGCAGCTGCACCTGCCTTGGGGGCTGTGAATGTGCCTGGGGCTGCACCTGTGGCTGCACCTGCTTCAGCGGCTCTGCCTCCTGCTGCAGCTGCACCTGCCTTGGGCCCTGTGAATGTGCCTGTGGCTGTACCTGTGGCTGCACCTGCTTCTGTGGCTCTGCCTCCTGCTGCAGCTGTGGCTGCACCTGCTTCTGTTGCAGCACTAAGTGCTCTGGAGAGGTCTGTGTTTGCGCCTGCTTCTGCAGCTTTGGCTGCACCTGGGTGTCTGTGGATGGTATCCGCGGCTGAGTCTGTGACTGCACCTGGGCCTGGACCTGCAGGACCCGTGGCTGGAATCGTGGCAGCACTTGGGCTTCCAGGGCCTCAGGCAGCAGGTCTGGTGTCTGTGTCTGTTTCGGTACTGTCATCCGGGCCTGCGGCTGGGCCTTCACCTGTAACTGCCCTGGAGGTTCCTTCTCTGTGGGCTCTTCTGAGCTAGGAAGGATCAAAAAAAAATCCCAGTCATGTCTTCAAAGAGGCCCCAGGGGCTCCCAAGTAAGGCCAAAACTAGGCCGAGCGTGGTGGCTCGCATCTGTAAACCCAGCACTTTGGGAGGCTGAGGCAGGTGGATCATTTGAGGTCAGGAGTTCCAGATCAGCCTAACCAACATGGTGAAACCTGGGATTACAGGTGTGAGCCACCGCGCCCAGCCCAAGACTGTTTCTTTTTGTTTGTTTTTGGTTTTTTGTTGTTGTTTGTTTGTTTTTTTGAGATGGAGTTTCGCTCTTGTTGCCCAGGCTGGAGTGCAATGGCGCGATCTCGGCTCACCACAACCTCCGTCTCCCAGGTCCAAGCGATTCTCCTGCCTCAGCCTCCGGAGTAGCTGGGATTACAGACATGCGCCACCACACCCAGCTAATTTTGTACTTTTAGTAGAGACGGGGTTTCTCCATGTTGGTCAGGTTGGTCTCAAACTCCCAACCTCAGGTGATCCGCCCGCCTCAGCCTCCCAAAGTGCTGGGATTACAGGTGTGAGCCACCACATACAGCCCAAGACTTGGTTTCTAATGCTGGCTCTACCACTTACAGGCTGGGGATTTGGGCAAACTCCTTTGGCTGTCTAGGCCTCAGATTCACCTAAATAAACCGGGGAGGATCGTTCTCACCTCCCACAACTTGCTGACATGTATCCAATTGGCTTTGTAAATGGCCTGCCCACTACGGTCCCAGATGAACGTCTTCACCCCTCCCACGCAGCCATCCAGCTTGGCCCCCAGGTGGCTCAGTCTCAAGGAAGACACCAGAGTCTGGCTGGGAGCTTCCCCAGGTCAGGTGCGGAAATAAGTAAGGCCTTCCTCCAAATCAGAGGCCAAGGCCCTTTCCTTGCTCCAGCTCCACTGAATGGTGCACCCCCTCTGCCATTGCCACCCCTGCCTTTGCAGGAATGAGAGCACAGGGCACCCGGGCGCAGGTCAGGTTTTCAGCATCAGTTACCTCCTCAATCTCTTTGCTGGCAGCTCGGACGCCTCACAAGGCTCAGGCTCAGGTGCTGGAGTGCGTTTTTCCTTGGCGATGTCCTCTGGGCAGGGCGGTAAATCTTGGTCTGGAATGGAGGCATGAGCGAGGGAACTCATGTTGGGAAGAGCAAGCATCTCTGACCTCCAAGAGATGGGGCCTGGGCTCCCCGCCTTCCCACCAAGAACCCCTGCCTCCCACACCTGCCTCTATCACCTGCTGACCCGCCCACTGGCCCCACCCCATTCATGTCCCTCTGAAGGGCCAGCAGCCTCCCTCCCTCACCTTCTGGTGTGTCCATCCGGGGCTCTGCGGCTTCCTCAGACCCCTCTGGGGGGTCTGACTTGTCTTCCACAGGCATTGTCTGAGAAGAAGAATCCTGCTTCCTTTCAGAAACTATGTTGACATCCAATACCCACCCCTATCAATACCCCCTTGCCCAAGGGCAGCTGCCCCCCATCCTCCAGGGGATGACAGGGCCCTGAGGACCTCTGGTGGGCCTGGCCCCAGAGTTGCCGAGTGGATGATCTTAGTAAAAATGTCCCAACCATGGTGTCTAGGGGATTCTACCTAGTTGTCTGTTAAATAAACCCAGGTTTGGAGGACACAAAGCCTTCTCCTGGCCACAGTGCTACCTCCTGACCTGACTTCCCACCCAGTTTTACATGAAGTAGCCAGTGGGGTCCTTTTTTTTTTTGAGACAGAATTTCAGTCTTGTGGCCTAGGCTGGAGTGCAATAGCACAATCCCGGCTCACTGCAACCTCTGCCTCCTGGGTTCAAGCAATTCTCCTGCCTCAGCCTCCCAAATAGCTGGGATTACAGGCACACGCCACCACGCCTGGCTAATTTTTGTATTTTTAGTAGAGTTGGGGTTTCACTATGTTGGCCACGCTGGTATCTGTGGGTGGCAAGCCACCCAGGCACCGAGGCAAGAGACAGAGGACACGAGCTGTTCCAGTATAATAAAATATAAAACAAGAATTGTTATACCAGATATAGATCTTAGATATGATTATATATGAGTATCATTAATCATTAGTTGGTAGCAATTACTTTTTATTCCAATATTATGATAATCCTCACTCAATAATCATAGCCTAGGAAAAACCAGGCCATACAGAGATAGGAGCTGAGGGGACATAGTGAGAAGTGACCAGAAGACAAGAGCGTGAGCCTTCTGTTATGCCTGGGCAGGGCCACCAGAGGGCTCCTTGGTCTAGCGGTGACGCCAGCGTCTGGGAAGACGCCCGTTACCAGGCGGATCATGGTCCAGCAGTAGCAAAAGGCGTCAAGGAACAACACCCGCTACTTAGCAGACCAGGAAAGGCGGGGGGGGGGGGGGGGTCTCCCTTTCCCCGAGGGAGTTTAGAGAAGACTCTGCTCCTCCACCTCTTGTGGAGGGCCTGACATCAGTCAGGCTTGCCCGCAGTTATCAGGAGGCCTAACCGTCTCCCTGTGATGCTGTGCTTCAGTGGTCACGCTCCTAGTCTGCCTTCATGTTCCATCCTGTACACCTGGCTCTGCCTTCCAGATAGTAGTAGTCAATTAGTGAAAATACTAATAGTCCCTGATATGCAGAAATAATGGCGTAAGCTGTCTTTCTCTTTGTCTCCTCTCCCTCTCTGCCTCGGCTGCCAGGCAGGGAAGGGCCCCCTGTCCAGTGGACACGTGACCCACGTGACCTTACCTATCATTGGAGGTGACTCACATTCTTTACCCTGCCCCTTCTGCCTTGTATCCAATAAATAACAGCGCAGCCCGACATTCGGGGCCACTACCAGTCTCTGCGCATTGGTGGTAGTGGTCCCCCGGGCCCAGCTGCCTTTTCTCTTATCTCTGTCTTGTGTCTTTATTTCTACACTCTCTCGTCGCCGCACACAGGGAGAGACGCACCGACCCTGTGGGGCTGGTCCCTACAGGTCTCAAACTCCTGACCTCAGATGATCTGCCCGCCTCGGCCTCCCAAAGTGCTGGGATTACAGGCGTGAGCCACCACACCTGGCCCAGTGGGGTCCTTCTAAAATGCAAAGCTGATCATGTCTCTTCTTCCAGGCTTAAAGCCCTCCCATGGCTTCCTGCAGCCCTGGTGCACGCCTTACGCCAAGCCTGAAAACACTCTGCACACCCACCCCTTCCCTGCACAAACGGGCCTCTGCACACTACCTGCCCCGGCCATGCCCCCGCAACCAGCCCTCTCTGCTTATCTACCTTGGCCTTCTCTCTGGTCAAGCCCCAGGCCCGTCCCTGCCCCTAGGCCTTCACTTAGAGCCTCAGAAGCACTTCTTGCAGGAAGCCCTCCAGACTCCAGAATGGGTCCAGAACCTACTTCCTTTTCGTGGCATTTCTGTATTCTTTTTTTTTTTCTTCCATAGAGCCAGGGTCTCACTGTGTTTCCTAGGCTAGTCTCGAACTCCTGGGCTCAACTGATCCTCCTGCCTTGGCCTTCCATAGTGCTGGGATTACAGGCATGAGTCATTGCACCCGGCCTCCACAGTCTTAATTAATTGGTTGGAGCATTATTTGCATTAATATCTCTCACCACCCTCCCCATTCCTGTCCAAGACCTCAGGGAGGGCCAGGCCAGATGTATCATCTGCACCAGGGAGTCCCCTGCAGGGGCTTCCAGATGTCTGCTAAATGAACACACAGCTCTCTCTGGCCAGTCCAAGGCACCCCAGGAGGCCACCAGAAGCCTGCAGCCTCCCTCCCTCCCTCCTGCTAAGCCCAAGGAATGAGCACTGAGCAGGGAATGGTAATCTGGACACATCCATACTCTGCCCTTCAGAAACTACCTAGCTGTCACCCTGCACGAAACAGGCACCAGCCTGAGAGTCAGGAGGCCTGGGCTCTGGGTCCACCTAGACAGCTGTGGGGCGCAGGACCAACCGCACCCCAATCTCTAAGCCTGGGTTTTTCCATACGTAAAAAAATGAGGGCAGGGCGGGTTAGACACTAGACCAGATCTGTGATGACAGGCCCGTTGGAAGGCTGGAGGCGGGGCCCCTCGCTGAAGGAAAATGCCTTACCTCCAGAAGTGGCCCGCCCTGGAGTGGCCAGCAAAGGGGGCATTGCCCCTGCGCTGGAATACACCCAGAAGCAGGGTGTGAGCAGGAGCTGCGGAGACCTTCAGGGACAGGACAGTCTAGGGAGGGGGTGAGCCCTTTGCAGATCTCCTGCTTATGCCAGGAGAAAGGTAAACACCTCTCAAACACACAAGGAGCCAGGGGGCTGTGGGCTGGAACCTATAGCCGGCAACAGCGTATAGCTTAGGATTTTATAGCATTGTTCTACCCTAGTTATGTTTCCTATACTTTTGTTTGTTTGTTTGTTTGTTTGTTTGTTTGTTTGAAATGGAGTCTCACTCTGTCGCCCAGGCTGGAGTGCAATGGCACGATCTTGGCTCACTGCAGCCTCTGTCTTCCAGGTTCAAGTGATTCTCCTACTTCAGCCTTCCTGAGTAGCTGGAATTACAGGCACCCGCCACTAGGGCCCAGCTAATTTTTGTATTTTTAGTAGAGACGGGGTTTCACCATGTTGGCCAGGCTGGTCTTGGACTCCTGACCTCAAATGATCTGCCCTCCTCAGCCTCCCAAAGTGTTGGGATTACAGGCGTGAGCCACTGCACCCAGCAATTTCTTATACTTCTATGAATGGCAATTAACTTAGATAGTTTTTAGAATGTCAGGTTATGATATGATGTTTCCTTTCCAAATAAATGTAACAGAAAGGAAGCTCACTCATTCAAAGCCATGCTCTCCCACACAGTCACCCCACAGCCTCAGGAGAGCACCTGAAACTGGCGGGGCTGAATTGAGAGGTCAGTATCAGATACACACCAGATTGTGAAGATTTTGTAGTTTTTAAAAAAGGAATGTAAAATGCCTCATTTTTTATATTGATGACAGGTCGAAATGATAATAGTTTCATATGGGATTGGGTTAAATAAGTTAGTAATATTAATTTAGCCCATTTCTTTTTACTTTATAATGTGGTTACCAGAAAATTTTAAATTACATATATGGCTTGTATTTTATTTCTACTGGGCAGTGCTGATTTTTTTTTTTTTTTTTTTTTGAGACAGGGTCTCACTTTGTCACCCAGGCTGGAGTGCAGTAGTGTGATCATAATTCACTGCAGCCTCTAACTCCTGGCCTCAAGCAATCCTCCCACCTCAGCCTCCCAAGTCCCTGGGATTACAGGCATGCACTATCATGCCCTGATAATTTTATTTTTATTTATTTATTTTTTGAGACAGAGTTTTGCTCTTGTTCCCCAGGCTGGAGTGCAATGGCGCAATCTTGGCTCACTGCAAGCTCTGCCTCCTGGGTTCAAGCGATTCTCCTGCCTCAGCCTCCTGAGTAGCCAGGATTACAGGCATGCACCACCATGCCCGGCTACTTTTTTGTATTTTTAGTAGAGAAGGGGGTTTTGCCATATTGGCCAGGCTGGTTTCGAACCTCTGACCTCAGGTGATCCACCCACCATGGCCTCCTAAAGTACTGGGATTACAGGTGTGAGCCCCCACGCTTGGCCACACCAATAATTTAAAAAGAAATATTAAGCTGGGCGCAGTGGCTCACGCCTGTAATCCCAGCACTTTGGGAGGCTGAGGCGGGCGGATCACCTGAGGTCAGGAGTTTGAGACCAGCCTGACCAACATGGAGAAACCCCGTCTTTACTAAAAATACAAAATTAGCTGGGCGTGGTGGCGCATGCCTGTAATCCCAGCTACTCTGGAGGCTGAGGCAGGAGAATCGCTTGAACCTGGGAGACGGAGGTTGCAGTGAGCTGAGATCGCGCCATTGTACTTCAGCCTGGGCAATAAGAGCGAAACTTCATCTCAAAAAACAAACAAAAAAGAAACATTAAGTAAATGATAGTACTGGTAGTGTTTGGGCATGGCAAAAATCCCTTCGTTGATAAAAGAATATTTGAAGTTTGGGAAACGCTAAACAAGTCCATTCCCGCCCCCCTCATTTTACAGATGAGGAAACTGAGGCATAAAGGGAGTGTGACCTGTCCGAAGGCCCAGACTGAGCCAGAGCAGGTGGCACTGGGGCTGACACCCAGGGTCCCCTCCCGCCCACTCCCATCCCCACCTACCACTCACCTTTCGATTGGGGGTGGTAGAGGAGGAGGTCCGGGCCTGTTTCTGGGGGTTCCGTCCTGAAAGGTTGAACTGGGAAGGGTTCATGGGGACCCCAACAGGAGGAGGTCCCAGCAAGGACTGGCGAGTGGCCTGGGGAAAGAACTGTTGCAAATTTGGAGTGGCCAGTTGTGGGGGTGTGAGGCTGGGGGCTGCGAGGCCTGGGGATGCCATGCCATAGCCTCGGAGGTTACCTGCAGGCAAGAAGACAGGAGAAGAGGGGTCACAATGTGGTCGGGTGGCAGAAGGTAGGGTCAGGCATCAGTGCCCCAGAGCATCATGGGAACATCCCAGATAATTGAAAGGGACCTTCCCACCCAAGGGCAGCCAAAGGGAAGAGATGAGAGCTGAGGCTCAGCCCCATCTTGGGCACTGATGGTGAAGGAAGCTTTAGGGCTCTTTTCTGCCCCAGCTAGGGGTGGGGGTGTTGCCTTTAGCATTCCCCAAAACTCTGCTCACCCTCAGGCATGCTTTAGAGTCTGCCATAGAGTAGGTGAGAGACTTAGCACAGCCCATAGGGAGAACCAGCAGGAGGGCTGGTCCCTGGGATAACAAGACACCCACCCCCACCCCTACCAGCTACCCTTTATCAGCAGCAACTATGAGTCAGGCACTGTGCTAAGCCCATTCCTCACACTGCCTCAGTCCCTCGGCCCAGCAGGTTTCAGGGTGGGTGTTATCTCTACCGATGACAAAACGGAGACAGAGTGGAGGTGCAGCTTGCCCAGGGTCGCTACGAGGGACACTGCCATCCACCTACCGCCCCAGCCAGGATTCTGGGGTATTCCTCATTCCTCCCTCTCTTTGCCCTATTCCATGCAAGCCATCCCCACATACTATCAACTCTGTCTCCTATGCCTCTTCCCAATCTGACTTTCCCGCTCCATCCCCACTCCCACTCCCTGCCTCCTCCCAAAACCACTTGATCCTTTGCCTGAATTCCAGCCACAGCTTTTGCACAAGATGGCAGCAAACAGCGATCTTTCGCAAACCATATTCTGAGTTCATCTCTCCCTTCTGCCCAAACACTTCCATAGCTCCCTGCTGTTGGGTAGCAAAGGCCATTCCTCACTGCATGGTCTGGCCCTTCCCACCTTTCCAGCCTCCTTTCTTGCCATTCTCCCCACATGTCCCCACTATATTCCAGTCACATGTCCCTGTGCCGTCCTTCAGACATCCTGCCTCAGGGCCTTTGAATATGCTGTTCCCTCTGCCTGGGCTGTTCTACCCACTGACACCCTTCAGACCTCCCTATAGGTATCTCTCCTCCAAGAGACCTTTGCAGACTGTGTCCCCAAAGGCCCCAGCTTCCAATTATTCTAGGACGAGCTACATACTTCATACTTTCCTTGTCTGCTTTTTTTTTTTTTTTTTTGAGAGGGAGTCTTGCTCTGTTGCCCAGTCTGGAGTGCAGTGGTGCGATCTTGGCTCACTGCAACCTCTGCCTCCTGGGTTCAAGTGATTCTCCTGCCTCAGCCTCCCGACTAGCTGGGACTACAGACGCCCGCCACCACACCTGGCTAATTTTTGTATTTTTAGTAGAGACAGGGTTTCACCATGTTGGCCAGGCTGGTCTCAAACTCCTGACCTCAGGGTGATCCGCCCACCTTGGCCTACCAAAGTGCTGGGATTACAGGCGTGAGCCACCACATCCAGCTCCTTATCTGCTTTCTGCTTCACATCATCTAACTCAGCTCTGCACCTCAGGGGAAGCCCAGAGCTTGGGAAGTATTTAAGGGATGAAAGGCAGTTGGAACTCTTGCCCCAGTGCTGGGATGGGAAGCACAGGGGTTAAAGGTTAAAGCATGGCGTGCTGTGAGCGCTGGGTTCAAATCCAGACTCTACAGTGCAAGCTCTGTGACCTTGAACAAATCACTTCCCCCTGCTTAGCCTGATTTCCTGATCTGTAAAAAGGGGATAATAATAGCACTTGCCTCACAATGTTTCATGAGTATTCAATGAGATATACAAATGTGCCTGGTACATAGTAAATGTTCAATTAACATTAACTTGAAACAAATACATATACACATATGTGCAGAGAGCCAACCAGCTCTTAAAAACAATAAGACAAAAGATGAAACAACCTAAAAGAAAAATGAACAAAGGACATGGACAAGTCACAAAAAGAAATAAAATGTTCAACAGACAAATATAAAATGTTCAATTGCACTAGCACTCTAAGAAATGTAAAACATTCATGACATAGCTTCTTTTTGCCAACCAACTTAATTATATGTATATATACATTTATATATATATATAAAAAGCATATAATACCCAGTGTTGCTGTGGGCATGGTGAGACCGGCAGTGTCATACGTGGCTGGTGGCATTGCAAACTGGTCCAGTCCTTTAGGAAAGCAATTCGGCAATACTTATCAAGAGCCATAAAACATCCATCCCCCCTGACTCAGTGAGAAAACAATCTCAAACAACATATTCATCCCAGGGTTACTTAAAACAGCAAAAAAAAAAAAAAAACCCAAAACAAAACAAAACAAAAAATTAAAAAAAGCAAAAGAAAGAAAAAAGCAAAAAAAAAAAAAGGAAAGAGCCAAACAGCTAAGAAGGTTTAGATAAACAAAGGCATAGCCCTCTGGTGCAATATTAAACAGCTATTAAAAATAATCTTAACACAGATGATCAAATCCTATGGTAAACGATCATGCCATTCTATTCAGTGACAAAGAAACAGGGTACAGCCTGGGACTTATATCAATCACAATCATCAGATACAAATCCCCAAGTCTGTGCCTAGAAAAAAAATGGGATGAAAGAGACAAAAATGCTGACTGGTGGTTTTCTTCAGGTGGTGAGTGAGTCAACAGATGACACTGTGGGTTTTCCTATCCCCATTTTTAACCTTTTTTTCCACTTTAAAGAGTGTGACTTTTATTCTTTTGTTTGTTTTTGAGAAAGGGTCTTGCTAAGTTGCCCAGGCTGATCTTGAACTCCTGGCCTCAAGCAAATCTCCTGTCTTGGCCTCCCAAAGAGTTGGGATTACAGGCATGAGCCACTGCACCTGGCCAAGAGTGTGAGTTATTTTCCTTTTTTTTTTTCTTTTTTTGAGAAAGGGTCTCGCTCTGTCACCTAGGCTGGAATGCAGTGATACAATTTTGGCTCACAGCAACCCCCGCCTCCTGGGTTCAGCAATTCTCATGCCTCAGCCTCCTGAGTAGCTGGGATTACAGGCGCACGCCACCACGCCCAGCCAATTTTTTTTTTCTTTTTTTGAGACAGGGTCTCGCTCTGTTGCTGGGCTGGAGTACGGTGGCGCGATCTCAGCTCACTGCGACCTCCACCTCCCAGGTTCAAGTGATTCTCCTGCCTCAGCCTCCTGGGTAGCTGGGACTACAGGTGCACACCATCACACCTAGCTAATTTTTGTATTTTTAGTAGAGACGGGGTTTCACCATGTTGGCCAGGATGGTCTCGATCTCCTGACCTCGTGATCCGCCCACCTCGGTCGGCCTCCCAATGTGCTGAGATTACAGGTGTGAGCCACCACACCCAGCCTAATTTTTGTATTTTTAATAGAGACAGAGTTTCACCATGTTGCCCAAGCTGTTCTCGAACTCCTGGACTCATGTGATCCTCCTGCCTTGGCCTCCCAAAGTGCTGGGATTACAGGCGTGAGCCACAACCCATGGCTGAAGGGTGTAATGTTTTAAATGGGAAAGAAAAAAAGGAAGATGTATATGTATATGTGGCAGGTCCCTGTGTATGGTTCTCTCTCTCTACCTACCTGCTTATCATTTTTAAGTCAGTTCCCAGGACCACATCCATGTGGCCCTGACAGGTCCACAGAGTGACAACCATCTAATCAATACCGACTTGTTATGTAATCTTGGGCACATGACCCCTCTCTGGGCCTCAGTTTCTTCATTTGTAAAATGGGATCATGGTTGTACCTCTCCTTAGGGGGTTATCAGTAGAATCAGGAGCAGCATCTTGGCTGGGCGCAGTGGCTCACGCCTGTAATCCCAGCAATTTGGGAGGCCAAGGCGGGTGGATCACCTGAGGTCAGGAGTTCAAGACCAGCCTGGCCAACATGGGGAAACCCCGTCTCTACTAAAAATACAAAAATTAGCTGGGCATGGTGGCGGGCACCTGTAATCCCAGCTACTCGGGAAGCTAAGGCAGGAGAATTGCTTGGACCCGGGAACCGGAGGTTGCAGTGAGCCAAGATTGCACCATTGCACTCCACTCCAGCCTGGGCGACAGAGCAAAACTCTGTCTCAAAAAAAAAAAAAAAAAAAAAAAAAAAAAAAAAGGAGCAGCATCTTGGAAGGAAGAGCTGAGACTGCTCTCCATATTGGGAAATTGAGACAAGGCCACAGACTTAATGCACAGGGCTAGAGACAACCACTCAGACATCTGGATGGTCAAGAGGCCCAGGCATCGGCCCAGCTTAGCCACTGCTGATGCAGGGCAAATGATTTCCCTTCTTAGCTTCTTCACCTGTCAGATGGCATCTAATCTGAATGTGAGTGAAGTGTGCTGAGTATTGCCCAAAGAGCCAGCACCATGGCCAAGGACACACCTCTGCAATCAGACAGATCTGCATTCAAATTAGCAGCTTAGGGACTTTCACCTCCTGGAGCCTTAGTGTCCTCATGAGTGAACTAGGATGCCAAGAATAGCTCCCTCTCAGGGTGGCTGTGTGGAGTTGAGATTTAGAGCAATGCGCTGCTAGGGAGCTACCACTAAAAGAGACTGAGAAGAGGCCTGGGGCCATCCATACCTTGCAACTGCTGTAAAAGCAAAGCTCTCTGCAGCATGGAGCCGTTGAGGAGGGAGGCTGAGTTGGTGCCCTGGAGATTCAGAAGCGGCTGCTGTGGCTGCTGCGGGGGGAGCCCCCTGTGTGTTGGGAGGGGGTGTCAGAGGGTTATTTGGAAAGTCAGACCTTCCTTCTTCCCCAAGGCTTCTCACCTCCATTCTCTGCCCCACTCTGTGGTAGACAGAGGACCCCTTGGGGCTGGAATTGGTGATCTCCAGGACTCAAACGGGGATGGCACTGGGAAAAAGGATGGGGATCGGGAGCTCCGAGACATGGGTCTGAGTAGCAAGGCTGAAGCCATCGCGCCCGAGAGGGGAACTCACCGGCTGACAGCCATGGGCAACGGGGCCTGTGGTGGGGACTGCTGGAGCAGCTGCTGGAGCTGCAGTAACTGCTGCTGCTGCAATTGCTGCTGCTGGAGCTGCTGCTGCTGTAACTGCTGGAGCTGCTGCTGCTGTTGCTGGAGCTGCTGCTGCTGCTGCTGGCTGAACATGGTGGCTAGGGGCAGAAAGCAGAGTGAGGCAAGGGGTCCCCACCATAAGTCAGGCCTGCTCCCCTCCCATCCACCGCCACTCCCCGCAGCCACAGCCCGCAGAGACTGCTGAGGAGCTTCACAGCTGCATTCCCAGTCCTGCCAAGAGCCTGCCACACTCGCTTGGCCCATCCTTCCAAGTTACCTCCAGTCCTGCTAGGGGCAAGATTCAACCACCCTCCTGCCAATGCCCCCCAGACACTGCCAACAGCCCCTCCTTCAAGTCCCTCCATCTCTCCATTTCTGGCGGCTCCATCCTCCCACCCTCAGCCTCAGCCTCTCTCTGCGCCCATCACTTCCTCACTCACAGCCCCTTTTCAATACCGCAACCCTCTCTGGGCCCCCGGGTGTCAATAACATCGGCACCCGTCCAACCCGGTCACCGTGGTCCTGAGCTCCGTGGGACGGCTTCTCTCCACCACCGCCACCTCCTCGCGCCCCACTCCGCCCGCTCCCACCCCGCCAGCCGCCTCCTCCGCAGACACAGCCAGCTCGCAGGCGGAGCCCCACGACCCAGCCGCCCCCGGCCCCGCACCTCGCCTCCCCGCGCGCCCTCAACGCTCAAGTCGCCCCCACGGATGGGCCGGCCCCGCAGCCCCCACGCCTCGGCCGGGCGGCTCCGGCCCGCGGGCTCCCGGCCTCCCCGCTGCTACTCCGGGGCCTGTGGGCTCGTAAGGCCCAAATGCGGGCGGGGCCGGCCGGGGCAGCGCCCTCTGGGGGACGGGAGGTCCAGGCGCCTCCGGCCGCGCCACCCGAGCCCGCCCAGTGCACAAGTCACGCTGGGGGGCGGCTGCGGGGCGCTAGCAGGTGCGAGGGGGTCCTGGGCGGCTCATACCCTCTGTCCCGCGTCCTCCGCATCGCGAAGGGGAGGCTCGGAGACCAAGGTCCGTCTGCCGCCCGGAAGGGTCAGCCATCCCGCGGGGCATCGAGGGGGACTTCCTTCCTGTTCCCAACCCACCTCCCTGCGGCCGCCGCGGTCCTGCGATCCTGGGGCCCCGCGCGGGGCTGCGGTGAGAGGGGGCGCGCAGTTGGCGGATGTACATTCATTCGAGGGACCCAGGCCAGGCGAGAGGGCGGCCAAGGTCTTACAGTCCGTCAGGAGTTTGCCCACGGAGGGGTGGAGGGAGAGTCCCCCTCCAAGTCTTTTCTCAGTAGATTTGGCTAAGGAAGGAGTAGGTGAGGAGGGTCGAGGCCAATTATCAAAAAATAGCCCTAGGGGCCGGGCGCTTCCGCCTGTAATCTCAGTACTCTGGGAGGCCGAGGCTGGAGGATCAAGACCAGCCTGGGCAAAATGGCGAAATCCCTCTCTACAAAAAATACAAACATTAGCCAGGGTGGTGGCGGGCGTCTGTAGTCCCAGCTACTCGGGAGGCTAAGGCAAGAGGATCACTTGAGCCCGGGAGGCACAGGCTGCAGTGAGCTGAGATCGCGCCACTGCACTCCAGCCTGAGCGACAGAGCAAGAGCTGTCAAAAAAAAAAAAGTAAAAATTTTAAAAAGAAAAGGAGAGGAAAACAGAGCCCTGCTCCCTTATCCTGCACCTAAAATGGTCCTGCCCCCAAGAACCCCCTTAACAACCGCTGTATCCCCCCATCCCCGCGCCGTAACAATCCTTGGCTACTAAGTAGTAATTCTTTTATTTATTTTTTATTTATTTATATTTTTGAGACGGAGTCTCACTCTGTCGCCCAGGCTGAAGTGCAGTGGCACGATCTGGGCTCACCGCAACCTCCGCCTCCTGGGTTCAAGTGGTCCTCCCGCCTCAGCTTCCAGAATACCTGGGACTACAGGCGCGGGCCACCACGCCCGGCTAATTTTTGTATTTTTAATAGAGACGGGGCTTCACCATGTTGGTCAGGCTAGTCTCGAACTCCTGACCTCAAGTGATTCGCCTGCCTTGGCCTCCCAAAGTGCTGGGATTACAGGGGTGAGCCACCTCTCCTGGACTAAGTAGCAATTCCGGCTCCCTTTTCTGTGGCTCCCTGCCTTGTGCGTGTCACAGCCTGGGCGACTCCTCGCCCTGCCTTCCGCGCCGACGTTGGGCGGGCAGGGCGCGCGGGGGCACTGGCGGCGCGCAGACCCGGGCAGGCGGAGCGCGTTGACGGAGGGCGCTCGGGCAGCAGAATTCGCGCGTCCATAAATCACTGCAGTCATGTGACGAGCGCCGCTCCAAAGCTCTGGACTGGCTCTGCGGCAGATGGGCGGCGGCTGAGGAGCCTAACTCAACCTGGACTAGTCGTGGAAGAGCTAGGACTTAGAGGCGCGAAAGTGACTCAGCGAGGCCGGAGCGCAGGGTGGCGTCCAGGGCCCCGGGGACGTCGGCGCCTATGGGTGAACAGGCAGCCTGGAGGGTGGGGACTTCGAATGCTGGGCTGAGAAGTAGGCTTTATCCTCTAAGGGTAGGGAGCACTGGAGAAGGGTGTGAACCTCATGAGTGACAGCATCAAATCTGCCAATTAGAAAACCCGCTCCCGTGAAAACCAAGACAGAAGCAGTGAGGAGAGAGGGGCGAGTCAAGACTGCCCAGGCTCTACTGGGCACAGCGGCTCACCCCTGTAATCCCAGCACTTTGTGGGGGGTCCAGGCAAGTGGATCACTTAAGGTCAGGAGTTCGACACCAGCCTGGCCAACATGGTAAAACTACGTGTCTACTAAAAATACAAAAAAAATTAGCCGGATGTGGTGGCGGGCGCCTGTAATCTCAGCTACTCGGGAGGCTGAGGCAGAAGAATCGCTTGAACCCGGGAGGCAGAGGTTGCAGCCGAGATCACATCACTGCATTCCAGCCTGGGCGACAGAGTGAGACTCCATTTTAAAAAATAAAAATCAAAGACTGCCCAGGCTGCCAAGCAAGCATGTTAACACCTTGATCTGGGTGCTAGCGTTGGAGAGGTCCAGGATTGAATCGTGACTCCCCTGCCTTGTGGCTAGGTGACACTGGCTGGGGGAGAGGCCTCTTAGCTGGTTTCCTCCTTGGTGAAATGTGTGCCCCCTCCCGGGGTGGTAAGGATGACATTACATAATGCTTAGCACTGGCACCTGGCACAGAAGGAGCTTAGCAAATTGCCAAAGTGAAAAAACTAAAAATAATGCTTGTGCTGGTGAAGGTGGAAAGCCAGCACTAACTTCCTGTGTTGGTTCATCTTTCTGGGAAGCAATTTGCAAATTTTATATCAAGAATCTTGGGCCGATGCAGTGGCTCATGTCTGTAATCCCAGCACTTTGGGAGGCTGAAGCAGGCGGATCACCTGAGGTCAAGAGTTCAAGACCAGCCTGGCCAACATGGTGAAACCTCATCTCTACTAAAAATACAAAAATTAGCCGGGCATGGTGGCAGACGCCTGTCATCCCAGCTACTCGGGAGGATGAGGCAGGAGAATTGCTTGAACCTGGGAGCCGGAGGTTGCAGTGAGCCAAGATCGTACCATTGCACTCCAGCCTGGGTGACAAGAGCAAAACTCCATCTCAAAAAAAAAAAAAAAAAAAAGAATCTTGCACATGTTTTGCCCTTTGACCCAATAACACCATTTGTAGGAGTCTAGCCTAAGAAAATAATCAGAAATGAGACTTTTACAAGATAGCAGGTTGTTCATGGAAATATTTATATATTTTTTCTTTTTTCTTTTTAAGGACAGCCTCAGCTGGGCATGGTGGCTCACGCCTACAATCCCAGCACTTTGGGAGGCTGAGGTGGGTGGATCGCCTGAGGTCAGGAGTTCGAGACCAGCCTGGCCAACATAGTGAAACCCCGTCTCTACTAAAAATACAAAAAATTAGCTGGGCCTGGTGGTGGGCACCTGTAATCCCAGCTACTCAGGAGACTGAGGCAGGAGAATCGCTTGAACCTGGTAGGCAGAGGTTGCAGTGAGCCAAGATCCCATCGTTGCACTCCAGCCTGGGCAACAAGAGCAAAACTGTCTCAAAACAAAACAAAAAAAAAGAGACAGGGTCTTGCTCTGTCTCCCAGTCTGGAGCGCAGTGGCACGATCATAGCTCACTGCAGCCTTTCCCTCCCTGGCTCAATGGAGCCTCCTACCTCAGCCTCCTGAGCAGCTAGGACTACAAGTCCATGCCACCACGCCCAGCAAATTTTTGTATTTTTTTTTTTAAAGACAGGGGTCTCACTATGTTGCCCGGGCTGGTCTTGAACTCATAGGTTCAAGTGATTCTCCTACCATGGTCTCCTGAAGTGCTGAGATTACAGGTGTGAGCCACCACATTCAGCCAAAACATTATTTATAATAGCTGTCTGGAAAATAATCAACTTTAGGGGAATAGCTAAATAAGTCATGGTGTCACCTTTTAAGGAACAGTGCCCAGCCATCAGAAATTATGTTTTCAAAGGATAAACACCCACAATATGATGTGAAGTGAGCTCACTGGCTTATAAAATGCATGCACATTACCATCCCAGGTGTTTTTGTTTTGTTTTGTTTTTTTGAGACAGAATTTTGTTCTGTCATCCACGCTGGAGTGCAGTGGTGTGATCTCAGCTCACTGCAGTCTCTGCCTCCTGGATTTAAGTGATTCTCGTGCCTCAGCATCCTGAGTAGCTGAGACTACAAGCATGCGCCACCACACCCGGCTAATTTTTGTATTTTCAGTAGAGATGGGGTTCCACCATGTTGACTAGGCTGGTCTCAAACTCCTGATCTCAAGTGATCTACCCACCTTGGCCTCCCAAAGTGCTGGGATTACAAGCGTGAGCCTCCATGCCAGGCCTTCCAGACCTATTCTGCTCCAGGACTTTATCTATCTATCCCTTCTCATGGACTCTATCTATCCCTTCTCATGATGATGTCACATACTTTGATTATTATAGCTTTAGAATATGTTTACCCCCTCATAGTGCAAGCCCCTGACATTGTTATTCTTTAAAAAATTTTTGCTAATTCCCAATTATATATTTTTTTCAGATACTTCATAGAATTTTGTCAAACCTTCCCCAGCCTCTGAAATCCCATCAGAATTTTTGTTTGTTTGTTTTTGAGGCAGAGTCTCGCTCTGTCGCCCAAGCTGGAGTGCAGTGGTGCAATCTTGGTTCACTGCACCCGCTGCCTCCTGGGTTTGAGTGATTCTTGTGTCTCAGCCTCCCAAGTAGCTGGGATTACAGGCATGCACCACCACACCCAGCTAATTTTTTGTATTTTTAGTAGAGATGGGGTTTTACCATGTTGTCCAGGCTGGTCTCGAACTCCTGACTTCAGATGATCCACCCACCTTGGCCTCCTAAATTGCTGGGATTACAGGCATGAGCCACTAAACCTGGACCTCATTAGAATTTTGATTGGTGTTGCACTAAATATGTTTAAATTAGAGAAAAACTGACGTCTTTACCCCCCGTTTTTCAGTTTAAGAAGGAGGTAAATGGGCCAGGTGTTGTGACTCACACCTATAATCCCAATAGTTTGAGAGGCCAAGGTGGGAGGATTCCTTGAGCCCAGAAATTCAAGACCAGGCTGGACAATATAGGGAGATCACCGTCTCTACAAATAACTAAAAATTAGCTGGGCATGGTGGTGTGTGCCTGTAGTCTCAGCTACTTGGGAGGTTGAGGTGAGAGGATCACTTGGGCCAGAGAGGTCAAGTCTACAGTGAGCCACGATCGTGCCACTGCACTTCAGCCTTGGCAACAGAGTGAGACCCTGTCTCAAAAAAAAAAAAAGAAAGAAAGAAAGAGAAAAGAAAAGAATGAGGTGAATGTCTCTATTATTTATTTATTTATTTGAGACAGAGTCTCGCTCTGTCTTCAGGCTGGAGTGCAGTGGCACGATCTCTGCTCAATGCAACCTCCACCTCCCGGGTTCAAGCAATTCTCCTGCCTCAGCCTCCTGAGTGGCTGGGACTACAGGCACCCGCCACCACGCCCGGCTAATTTTTGTATTTTTAGTAGAGACAAGGTTTCACCATGTTGGCCAGAATGGTCTCGACCTCTTGACCTTGTGATACCCCCGCCTCAGCCTCTCAAAGTGCTGAGATTACAGGCATGAGCCACTGCACCTGGCCGCGAATGTCTCTATTTATTCAAGCCTTGCAGTAAGTTAGTTTCACAGGCCTCTTCACCTAGTACTTGCACAGTTTCTATGGTAGCTATTATTGCTATTTTCCCAGTACTCTTTCTAACTGGCAATTGACTATAGCTTCTTTATCTTGTAACCTGCCACCTCCCCACCTTGCACTATTTCTGTCCTCAGCAATGTCGTGTGCCCTTGATGGTAGAAAGTACCTGCCAAGTTGTCCTCATGTCCTTGGGACCCAGCTCAGAACCCTGCACATCGCAGGTTTGTGTGGTGAAGGCTGATTAAATTAGTGAATGATGAATGAATGAATGGATTGCTTCAGGATGCAATTTCTTCCCTCTGTCCTCAGGTTAGCGTTCATCATAGCAGCCCTTCGCGCCTTTTATATCTGTGTCCATCACCCTACAGAGGCAAGTTCCAGTGAGGCACCCAGCATAGGCCATAAGGTGGGCACCCCCAGCAGATGCCCCAGCTCAGAATCCCTGGGAATAGGCTGTATTCAACAACAGCTCCAAGTCAGACAAGAGGCAGAGAAATACATAAGACCATATGCTTATCACCTGGCCTCCCCAGTGGCTGTCGCTCACCTGTGCCTTTTCCTAAAAATAAATGGAGTGTGAAAGGCAGAGGACAGAGGCAGGGAATAGCCGAATGGGCACGACCTTGTTGCTGCCCCTACCTTCCGGGGGACCCAGGGTAGGTCCTGACTTAGGGCTCTAGTTTGGCCAACTGTGCCAGACAGGACAGACTTGTGGATAACAGATTCTCTCTCCTCCCTTACCGCATCCAGTCACACCCTCTGCTACCTTCGCAACACCGGAGAAGTTTCTTTGGACAGTGCAATGGTGATGATGGTTATAATGACACTATTTGTAGCTCTCATGATTCACAGTTCCAGGCACTGTTGGATGCTTTACCTAAATTATTATTACATCACTGAACCGTCACACAATCCTATGAGTTAGGGGTTATTATAATCCCCCTTTTACAGATGAAGAAACTGAAGCTTTGGGAGGTAAAATGATTTGCCCAAGGTCATCAGGTTAGAAAGTGACAGAAGTGGGATTTGAATACCAGGCGGTCTGGCTTCAGACCTAACCATGGCACAATCAGCACACATGGGCACCTGCCCTGTTCCAGGCTGATGGGGAGCCCTTCAACAGGAGATAAGGTGGTGCAGGCACAGACGCCTGGACTGCCAGAGCCCCAAAGCCCATAGGAAATATTGGTGCCCAGCCTGCAACCATGTAGAGAAGGCCCAGCCTGACCCAGCTGTTTCCTCAGCGGCGACTCTGCCCCAGGCTGTGCCAGGTGCCCTTGTCCCATGTTCCTGGTCCCCTTAGCCCCTCCCCTGTGACTTCCATTCCAGCAGGATGATCCCTGCGTCTTATTAACCTCTTCATCCTCCTCTGTCTTGCTGAGATCTGGCACATAGTAGCCACTGATCCATACCTGTGGGAAAAATGAATGAATGAATGACTCCAAAGAGCCAGACCCTGCGCAGACTTAGTGACTAAATATAATGACTTGACCCCGGAGCTGTGTAATAAGGCCACTGCTCAATTCAACTGGCATTTATTGAGCACCTACTGTGTATGTATACAACACAAATACTGTCAAAAAGGGCTCGTGTTTTGGCCAGGCACGGTGGCTCATGCCTGTAATCCCAGCACTTTGGGAGGCCGAGGCGGGCAGATCACGAGGTCAGGAGATCGACACCATCCTGACCAGCATGATGAAACCCCGTCTCTACTAAAATACAAAAAATTAGTCAGGTGTGGTGGTGAGTGCCTGTCGTTCCAGCTACTTGGGAGGCTGAGGCAGGGGAATCGCTTGAACCCAGGAGGCGGAGGTTGCAGTGAGCTGAGATCGTGCCACTGCACTCCAGCCTGGCGACAGAGCGAGACTCCATCTCAAAAAAACAAAAGGGTTTTATTTTTTGTGCACTAAAAATATGTATTCACCACACAGCATCTCTGGGAGAAAACCATCGATTACCAGAGCTGGCATAGTGTAGGATGTAAATATGGAAGCTCTGAGTCACACTGACAACCGTCTACATCTTGACTCCATCATTTCTTGGCTATGTGACCTCAGACATGTTCTTTACTAACCTCTCTGTGCCTCAGTTTTCTCATCTGTCAAAGGAGGCTAATAAAACTTCTTTCTCGGCTGGGCACGGTGGCTCACGCCTGTAATCCCAGCACTTTGGGAGGCCGAGGTGAGTGGATCACCTGAGGTCAGGAGTTCAAGACCAGCCTGGCCAACATGGTGAAACCCTGTCTGTACTAAAAATACAAAAATTAGCTGGGCATAATGGTGGGCACCTGTAATCCCAGCTACTCAGGAGGCTGAAGCAGGAGAATTGCTTGAGCCCAGGAGGCAGAGGTTGCAGTAAGCAGAGATCATGCCACTGCACTCCAGCTTGGAGCTGGAACAAGACTCTGTCTCAAAAAAAAAAAATTCTGCCCAGCACAGTTGGTGGTCAAAACTTTGGGAGCTCAGCCATGTATGGTGGCTCACACCTATAGTGCCAGCACTTTGGGAGGCCAAAACAGTAGGATCACTTGAAACCAGGAGTTCAAAACCAACCTGGGCAACAAAGCAAGATCCCGTCTGTACAAAAAAAAATTGTTTTAATTAACTGGGCATGGTGGTGTGCACTTGTAGTTTCAGCTATTTGGGTGGCTGAGGCAGGAAGCCTACTTGAGCCCAGGAGTTTGAGGCTACAGGGAGCTGCGATTGTGCTACTGCACTCCAGTCTGGGCAGCTGAGCAAGGTTTATCTTATCTCTAAAAACAAACAAAAAAACAAAAACAAAAAAGCTTTGGGAGCTCAAGAGAGAGTAAAGAAGCCATTTCTTTCTTTCTTTTTTTTTTTTTTTTTGAGATGGAGTCTTGCTCTGTCACCCAGGCTGGAGTGCATGGTGTGATCTCGGCTCGATGCAACCACCACCCCTGCCTCCCAGGTTCAAGCAATTCTCCCACCTCAGCCTCTCGAGTACCTGGGATTACAGGTGCGGGCTACCATGCCCAGCTAATTTTTGTATATTTAGTAGAGATGGTGTTTCGCCATGTTGGACAGGCTGGTCTCCAACTCCTGGCCTCAAGTGATCCACCCGCCTTGGCCTCCTAAAGTGCTGGGATTACAGGTGTGGGCCACTGCACCTGGCCCTGAGATTCTTCTTTTCAACCAACTCCATGTGATGCCAGGCTGCTGGCCTGGCATCAGTGATACAGCAGTATAGGATACTTAGTATAATCCCATTTCTGTAAAAACAAAATGGAACAAAATGAATATGTGCATATATGAAAAACAAAGCCAGAGAACGATCCCTAAGCTATAGTGGTTATCTCTAGGTGGGAGGATGACCAGAGGTTTTCAAATACTTGTGTAAAGTCTGGTTTTACAATAAGTTTCAATATTGTAATTAGGGGGGAAAAAGTAAAAATAATAAAAGCTGGCTGGGCATGGTGGCTCACAGCTATAATCCCAGCATTTTGGGAGGCTGAGGCGGACAGATCATGAGGTCAGGAGTTTGAGACCAGCCTGGCCAAGATGATGAAACCCCGTCTCTACTAAAAATACAAAAATTAGCTGGGCACAGTGGCGAGCACCTGTAATCCCAGCTACTCAGGAGGCTGAGGCAGGAGAATTCCTTGAACCAGGGAGGGAGAGGTTGCAGTGAGCTGAGATCACACCACTGCACTCTAACCTGAGCGACAGAGCAAGACTCTGTCTCAAAAAAAAAAAAAGAAAGAAATACAAAAAATTAGCTGGGCGTGGTGGTGCATGCCTGTAGTCCCAGCTACTTTGGAGGCTGAGGCAGGAGAATCACCTGAACTTGGGAGGCGGAGGTTGCAGTGAGCTGAGATCACGACACTGCACTCCAGCCTGGGAGACAGAGCGAGACTACGTCTCAAATAAATAAATAAATAGGCTGGGCACAGTGGCTCATTCCCGTAATCCCAACACTTTGGGAGGCTGAGGCAGGAGGATCACAAGGTCAAGAGATCGAGACCATCCCGGCCGACATGGTGAAACCCTATCTCTACTAAAAATACAAAAATTGGCCGGGCGCAGTGGTTCACACCTGTAATCCCAGCACTTTGGGAGGCAGAGGCAGGCAGATCACAAGGTCAGGAGATGGAAACCATCCTGGCTAACACGGTGAAACCCTATCTCTACTAAAAATACAAAACATTAGCCGGGCGTGGTGGCACGAGCCTGTAGTCCCAGCTACTTGGGAGGCTGAGGCAGGAGAATTGCTTGAACCCAGGAGGTGGAGGTTGCAGTGAGCCAAGATCGCACCACTGCACTCTAGCCTGGGTAACAGAGCGAGATTCCGTCTCAAAAAACAAACAAACAAACAAAAAATACAAAAATTAGCTAGGAGTGGTGGCACGTGCCTGTAGTCCCAGCTACTCGGGAGGCTGAGGCAGGAGAATCGCTTGAACCCAGGAGGCAGAGGTTGCAGTGAGCTGAGATCATGCCACTGCACTCCAGCCTGGCGACAGAGTGAGACTCCGTCTCAAAAATAAATAAAATAAATAAGTAAATAAATAATATTAAAAGCCCAGCCATGATGCCCTCTAGGCAAACATCTATAAACTGCACCCCCTCCTGGTGCCAGTCATCCAGGCTTCCATCTCTGCCTTCTCTTGTCCTCAGAGCATAATAACAGGTTGGCATGGAACAGCTGCCAGGTTCCATGCAAGTTGTGTGGCACTGATGCTCCAGCTGTCTGGTGAGCTGTTATCATTGGCATCCTCACAGCTGCAGCTTAATAAGGGCCCCCTGAGCACTAGGCCTGGGCTGTGCCCTACACAGGCATTTGATCTATTATTATCCCCATTATCCAGATTAGTTAACTGAGGTTCAGAGACGTGGAGGGACCTGGGTCACGCAGCTTGTTTAAGGCCCAGATTAGACTCCTAATCCACTCTCTGGTGCTACCAGGGAGAGGGCCTGCTTGTTCCCCATGCCTGCCTCGAAGATTCCTCCCCACAAGGGTCACTCTCTGATCACCATCTTCACAATAGCAACACCACCCTACCCCGCCCCTGCTTTCTTGCTCTGCAGGGCACGCCATCTAACAGGGCCATCGTTATTGCCCTATTTGCATATTGTCTGTCTTTTTCCACTGAATTGTCAGCCACATGTGGGTAAGGACTTTGTCCGTTTTGCTCACTGCTTTATCTCTGGAGTCTAGCATAGTACCTGGCTCAACAAATACGCATTAAATGGATGAGTAAGTGAACAGTCTCCAATTCACAGACCACTTTGTCAGCAGTGCCCCCACACTGTTCACAGCGCAGGGAAATGACTCACCGACTCCCCATGAGCACAGTGTAGGCTAGCCTTCCCTTCCTAGCCTCCACCGTGAATACTAATTAGGTTTCTTAAATGCAGAGATGGACGGCTGGGCTCAGGGCCCCATGGTCTGTCTGTGTGAAAGGGTACGCAGGGTAGGATTGTAGGAGCCCTGGATTTGAATCCCACTGTTTTACGCTGTTTTACCACCATCCTGATGGGTTGGAGCAAAGACTTCCACTCTCTAGGACAAGAGCTTCCAACTCTCCCAAGAAGGGCCCTCCAGGTGTCAGGGCCTCTGCACTTGCTGGTCATTCAGCCTGGCATGCTCTTCCCCTGATCTGCTTGCTGCTGGCTCCTTCTCATCATTTTGGTCTCTTCTCAAATGTCACTTCTGCAGAGAACACCCCCGACTCCTGCCAAGCCAATGTGAACTTTCCACACCCACAAAGATACCTTTTTTCACCCTGTTTATTTCCTCCATCCCTCTTACTATGAATTATTTTCATTTTTACTATTTCATTTATCTGCTTACTTATTTACTGTCTGTCTCCCCAGCTTGATGCAAGATCTATGAGGGCAGAGGCCTTGGCTGTCTTATTCGTTGCTGAATCTTCAGTGCCTAGGACAGGGCCTGGCTTCTAGCAGGTACCTAGTAAATATTTGTTGAATTCATGTTCCAACTTTCTCCTTCTAGAAACAAGGAAACTGAGGACCAAAGGCAGAAGAGGACATGTTGGAGATCAGAGTCAGGATCTAGGGATAGAAGCCAGCGAGATGAAGGGGAACTCATCTCGGAGTTCTGACCTCTGAGGTCAGGAGGCTGTGACCTCAGAGGAAGCCCATCTGCTCTCCAGGCCTGTTTCCTCATCGGTAAGATGGAGTGAAACATCCAGACCACTCTCCAAGAGGCCTGGTACTAGGAGTGAGACCCAACCCATTGACAAATATATTCTGCGCAGCATCCGCGCACCCCAGACACTGCTAAAGCACCCCAAAAGCCGCAGAAGGTGAAAACTACGACACCCATGATGCCCCGGACGGCGCCTGCGCACGGCGGCCGGCCCGCAGCGCCGCGGGCTCCCCCTAGCGGCGTCCGGGAGCGGTGCTCGCTCCGATCCCCGAGGGGCGGGGGCCCCGCGGCGCAGGCAGTCTGGGCGCGCGGCTGCAGCGGCGGAGCCGGAGTCGGAGCCGGGAGCGCTAGCGGCAGCCGGATCGCAGCCTGCGGGGCCCGCCGCAGCCATGGGCAACCGCGGCATGGAAGATCTCATCCCGCTGGTCAACCGGCTGCAAGACGCCTTCTCTGCCATCGGCCAGAACGCGGACCTCGACCTGCCGCAGATCGCTGTGGTGGGCGGCCAGAGCGCCGGCAAGAGCTCGGTGCTCGAGAATTTCGTAGGCAGGTAGGCGCGGCGCGCCCCCAGGCGCCGACCCCCGACCCCCGGGATCCCTGGAGTCCCCGCCCGGGGCACTGACGGCGCGGCGACCTCGCAGCCCCCGACGCTGCACCCGCGGCCGGCGCGCCCCCCACCCCCAGCCGGAGCGAGGAGGCCCTCCCCCCACCACGAGAGCCCCTCGGGGCAGCAGCGCCCCCCGCTAGTCTGCAAACGTCGTCAAGCCTCCGGCTACCGAATCACGCCCCCTCCTCCGTCCCATCCTTTAGGGCAGACAACGCTCTGCCAGAAGCCCCGGGCAAAGAGCTGCCCCCCGCCCCCAACATGGGCATGGAGAGAGCCCGCATTACTCAGCGTCTCCGTTGGGCTCCGGGAGTCCCTTGGAGCGGGCAGCACCCGGGGGCAGCGTCCCCCACACCGGGCTCAATGGGGGACATCCCCCTACCCCCATGGGAATTCCTGGGCCGTGGCAGAGGTCAGCCCCCGCATCCCAGTCCCTAGAAGAGGACGTAGTCCCGCGGGCATCGAGGACCGGGCACGGCCTCCCGCCAGCACACACACACCTCTGCGGCTCCCGCCGCCATCCGTGCGCAGCGCGGCGAGGGGGGAGGCGCGGGCTGCAGGATGAGGAAGGGAAGAGGGGAGGAGAAACCACTTCTTATCCTTTTCTGAGCAGCCGGCCCCTTGCTTCGCCACGGCCCCTGGGTGGGGGGCGCCTGTCAGTGTCGCCCTCCCCTTGGCCTGGCCAGAGGAATCGTGTTGGAGGGAGAGGCGGCAGAGGGCAGAGATGACTAAGACAGGGATGGCGGGAGGGGGGAGCCATTTGCAGAACCTAATCCCCCTCCCGCCTCTGATCCCACAAGGCGCTGAGAGGCCTAGGTGGCGGAGAGAGGAACAACCGCAAAGACAAAGGGTCGTGGGTTTAGCGGGGCAGGCAGGGTCGTGACCCGCAGGCTCCCCACAAACCCCCAAAGGGAGGCAGAAATAGTTTTTCTGGTGCTGAGGAGAGAGAAGAAAGATAGGAGCTCTCCAGGTACTGGAGGTGGGTTGGGGGGCTGGGCAGACTGGGGGATGAAGTGAGAGAGTTTACACTGACCCCGTCTTTCATCTCCCCCCCATCTTCTTCAGAAACTCTTGCTTTCTTCCAATGACCTTCAGGGCCAAAAAAGTGACTGGCACATGGGAGAGGGAGGCAGGGGCCCTTGTCCGCAGAGGTACAGCAGTTCTGTCCAAGCCAGGTTCTGCTGCAAAACCTCAGGCAAGTCACTTGCCCTCTCTGAGCCTCAGTGTCCCCATCTCTAACATGGACAGTGGGACTGGGTGGTTGTTCCTGCCCCTCAAATGTCCTGGGAAACCCATGCCAGCCCTAGAGGTGAGAGGGAGAGGGCCTGACTGGAGCCATGTGTGTGTGGGACGTTGGAAGGCCACCGTGGGGGCGGCCGTGCCCATCTGGTCAGCAGAGGGGAAGGCATCTGTCTCTCCAATGGCTCCTGCAGAGCCCCCCTTCTGATCACATGACCCCCGGAGCTGCAGAGACACAGGCAAGAGACACACCACGGGCCCCTTCCCCAAGGGCCAGCAGTCAGGGATATCCAGCAGTTTAGAATGGAGAAACCATATTCCTACCTCTCGTCCTTTGAATGTTGGCTGAACTCCTGCCCCATGCCAGGCTGCGTGCTTCAGGCTTGGGGTAGGGAGGGGACCAACTGGTGATTTCAGCCCGCATCTACTGAGCCCATCCCATGCATCCCCCTATGCTGAGTCCTTCATAGGCTCACAGGAGCTCCCAAGAGGCAGGTACCATGATGCCCATCCTACAGATGAGGAAACTGAGACCCTGGAGGTTAGATGCCTTGCCCAAGGTCACACATTCAGAAAGGGCAGCAGCTGTTAGACTCCAAAGCCCAATTCCTAATCTCGACGCTGCACATCCTCTGACAGCCGGGTCCTGCACCAGGCACAGGGACGTGTGGGTGGGTGGGCCTCCATTTCCCCATCTGCGGAATGGAAACGCTGACAGCCGCTGCCCTGCCTTCCTGAGAAGGTGACTGTGGGCTCCACCGAGTTCATGGGTGGAAAGGTGCTTTTGTAAACATGCGGGAGGGGGCGCTGATAGCCAATTAGGCTTGGGGACCTGCATGCCCAGCCCCTGCCTTCCTGGAGCCCATGACGCAGGGGCCATCCCTGACCACAGCAGATTTCATCGAGTACTTGCTTGTTGAGTGGTGGAGCAAGGTTTGGACCGTGCCCCAGGAGGCCTGGGCCCTCTGGCTGCCCTCTCCACCCCAATGCCCTTGGCCGTTGTCCCCACAGGAGGATGTGCAGGGTGTCCAGATGCAGGCCCAGGGCAGGGGAGGGGGCTTAGGTTGATGTGAAGGAGTAGGCAGAAAAGCATTCATGATCCTCTGAAAGCTAGTGAGAAGGCCAGGGAAACTGAGGCTCAGTGGGTTCCACTGTCTCAGCCTGCCAGCTCCCTCAAGGGCTCCTGACCTCTCCAACAGGGCTCAGTCCCCAGACTGGTGAGCATAGTAACAGCCATTCTGTCTCCTGGGGCTTCCCAGGAGCCAATCCCCAACAGAAAATGCTTCACAGGAAAATGCATCAGGGCTGCCCCAGGCCCACCCGGGCTTCTGGGTGCTCAGGAGGATCCTGCTGTCAACTCTGCAATGGAGGTAGCCTTGCAGCTGCCTGGGATGCTGCTAGAACTTGTCTGGGTCTATACTATTTCTTCACCCCCTTCCCTTTTACAGAAGGGAAAACTGAGGCCAATTCATTCAGTCATTTAGCAAACATTTGTGGAGGGTGCACGATGTCTCAGCACTGGGGATTCTATGGTGGAAAAGACCAAGACTCTGCACTGCAGAGGGAGAAACTCAGAAGACAACTGGAAAATGTGGTGAACGTCAGGGAGGGGAGTGGGGCTGCTCTCCCCAGGGAGGTCAGAGGTCTCCAGGAGGAGGTGGCATCTGAGATGAGAACCAAGGGATGAGAAGCTGTGTAACTTGCCAGGGGCGGGAGAGTTCCAGGCCAAGGGAAAGGTGCAAAGGCCCCGGGGTAGCAAAGAATTTGGTGCCTTTGAAGAACAGAAAGGAGACCCTGTAGCTGGTATTCAGCTAGCAAGGGGGAGACAGGACCTGAGAGATAGGCAGGGGCTAGATCTACAAAGCCCTTAGGCCATGAGGAGTGAGGAGTTTGGGTTTATTTTCTCTCTTGTGGGAAGCTTTTTAGTAGTGGAGTGATGAGCTAATTCTAGCAAGGGTGTGACTTGGGGAGCGGGTGAGGGAAAAGGCAGGAGACTGGTGGGGAGGCTGCTGCAGTGGGCAGGGGGTAGTGGGGGGCCTGGACAAGGGCTTCAGCTGCAACCAGAAGGAGAATGGTGGGTGGGTTTCAGGATATATTTTAGAGGAAGTCCTGCTGGAGGATGAATGTGGAGGGTGAGGAAAGAGGAATCAATGATGACTTCTGGGACTTTGACCTGAGCTCCTGGGTGGGTGTTGGTGCCATTAACAGAGTCGGGAAGAGTAAGGAGGAGCAGACTGGGGGGATGGGGGAAGACCAGGGTTTGGTTCTGAACATATTGAGCCTGAGATGCCTGTTAGACTTCTAAGTGGAAGATGTCAGCTGGCAGTTTGGTGATGCAAGTTGAGAGCTCAGGGGGAAGACGGGCTGGAAGTAAAAATTTGGAAGTCGTTGGTGTAGAGATGGGATTTAAACCCGAGAGTAGATGAGCTCATCCTGGGGGTAAGTGTAGATGGGGGAGTGTTTGTGGACCCAGCACACACCAGCCTTTCATGAACAGATGCCTGGTGCCCTAGGCCAAAGGGGCCTCCTCGCTGTCCCTCCAGCTCCTCTTTGTCACCCCCGCCCCGCTACACCCCCCACCCCAGTGCTCCTCTAGGGCCAAGAGTGGGTTGTCCTAGGGCAGGCCAAGTCTGGTGGGAATGTGGCAGAGGGGCCGAGAGCATGGTGTGGAGTCAGACCTGCCGAGTATGAAGCTCAACTCTGCCACTTACAAGCAGAGAAACCCTGGGCATGTTCCCCAAACCCTGCCCAGCTGCTATTTCCTCATCTGTAAAATGGGGATAATAATAGCACATCCCTTGTGAGATTATGGTGAGTGTTGAAACAATCCCCAGGAAGCACTCGGGGCAGGGCCTGGCATGGAGGACGCGCTGCTTCTATCCCTGCCTGGGCGTAGACAGGCAAGCCCTCTGGGATGGCGTGGGCTGGGAGGTGCACCAGGATGGGGGCACGGGTTGGGGATCTTCTCCATCCAGGGTAGGGTAGGGGTCCTGAGGAGCGACCCTCTGCCCAGAGCCGAAGGAGCAGCCTGGGAGGAAGGGTTTTAGGTTTCCCCGTAACTCTGCCTACCCCCCACCCCCAGGCTTTCTGTCTCCCCCAATGCCCTTGTCCCTTCCTCCCCATTCTTTTTTTTCTTTTTTTTTTCTTTTTTTGAGATGGAGTCTCACTCTGTCACCCAGACTTGGAATGCAATGGCGCGATCTCAGCTCACTGCAACCTCCACCTCCCAAGTTCAAGTGATTCTCCTGCCCTAGCCTCCCAAGTAGCTGGGATTACAGGCATGTACCACCACGCCCGGCTAATTTTTGTATTTTTAATAGAGATGGAGTTTCATCATGTTGTCCAGGCTGGTCTCAACTCCTGACCTCCAGTGATCCACCCACCTCAGCCTCCTAAAGTGCTGGGATTACAAGTGTGAGCCATAGCACTCAGCTCTCTGCTCTGCATTCTATCCCAGCATGGACGTGATGCTGGTCTCTGGACTCTGAGAGCCCTTCTCTTTGTCAAACCTAGCCTTTCCCAGGGGAGACAGCCCCCTCCCCACTATTAAGCTCTGTCTCTTCCTCTGAACACACCAGGATGCATCATAGTGGTCCCATTTCTCAGATTTGGAGATGGAGGCCAAAGTCTATTAGGGGATAAATGAGACATCCTAGGCAGAGTATCGATGACCTGGATGGGGCAGAGGGAACTAATATTTCCTTGGCACTTGCTGTGTGCCAGGCCCTGAGGATACAGTTGTGAGTCAGCCAGACCCATCCTGCTTGGGGAGGCTTGCGGCTGATCGGGGCAGACAGACATGAAATCCACAAAGAGCACGTTTGTCGTGTATTTTGAAGGAGGCTGCTCCTGCGTTGCAAGGAGCCTGACATTGAGGGGAGGGGGGCTTTCTGGGCCATCAGAAGGCCTCCTGAGGAGGTAGCATTTAAGATTGGACCTGAGCAAGACTAGGACGTGGTCAAGCCAAGGTGTGGACTTCCGCAGGTGCAGGGACTGTCCTGAGCAAAGAGTTAGGGGGAAAAGAGCCCAACGGGTTTGAGAACCCGGATGAAGGATGAAGGGCAGTGTGGCTGAGTGAGGAGCAGAGGCCAGAGGTGAGACTAGGAGGGTTGGGGAGGCGGGGCTTGAGGGGCCTGTTAGGGGCCCTTTGACACCCCCCCACCCACCTGGAGAGCTGCCACACTCTGCTCCAGCCTCTGCATGCTCAGAGCACGCAGCTGCCACGTGCTAAGCACACACTGCCTGTGGGCCACATGTGGAGCACACCCCTGGGGCTGGAAACATGGAAATGCACCCATCCACAGCCAGAGGACATCCTCTCCAAACCCACACCCCACCGTGGCCCAGAGGAGCTGGGAGTGAAAGGTGACCCTGGCAGACAGCATCTGATCTCGGCGCCAGGAGAATTGAGTTTCCCAGGCCCTGGCTGGGTCAGAGGGTCGGACCCAGGGAAGGGGGTGCAGGTGGGAGAGTGGAGAGGGTGGGCAGGGCAGGAGTGGAGGAAGTGGGTCATGGACACAGTGCTGTCAGGCGTGGAGAAACGGACGCCCACATGCCATATGTCTATGTATTCCAGTTATAAATCAAGCTGAGGAATTGCTAAATGCAATACATTCTGCCCTCCCACCATAACAAACACACCTTCATCACAACCTGACCAGCTGGGTTTGAATTCAGAATTTCAGACTCCTTGGAGTTCCGTGGTGGATGTGGAGGCGTGGGGACAGGTGTCCCCTCTCCGCAGGCTGCCCCGTCATTTCCCTCTTTATCCCTCCAGGGTTCACTTGTGAACACCCCAGCCCTCATATCCCAGCTCCAGAAAGGACCCACCTTGGGCCTGGGCTGGTCCCCACTTGGGCCTGGGCGGTGGGCTTGGAACTGCTTGAGAGGGAATTCTGGGGCATCTGAGCGTAGCCTACGAGGGGAGCACAGGCTTCAGCTGGGCACCTCCCCTGGCCCCTGGGGAACTCTTTGCCCCATGGGGAGGGTGAAGCCAGAGGAGGTCCAGAGAGGGACCCCTAAGTGTAAGTCTCAGACTAAGGGCTCCATTCCCCAGGCCTAAGGGCAGTACTGATGTCTTCTATCATTCCAAGTTTTTGTTTTGTTTTGTTTTGTCTGTTTTGTTTTGTTTTGTTTTGTAAGACAGGATCTCACTCTGTCACCCAGGCTGGAGTGCAGTGGGGCGATCTTGGCTCACTGCAGCCTTGACCTCCCGGGCTCAAGCCATCCATCCTCCCACCTCAGCCTTCCGAGAAGCTGGGATGACAGGCATGTGTCACCACACCCAGCTAAGTTTTTTATTTTATTTTTTGTGGAGATGGGGTCTCACCATGTTGCCCAGGGTGGCCTCAAACTCCTGGACTCAAGTGATCCTCCCACTTTGGCCTTCCAACCAGGTTTTTATTTTATTTGTATTTATTTGGCATTATTATTATTATTATTATTATTATTATTAGAAACAGGGTCTTGCTCGGTCACCCAGGTTGGAGTGCAGTGGCACAATCTCAGCTCACTGCAACCTCCGCCTCCCAGGTTCAAGCAATTCTCCTACCTCAGCCTCCCAAGTAGCTGAGACTAACAGGCACCCGCCATCATGCCTGGCTAATTTTTGTATTTTTAGTAGAGATGGGGTTTCACCATATTGGCCAGGCTGGTCTCGAATTCCTGACCTCAGGTGATCTGCCCGCCTTGGCCTTGCAAAGTGCTGGGAATACAGGTGTGAGCCACCAGGTTTTTAGATGGCAAAAATGACACAGAGAGCGTAGGGAACCTGCCTAATGTCACACAGCAATTGAATCAGAGGCAGGCCAGGAACAGGCATGGGTCTCCTGCCTCCAGTCCACACTTTTCCATGTTTCTGTCTACCCTATTCCCCACCCCAGTCCCACCCATGTGTGCACACACCTACACACCTCAGTGTCTCCTCCTCTCCTCTTCCTGGGCGACTCTCTGGCACTCTTACCCATTCCCTGGAATGAAATCTGGCTAAGAAACAAGAATCATTTGGAGAAGTCAGCCCTGGCAACTTAGAATTACTATAAGCAACAGAAAAAAAAAAAGTAATATTGAGCTTGGAAGGTGTTCAAAATATTCTCCTGAATGGCATCTTCCCAGTGCCCTGGCCAGAGGCCCCAAGATCAACTGCCTGCCGGCTCCCCCATCCTCCCCATCTGACTTGGTCCCCATGCCCTGTGGATTCTGCCCAGTTCACTCCTGTCTACCTCAGACTCCAGCCCCTTTGTCTTAGCAGCAGAGGTAGTTTCCTCCCTTGCCCCCTAATCCATTCCCCGCCCGACAGCATGAAACTCTCTCCAGCCTCCCAATCTATCTTCCTAGCTTGAAGCCCTCTTTGGATTCCCTGCCCTCAAAACGGAACCCCACACCTGAGTTGGGCCCCTGAGGGCTGATTACCCAGTCCTGCTTCCTTTCAGCCGCTCCCTCCTGGTCTACCTGAATATATTACAGTGCGTGGGAAAAATAGGGCCGTGCCCTCTCTCTCACTCTCCTGGGGTGCTATTGCATATGCTGTTCTCTCGCCTGGAAGCCTCTTTTTTTTTTTTTTTTTTTTTTTTTTCTGTACAGACAGGGTCTTGTTATGTTACCCAGGCTGGTCTCAAACTTCTGGCCTCAAGCCAGGTCTCAAACTCCTGGCCTCAAGCTGGGGCTTGAACTCCTGGCCCCAAGCGATCCTCCCACCTCAGCCTCCCAAAGTATTGGGATTACAGGATTCCAGGTGGCTGGCCCCTGGAAAGCTCTTCACCCTGCCGTTGTCTTCCTCTTTCACTGGGTCTTTCCTCCAAGTGTCACATCAGCCAACACCTCCTCTGGGATGCCTTCTCTGATGACCCTCTCCTGCCATGACCTGGCCCTCCCTGTGTGGGGTGGGGCTTTGTTTTCTCCCAGATGGGAAGCTGTAGAGGAAGAAAGAAGCCCGTTGCCTTGGGCTCAGAGCTCCTGGCAGAGGGCGGCTCCAACCATGGTTAATATTAACAACGTATCTAGTCATGACTGTGTTATTCTTTAATCACTCTGTCTCATGTGCCTCTCTTCTTAGGTCAGGGAAAGGAGGCCACTAGCCAGGGTGGGGAGAAAAATCTCAGCGGGTGAATGCACCCTCACCCCCAACCTGGGTCCCCATTTCAAAGGAATGCAATGCTGTAGCACATAAAGCACCCAGCACATGGCACGTGCTCAGGAACTGGGACCTGCCAATGGGCACCCCCTGTTAGGTCCTTCCACAGCCAGGATCTCAGGGCATTCCCTCAGCAGCCCTAGGAGGCAGCTGCTGGCCTGTGTCCTATTTCACTGGTGGGCAAACTGAGGTTCAGAACAAGGAAATAATTTAGTGGCTGAGTTGGGGTTCCTTCTCATCAAGATGCTGGTGATAAGAAATAAGGATCCATAGCTGGGCATGGTGGTGCACACATGTAGTCCCAGCTACTTCGGAGATTGAGGTGGGAGGACTGCTTGAGCTCAGGAATTTGAGGCTGCAATGAGCTATGATCGTACCACTGCACTCCAGCCTGGGCAACACGGCAAGACCCGGCTGGAAGGAAGGAAGGAAGGAATCAAGGAAGGAAGGAAGGAAAGAAGGAGGGAAACAGAAAGAGGATCCAGATGTAGCTGCATAGTGAATAACTTTGGAAATGTCTATGATATGTTAGGTGAATAGAGAAGCTATCAAAGGGCTGATAACCCAGTGTGCATGTGAGCGCCTGAGAGGCATGTGATTTCACCTTTCTGAGTCTCAGTTTCTTCCCTGTAACATGGAGAAACTGATCACTCTGATTTCACACAGCCATGCAAGAATCGATCCAAAGGCTGTAGATTTTCTTAAACAGCTTTACTGAGGTATAATTTACATGCCATACCATTCACCCATTTTAAAGGCACAATTCAATGATCTTTGGTATATTCACAGAGTGGTGCAACCATCATCACTATCTAATTTTAGGATATTTCCGTCACCCTAAAAAGAAATCTTGTGCTGATGTAGATTTTCAAGTCCCTGGCAGAGTCCCTGGCTGACAGTCAGCAATTCATCAGTGTTTAGCCATGATGATGATGATGAATGATAAAATGTTTACAGTGGCTCCCATCAGGTGTTGGGATGACGATTGGTTTTTATTTTTTAAATATTTCACGTATTTTCTGGATCTTTTTGTTTGTTTGTTTGAGATAGAGTCTCACTCTGTCATCCAGGCTGGAGTACAGCGGCAGGATCTCAGCTCACTGCAACCTCCACCTCCCGGGTTCAAGCGATTCTCCTGCCTCAGTCTCCCGAGTAGCTGGGACTACAGGCGCACGCCACCACACCCTGCTAATTTTTGTATCTTTAGTAGAGATGGGGTTTCACCATGTTGGCCAGGCTGGTCTCAAACTCCTGACCTCAGGCGATCCACCCACCTCGGCCTCCCAAAGTGTTGGGATTACAGGAGTGAGCCACCGCACCTTGTCATTTTCTGAATCTTTTAAAATGGAGAACACATGATTTTAAAAATTAGAGGCAAAAGAGATCTATTTCCCTTTTGAAAATACAAAGTCATCAACCCTTGGATTGATGGAAGGGAGGGAGGGAGGGTGGGAAAGAAAGTAGGAAGGATGAGAAGATAAGAAATAAGGGAAGGTAATAGGCTCTGCTTAATAGGGAGAAAGATTGCTGTGGAGAGAGCACCTACCCGGACTCAGGAGCCCTACCTTGTCACCAACTTGCACCATGATCTTGGGCAAGACTCTTCCCTTTTGTGCCTCAGTTTCTACCCTATACAATGAAGCCGATGGTAGAGCTCATCTTCCATTCCCTCTTTTGGTCAGTGCGGGTGTCCTGAGAGTCTGCTACATGCCAGACCCAGGGCTAGGTGCTGGGATATTGTGACAAACAAGTCTAGCCTAGTCCCTGCTCCCGGGGCCATCAGAACATCAAGGAAAGCCAAGGCCAGAACTGCCCTGCAGTGTTCAGACCTCAGCTTGAAATTCATGAGCTGTGACGGGGCTGCCTAGGGTCCCCTGGGGCAGCAGGAACAGAGAGCGACTTGTTGCCTGGGGGTAGCCTCACCTCCTCCCAACTGTATTTCTTGGCCTACCCACTCCCTTGCAGGCACCCCAACTCCCTGCTTCAGAGCACGCCCCTGCCCACCCCCCTTGCCTTCCACCTCCAGGGTCAAGATCTGGCTGGAAATATCCTGCCCTCACCCCCAAGCTCACTGCCATCCTCCAGGAAACCCACCGTCCAACTCTCTCCCCGCTGCCTCTTCTGGTGACGAGGCTGTGGGAGTCCAGCCTGTGGTCTCAGCATGCCCAGCAAGCTATCGTTATTTATAATCATAGTAGCCACGATTGGTTCAGCCATCAGTCTGTATAAGCCTCACAGCAACCCATTTTACTGATGTGGAAACTGAGGCTCAGAGAGGTATGGTCATTTGTGCACAGCCACACAGCTCCTACATGACAGCTCAGACATTCAATGTGGGGTCCATCTGACATCAGAGCCCAAAAAAGAGGAGGCATAGAAGAATGACCGGCACTGGGTGCACGCCCAGTTAAGCACGTTACTTCCTGGGGTCATTTGCATTCAGCAGGGCCTGGGAACCAGGATCCCAGAGCTCTGATCCCAAGTCTCAGGTCCTAGAGTAGGGGTAGGGGTAGGGGTCACATCAGCCCTTGGGTTCAGTTTCTCCAGACCCCTCTCACGGTGACAACTCCAGTTCAGACAGGGAGTGTGGCATTTGGGGTTCCTGAGAGGTGTTTGTTTCGTCCCCTCATGTTTCACGTTTGAAGGTGCCTCTGCAGATGGCCAGGCACAGCCTCCCTGGGAACCCACCATCTGCTCCAAATGAGTGGGGAGAACTGGCATGCCAGCAGCCGCCCCTCCCACGCTGGGCACAGCACGCGGCCTCCGAGGCTGGTGGGCCTGATACTTTTCTCTGGGCACCTGTTCTGTCCTCCCTTAGCCTAACCAGGAGCTGGAGGCTGGATCTAGTCTGGATCCCCACTGGGGAGAAGGAGGGCCACCTAGGGGACCCTTAAACAGAGGGCTAAAGTGGGACAGTGTGTCCAGGTGAAAGGGAAGAGCTAGGGAGCTGCTGAGTCATGCACATTCCTTCTCGTGTTGCCTGCACGCCTACTACGTGCGGGGCCTGTGCCAGGCAGGAACCCGGAAGTGAGTGAGGAGCTCATTGTCCGGACCTGGGGACCTGCTGGTCCTCCCCACTGTCAGTCCAGACGTGAGACTGGGAAGCAGACCTCTCGGGTCCTGGCACCAGGCACCAGGCCAAGGAAAGGCCAATGTAGGATTCGATGAAGGAGCCAGCCTGGCACTGGCTCCTCAGCATGGGGCAGATGGTCCTTAAACTTAACACGGAGTGTGGAAACCACCTGAGGATCCATTTAAAACCCAGATTCTGCCTCCCCATGAAGCCCTCTTGAGATTCTAGCCCAGCATGCCTGAGGAGCATGCGTCTGGACAAACTACCCAAGGCATTCTGATGCAGGCCGCGTGAGGGCCTCACTTTGAGAACCTGGGCCATGACAGAGATGGGCCACCTCCCCATCTGGGCACCAGGAGATCTTGGCTCTGGGAGGGGTTGACCCCCAGACATGGCCCTGCCTCTAGTCTCTGCTTCCCAGAAGCTACTTGCCCTTTAAGTAGCCCTGGGGAGGCAGCAGGCAGCTGGCCCAGACCCTGACCACCCAGCATTCTTGCCAGCTGGGCCCTGGGCTCCCCACACCCGCTATGTGGCACCTTGGAGACCTCCACCCCTCAGGCTCACCAGGGCTGCGTGGGCCTGTCTGCTCAAGGAGAGGCCTCTCAGGGAAGAACTCCAGGGAAAGTCCACGTCTCTGTGTGGGGGACTCTTTGTGGGGAGTCCCATCCTTTCCAGCCCCTCCTGCAGTTTCCATGGCAACTACTGTTGCCATGGTGTTGCTGGTGAGGAGCTGGTGGAGAAGAGGGTGGACCCCCGGCCCCCACACCCACCCCAGCTTCTATGAGAACAGCTGTTCTATCTCCACAGCCCTGGGGGACTCCCAAAACTGGAAGTCACGCCCCCAAAGGAGTCTTTGAGTAAAGGATGGGAGAGATTGAGACCGGAAGTCCTCCCACCCCCCAGCAAACCCCCTCCCTCTGTGCCGCCTGGCACACCTCTGTTCTAGCACATACCACGCTGCATTGCATTATCTGTTTACTTGTCTGTCTCTCCCACCACACTGTGAGTTCCTCAGGGTGGGAACTGTCTGACTCATCATCTCCCATCCCCAGAGCCCGGCACAGGGCCCGGCACAGACTGAATTTAATTGAATTACATAAAAAGCCAAGTCTGGCTTCTTGGGTTTGAGACAGCACCATTGAATGAGGAAGTTTCCAGGCTGAGGGTCCAACAGACACTCAGCTTTGAATCCCCACTCTGCTGTGTGACCTTGGGTGAGTCACTTCACCTCTCTGAGCCTCAGCTGCTTCCTCTGTAAAATGATAATCTCTATATCAGAGCACAGATTCGAGGACTTGGAGATTCAATCAGAATTTATTGAGTGCCCCTTGTGTGCTAAGCCCTGTCCTGGGCACTGGGATACAGTGGCAGACAGAAAGAGGCTGCCCTGCTCACTGTCTGGCAAGAATGAAAAGCATTTGCCTGGTGCGCAGAAATGATGAATATACACAGGGCTTACCATCCTTCTCCTTCTCCAGTATAATTCCTGACTCCTCCCCAGCAGCGTCCACTTCCCCAGACGTGAGGCAGTGGAGAGGCTTCAAGAGGGGGCTTTGAACCTAGGAGCTCTGGGTCTAGTCTGTTGTACCTAAGACCCTTAGCTCCTGACCCTGGGGTGCAAGAAGACTTGTGAGTCTGGGTCAGGCTCTGGGCTGGGAGCAAGAGACCTGGGTTCCACCTCTGGCTCTGTAGAGCTTGAATGTATCTTTTTCCCTCCCTGGGCCTCTCCATGAATAAGGCGCTGGCTGTGTCTCAATGGTCCCTCGGGCTTCAACCTGTTCCCCCCTTTCCTGGGCCCTGGAGATCCCATGACTGGCAATTCTGACATCCTGATTCCTGGAGAGGCCTTCACCCTTGTGCTTGCGCCAGCTGGAGGGTGGTGCAGAGGGAGGTGGATGAAAAGAGCTGACTGGACAGAGAACCGGCACCCACAAGAGTCAGCCAAAAGGACAGCTGAGGTTGACATTGGCACGAGCAGATGTCTAAGCTATAGACTGTCAGGTCTGGGGACGGGGGATGACTTTGGGACCTCTCAGTCCAGTCCTTCAAAGGCGGCTCGGTTCACAGGGGGCTGAAGGGCAGGGGAGTGTCACTGCAGAGTCAAATATATCCGAGACCAGGGTCTGCTCTGCCAGATACTGGCTGTGCAACCTGAATGTCTCTAAGGTGCAGCTCCCTCATCTGCAAAATGGGGGTAATAACAGCACCTGCCTCATGGGGCTACAGTATGGAGCCCCACTAAGCGCCTGGCATGCAGTAGGCACTAAGAAGCATGAGTTTTTTTGTTTCTTTGTGGGTTTTTTTGAGGTGGAGTTTTGCTCTTGTCGCCTAGGCTGGAGTGCAATGGCGCGATCTTGGCTCACCGTAACCTCCGCCTCCCGGGTTCAAACAATTCTCCTGCCTCAGCCTCCCAAATAGCTGAGATTACAGGTGCCTGACACCCCGCCGGCTAATTTTTTTGTATTTTTAGTAGAGACAGGGTTTCACCATGTTGGCCAGGCTGGTCTCAAACTCCTGACCTCAGGTGATCCGCCCGCCTCAGCCTCCAAAGTGCTGGGATTACAGGCGTGAGCCACCGCGCCCGGCCCATGAGTCCTTTTCCTTGCCACCTCCTTCCCCACTCTTCTTCAACCCTAGCCATATGGAGCCTGGAGAAGGGGAAGTGAGATGCTGCCCTGCCCCACAGCGGAAGGGAGGGGAGAAGTTACAGCTCTGTTTCCTGGGATCCACTCTGTGGGCATTGGACACATAGGCATGTGGGAGACCCCATGCCTCAGTTTTCTGGGGCTGAATGGCCGTGGCTGAGTTGGGGCAGGGACTTCCTATTGGTTCAAAACCAACACAGGACGTATCTAGGAGTTGATCCAGTCTCTTGGCAGCTCAGATGCATAAATTCTGTGACCCAGGCGACTTGAGGAAAAGTATTTTCCACCTTTCTGGGCTGCCATATGCTCTTAGTTACCTGAAGCCCCTGGGCTAAGGAGCGGTGGAGCCAGCACTTTGGAAGGAGCTTTGGCTTTCCCAGGGGCCGGACAGGTACCCCTGGGACAGAGGGCGCCCCCTCATATCTTGACCCTCCTTTGACCTCCAACTCATTGCAGGGACTTCTTGCCTCGAGGATCTGGCATTGTCACCCGACGTCCCCTGGTCTTGCAGCTGGTCAATGCAACCACAGGTACGTGCCCTCCTTCACCAGCAGCCAGGCCTGCCCACTCCAGCCTCTCCCCCGTCCCCAAGCTGAGGGCCAGCCTGGCCACGAACTTGCTTGCTGTGTGACTGTGGGCCTCGTTCCCCTTAGGGATAGCGGGGATCAAAATACATAATGGAGACGTGGGTGGTGGTTCTGCTTGGGTGTGTCTAGGGGGTTCTATTACCGGTGGGAGATGAAAACCCCCAGGTGGGGTTCCAGACCTTGATGCCTACTGCCCTTCCCCTGCCCGCTTCTGGAGCAGAATATGCCGAGTTCCTGCACTGCAAGGGAAAGAAATTCACCGACTTCGAGGAGGTGCGCCTTGAGATCGAGGCCGAGACCGACAGGGTCACCGGCACCAACAAGGGCATCTCGCCGGTGCCTATCAACCTCCGCGTCTACTCGCCGCACGGTGAGGACCCTGGCCCCGCCCTAACCTCTAAGAATCATTTTCTTGGCCACGCACCTCTGCGTGCCTCGCTCCTCCTGCAGACTCCGCCCCTAGAATGACCCTGCCTCTGCATCATCCTATTCCAAGCTCCACCCTGCCGTGATTCCGCCCACTTCCGGCCACGCCTCCAACAGACTGCCACTTTCGCCCTGAGATTTCCTAGTCCCACCCACCTGCCACCCTGCTCCCAAGCAGCTTCTCTAACCCCGCCCTATTCTTTAACCTCGCCCGCGGCCACGCCCCTCGCCTTGAGCCCGCCCTCTCGCCGCCCTGTCCAGTGCTGAACCTGACCCTGGTGGACCTGCCCGGAATGACCAAGGTCCCGGTGGGGGACCAACCTCCCGACATCGAGTTCCAGATCCGAGACATGCTTATGCAGTTTGTCACCAAGGAGAACTGCCTCATCCTGGCCGTGTCCCCCGCCAACTCTGACCTGGCCAATTCTGACGCCCTCAAGGTCGCCAAGGAGGTGGACCCCCAGGGTAGGTTCCCACCCGGTGGCCAATGCACAAAACCCCAGGCTTGCAGGCTGTCTATTCTTAGTGTAAAGGGGAGCCTCTGAACGGTCTAAGAATAGCGGTGGGATCAGATTTGTACCTTTAAAAATCACTTTGGGGGTCAGGCATGGTAGCTCATGCCTGTAATCCCAGCACTTTGGGAGGCCAAGCCGGGAGGATTGCTTGAGCCCAGGAGTTCGAGACAAGGCTGGGCAACCTAGTGAGACCCCATTTCTACAAAAAATTTAAAAATTAGCCGGGCACCGTGGTGCACGCTTGTGGTCCCAGCTACTCGTGAGGCTGAGGCCAGAGAATCACTTGAGCCCAGGAGGTTGAGGCTGCAGTGAGCCCTACTCGCACCACTGCAGTCCAGCATGGGCAAGAGTGAGACCCTGTCTCAAAAAAGAAAAAAAGGCTGGGTGCAGTGGCTCATGCCTGTAATCCCAGCACTTTGGGAGGCCAACTTGGGAGGATCGCTTGAAGCCAGGAGTTGGAAACCAGCCTGGCAACAAAGCGAGATCCCATCTCTAACAAATAAAAAAACAAGAAGAATAAATAAAAATCATTTTGGCTACTCTGTGGAAAATGAATAAGGGGGAAAGAGAGGAGGCAGTGAGCAGGCAGGGGGCCGAGGAGAGCAGGGGGATGGGAGTGGGAGTGCATGGAATTGTGTGTGAGAGCGGGTGCAGCTGTAGACGGCCCTCCTGCTGGTGCACCCAGGCCAGCGCACCATCGGGGTCATCACCAAGCTGGACCTGATGGACGAGGGCACAGATGCCCGTGATGTGCTGGAGAACAAGCTGCTCCCCCTGCGCAGAGGTAAGCAGGCCATGCCCCTCAACCACTCCCCAGCCCTTCCCCACCCTTCCCCTCCTCTTGAGGCTGGTTGCCCTGACCTTGATACTGTTCACAGGCTACATTGGAGTGGTGAACCGGAGCCAGAAGGACATTGATGGCAAGAAGGACATTACCGCCGCCTTGGCTGCTGAACGAAAGTTCTTCCTCTCCCATCCATCTTATCGCCACTTGGCTGACCGTATGGGCACGCCCTACCTGCAGAAGGTCCTCAATCAGGTAGGCGACCAAGCCAGGATGGGGCCTGGGGAAACAAGCATGAAAACAGGATAAATTAAGTGTGTTCTGAGAGTGAACAGCAGAGGTTAGCCTCTCCGTAGTGCAGATAGACAAACTGAGCCTCAGAAAAGCAAAGCAACTTGCCCACAGCCCCACAGCTAGGTAGCAGCAAAGCTTCACTGACCTTTCCCTGTCTGGGACCTGCCAGGGA